>NC_000012.12:7709650-8334650 GCF_000001405.40 Homo sapiens
AATTCTTCTGCCTCAGCCTCCTGAGTAGCTGGGACTACAGGCGCCTGCCACTACGCTCAGCTAAATTTTTGTATTTTTAGTAGAGATGGGGTTTCACTGTGTTAGGCAGGATGGTCTTGATCTCCTGACCTTGTGATCCGCCCACTTCGGCCTCCCAAAGTGCTGGGATTACAGGCGTGAGCCACTGTGCCTGGCCTAATTTTTGTATTTTTAGTGGAGACAGTGTTTCACCATGTTGGCCAGGTTAGTCCCGAACTCCTGGCTTCAAGCAATCCACCTGCCTTAGCCTCCCAAAGTGCTGGGATTACAGGCGTGAGCCACTGTGCCCAGCCTAGGTTTTTTACAAATGAGAGTCTATTTCAGCCCTTTTTGTTATCTCACCTCCTAATCCTAAACCCCCTGCAATGGGATTTTTTTGTATTTATCTCTCCAGTGAAATTCTTGCGGACTGATTATCAGAGATTCCCCAGGCAAGAGGGAGATTAGCCAAGAGCTGAACAACAGAAGTAGAAAGTTCACAGTGCCGTAAAGCAGGGCTGCTTAACTTGAGCACCCATCAGAATCACCTGGGGATCACTTCTGGGTCTTCTGGCTAAATGCAGAATTGCCTGGGAGGCTTGTTAAAGCATTACCACTGGGCGCCAGTCTTTGATTCAGTAGGGCTGGTTTGGAGCTCAGAATTTGTATATCTAAGTTAACTAGGTGCTTGTTGTAAACTGCACTTTTTTTTTTTTCCCAAGAGGCAGGGTCCTGCCCTGTCTACCAGGCTGGAGTGCAGTGGCACGATCATAGGTCACTGCAGCCTTTAACTGCTGGGTGATTAAGCGATCCTGGAGACCACACTTTTGAGAATCACTTGCATAAAGTGTTGGGACATGATCTATGCCTATGGCTGCTCATTCTCTATGAAAATATTTCTTAATCATAACTTCAATTTTTGCTTTTTACCAAACCCAAACAAGGTTGCCTTTGAGTATTTTCTCGTGGTTTCCACCTAGAGAGGGAATGGGGGAACGTGCGTATTTGAATAAGACGGGAAAAAGATGAGAGGGGCAGCTGGGGACTTGTTCTTCCACCTCCTGCAGACAATCAGTGGTTAAATGTTGTTGTGCTTTGCTACAAATACAAGCATTTTTTTGTGGGGAGGGAGTAGCAATTTGTAAGGTTAGTTAATTTCAGCTGCTCAGAAATGTTAGGTACTGTTTATAGTTTATAAAGCAAATTAACAAATAAAAAATACATGTCCCTAAAATATCAAGCTATGAAAGTGTTCATAACAGATACTTCTTCATTATTCCTCTCTTCTTAGTAGCAGCAAAGGTTTAAGATGATTGAAGCAAGGAAAACTTAAAGGAAACTTTCTCAGCTTAATTGGGAGTTTATGGGCAGTGGTGGTGGTGGGGCGGGGGCGGTAAAAACTGCCATTCTCCTCTGCACTAGAACACTTAAGCCCAGTTCACAAAACAGAAGCCATCTCCAGGAGTAGAGTTTGGGAAAAAAAAAAAAAAAAAAAAACAAGAAAAAAACAACTTATATGTAAGGCAACCTCAGGGAGACAGAACCACAAAAAGAGGATTTTAATAAATTTTCTAGCAGATATGACATCCGACAGATTATTTTAATGCAAAGCAGATGAAGAACTACCCTATGAGTCTAAACTACACCCATTCACCTTTAATCATTTGGATCCCTTAATCCTCTAATCATGGGATCATTAACATTCAAATATCCTGGAAGATTGGCTTATCTGTATTTTAAAAGGAAGCCGGACCTATAGTTTACGTCAGTTCTTTGACCATTCGTTGGAGCTCCGGTTTTCAGCCTCTTTCCGGGCTACCTGGTAGCAATTTGAGGCTCTGTCATCAGTTTCTGCTACGTTTCAAAGATCCTGGAGAAGCCTAGTGTTGTGTCAAGACGCCGATGGACCCATCACAGTTTAATCCAACCTACATCCCAGGGTCTCCACAAATGCTCACCGAAGAAAATTCCCGGGACGATTCAGGTAAGCCAGATAATGCCCTTCTTGACTATCTGACTATAGGGGGGTTGGGAGGTCAAAAGGCTGCCGTCTTTTTTTTTTTTTTTTTTTTTTTTTTTTTAATGTTGACTTCAGTCTTTGCAAGAGGAATGTATTTAGGTAAACCTCAAACCAGAGGGAGTCAACACAGAGAGGTCAAAGACTTTATTAAAAGCGGTGATGGTGGTGGTGAGAAATGTATTATTTTATTCACTATGCTTAGGAGTACTTCAGATTTCTTTCTTTTTTTTTCTTTTTTTTTTTTTGAGACGGAGTCTTGCTCTGTCGCCCAGGCTGGAGTGCAGTGGCGCGATCTCGGCTCACTCCAAGTTCCGCCTCCTGGGTTCACGCCATTCTCCTGCCTCAGCCTCCCAAGTAGCTGGGACTACAGGCGCCCGCCACCGCGCCCGTTTTTTTTTTTGTATTTTTGGTAGAGACGGGGTTTCACCGTGTTAGCCAGGGTGGTCTTGATCTCCTTACCTCGTGATCCGCCCGCCTCGGCCTCCCAAAGTACTGGGATTACAGGCTTGAGCCACTGCGCCCGGCCAGTACTTCAGATTTCTAAGACCAGTTTCTGGGGATAAATAATTGGAATCACAGAACGCGGCTCGTAGCGTCGTTGCATCAGTATCTTCCCCAACAGCAAATACATGTCAGGAACGGTAAAAAGGAACAAATACAGAGACCAAATAAACAAAAGATAGGGAAAAAAAATGAAACAATATGAGAAACTTTAACTTCAGTTGAACCTAAAGTTTTTCTTAATCTCTCGCCAACATTATTTTTATTTATATATTTTTTTGAGACGGAGTCTCTGTCGCCCGGGCTGGAGTGCAGTGGCGCGGTGTCGGCTCACTGCAACCTCCGCCTCTCGGGTTCAAGCAATTCTCCTGTCTCAGCCTCCAAAGTAGCTGGATTACAGGCATGTGCCACCACGCCCGGCTAATCTTTTGTATTTTTAGTAGAGACAGGGTTTCACTATGTTGGCCAGACTGGTCTCGATCTCCTGACGTCGTGATCCGCCCACCTCTGCCTCCCAAAGTGCTGGGATTACAGGCGTAAGCCAGCGCGCCCGTCCTATTTTTATTTTTATTTTTATTTTTGACAGTGGGTCTCTCCATGTTGCCCAGGCTGGTATCGAACACTTGGGTTCAGTCCATCCTCTTGCGTAGCTGGGACTGCAGGCGTGCGCCACCGAGTCCGGGCTCTAAGCCAACATTTTTGAGACAGGCTTTCCAGCTAAATGTTAATAAACAGACTAACAGCTTCACTGGGAAAATGGAAGGGAGAGGCCGTAAACGTGCTCCGTAATGTAAATTAGTAGCAGGACCTCCACCGGAGGGCGGCTTATCTAGAAACTGCTTGGGTAATTCTGCTCCCTGATAGGCCGGGTCTTCCGGTGGAGAACTCCTTTCTTACAGCAGCACCCAAGCGCGGGCTTGGCCACAGAGGCCCTCCACGTGGTTTGAAGTCTTATTTATGACCCTGACAGCGGGGCTGGGTGTCTAGGGTGGTGGCGGCAGAAACCCTGGAGCCAACACCTTCGACTGCCCGATGCTGGGAGGTCTGGGAACTGGGCCGCTGGCGCGCTGACGCCCTCTGCGCCTGGTCTTAGCTGTGTCCCCTGCGTCCAGAAGAAAGAATGCTGGTCTATATATCCGAGTGGGAAAGAAAAATGAACGTACCCCCAGTCTCTCCCTTTCCTTGCGTCTGCCTTAGTACCTCACAGTTCCACAAAGGATCCTCGTTTCTATGTGCACAGGTCCCTAGACTTTGAGAATCGATCTCGAACTTTGATATTGTTTAATACTTTCACATATAGGGGGCAAAAAACAAAACAAAACACACATACACGGGCAGTTAACGATAACCTTCTTATTGTATGAGATATGCGTATGTATGGGATACGCCTCACAGTTCGGATGGGAGAGACGAGAATGAGTGGTTGATTTCCCAAAATAGAGTTTGAGTGAAGAGATCTAATACCATGAAGGAGCTGGGCAACTAAATTAGGGCTAACTGGAGAGGGTAACAGCCACTTACTTCGACTGCCCAGTTTTGCTTAAGGATGAGGATTCTGGGAGAAAATAGTATATGGGTTTTTCTTGTCTCTTTCACAAGATTCCACAGAATGTACGGTAGGTAATGCTTGTGAGATACTCAGTGGATCTCTTAAGTGTAAGTGAACAAAGCTAGCTCAGGGCAGCGTGTGGGACACGCTTGTAGCGCCAGCTACTCTGGACGCTGAGGTGGGAGGATCCCTTGAGCCTGGGAGGTAGAGGCTGCAATGAGCCATGATAGTGCCACTGCACTCCAGCCTGGGTGACAGAGCAAGACCCTGTCTCAAAAAATAACAGTCTACCATCCTGGCTAACACGGTGAAACCCCTTCTCTACTAAAAAATAGAAAAAAATTAGCCGGGCATGGTGGTGGGCGCCTGTAGTCCCAGCTGCTCGGGAGGCTGAGGCAGGAGAATGGCGTGAACCCGGGAGGCGGAGCTTGCAGTGAGCCGAGATGGCGCCACTGCACTCCAGCCTGGGAGGCAGAGCGAGACTCCGTCTTAATAATAATAATAATAACAGTCTAGAAAACAAGGGATTACAGTCATCCCTCGGTTATACTCTGGGAATTGTTCCAGGACATCCCCAAAATCTGTAAGTGATCAAGTGCCACAGTGGGCCCTGCGAAACCTTGTGAAAAAGGTTAACAGTGTGTGTGGGGATTTCGAATTTTGTGATTGGTTGGAAAAAATTCTCGCGTAAGTGGGACCCAAAGTTTAAACCCGTGTTGTTCAAGGGTCAACTGTGTTATCATGTGCCCCTGTACAAGTGACTTCTTCCTGCCTTGACTTTCCTTTTTTTTTGAGACGGAGTTTTGCTCTTGTTGCCCAGGCTGGAGTGCAGTGGCGCAACCTGAGGTCACTGCAAACCTCCGCTTCCCGGATTCAAGCGATTCTCCTGCCTCAGCTTCCCGAGTAGCTGGGATTACAGGCATGCACCACCACCACGCCTGGCTAATTTTGTAGTTTTATTTCTATTTTTATTTTTATTTATTTATTTTTTTGAGACGGAGTCTTGCTCTGTCCCCCAGACTAGAGTGCAGTGGCGCGATCTCGGCTCACTGCAAGCTCCACCTCCTGGGTTCACACCATTCTCCTGCCTCAGCCTCCCAAGTACCTGGGACTACAGGCGCCCGCCACAACGCCCGGCTAATTTTTTGTATTTTTTAGTAGAGAGGGGGTTTCACCGTATTAGCCAGGATGGTCTCGATCTCCTGACCTTATGATCTGCCCGCCTCGGCCTCCCAAAGTGCTGGGATTACAGGCGTGAGCCACCGCGCTGGGCTAACTTTGCGATTTTTGAGAAAAGACTAGAGGTTGTGCGTTGTTTACTGTGACCTTCCACCCTGAGGAATTTCCCACACAGCGCCCTGTTCCCCTGCTTAAGGGCAGACCTAGTTGATGTGTGAATGTTGAAGATCCCCTTAATGTAATGGCTTTTAACCTTCTCTTTCAGGGGCCTCTCAAATCTCCTCCGAGACGTTGATAAAGAACCTTAGTAACTTGACTATCAACGCTAGTAGCGAATCTGTTTCCCCTCTATCGGAAGCTTTACTCCGTCGAGAGTCTGTAGGAGCAGCAGTCCTCAGGGAAATCGAAGATGAGTGGCTTTACAGCAGGAGAGGAGTAAGAACATTGCTGTCTGTGCAGAGAGAAAAGATGGCAAGATTGAGATACATGTTACTCGGCGGAGTTCGTACGGTATGTTGATGTGATGTGGCCGGGGCTGTCCAATTCCGGAGAGTGACACTCATAAATTAAGACCTAATTAAGACTCCCTAGCTCTAGGCCCGGTGCGGTGGCTGAGGCCTGTAATCTGAGCACTTCGGGAGGCTGAGGCAGGTGGATCACCTGAGGACAGGAGTTCGAAACCAGCCTGGCCAACATGGTGAAACCCTGTCTCTACTAAAAATACAAAAAGTTAGCTGGGCCTGGTGGTGGGCACCTGCAATCTCAGCTACTTGGGAGGCTGAGGCTAGAGAATTGCTTGAACCCTGGAGGCGGAGGTTGCAGTGTGCCGAGATTGTGCCATTGCCCTCCAGCCTGGGCAACAAGAACAAAACAAGCGTCTCAAAAAAAGACTCCCAGCTCACGTCTGTAATCCCTGCACTTTGGAAGGCTGAGGTGGGAGGATCACCTGAGCTCAAGGAGTTCCAGACCAGCCTAGGCAATATAAAAAATTAATAAAATCAGCCATCTCTACAAAAAATTAATTAGCTGGGTGTAGTGGTGCGTGCCTGTAAGTCCCAGCTGCTGTGGGGTGGGTGGCTGAGGGCTGAGGCAGCTGGATCACTTGAGCCTGGGGGGTTAAGGCTGCAGTGAGCCATGATTGCTCCACTGCAATCCAGCCTGGGCAACAGAGAAAGACCCTGTCTCAACAAATTCCCTAGCTTCTCTCCCTTATATAGATGTGTAATATTAGTAATCTTTTTCTTGATAGTTTTCAATAAACATATTTTTTTCCCATGAAGCATGAAAGAAGACCAACAAACAAGGAGCCTAAGGGAGTTAAGGTAAGTATAATTTTTTTCTTTTTATTTTCCTTTTTTTTTTTTGGCTATATATGTGGATGGGTATCTGGTTTGTTTCCTTTTGCCGGAATAGGGAATTAGGGAATTTGCTTGGACTTTCTGAATCCCCAGGGACTCTGGATAAGTCAGTTCATGTTTGTAGTTTTTAAAAATATATTCTTTATTCTTTATTTTTCAGAGAAGTTTTATGTTCATAGCCTTTCCCCCACACCCCACACATGCCGCCTCTACTGTCAACGTCACACACCAGAATTGCACACTTTGCAGCTGATGAACTTACCCTGACAGGATTATCATCCAGAGTTCATAGTTTACACTAGGGGTCACTCTTGGTGTTAGGTTGATACTTTCACGTGCTGTCACAAATATCTTCACGGTAGCACTGTATAGTAAGAGGACAAACACTTCAGCAGAGTGTCTAGTAGCAGAATGAGTTACATTTAAGGCATTCAGAGAACGGAGACTAGAATGTTTTATTGACAGTCTGCACTTGTTACCATTACAAAATGACCCACAAGCTGCCATTCTGTGGTACCCATATTTTGATCTTTTTTTCTCCTAAAATGTTTTGCTTTTGGCCCGTGTGTCCTTTTTTGTGTGTGTTCCCTGTTCCAACACTTACCAAAATAAACAACATTATAGTTGAGGGCTTATTACATTTCTCTGGGGTACAATATTCCAATTAATCCATTTCATCATTTTTTTTCAGAAGGAATCAAGACCATTCAAATGTCCCTGCAGTTTCTGCGTGTCTAATGGATGGGATCCTTCTGAGAATGCTAGAATAGGGAATCAAGACACCAAGCCACTTCAGCCATAAATCTTATTCTTGCACCTTTTTTTCTTGGTAGTAATTTTATATAGCAGGTTGAGAAAGCTACTCTATGCTAGTATAGACTATACACCAATAATTTTGATAATGAGTTCTAGGATGTATTTTTCTTGTATCTTTTTCTTCCTACTATGATACTAGTAATTCATAAGGGATCTGTGTAATCTGAATGTATTTGAATAACTTTAGCTCTACTGTTTGATTTGACCCAAAGAAGCCAAGATGATATAAGTATTCCCATGTGTCTTAGAAGCCCAAAGTCAGTGAGATGAAACCCAACATCAAGAAATTGAAGCAAAGTTACTTATGGATAAAGAAAGCATTAGGTAGTTGGGCTATAGCATAATTAGATTTTCTGGCTTTCAAAAATTTGGATTGCAATCACAGCAAACTTTGTTATTTTTACAGTTTTCAGTACAAAAGTGTTTATATAGAAACAATAAAGTTGACATTTGAGTACCTTTTAAAAATTGTTCTTGATTTTATTCTTTTTCTTACTAACAATTAGATGAACAATAGTTTTATTACATTTCTAGAATGTAAATATCTGGCATTCTAATATTTTATATCTTCCCACTGGGAAGAAACTTCATTGTACATTTGGGTGAGATTGGAAAACACAGGCACAGATAGTTGCAAATATCAACTTCCCATTAGAGATGTGAAAATTGGAAGGAGGTAGAACAGAAGTGGAGCTTACTACGTTGTTGATAGGAAATATGCAGGGGTCCTCACACCAGGCAAGCAATTCTTTTTTGTTTGTTTGGTTTTCTGAGACAGTTTCGCTCTTGTAGCCCAGGCTGGAGTGTGATGGCACTATCTCAGCTCACTGCAACCTCCGCCTCCTGAGTTCAAGCGATTCTCTTGCCTCAGCCTCCTGAGTAGCTGGGATTACAAGCACCTGCCACCACGCCTGGCTAATTTGTGTATTTTTAGTAGAGACAGGGTTTCACCATACTGGCCAGGCTGGTCTGGAACTCCTGACTTCAGATGATCTGCCTGCCTTGGCTTCCCAAAGTGCTGGGATTACAGGTGTAAGCCACGGCACCTGGCCTCCAAGCAAGCAATTCTGCCATAGATATCAGCTGGGTGTCTAATTCAATTCCAGCACTGTCTACCTGGAAATAGCTCCAGATCTTACAGGTTGAAGGCTCAGTCCCACAAGACTGCCTGCACTTCTAATGCTAATCACAAGCTTCAGGTTGTCTTACCTGTGCTTTTGACTGACCAGCTACAAATCAGGGTTCCCTCGACCCCTTGCTTGAGTTTGATTAATTTGCTCTAGTGGCTCATAGAACTCAGGGAAACACCTTACTTATTGTGAAGGATATTACAAAGGATACAGATGAATAACCAGATGGAAGAGATGCATAGGGCGAGGTATAGGAGAAAAGACAAGCAGGGTGAACCACCCTTAAGGAGTGTGAAACTGTCCAGGAGCCCTCAGAACTCCTTTTGTGTTTTTAGGGAAGCTTCATTAGGTAGGCATGATTGATTACATCACTGGCCATTGGTTTATCAACTCAACCTTCAGCCCCTGTCCCTTCCCCTGGAGGTCCCGGAATGGGAGTGAAACTTTCAACCCTCCAATCACTTGGTGGTTTCTCCTGGCAACCTGCCCACATCCTGAGGGTATCTTGGAGCCCCCAGCAAAGCAGTCACCATTAGCATACAAAAGTTATCACTCCAGAGATTTTGAAGATTTTAGGAGCTATATGACAGGAAATGGTGACTAAGAACAAATATGTTTTATAATATCACAGGGAGAATTGGAAAGGATATCTGCATGATATGTAATAACCCAAGAAGATGCTATCCAGTGATTTCTTTGTGGTTTTTGTTTTGTTTTTTGAGATGGGGTCTCACTTTGTTGCCCAGGCTGGAGTGCAGGACCACACTGCCAAGTTTGGTCATCAGAAGTTACCCCACTGAAGAACTAAATTTAACATGGTCTACCAGCAAGGACAAATGTGGGGCAGATTGAGCATTGGTTATATTTCTTTTTTTTTTTTTTTTTTTTTTTTTTTGAGATGGAGTTTCACTCTTGTTGCCCAGGCCGGAGGGCAGTGGCGCAATATCAGCTCACTGCAACCTCTGCCTCCCATATTCAAGCAATTCTCCTGCCTCAGCTTCCTGAGTAGCTGGGATTACAGGCATGTGCCACCACACCCAGATAATTTTGTATTTTTTAGTACAGATAGGGTCTAACCATGTTGGTGGTATCGAACTCCTGACCTCAGATGATCTACCCACTTCAGCCTCCCAAAGTGCTGGGATTACAGGCATGAGCCACTGTGCCCGGCAGAGCATTTGTTATAACTTACAAATCGTTCCTAGTAGCAAAGCTAACTTTTATTATTTTTCTGTATGAGCTTGAAAATCACTGACTAGTTAAAAAAGGCAACTTATTTTTATTGCAATCATGTTAAATTTGTAAATTAATGAAAACATTAATTCTACATGTCACATGTCCTTTCGTATTCTTTTGAGATGCAGTCTCGCTCTGTCACCAATGCTGAAGTGCAGTGGTGCCATCTCTGCTCACTGCAACCTCCACCTCCCAGGTTCAAGCGATCCTCCTGCCTCAGACTCCCAAGTAGCTGGGACTACAGGCGTGTGCCACCACGCCCAGCTAATTTTTGTATTTTTAGTAGAGACAGGGTTTCACCATGTTAGCCAGACTGGTCTCGAACTCCTGACCTCAGGCAATCTGCCTGCCTTGGCCTCCCAAAGTACTGGGATTATAGGCATGAGACACCGCGCCTGGCTAGTATTTAGGTATATTTTTAAACCTTTCTATAATAATATCTTCCTTTCATGTATTTCCTGCTGAGAGCATCAGTTCAAGTTGCCCTGAATCTTTATGCTCCCAGTTTACATTTATTGAGTGCTAGGCATTATTCTAAGGATTTTACGTGCATTAGCTTATTTAAACCTCAAAACTTCTGAGATAGGTCACTTTCGGTGTCTTCATTTTACAGAAAAAAAAAAGCACAAAAGTAGTGAACTTGCTCAAAGTTACATAAGAAGTGGCTTATCCGAGATGGAAGTCAGCTAAGCCAAGTCGGTACTTTCTTCTTTTTTTTTTTTTGAGATGGAGTTTTGCTCTTGTAGCCCAGGCTGTAATGCAATGGTGCAATCTCGGCTCACTGCAACCTCCGCCTCTTGGGTTCAAGCAATTCTCCTGACCTCTCCCCGTGTCGGCTTCCCAAAGTGCTGGGATTACAGGCGTAAGCCACTGCGCCTGGCCCAAGTCGTACTTTCTACAGATATCTTCCTCTTCAGATTATATTATGGTGTGTTAAAATATTGCCATTACATTTTTCAACTGGTTGTAATATATGAAAGTTGTTTTTTTTCTATATTTACTTATTTGAGCCAGGGTCTCTCTCAGTTGCCCAGGCTGGGAGTGTAGTGAGGCTTGGCTCACTGCAAACTCCACCTCCCGGGCTGAAGCAATCCTCCCACCTCAGCCTTCTGAGTAGCTAGAACTACAGGCATGAGCCACAATGCCCGGCTAATTTTTTGTATTGTTTGAGGAGACAGAGTTTCACCGTGTTGCCCAGGCTAACGCTGTTAATTTCTCTATTTGCTGTTCACTCAACATTTTTTGTTTTACTTTAAACTTTTTTTAAAAAAATTTCAAACTACATAAAGTTGCAAGCTTAAGCTCATAAACCTGTGTGTACATTTTACCTAGATACAACAATTGTTAGCATTAGCCACATTTCATTTAACATTCTATATTTTCTCTTTTTAAACAGATATTTGAGAGTAAATTTCAGATAACACTTCATCCCAAAATAGTTTGTGTTTTCTTAGAACAAGAATATTGACTTATATAACCACAGTAGAAGGATAAAATTCAAGAAATTTATGGCCAGATGTGGTGACTCATGCCTATAATCTCAGCACTTTTGGTGGCTGAGCCCAGAGATTTGCTTGAGGCCAAGAGTTCGAGACTAGCCTGGCAACATAGTGAGATCCTAGTCTCTACAAACAAAAAATAAATTAGTCAGGTGTAGTGTTGGGGGCCGGGGGGAAGATGTGGAAGGGATAGGAAGCGGGAAAGGGGTAGGAAGGGATAGGAAGGGAGGAAATGGGCTAGAGGACCCCAGGGGTTCAAAAGGCAACTTATTTATTTATTTATTTATTTATTTTGAGGCAGAGTTTCGCTCTTGTAGCCCAGGCTGTAGTGCAATGGTGCAATCTCGGCTCGCTGCAACCTCCGCCTCCTGGGTTCAAGCAATTCTCCTGCCTCAGCCTCCCGAGTAGCTGGGATTACAGGTGCCTGCCACCTCGCCTAGCTAATTTTTGTATTTTTAGTAGAGACGGGGTTTCACCACATTGGCCAGGCGGATCTGGAACTCCTGACCTCAGGCAATGCGCCCACCTCAGCCTCCCAAAGTGCTGGGATTACAGGTGTAATCCCAGCACAGGCACCACGCCCGGCCCAGAGTTTATTTTTGTATTTCTGCTGGCCCACGCAGTCCAGCCCAAAGGGCCTATGGCCCAAGGCCCCACAATCAGGCCCCAGCGGTCACCAGCTCTGGTCTTGGACCAGCCCTTGGTGCCCACCTGTACCCCCACCTCACCCATTTGGTCACATGCACTGGTTGTCACTTTACTACAGCTCATTCCTTCCCAATAAAAGTTTCTGTGACTTAAAAAATATACATATATTTTTCTATATGATGTTAGATAGGGGTCCTACTTAATTCTTTTGCATATGGTTATCTAGCTGTCCAAGCAACATGTGTTGAAAAGACCATTCTTAAAAAAATAAATAAATAAATAAAAAATAAAAATAAAAAAAGACCATTCTTTCCCTATTGAGTTGTTAACAATCAATTGACTATTAATGTGAATGTTTATTTTTGAATTTGCTTATTACATTGATCTATACATTTGTTTATTTATTTATTTATTGAGATGAAGTCTTGCTCTGTTGCCCAGGCTGGAGTGCAGTGGTGCGATCTTGGCTCATTGCAACCTCCGTCTCCTGGGTTCAAGCGATATCCTGCCTCAACCTCCCGAGTAGCTGGGACTACAGGTGTGTGCCATCACGCCGGGCTAATTTTTGTATTTTTAGTAGAGACTGGGTTTCACCATGTTGGCCAGGCTGGTCTTGATCTCCTGATCTCAGGCCATCCGCTCACCTTGGCATCCCAAAGTGCTGGGATTACAGGCGTGATCCACCTCACCTGGCCTGATCTATATGTTTGTTTTTATGCCAATATCACACTGTCTTGGTTACTCTTGCTCTGTGGTACATTTTGAAATCAGGAAGTGTGAGTCTTCCAACTTTATTCTTCTTTTTCAAGTTGTTGAGACTTTATTAATTTAAAATATTATTAGGCCGGGCAAGGTGACATAAACCTGTAGACCCAGCTACTCCTGAGCTGAGGAGGGAGGATCATTTGAGGCCAGGAGTTCGAGGCTGTAGTGCCCTATGATCACACTGTGAACAGCTGCTGCACTGCAGCCTGGGCAACATAGTGAGGCCCCTTCTCTAAAAATAAATTAAAAATAGGCTGGGCACAGTGTCTTACGTCTGCTCTCCCAGCACTTTGGGAGGCTGAGGCAAGAGGATCACTTGAGCCCAGGAGTTTAATGCCAGCCTGGGCAACATAGCTAGACCTCATCTTTACAAATAATAAAAAAAATTAGCTGGGTGTGGTGGTGTGCACCTGTGGTCCCAGGTACTTGAGAGGCTGAGATCACGGCCCTGCTTGGGCAATAGAGTGAGACCTTGTCTCAAAAAATAAAAAATTGTTATAAGGATACTTTGGTTTGATATATCACTTATCAAATTTGTGCTGTGCCATAATGAGATTTCTCATATGCTTGTGGGCTTTTCTCTATTCTTTTGAATTCCTTATAAGATTGAGGCCAGGCACAGTGGCTCATGCCTGTAATTCCAGCACTTTGGGAGGCTGAGGCGGGTGGATTACCTGAGGTCAGGAGTTCAAGACCAGCCTGGCCAATGTTGTGAAACCTCATCTCTACTAAAAATACAAAAATTAGCCGGGCATGGTGGCGGACGCCTGTAATCCCAGCTACTCAGGAGGCTGAGGCAGGAGAATCGCTCGAACCTGGGAGGCGGAGATTGCAGTGAGCTGAGATCACACCACTGCACTCCAGCCTGGGCGACAGAGCAAGACTCCATCTCAGGAAAAAAAAAAAAAGAGAGATTGAAAATTAAGTTTATCTTAAGATCCATTATTTTTCAAAACAGTGAGAGTCTTGGCCAGGCACAGTGGCTCACGCCTGTTATCCCAACACTTTGAGAGGCGGAGGCAAGGCAGGTGGATCACCTGAGGTCAGGAGTTCGAGACCACCCTGGCCAACATGGTGAAACCCCGTCTGTACTAATAATACAAAAATTAGCTGGGCGTGGTGGTGCGTGCCTGTAATCCCAGCTACTCGGGAGTGGGACGCAGGAGAATCACTTGAACCCAGGAGACGAGGTTGCAGTGAGCCGAGATCACGCCATTACACTCCAGCCTGGGCAACAAGAGTAAAACTCCATCTCAAAAAAAAAAAAAAAAAAAAAAAGGTGAAAATCTAGTAATAAATATCAGGAAGAAATGGTGTGTGTAACTTGCTAAATGAGAGGTGGTAGATGAGATCTTTCCTATTTCCTGGTTACCAGGACCCATAGTCACATTTTAGTTTCAGAGTAACTCCAGCTCAGTTTCCTTCCTGCAGCGTTTGCTAAGGGACACCGTTTTGTAAGATCAGACACAAGAACGTTTTTCACTATCAAAAGTAGGCTAGCGATAGGATAAGAGAGTACATTTGGGAGAATGCCGACCTTATGTTACTGATTCCTATCTGCTTTATCTTTTTTTGGGAAAGGGCAGGGCATTTTATATGTACCCCCTCCTCCTTGCAGGATCAGATGTGACCAAAGTATCTTTGCCCACAAATAAAACTGGAGCTGGTGATTACATCTAATCTAATTGCTGAGCCATTGAACCAGCAGAGAGCCTGATAGCCAGGCCTGATGCTGCCGGTTGGTGAGAAAGGAGCGCAGGGTGATGCTAGGCAGAGTGTCTGCAAACAGCTGGCATTCCCACCATTTGGTGACGCAAGTACAGTTCAGAAAGTGGGTGGAACACAAACCATCTTGTAAGTAACCACCCATGACCTTCCCCCAACAAGGGACTGCTGGATGAGAATTCCCCAAAAGCAAAAGGTTGTGGGGATGGAGTAAAAGTTTAAGCCTCAGTTCCATTTTTATGACAAAGGACTGGGCAGAGACCAACACCCATAGAGCTCTCTAAAATCCAATCAATGCAACCCCATGAAACAGCCAAGTTTTAGGCCATTGCCACAGAGAGGAAACTGATGGCTGGTCAGTGTTGAGAATCCAAAACCACCCCTGACTATCACTGGAATGGGAGAGCTTTGAATCAAGTATAATTCAAACATTTAAAGTGAACATTTACACGTCAAGTATATATTTTATTACAAATTACTTTTTCATTATAGAGTATTATATTTCTAAATTCTAAACTTAATAACTGAAAGGTTTTTTTAATTTTTTTCTTTTTATTCATCATATCCAACCCCAATAAACTGGTTTTTTAAACATTTTTTATTTTTTTGAGGCAAGGTCTTGCTCTATAGCACAGGCTGGAGTGCAGTGACATGGTCATATCTCACTACACCCTCAACCTCCCAGGCTCAACTGATCCTCCCACGTCAGCCTCCTGACTAGGTGGAACAAAAGGCACACACCACCACACAGAGCTAATTTTTAATTTTTTTTGTAGAGATGGGGGTCTTGCTATGCTGCCCAGGCTGGTATCAAACTCCTAGGCTCAAGCGATCCTCCTGCCTTGGCCTCCCAAAGTCCTGGGATTACAGACATGAGCCACCATGCCTGGTCAAAAGTGTTTCAGTAACTGAAAATGACCCAAATATCGTGGAACTGGACTAATATTTCATTAATGAAGACCTGCTACGCTGGAAAAAAAGGGTTTCACAGACCCCAACGGTAGCAGGTATTGAAATCAACAAAACAATTTCACATTTATATCTTAGTTGAGTTTCCTCAATCAAACAAGCTTTATGTATATAACTTTAGGTTTCATGCTTCAATATTACATTATAACTTAGGTATCTTGAAATAAATGAAATAGAATTCAATGAAATTCTGATTAATCTTTCTACTCTTGTATACTTTCTGTCAAAAGTTACTGTAAGGGCTGGGCGTAGGATTACAGACTCATGCCTGTAATCCTAGCACTTTGGAAGGCTGAGGAGGTCGGATCACTTGAGGCCAGGAGTTTGAGACCAACCTGGCTAACGTGGTGAAACACCGTCTCTACTAAAAATATAAAAATTAGTTGGGCATGGTGACATGTGCCTGTAGTCCCAGCTACTCGGGAGGCTAAGGCACAAGAATTTCTTGAACCCGGGAGGCAGAGGTTGCAGTGAGCTAAGATGGTGCCACTGTATTCCAGCCTGTGTGACAGAGCCAGACTCTGTCTCAAACCAACAAACAAAAAGTTACTGTAATATGCTGAATGGCCCTCAGATATGCCCACACTCTAATCTCCAGAGCCTGCAAATGTTACCTTATATGGCAAAAAGGACTTTGTAAATGTGATTATTTTAAAGATCTTGAGTCTGGGAGATTGTCAGGATTGTCCAAGGGGGCCCGGTGTAATCACAATGATCCTTATGAGAGGGACACAGGAGAAGTCAGAGTTAGAGAAGACAGTGTGATCACAGAAGCAGAGATTTTGGAGAGGCGCTCTCTGAAGGCAGATGAAGTGGCCACAAGCCAAGGAATATAGGTGGCCACTAGAAGCTGGAAAAGTCAAGGAAGCAGATTTTTCTCTCACAGCCTGCAGAAGGAACTAGCCCTGCTGCCTCCCTGACTTCAGAGAACTGGGTCTCAGTTTGGACTTCTGACCTCCAGAACTATAAAAAAAATTAACTTGTGGCCAGGCACAGTGGCCCACACTGTAATCCCAGCACTTTGCGGGGCCGAGGCAGGTAGATGGCTTGTACCCAGGAGTTCGAGACCAGCTTGGGCAACATGGCGAAACCCCATCTCTGCCAAAAATACAAAATAGCTGGGCACGTTGGTGCATGCCAGTCCTAGCTACTTGGGAGGCTGAGGTTGCAGAGCTGAGATCATGCCACTACACTCCAACCCGGGTGAGAGTGAGTCCGTCTCAAAGAAAAAAATAATTTGTGTTGTTCTAAGCCATTTTGCGTTGATTTGTTACAGCAGGAACAGGAAACTAATGTGGCTATCAAATGTAATTTTCCCATCTGCTCAGGAGGTGTCCACCTCATAGTGCTGAGCTTGTGTATGAAATGATATTGCACAACAGCAAATGTAGATCAGGGGTTCTCAATCCCAGAAACTTAAACATGAGGATATCTGGGGTGAGGCATTTTTTAAAAAGCTCCCTAGGATTCTGATTATAATCTGCAAGCAAGGCTTAAAACTACTCATAGGGATGGGCAAATGAGAGGAATTGGTTAAGTTGATTTGTAAGAGTTAAACTGATAAATTCTACCTACAGTGGTTAAGGTGAGGTCAGATCTTTCTGGCTTTTTGTTTTTTTCTTTTGAGATGAAGTTTCGCTCTGTTGCCTGGGCTGGAGTGCAATGGCGTGATCTCGGCTCACTGTAACCTCTGCCTCCCAGGTTCAAGCGATTCTCCTGCTTCAGCCTCCTGAGTAGCTGGGATTATAGGCACCCGCCACCATGCCTGGCAAATTTTTTTGTATTTTTAGTAGAGAGGAGGTTTCACTGTGTTGGCCAGGCTGGTCTCAAACTCCTGACCTCAAGTGGTCCACCTGCCTCGGGCTTCCAAAGTGCTGGGAATACAAGTGTGAGCCACTGCACCCGGCCAAGTTCAGCTCTTTCAAAATAGCCCATCCTAAAGGAGAGTGAAGAAATCAGTGGCCGAAGAAATGAAATGATTCTGTTGCATCAAGATGATCAGGGCACAATCTCAGAAAGTTGGAAGTCATATTGGGAAAATCTACAAAAGTAGTCATGGATGGAACCAGCTTTATTGTAATTCTGATCACTATACCAGAGCAATGCATTACTCTGATGTAAATATGATGTATTTTTACTATACTAGAAATAAAGTGACCTGTGGGAACTTCAGTAAAAAGAATAAGAACAAATCGGGGAACATTTGAGGTGGCAATCCATACACAGAAACTTTGAACCAAAGAAAAACTTATTGGGGGCCAGGCGCGGTGGCTCACGCCTGTAATCTCAGCACTTTGGGAGGCCGAGGCGGGTGGATCATGAGATCAGGAGTTCAAGACCAGCCTGGCCAAGATGGTGAAACCCTGTCTCTACTAAAAAAAAAAAAAAAAAATAGAAAAAATTAGCCGGGTGTGGTGGCGCAGGCCTGTAGTCCCAGCTACTTGGGAGGCTGAGGCAGGAGAATCGCTTGAACACAGGAGGCAGAGGTTTCAGCGAGCCGAGATCGTGCCATTGCACTTCAACCTGGGTGACAAGAGCGAAACTCCGTCTAAAAAAAAAGAAAAAGAAAAAAACTTATTGGGATATGAGGACAAGGAATATAATTCTGTTTGCCAGCTAACCAGGAGAATAATCATCTCTAATCTCCCTCTCTGTGCACCTTGAGGTGAGGTGCCAGCCCAAGACTGAACGAATATCAAGAAGCCCAAGTAATTTATTGGACCTAAGCAAGAACACTGCCTTCTTTGGATATCTTGTGTTCTTGTGTATCTTGCTGCATAGTCTGCTTTCAGCTAAAAGTAATAAATCAGAACGAAATGGAAAACCTTTTGACCAAACACAGAAAGTACATCAAATACTGACATCAGTACTGCATGATTGGTTTGCTAGGGCTGTTATAATAAAATGGCACAGACTGCGTTACTTAAACAGCAAATACTTATTTCCTCTCAATTGTGGAGGCTGGAAGTCCAATATCAAGGTGTCAGCAGGGTTGGTGTCTTCTGAGGACTCTCTCCTTGGCTTGCAGATGGCCACACTCTTGCTGTGTCTTCACATGGTCGGCCCTCTGTGTACGTACACCCCTGGTGTCTTTGTGTGTGTTCAAATATCCTTTTACTTATTTCTTTAATTTCTTTCTTGAGACAAGGTCTTATTCTGTCACTCAGGCTGGAGTGCAGTGGCGTGATTGTAGCTCACCGCAACCTCAAACTCAAGCGATCCTTCCACCTCAGCCCCCTGAGTAGCTGGGACTACAAACGTATGCCACCATACCTGGCTATTTTTTTTTTTTCCTTTTTTGAGACAGAGTTTTGCTTTTGTTGCCCAGGCTGGAATGCAATGGCGTGATCTCGGCTCACTGCAACCTCCGCCTCCCAGGTTCAAGTGATTCTCCTGCTTCAGCCTCCTGAGTAGCTGGGATTACAGGCATCCACCACCATGCCTGGCTAATTTTTGAGTTTTTTAGTAGAGACGGCGTTTCACCATGTTGGCCAGGCTGGTCTTGAACTCCTGACCTCGTGATCCACCCACCTCGGCCTCCCAAAGTGCTGGGATTACAGGCGTGAGCCACCGCACCCGGCCACCTGGCTAATTTTTTAACAAAAATTTTTGTAGAGATAGGGTCTTGCTATATTGCCCAGGCTGGTCTGGAACTCCTGGACACAAGGGATCCTCCTGCCTTGGCCTCCCAAAGTGCTGGGACTATAGGCATGAGCCACATTACCTGCCTGAATTTCCTCATAGGACATCAGTCAGATTGAATTAAGGCTCCTAATGTCCTCGTTTCAACTTAATTTCCTCTCATAAGGTTCTATCTCCAAATAGACTCCCATTCTGAAGTACTGTAGGTTACGGCTTCAACATACGAATTTGAGGGGACACAATTCAGCCCATAACAGGCACTTCACCCGTCAGCTGTCGGAAAATAAGAGCAGATGTGGCCGGGCGCAGTGGCTCACGCCTGGAATCCCAGCACTTTGGGAGGCTGAGGTGGGTGGATCACAAGGTCAGGAGATCGAGACCATCCTGGCTAACACAGTGCAGTGAAACCCCGTCTCTACTAAAAAATACAAAAAATTAGCCAGGCGTGGTGGCAGGCACCTGTAGTCCCAGCTACTGGGGAGGCTGAGGCAGGAGAATGGCGTGAACCCGGGAGGCGGAGCTGGCAGTGAGCCGAGATCGTGCCACTGCACTCCAGCCTGGGCGACAGAGTAAGACTCCGTCTCAAAAAAAAAAGAAAAGAAAAGAAGAGCAGATGCTCATGCTCCCTCTGTTTTTCTGCAAAAGCATTCTCCAGCAGTCTCTGGCACATAGAAAAATGTTCACTAAACACTCATTTTATGAATGAATAAATGAATAAATGAATAAATGAATGTGTGAATGGATTATATCATAAGTGTAATAGGTGACAGCCTGCTGAAACATTTTAGGGGCATTCCTTGTACAAAACTTACACATAAATTAAAAAATCAATTTAGCTTTCTACAACGGTGGATGCCAACCCAAACACATTTCCAGGGAGAATATTTCATTTATATGTAGATCTTCTTCATCTTGCAAATTGACTTCTGAGGTACATGACAGTGAATGTCATTCCAGCCCCATTCTTCTGAAGAACGGAAATTTATTATCGCACAACGCTCATCAAGGTTATTGGGTTCACCTGAGTGCCAGAATCTGAAAGGTAGATAAAGGACAGTGGTGTTTTGAAACCGTGGTTTGGAAAAGGTTAGAGACTGGGAGAGGGCTAGGGTTAAACAGTGCGAAAGTCAAGGTCACGTCTACCCAAACCACCTTCTCACTTCTGCTGCCACGTTTTGTAAAACCTCATGTTCAGGCAGTTTCCTCTCCACTTGTGTCTCTGGTATTTCCCCTGAAAACTGTTCCCATATGACCTAGTACTCTGTCATCTTAATCAACTCAAGCATATGTTGAACATCCTACTGGCAGATGTCCAAGAGGATTCCTTCAGTTTAGCCATCCCTATGTCCAATTGCCATAGAAATTCCAACTCACAGAGTTAAATGATTCAAATATTTTTTTTCCCTAGTCACAAGTATTAATCAGGTTCTATGCACTGCTTTTGGAGTCTGAAGAACTAGGTAAATTCCCTGGATCTGCTACTTAGTCTCTGTTATTTAGTGCAAGTAATTTAATTTCCCTGATTCTCAGTTCTTCTATCTGAAAAAATGGGAACTAGAACAATGTCCTTACGTATTTGACATAGTTGATACAAATGTTAAAAGTGGTAATCTGTACTAAAGTGCTTTAAAATTTGTAAAGAAATACATAAATGGCCGGGGATGGTGGCTCACACCTGTAATCTCAGCACTTTGGGAGGCCAAGGCAGGTGGATCACTTGAGGTCAGGAGTTTGAGACCAGCCTGGCCAACATGGTGAAACCCATCTCTACTAAAATTACAAAAATTAGCTGCGTGTGGTGGCACATGCCTGTAATCCCAGCTACTCAGGAGACTGAGGCAGGAGAATCACTTGAACCCAGGAGGCAGAGGTTGCAGTGAGCCAAGATCATACCACTGCACTCTAGCCTGGGTGATGGAGTGAGACTCTTGTCTAAAAAAAAAAAAAAAAAAGCACAACCCTTGATGTCAAATAGACCTAGGTTTTAAAAAGTGTTGTGGGTTTTATTGTTTGTTTGCTTAATAGCTGATGGAACACCCTAAACCCCTACATGATCAGGACCCAGTGTCCTTTACCTCATTCTATACTCACGTGACATTTTCATTGTATGGTGTCTGGTCAACCCATTGCCAATGTCGCCGACCCCCTGGATCTGACAGCCCCAGAAAATAAGAAGAATTTCTTTTCAGATTCTGAATGATGAAATCCTGAGGGAAGAAAATGGAAGAGTCATAGCTGATAGAGCAGGAGCACCCTCATCTGGGACGAACACCGCC
This sequence comes from Homo sapiens, assembly GCF_000001405.40. Lineage (NCBI taxonomy): Eukaryota > Metazoa > Chordata > Mammalia > Primates > Hominidae > Homo > Homo sapiens. Next base: position 7,730,982 of record NC_000012.12, read on the forward strand.
ACTTTAAGTTCCAGCTCCCTTTCTAGCCTCATGCATTTCAAGGAAATCACTTCTCTTCTAACTACAAGCAGACAGAAAGAGCAGACAGCAAAACACAGATAAGACAGCTCAGGCACATAGGGAGGTGGAGGAAAAGTCTCTTGGGTAACTGCCAAACTTCACCCTCATACAATGGACCCCAGTAAAACAGTGGGCCTTAATAAGCACATTCCTTTCCCTTCAGGTGCACTAAGATAGGAAAGCTAAAGGCAGACTGGGGGGATATGCCTGCAGCTGCACAAAGATGTATGGGAACAGACATACAACTCTCCCTCCCAGATAAGCACAACAAAGAGACACAGAAGCAGTCCAAGCCTCTGATAAACTCTCCCACCCTGAATCCTTAAAAACTCTTGGTCTGTAAGAGAGTGGGCCTCTGATCTAACTCAGCCAGAAGCTCCTCTCAGGTTTATTTTCTCTAAAATAATTCTCTAAAATAGACTGGCAAGCCACCTTTCGTATTTCTTTCCTCTTTCTTTAATTCTTACAATAGCCTTTAGGGGACTCAAGTTGAACTGAGTTCTTACCGCCATAGGAAGAAAAGAATAAAAGGAGAAGACCCAGGAGTAGCCACAAAGGGCCCCTGTCCAGCAGCAGAGGCCTCTGGCTGAGCAGGGCTGGATCAAAGACATCACTTGTGAGCATGATGTTTGGCACGTACAGGAGCACGCTCTAGCCATGGCCATCATAAATCCTCATGTCACACTTGCTTTCCTATTTCTTTGCTAAGTGACAGCATTCTTCAAGACTCTGCATGTAGTGAGGAAATTCTCCCTCACTCCTAATATATTCTTCTTGTAAAGGGAGTCTGTAATCTCAACTACTCGAGTGGCTGAGGCATGAGAATCGCCTGAACCTGGGAAGTAGAAGCTGCAGTGAGCCGAGCTCACGTTATTGCACTCTAGCATGGGTGACAGAATGAGACTCTGTGTCCAAAAAATGCAAACCCACCCCCTGCCCAAAAATAAAAAACAACTTTGCATGAACACTCCAAATGCTTCAGGTCACTTTTTTTTCTTTCTTTTTTTAGACAGAGTCTTACTCTGTTACCCAGGCTGGAGTGCAGTGGCACGATCTCGGGTCACTGCAACCTCTGCCTCCCGGGTTCAAGTGAGTATCCTGCCGCAGCCTCCTAAGTAGCTGGGATAACAGGCATGCAACATCATGCCTGGTTAATTTTTGTATTTTTAGTAGAGACGGGGTTTCACCATGTTGGCCAGGCTGGTCTCAAACTCGTGACCTCAGTTGATTTGCCTGCCTAGGCCTCCCAAAGTGCTGGGATTACAGGCGTGAGCCATGATGTCCAGCCACAGGTCACTTTATTTTTTTATTTTTTTTATTTATTTTTTTGAGATGGAGTCTCACTCTGTCGCCAGGCTGGAGTGCAGTGGTGTGATCTCGGCTCACTGCAACCTCCAAATCCCTGGTTCAAGCGGTTCTTCTGCCTCAGGCTCCAGAGTAGCTGGGATTACACGCACGAGCCACCATGCCCAGCTAATTTTTTTGTATTTTTAGTAGAGATGGGGTTTCACCATGTTGGCCAGGATGGTCTCGATCTCCTGACCTTGTGATCCACCCTCCTCGGCCTTCCAAAGTGCTGGGATTACAGGCGTGAGCCACCGTGCCCGACCACAGGTCACTTTAAAATAAAGATATTTATGGCCAGGTGTGGTGGTTCACGCCTATAATCCAAGCATTTTGGGAGGCTGAGGATGGCGGATCACGAGGTCAGGAGATCAAGACCATACTGGCTAACATGGTGAAACCCCGTCTCTACCAAAATACAAAAAATTAGCCGGGCATGGTGGCAGGCAGCTACTCAGGAGGCTGAGGCAGGAGAATGGCATGAACCCAGGAGGCGGAGCTGCAGTGAGCGGAGATCGCGCCACTGCACTCCAGTCTCGGCGACAGAGGGACAGAGCAACATTCTGTCTCAAAAAATAAAATAAAGATATTTATAATAGTAGTAGTTAAAATTAGTCATTGTCTACTATATGCCAAGTATTATGCCATGAGTTTGCATAAGTTACTTCACGTAAATTTTACAACTACTACTGTGAGGAAGATAGTGTGGCTGTCTCCATTTTACTAAGTCTCAGGAAACAGATTTAGAAAGATAAAGTTGTCAAACGTCACACAACTAATAAATAACAGAGATCTAACTCTAGAGCCAGTATTCTTAACCAGTACATGTTCTGTGTTACAAGAAAGATAGAGGTCTATAATCAAATTTTAGAAAGCCAAATTTTTTTTTTTTTTTGGAGGTGGAGTCTTGGTCTGTTGCCAAGGCTGGAGTGCAATGGTGTGATCTCGGCTCAGGGCAACCTTTGCTTTCTGGGTTCAAGCAATTCTCATGCCTCAGCCTCCTGAGTAACTGGGACTACAGGTGTATGCCACCACACCTGGCTAATTTTTGTATTTTTAGTAGAGATGGAGTTTCACCATGTTGACCAAGCTGGTCTTTTTTTTTTTTTTTTTTGAGACTGAGTCTTGCTCTGTCGCCCAGGCTAGAGTGCAGTGGCGAGATCTTGGCTCACTGCAAGCTCCGCCTCCTGGGTTCACGCCATTCTCCTGCCTCAGCCTCCCGAGTAGCTGGAACTACAGGCTCCCGCCACCATGCCCTGCTAATTTTTTGTATTTTTAGTAGAGACGGGGTTTCACCATATTAGCCAGGATGGTCTCAATCTCCTGACCTTGTGATCCAGCTGCCTCAGCCTCCCAAAGTGCTGGGATTACAGGCGTGAGCCACCGCACCTGGCCCCCAAGCTGGTCTTGAACTCCTGGCCTCAAGTGATCTGCCCACCTTCGCCTCCCAACATGCTGAGATTACAGGCGTGAGCCACCACACCCAGCCGTCATATATTTTGTTTTGTTTTACTTGTTTCTTTTTGAGATGGAGTCTTGCTCTCTCACCCAGGCTGGAGTGCAGTGGTATGATCTCGGCTCACTGCAACCTCTACCTCCCAGATTCAAGCAATTCTTCTGCCTCAGCCACCCAAGTATCCGGGACTACAGGCATGAAACACGTCGCCAGGCCTCAAATAATGTTGTACAAACAAGAAAAGATATTTTGACATAGGTTTTCAGATTATTTTGAATGTACATGAACATATACGAGACATTGTTAGTGGTTTGTGTGCTTCCCTCCCTCTCCGCCATATCAATTTATCTATTCATTCATTCATTGAACATTCAAGCAGTCTATTGTCTGCCCAGACCCTGTGCTAAATGTGGCATAAGAAGTCAAAACAAATAAAAGTTTACAACATGGCTGGGGAGACAGGATGAACAGCACTTTTGAAAACTTTGTACGGTTAGGCAAAAATTAGAGTCCAGAGCCAAGAAAGAGGTAAGGGTAAATAGGCAGTAAATCAGACCTCATATAGATTATGATCTGGCTTTGAATCATTTGGATATTGTAGAAATTTCAAGCCCTGAAATTGCCATAATGTACTGTAGGACTTGTGCCAAGGCATGTGGCAAAAGCAAATGAAAATACTCTTTGGAAGAGAATAATATCTGAGGCCTCCAATTTTTTTTTTTTTTTTGAGACAGTTTTGCTTTTTCACCCAGACTGGAACGAAGTGGCATGATCTTGGCTCACTGCAACCTCTGCCCCCTGGGTTCAAGTGATTCTCCTGCCTCAGCCTCCCGAGTAACTGTGATTACAGGCATGTGCCACCATGCCGAGCTAATTTTTGTATTTTTAGTAGAGAAGGGTTTCGCCATGTTGGCCAGGCTGGTCTCAAACTCCTGACCTGAGGTGATCCACCCGCCTCAGCCTCCCAAAGTGCTAGGATTACAAGCATGAGCCACCGTGCCTGGCCTCCAATTATTTTTATAAATAATTTTTCAAGTACAACATCCATCACACAAGGATAATTTGAAACATTCCATAGGCCAGGCATGGTGTCTCAGGCCTATAACCCCAGCACTTTGGGAGACCGAGGCAGGCTGATCACTTGAGGCCAGGAGTTTGAGACTAGCCTGGACAACATGGTGTAACCCTGTCTCTACTAAAAATACAAAAATTAGCCAGGAGCGGTGGCATGCACCTGTAATCCCAGCTGGTCAGGAGGCTGAGTCAGAAGAATCACTTGAACACAGAAGTCAGAGGTTGCAGTGAGCCGAGATCACACCACTGCACTCCAGCCTGGGGTGACAGAGAGAGACTCTGTCTCAAAAAAATAAAAAAAGAAGATCTGGGCACAGTGGCCCACACCTGTAATCCCAGCAATTTGGGAGGCTGGGGCAGGTAGATCACCTGAGGTCAGGAGTTCGAGACTAGCCTGGCCAACATGGTAAAACCTCATCTTTACTAAAAATACAAAAATTAGCTGGGCGTGGTTGCAGGCGCCTGTAATCCCAGCTATTCAGGAGGCTGAGACAGGAGAATCGCTTGAACCCAGGAAGCAGAGGTTGCAGTAAGCAGAGATCTTGCCACTGCACTCCAGCCTGGGCGATAGAACAAGACTCTGTCTCAAAGAAAAAAAAAAAAAAAAACGGCCAGGCACGGTGGCTCACGCCTGTAATCCCAGCACTTTGGGAGACCGAGGCAGGCAGATCACGAGGTCAGGAGTTTGAGACTAGCCTGGCCAATATGGTGAAACCCCGTCTCTACTAAAAATACAAAAATTAGCCAGGTGTGGTGGTGGTCGCCTGTAATCCCAGCTACTCGGGAGACAGAGAGGAGAATCGCTTGAACGCAGGAGGTGGAGGTTGCAGTGAGCTGAGATCGAGCCACTGCACTCCAGCCTGGCGACAGAGCAAGACTCCATCTCAAAAAAAAGAAAAAAAAAGCAAAAACCAGTAACAGCAAAAAAACAAGCTTAAGTGTTGAACATTATAAAGTTTGACAGCATATTTGAAAGAGAAGCAAGATCAATTCTAGATTTGAAAAATACAATAATTGAATTTAGATGTTAATATATGGCTTTAATAGCAGGATAGACATAGTTGAAGAAGATTAGTCAAGTGGGAGGGCCAGGTGTGGTGGCTCACGCCTGTAATCCCAGAACTTTGGGAGGCCGAGGTGGGTGGATCACGAGGTCAGGAGTTCAAGACCAGCCTGGCCAACATGGTGAAACCCCCGTCTCTACTAAAAATACAAAAATTAGCTGGGTGTGGTGGCACGCACCTGGAGTCCCAGTTACTCGGGAAGCTGAGGCAGGAGAATCGCTTGAACCTGGGAGGCGGAGGTTGCAGTGAGCCAAGACCGTGCCATTGCACTCCAGCCTGGGCGCCATTGCACTCCAGCCTGGGCAACAGAGTGAGACTCTGTCTCAAAAACAAAAAGAAGATTAGTGAACTGGAATAGAAGGACAGAAGAAACTGTTTAAAATCAAGTACAAAGAGAAAAATAGATGGAAAATGTTGAAAAGAAGGTAAGAAATGCAGAGGATACAGTATGAAGGACTAATGTTTAATTGGTTGACATTTCTTAGATGGCAAATATTAATATCATTTTTCCATTTTTCAAATTCACTATTTTATTTGCCTGAATTTTTTTTCTTATATTTTTAAAATTAAAATTCTTCAGGATCAAATTTCAACATCAATGTTTGCCTGAAGTTTGCTCCGGAATTTGTTTTATTAAAGTTATTGTTAGCCAGACGTGGTGGCTCACACCTGTAATCCCAGCACTTTGGGAGGCCGAGACGGGCAGATCACGAGGTCAGGAGATCCAGACCATCCTGGCTAACACAGTGAAACCCCATCTCTACTAAAAATACAAAAAAATTAGCCGGGCGTGGTGGCAGGTGCCTGTAGTCCCAGCTACTTGGGAGGCAGGAGAATGGTGTGAACCCGGGAGGCTGAGCTTGCAGTGAGCTGAGATTGTGCCACTGCACTCCAGCCTGGGCAACAGAGCAAGACTCCGTCTCAAAATAAATAAATAAATAAATAAAAATAAAAAATAAAGTTATTGTTGGCCACACATGGTGGCTCACGCCTATAATCCCAACACTTTGAGAGGCCGAGGCAGGTGGATCATTTGAGGTCAGTAGTTCAAGATCAGCCTGACTAACATGGTGAAACCTCGTCTCTTCTAAAAATACAAAAATTAGCCAGGCGTGGCGGTACATGCCTATCCTCCCAGCTACTTGGGAGGCTGAGGCAGGAGAATCACTTGACCCCGGGAGGCGGAGGCTGCAGGGAGCTGAGATCGTGCCATTACACTCCAGCTTGGGTGACAAAAGGAGACAGTCCCCCCAAAAAAAATAAAAATAAAAGTCATTTTTGAGTGTTCCAGATTAAGGAGATTTTCCTGTGTTTTTTGTTTTTTGGGTTTTTTTTTACCCAGAAGTTTTTTTTTTTTTCCTGTCTTTGAACTTTCAGGGCAATAAAAAGACTCTTTATCAGTTAAGAAAGGAAACAGATTAGCTGACCACCTTGCCTGTTAGAACATACCTGTTCTTCCCTGGTGTTGATCACCACCAGATCAGCCCCCATCACAGAACAGTTCTTTTGACTCTTAGTCCAAGATTGCATCCCAGTAGAAATAAAGTAGCAACTAGACTGAAATGAAGTCCAAGGGGTTGGGCAGCAGCTCCAATCTTCCCAAATGAGTATAGAAGAAGAAAAAATATTAACAGAGAATTCTCCTCACATAAAGTTATAAGCTTAGCTTGCTAAGGTTTAATTAGTTTTCACCTATGGATCTCCACGGATTTTCCAAAGCTGAACTCATTTACTGGTGTATTTACTAATCCCTAGATCATTTCACTCTATACAGGGACCAGCAAACTTCCTGCAAAAGGCCAGATAGTAAATATCTCAGGCTTTTTGGGCCATACGGTTTCTGTTGCAACTGCTTAACTCTGCTACTGCAGTACGAAAGCAACCACTGGCAATATGTTACCAAAGAAAAAAAAAAGAACATGAGTATGGCAATAAAATGCCATTTACAAAACTAGGCAGCTTGTTGAGTTTGGCCCATGCCTTAGTTTTCCAGGCCCTGCTTTAAACCCACAAAAATGATCTGAAAGACAAATACTTTAACTTCAGGTTCTCATCATTCATTGGTGGTCATATATGAACCATGTCCACATCTTTAGCAAAAATAAGCTTCGCAATGTTATATTTGTCACTAATAATTATAGATATAAATATCATTTAGAGTTTAGCATCCCATTATAAAGAATGAGTCCAGAGTAAGACATATCTGGGTTGCAACCTCATTTTCTGTGCTGTAATTTTGGGAAAATTATATAACCACTCTAAGCCTTAAATATTTTTCTTTTCGTTTGTAAATGGGAATATTTCTCACTCAGAATGTTGAGAGGTTGAGGTGACATAATACATGCAAAACACTTAAGAGCAGTACGTGCTGAAAAATATCCATCTCTCCTCCTTCGAAGCACCAGTTTCTTCCACTGTCAGCACAAACGAGATTATATACATTCCCTCTAACAAACAGTGACAATGTAGACCATATCAAAATGTTTTTCTTTATATTTTGACATACATTATACCAAAATAAATATTTAAAAATTTTTTTAGAGACAGGATCATGCTTTGTCATCTAAGCTGGAGTGCAGTGGCATAACCATGGCTCACTGCAGCCTTGACCTGGATTCAAGTGATCCTCCCACCTCAGCCTCCCAAGTAGCTGGAACCACAGGGGCACGCCACCACACCCAGCTAATTTTTTTTGTATTATTTGTAGAGACAGAGTCTTGCTTCGTTGCCCAGGCTGATCTGGAACTCCTGGGATCAAGTGATCCACTGGCCTCAGCTGCCCTGAAGTGCTGGAATTACAGGCATGAGCCACTGAGCCTGGCCTCCTATGATAGTTTTGTTTTGTTTTTAATTATACTTTAAGTTCTAGGGTACATGTGCACAACGTGCAGGTTACATATGTATACATGTGCCACTTTGGTGTGCTGCACCCATTAACTCGTCATTTATGTTAGGTATATCTCCTAATGCTATCCCTCCCCCCTCCCCACCCCACAACAGGCCCCAGTGTGTGATGTTCCCCACCCTGTGTCCAAGTGTTCTCATTGTTCGATTCCCACCAGTAGTTTTGAAAAAGAAACTCTTGTCATCTTTTTACCTCTCACAGTTTTTCCCTATAAGTAAAGAATGAATTATTTCATTCTTTTTTTTTGAGATGGCATCTCGCTCTGTCGCCCAGGCTGGAGTGCAGTGGTGTGATCTCGGCTCACTGCAACCTTCGCCTCCCGGGTTCAAGCAATTCTCCTGCCTCAGCCTCCGGAGTAGCTGGGACTACAGGTGCCCGCCACCACGCCCAGCTACTTTTTATATTTTTAATAGAGACGGGGTTTCACCATGTTGGCCAGGATAGTCTCAATCTCTTGACCTCGTGATCCGCCCGCCTCGGCCTCCCAAAGTGCTGGGATTACAGGGGTGAGCCACCGCGCCTGGCCTGTTTCATTCTTGAAATAATTGTTTGATGCCCTTTGGGTCCATATTTCCTTCCTGCAAAGGATTAAGGCCATAGAGGCATTTCTGGGGTGGAACTTGTCTCCCTCCGGCTCTGCATACGACGCTGTAGGCAGTCCCTGATCCTGGACACAGCCGACCAATTATCCCTGAGGAGGTGAGTAGGCCTGGACTAGGGAGCAACAGTTTGGCCTCACTCTAGGCCATATTTCATGGTTTGATTTTACCATCAATAAAGCTGATAATTTTATTTTATTTATTATCTTTTTTTTAGACAGGGTCTCACTTTGTCACCCGGGCTGGAGTGCAGCAGTGTAATTGCTGCTTACTGTAGCCTCAACCTCCGGAGCTCAACTGATCCTCCCACCTCAGCCTCCAAAGTAGCTAGGACTATAGGCACATGCCACCATAGCTCGGTAATTTTTTTTTTTTTTTGAGATGGAGTTTCACTCTTATTGTCCAGGCTGGGACAATCTCAGCTCACCACAACCTCCACCTCCCAGGTTCAAGTGATTCTCCTGCCTCAGCCTCCCGAGTTGCTGGGATTACAGGCATGCGACACCACGCCCGGGTAATTTTGTATTTTTAATAGAGACAGGGTTTCTCCATGTTGGTTAGGCTGGTGTCGAACTCCTGACCCCAGGTGATCCACCCGCGTCGGCCTCCCAAAGTGCTGGGATTACAGGCATGAGCCACCGTGCTGCGCTTGGGTGATTTATTTTTAAGTATTTTGTAGAGTTGAGGTCCCATCTTGTTTCCCAGGCTGGTTTCAAGCTCCCGTGCTTAGGTGATTACCCCTCCTCAGCCTCCCAAAGCACTGGGATTACAGATGTGAGCCACTATGCCAGGCATAATTTTATTCTTATCTGAATCCTGTGTATATTTATTTTTCAGTTAATCCAGAACTGTATAGGGAGAGGGATATATTTACTGTTGAACTTAGTGATTAATTGGATGCAGGGGTGAAGATGATAAGCAAAGAAAAACTGCTGGCCAGGCACGGTGGCTCACGCCTGTAATCCCAGCACTTTGGGAGGCCGATGCGGGAGGATTGCCTGAGCTCAGGAGTTCACGACCAGCCTGGACAACAAGGTGAAACCCCGTCTCTACTAAAATACAAAAAAATTAGCCGGGCCTGGCAGCGTGTGCCTGTAGTCCCAGTTACTTGGGAGGCCGAGGCAGGAGAACTGCTTGAACCTGGGAGGCAGAGGTTGCAGTGAGCCGAGATCGCGCCACTGCACTCCAGCCTGGGCGACAGAGTGAGACTCCGTCTCAAAAAAGAAAAAAAAGAAAAGAAAGAAAAAAGAGAAAAAAACTGCTAAGAATGATTCTTGAGTTTTAGGCTTTAATATTGATGGGAGCAGGAGGAAGTGAGACAGTTCTGAGGACCCCTGTTTGATACTTTAATTTTGAGGTGTCTATTTTTTTTTTTGAGACGGAGTCTCGCTCTGTCACCCAGGCTGGAGTGCAGTGGCGCGATCTCGGCTCACTGCAAGCTCCACCTTCTGGGTTTACACCATTCTCCTGCCTCAGCCTCCCGAGTAGCTGGGACTACAGGCGCCTGCCACTGCACCCAGCTAATTTTTTGTATTTTTAGTAGGGACAGGGTTTCACCGTGGTCTCGATCTCCTGACCTCGTGATCCGCCCGCCTCGGCCTCCCAAAGCGCTGGGATTACAGGCTTGAGCCACCGCGCCCGGACTTTTTTTGCATTTTTAGTAGAGATGCGGTTTCTCCGCATGTTGGTCAGGCTGGTCTCAAACTCCAGACCCTCAGGTAATCCACCCACCTCGGCCTCCCAAAGTGTTGGGATTACAGGTGTGAGCCATTGGGCCCAGCCTGAGGTGTCTATTTAAGATACCAAGTAGATAGTTAAAGAATGCAGTAGGAAAAACCAGGCTGCAGTTGATAATTTTAGTGCTGAAGATATAAACCATCAGACTAGGAATTTGATTAATAGCAAGGGAAGTCTTGTTGCCCATTGCAGAGTTGTACCTTCTATGTCCTTTCCTTCCATGACGCAGGTCAGGCTTGGATGATACTGTTGATACTCTCGTAACTTGGACAGCCTCTTGACAGTTTTGCTATACATAAAATTGTGAGGCACTGGGAAAGAGAAATCGGAGTTAGTTCTCATTCTTTTAAGTGGATCTATGTTGTACTATACAATCTTATGCTGTGGACAGGCACAGTGACTCACGCCTGTAATCTCAGCACTTTAGGAGGCCGAGGTGGGAGGACCATTTGAGGTCGGGAGTTAGAGACCAGCCTGGCTAACATGGTGAAACCCCGTCTCCACCAAAAATATAAAAATTATCCAGGTGGCCAGGCACAGTGGCTCACACCTGTAATCCCAGCGCTTTGGGAGGCCGAGGCTGGTTGGATCACTTGAGGTCAGGAGTTTGACCAACATGGTGAAACCCCGTCTCTACTAAAAATACAAAAATTAGCTGGGTGTGGTGGCGGGCACCTATAATCCGAGCTACTTGGGAGGCTGAGGCAAGAGAATTGCTAGAACCCAGGAAGCAGAGGTTGCAGTGAGCCGAGACCGCGCCATTGCACTCCAGCCTGGACGACAGAGCAAGACTGTGTCTCAAAAAAACAATTAGCCAAGGGTGGTGGCAGGCGCCTGTAATTCCAGTTACTCAAGAGGCTGAGGCAGGAAAATCACTTGAACTTGGAAGACAGAGGTTGCAGTGAGCCGAGATCGTGCCATTGCACTCCAGCCTGGGTGACAAGAGTGCAACTCCATCTCAAAAAAATAAATAAATAAATAAATAAAAATAAAGAATCTTATGACTTTACGGCTGGGCATGGTGGCTCACACCTGTAATCCCAGTACTTTGGGAGGCCAAGGCGGGTGGATCACCTGAGGTCAGGAGTTCAAGCCCAGCCCAGCCAACATGGTGAAACCCTGTTTCTACTAAAAATACAAAAATTAGGTGGGCATGGTGGCACATGCCTGTAATCCCAGCTACAGGAGGCTGAGGCAGGAGAATCACTTGAACCTGGGAGGTGGAGGTTGCAGTGAGCAGAGACCGTGCCATTGCACTCTAGCCTGGGCAATAGAGCCAGACTTTGTCTCGAAAAAAAAAAAAAAAAGCCTGGGCACAGTGGCTCATGCTTGTAATCCCCAGCACTTTGGGAGGCCGAGGTGGGTGGATCATGAGGTCAGGAGTTTGAGACCAGCCTGACCGACATGGTGAAACCCCATCTCTACTAAAAATACAAAAATTAGCCAGGCGTGGTGACACGTGTCTATTAATCCCAGCTACTCAGGAGGCTGAGGCAGGAGAATCACTTCGACCTGGGAGGCGAAGGTTGCAGTGAGCCGAGATCGCACCACTGCACTCCAGCCTGGCAACAGAACGAGACTCCATCTCAAAAATAAATAAATAAATAAATAAATAAATAAATAAATAAATAAATAAACGTTATGCTCTTACAAAGTCTGCAACATCTCTCTCTTGCCCATCCCATTTCAAGCCGTACTGTTTTTTTCTCATGCTTCTTTCTGTGCAGGTCCAGTAAAAAATATGTTCTTAACCCTATCTTATATTCATTTATCTTGTTTGTTTATAAGTTTACATACGTATATATCTTGATTTCCCCCTACAATAACATACAGTCTAGTGAAGGAATTTCATTGTATTCACGCTATATACCCAGCACCTAGAAAAGTGGCCTGCTCATAGTAGGTGTTCAGTAAGCATTTGTTGACTTACTAGGTAACAGCATCTAATTCTATTAATCCTGAAATATCACAGGTCTTTTGGTTTTTCCATAGTTTTCTGATGGCTGTAACTGTAAGTAAACCATTTGGGTCAAATTAAATATAAGGTAAAACCTAACCCTTTGGAGACATTTAGACATCTTTTGCTAAAAACGGTCTCTTTTGTTCACTGGCAGGCACATAGAGCAAGATCTGACTTTTCACTTATCCTCACTTAATTCTTTTTTTTTTTTTTTCTTTTTTTGAGATGGAGTCTTGCTCTGTCGCCCAGGCTGGAGTGCAGTGGCGCGATCTTGGCTCACTGCAAGCTCCGCCTCCTGGGTTCATGCCATTCTCCTGCCTCAGCCTCCTGAGTAGCTGGCACTACAGGCGCCCGCCACCGCGCCCGGCTAATTTTTTTTGTATTTTTTTTTTAGTAGAGACAGGGTTTCACCATGGTCTCGATCTCCTGACCTCGTGATCCGTCCGCCTCGGCCTCCCAAAGTGAGCCACCACGCCCGGCCTTAATTCTTTATTCATGTATTTCATCATTCTGATTTTGAGACTAAACCTAGTCAAACTCTTCTATTTTCTCTGAATTTATGTCTTTAAGTTCTTGCATGTCTTCTTTCCTCTCAGATAATTAAATAACCATCTTGTATTAGTCCGTTTTTGCATTGCTATAAAGGAATACCTGAGACTTGGTATTTATAAAGAAAAGACATTTTACTGGCTCACAGTTCTGCAGACTGTACAGTAAGTATGGTGCCAGCATCTGCTCACCTTCTGGTGAGGCCTCAGGAAGCTTTCAGTCATAGTGGAAGGCAAAGCGGGAGCTGGCATATCACATGGCAAGAGAGGGTGCAAGAGAGAGTGAGGGGGAGGGGCTGATCTCACCCCAACTCAGAGCAAGAACTCACTTATTCCTTCGAGGAGGGTGCCAAGCCATTCATGAGGGATCCATCTGCATCACTCAAAACCTCCTGCCATGCCCCACCTCCAACAGTGGGGATTTCAAATTTCAAGTGATAGTTGTCCCTTCCAAATTTCAAATTTTCAACATGAGACTTGGAAGGGACAACTATCCCAACCATATCACATCTTTAAGCCCTTTTGTCTCTTGCCCTTTGTTATAAAAAGCAAAGCAAAGTTTAACTTTAGTAATAATTCTGCCTCTTGGGGTTACATTGAAAACTGTGAGATGTATTTACAACTAGAAAGAAACTGAAGACTGTATCATCAACACATTTTTACTTGACATAGGAAGTCATCGTATTCAGTAACTTCCTCACAGATGTTTCATTTCTGTTTCTAATCATAATATTAGATAATAGAGCACATTTTGACACCCAAATAGTAAACAAGAGAGTTGGGAAATTTCTCAGGTGTCACAAAAATATAAAACTTGGCAAAGGGAGTAGCAATTAAATAATAGTTTACTTTGTTTATTTTTCCATTGTATCACTGTATAAACATTTATTTTTATTTTTATTTTTTGAGACAGGGTCTCTCTGTCGCCCAGGCTGGATTGCAGTGGTACGATTATGGCTCACTGCAGCCTCAACTTCCTGGGCTCAAGCGATCCTCCTGCCTCAACCTCCTGAGTAGCTGGGACCACAGGCACATGCCACCATGCCAAGTTATATTTTTTATTTTTTATGGAGACAGGGTCTCATTCTGTTGCCCAGGCTGGTCTTGAACTCCTGTCCTCAAGCGATCCTCCCACCTGAGCCTCCCAAAGTGCTCACAGGTGTGAGCCACTGCCTGGCCATATGAACAATTTTTCCTGTCATGTTGGGAAGAATCTCACATGAAGATTAAAACCCCACAGTAATACAATTATAGCATCATAGAAAGAATAATAGTTATGTTCCCAATAGAGACTTTTTTAAAACAAAGGAGCAGATCAACTAGATGGTACCCACCATCAGCACACCCATCAAAGTGGAGTTATTGTTATAGAATGAATTGCGTCCTCCCCAAGTTCATATATGGAAGTCCCAAGCTCCAATTTGTGGTATTTGAAGATAGGGGCTTTGGGAGGAAATCAGGTTTAGATGAGGTTATGAGGGGGGGCTCTCATGGTGAGATGAATGCTCTTATAAGAAGAAACCGTGACGAGCTAGCACTCCCTCCATCATGTGAGGACACAGCAAGAGGGCATCAGCTGTAAGCCAGGAAGAGGGACCTCACCATACCCAACCATCCTGACATCCTCATGTCAGACTTCCAGCCTCCAGAACCATCAGAAAATAAATATCTGTTTTTTAACTCACTCAGTCTATGCTTTTTTTTTTTTTTTTTTTTTTTTTTGAGACAGAGTCTCACTCTGTCACCCAGGCTGGAGTGCAGTGGCGTGATCTCGGCTCACTGCAACCTCTGCCTCCTGGGTTCAACTGAGTCTCCTGCCTCAGCCTCCCAAGTAGCTGGGATTACAGGCGCGAGTCACTGCACCCAGCTAATTTTTGTATTTTTAGTAGAGACAGGGTTTCACTATATGGTCCAAGCTGGTCTTGAACTCCTGACCTCAGGTGATCTGCCTGCCTTGGCCTCCCGAAGTGCTGGGATTACAGGCATGAGCTACCACGCCTGGCCCAGTCTATGGTATTTTGTTATGGCAGCCCAAGCTGACCAAGACAGTTATGATCACATTTGAAAAATGCAACTAAAACCAGGCAAAGAAACCTGGAAGTACACACAATTATCCAGAATAATTAATAATAGTAATAACTCATTTTATTAGAAACATAGCCTTCTCAGTTAGGGTTGCCATTTTATGTCAAGAAAGGGGAACGTGGCCGGGCGCGGTGGCTCACACCTGTAATCCCAGCACTTTGGGAGGCCAAGGTGGGCGGATCACGAGGTCAGGAGATCGAAACCACCCTGGCTAACACAGTGAAAACCCGTCTCTACTAAAAATACAAAAAATTAGCCAGGCATGGTGGCGGGCACCTGTAGTCCCAGCTACTCGGGAGGCTGAGGCAGGCGAATGGCATGAACCCGGGAGGTGAGCTTGCAGTGAGCCGAGATCACGCCACTGCACTCCATCCTGGGCGACAGAGCGAGATTCCGTCTCAAAAAAAAAAAAAAAAAAAAGAAAAAAAAAGAAAGAGGAACGTGTTTCTTCAGGAAATTGATAAAATGTGATTGGGAAAAGGACCAAGAGATGACTGCACTCCAGCCAAGAACTTACCCACAGAACTCACAGTGAAACAGACACTGAGGAGCAAGATGGATACGACTGCCATGGACCAGACCTTCAACTGGAACCACCAGAGTCCTTTCTCTGTCAGATCAGCATGACAAATGCACAGTCATAATCCCCACTGCCAAAGAGCCAGGAAACCAGAGTCCCAAAAATCTTAGAATAATAAAGTCAGGCTATGATCAAAACTAATTAAAACAGAAAAAATGTGAAAGCAAAAAGAGATTATAGAAATTATCTCAGAACAAATGACCAGATAGTACCCTGGAACCCAAGACAAATCCAGGCAAAACTCTCAGAGTAAACTGTACTTTCCAATTCCTTACTCTCTTTTCCCTTGAATTGCACAGCCTTGGCCTCAAACTTCCAGGCTTAAGTGGTCCTCCTGCCTCAACCTCTGAGTAGCTGGGACTTTAGGCATTTGCCTGCATGCCTGGCCAAATTCATATTCCTTTAAGGCCTTCTAGGCCCGAGTTGTTTTTCTTTTTTTCTTTTTTTTGAGATGGAGTTTCACTCCTGTTGCCCAGGCTGGAGTGCAATGGCACGATCTCGGCTCACTGCAACCTCCGCCTCCCAGGTTCAAGTGATTCTCCTGCCTCAGCCTCCCAAGTAGCTGGGATTACAGGCATGTGCCACCACGCCTGGCTAATTTTCTATTTTTAGTAGAGACAGGGTTTCTCCATGTTGGTCAGGCTGGTCTCGAACTCCTGACCTCAGGTGCTCTGCCCACCTCGGCCTCCCAAAGTGCTGGATTACAGGCGTGAGCCACCGCGCCCGCCCGGCCTTTCTTTTTTTCTTTCATCTTTCCCTGATCCAAGTATCTTGGGTCCATACCTGTTTCCATACTGAAATTACTATTATTTATGAAAAGCTGTCTACTTCTTCTTCCAAAGTCATCCCTATCACCTCAATGCCTGTTTCCCACTCCATCCTGCTCCTACTACCTTCCCTAGAACTGAGAAGATGAGTGCTTACCTCGGTCTTGAGGCTCTTCTTCAGGCACCATTGTGTGTGCGCACACCCTTTGGACTTCCTCTATCAGGTGGGTGCAGAAGCTCTTGTATCACTTTCTCCAAAGATGTTACTTTCGGGGTGTGGTTCTTTCAAACAAGCCAAGCCCTTAGATCCTTCTTCGCCTACTCTTGCAAAGGAAGAGATGTGACTTAGGAGACTCTGCAGTGAGCTAAAGCTTTCAATTTAAAACATACATCATGTTCAGAAATAAGGAAACACAAACAAGGAAATCGAGAAATACATGAAAAACAGTTCATGGTTGCAGGTCTGATTGTCTTTTTTTTTTTTTTTTTTTTTTTTTTCTAGACAGGGTCTCACTCTGCCACCCAGGCTGGAGTATAGTGGTGCAATCTCAGCTCACTACTACCTCTGCCTCGCGGGTTCAAGCGATTCTCCTGCCTCAGCCTCCCGAGCAGCTGGGACTACAGGCATGTGCCACCATGCCCAGCTAATTTTTGTATTTTTAGTAGTGACAGGGTTTCATCATACTGGCCAGGCTTGTCTCGAACTCCTGACCTCCTGCCGTTGCACTCCAGCCTGGGCAACAAGAGCAAAACTCCATCTCCAAAAAAAAAAAAAAAAAAGCCTCTTTCATTTGTAAATTGCCCAGTCTCAGGTATGTCTTTATCAGCAGTATGAAAACGGACTAATACAGCCTCCCAAAGTCCTGGGGTTACCGTTGTGAGCCACCACGTGCCCGGCCACTGCTGAGTAATCTTAAATAGAGAAAATCCATTATAGCCTATGCTACTCAAATGGAGATGTTTGGTTGAAGGATGGTTACAACTACTGGTGAAATAGACACTGAGAAAGAAAGAACCTAGGTATTCCAGAATCTTCCCAGAGTTCAACTGAGATTTAATTGTAGAGTAGTGAGAAAAAAGTTTTGAGCTGGGCACGGTGGCTCATGCCTATAATCCCAGCACTTTGGGAAGCTGAGGTGGGCGGATCACGAGGTCAAGAGATCGAGACCATCCTGGCCAACATGGTGAAACCCCGTTTCTACTAAAAATACAAAAATTAGCCAGGTGTGGTGGTGCATGCCTGTAGTCCCAGCTACTCAGGAGGCTGAGGCAGGAAAATTGCTTGAACCCGGGAGGCGGAGCTTACAGTGAGCCGAGATCGTGCCACTGCACTCCACCCTGGGTGACAGAGCAAGACTCAGTCTCAAAAAAAAAAAAGTTTTGAGTTAGCAGCCATCCTTTGAGATATTTTAGGACCCAGACCAATGAGATCCTTTCTAAGCTGTATACTTGCTGAAACAACTTAAAGTCCTGTTTGGTCTCTTGTCTACCTCCCATTTACAGTTCCCTGAACCTCCCTCTGCCCCTGCCTCAGGGGTTCTCCCTGTTGCTTTCCTCTGTCTTGGATTAAAATGTAGAGTATGAGGGTATTCCTTTGAGTATACAATGCTGAGAAGAAAGGAGCAAAGGCAAAAATGAGAAAAATAATTTAAAATAGAACAAATTATAAAAGCAGAAAGAATGACAAATTATTTTCTCAGAAGAAAAGCAGAATTGCATGTAGGCCCAGCTCAGGTGACATCCCAGCAGAATGCTTTGAGTATGACCAGAGTATTGCAAAAGCTACAGCTGAAGAGGATAAATCTAGATAAGAATTGGTAGATGGTTTGCTCACTACTTCTTCCCCCGGTTGGTGAGGGAGGGAGTCCCAACCCAGGGTTATGGGTGGCTGGACACACAACACCCGACACTGGACAGATAAGACTGACAGCAGTTCAGCTGCATGTACTCACGGCCTGAGGCAGGAGGGCACCGCACACCATGCAGGGTCAGACAGAGGTTGCACTTGGGAGCAGGGTGACTGTGGGAGGCAGGATCTGCTGTAACAAGAGGGTGAGGTGGCCCCTTGGCTCTTGAGGGAGGATGGGATTGGCTTCTTTAAAGAATTTTGTGGCCAGGTGTAGTGGCTCGTGCCTATAATCTCAGCACTTTGGGAGGCTGAGGTGGGCGGATTGCTTCAGGCCAGGAGTTCAAGACTAGCCTGGCCAACATAGTGAAACCCCATCTCTACTAAAAATCCAAAAAATTAGCCAAGCATGGTGGCACACGTCTGTAATTTCGGCTACTCAGGAGGCTGAGGCACGAGAATCACTGGAATTTGGGAGGCAGGGATTGCAGTGAGCCGTAATCGTACCACTTCACTCCAGCCTGGGTGACAGAGTGAGATTCTGTGTCAACGAAAAAAAAAAGAGAAAAAAAAGATTTTGTGGGCCTTCAGGGAAGTGAAATCTATTAGCTTGAGGACCAGGTGGAGTGCAGCTGGCCCAGCTGAGATGGAAACTGGCTGAGTGAGAAACAGAAATATTTTTTTTTTTTGAGATGGAGTCTTTCTCTGGTCACCTAGGCTGGAGTGAGTGCAGTGGCTAAATCTTGGCTCACTGCAACCTCCACCTCCCGGGTTTAAGCAATTCTCCTGCCTCAGCATCCCGAGTAGCTGGGACTACAGGCATGCGCCACCACGACTGTCTAATTTTGTATTTTTAGTAGAGACAGGGTTTCTCCATGTTGGTCAGACTGGTCTTGAACTCCCAACCTCAGGTGATCCGCCCACCTCAGCCACCCAAAGTGCTGGGATTACAGGTGTGAGCCACAATGCCTGGCCATTTTTTGTTTTTGAGACAGGATATCAGTCTGTTGCCCAGACTGAAGTGCAGTGTCTCGACCTTCACTCACTGTAGCCTTGACCTCCTGGGATCAAGTGATCCTCCCACCTCAGCCTCCCGAGTAACTGGGACTATAGATACACGTCATTACACCTGGGGATCTTTTAAATTTTTTTTGTAGAGACAGGGTCTCGCTATGTTATTTCCCAGGCTGATCTCGAACACCTGGGCTCAGGTGATCCTCTTGCCTTGGTCTCCCAAAGTGCTAGGATTACAGATGTAAACCAGCATGCCTGGCCGGTGATGCTCTTTTAACATGAGTACCCAGTGTTTGGAATCAGGACAGGGCATCAGTTAGGTTTTGCTGTATAATCAATTAACTTAAAACTTAAAATACACAGCTATTCAATTAGTTCATAGTTCCCGAGAGTCAGCAATTTGGGCTGAACACCACTGGGTGATTCTGGTTTGGATTGGATCGGATCGGTTCCATCTCAGCTGAGCTCACTCTGCAATAAGCTGGTGGGCTGGGTGGGGCTGGCTGATTCACGTCTCTCTTTGGTCATCCTCTAGCGGATTAGCCTGGATTTACGTACATTGTGGCAGGAGGATTCCAGTAGTAGCAAGAAAACAAACCCTATTGTGTACATGCTTTTAAAAACCTGTGTGCCAGGAAATCACCAAATCACTCCAGCTATAACATTAAAAGACAACCACTCTCTTCCACTTAAAACTTATTGGCTGGCCACAATGCCTCACACCTGTAATCCCAGCACTTTGTGGGGCAAAGGCAGGAGGATTACTTGAGGCCTGGGCAACATAGTGAGACCTTCTCTCTACCAAAAAAAAAAAAACAAACAAACAAACAAACAAAAATTAGCCAGGTATGGTAGCATGTACCTGTAGTCCCAACTACTTGAGGGGCTGAGGTGGGAGAATCACCTGAGCCTTAGAGATCAGGGCTGCAGTGAGCTATAATCAAGCCACGGTGCTCCAGCCTGAGTGACAAAGACCCTACCTCTAAGATAAAATAAAAACCAAGAAGAAAAAGAAACCTCCCCAATATGTCAGTATTTACGCCTTCAGAAAAAGATTTCTATGTGAATAATGTTATATATTTGCAACATATTATCAAGCAAAGAAACCAGTAAGAGGCCAGGCACAGTGGCTCACACCTGTAATCCCAGCACTTTGGAAGTGTGTGGCAGGTGGATCACCTGAAGTCAGGAGCTTAAGACCAGGCTGCCCAACATGATGAAACCCCATCTCTGCTAAAAATACAAAAATTAGCTTAGTGTGGTGGCACTAGCCTGTAATCCTAGCTACTCAGGAGGCTGAAGCAGGAGAATCACTTGAACCCAAAGGCAGAGATTGCAATGAGCCGAGATCGTGTGTCCAGAATTGATAGGTTCTTGGTCTCACTGACTTCAAGAATGAAACCACGTACCCTCGCGGTGTTACAGCTTTTAAGATGGCACGTCTAGAGTTACTCGTTTCTCTCGGCGAGCTTGTGGTCTTGCTAGCTTCAGGAGTGAAGCTACAGACTTCCGCGGTATCACAGCTCATAAAAGAACCGTGGACCCAAACAGCGAAAGAACAAAGCTTGCACAGCACAGAAAGCAACTCGCAACCGGTTGCAACTGCTAGCTCGGGCAGCCTGCTTTTATTCTCTTATCTGGCCCCACCCACGTCCTGCTGATTGGTAGAGCCGAGTGGTCTGTTTTGACAGTGCGCTGATTGGTGCGTTTACAAACCTTGAGCTAGACATAAAGGTTCTCCACGTCCCCGTCAGATCAGTTAGATACAGAGTATCCACATAAAGGTTCTCCAAGGCCCCACCAGAGCAGCTAGATACAGAGTGTCGATTGGTGCATTCACAAACTGAGCTAGACACAGGGTGTTGATTGGTGTGTTTACAAACCTTGAGCTAGATACAGAGTGCCTATTGGTGTATTTACAATCCCTGAGCTAGACATAAAGGTTCTCCACGGCCCCACCAGACTCAGGAGCCCAGCTGGCTTCACCCAGTGGATCACTGCACTGGGGCTGCAGGTGGAGCTGCCTGCCAGTCCGCGCCCTTGCGCCCGCACTCCTCAGCCCTTGGGTGGTCGATGGGACTGGGCGCCTTGGAGCAGGGGGTGGCGCTCATCGGGGAGGCTCGGCCGCACAGGAGCCCATGGCGGGGGAGAGGTGGGAGGCTCAGGCTTGGCGGGCTGCAGGTCCCGAGCCCTGCCCCGCGAGAAGGCAGCTAAGGCCCGGTGAGAAATCAAGTGCAGCGCCGGTGGGCTGGCACTGCTGGGGGACCCAGTACACCCTCTGCAGCCGCTGGCCCGGGTGCTAAGCCCCTCATTGCCCGGGGCCGGCAGGGCCGGCCGGCTGCTCCGAGTGCGGGGCCCGCCAAGCCCACGCCCACCCGGAACTCCAGCTGGCCCGCAAGCGCCGCGCGCAGCCCCGCCTCTCCCTCCACACCTCCCTGCAAGCTGAGGGAGCCGGCTCCGGCCTTGGCCAACCCAGAAAGGGGCTCCCACAGTGCAGCGGTGGGCTGAAGGGCTCCTGAAGTGCCGCCAAAGTGGGAGCCTAGGCAGAGGAGGCGCTGAGAGCGAGCGAGGGCTGTGAGGACTGCCAGCACGCTGTCACCTCTCAATTGCGCCACTGCACTCCTGGGTGACAGAGGGAGACTCTGTCTCAAAAGAAAGAAAGAAACCAATGAGAAAAGCAGTCCTTAGGGTTTAAGATTCTATTTTATAGCTAGCCAGGTGGAGATATTGGGCTTGTGTAAGAGGAAGTTAGTGGTCAGACCACGCAGGGTGAAGTGAGAGTTTAACTTATCCAATAGCAGAAAGAGCCATTAAAGGCACTAAAGCAATGTGGTGAAAGGATCAGATTATATTTTTTTATTTATTTATTTTTTGAGACAGAGTCGACAGAGGAAGACTCCGTCTCAAAAAAATAATAATAAAAAAAAAGTCCAACTTTGAATGTATTGTTTGCAGAGGATGAAGTGGCAAAAGAGACAAAGAAGAATATCCAGAGAAATAGGAAAAGTGAGTGTCTTAGTCCATTCAGGCTATTATTATTTTTTTTCTGAGATGGAGTCTCGTTCTGTCACCCAGGCTGCAGTGCAGTGGCACGATCTTGGCTCACTGCAACCTCCACCTACCGGCTTCAAGTGATTCTTCCGCCTCAGCCTCCCCAGTATCTGGGACTACAGGCGCATGCCTCCACGCCCAGCTAATTTTTGTATCTCTAGTAGAGATGAGGTT
The DNA here is from genome assembly GCF_000001405.40 of Homo sapiens. Classification (NCBI taxonomy): domain Eukaryota; kingdom Metazoa; phylum Chordata; class Mammalia; order Primates; family Hominidae; genus Homo; species Homo sapiens. The sequence goes on from NC_000012.12 coordinate 7,753,246, forward strand.
TCACCATGTTGGCCAGGCTTGGTCTCGAACTCCTGACCTCAGGTGATCCACCCACTTTGGCCTCCCACAGTGCTGGGATTACAGGCATGAGCCACCAGGCCCGGCCCATTCAGGCTATTATAAGAAAATACTGTAAACTGGGTGGCCAATAGCAGCTGCAATTTATTTCTCACAGTTTTGGAGGCTGGAAAGTTCAAGATCAAGGCACTGGCAGATTTGGTGTCTGGCAAAGGCCCACTTTCTGGTTTATATATGGCTCCTTCTTGCTGTGTCCTCACATGGTGGAAGGGATGAGCCAGCTTTCTGGGGTCTTTTATTATAAGGGCACTAATTTCACTCATTTGGTTGAACCCTCATGACCTAATCACCTTCCAAAGTCCCCACCTCCAATACTATCACCTTGGAGGTTAGGATTTCAACATATGAATTTTGGGGAGACACAAACATTCAGACCATAACACCAAGTGTCAAGAAAGCCAAGGGGGCCGGGCGCGGTGGCTCAGCCTGTAATCCCAGCACTCTGGGAGGCCGAGGCGGGCGGATCATGAGGTCAGGAGATGGAGACCATCGTGGCTAACACAGTGAAACCCCGTCTCTACTAAAAATACAAAAAATCAGCCGGGCGTGGTGGCAGGCGCCTGTGGTCCCAGCTACTCAGGAGGCTGAGGCAGGAGAATGGAGTGAACCCGGAAGATTGCAGGCATGAGCCACCGTGCCTGGTAGTTCTTTATCACTTTTAGCATCTATTTCATTTTAAAAATCTGATTGATTTTTAAAATGCTACTACTAAATTTTGGCTTTCCCTAAAAAGAAGCACCAGGGCTCATGGACAGCATGTATTTTTTAGAATTTTTAAATCAATGAGGAAATGAAAGCCAACCTCAAAAATGAGAAGCAGAAACTTCCAGTTTGGATTGTGGCTTAAATAGCTTGTGGCAGACCAATTGTTTGCTGAGACCAACCAGGAAAGCTGGATCAATACAAAAAAACTATTAGGAAGCATCAGAGAGGCTTCCACAGAACAAGGAATTTCAGGAGCCAAGACCCTAGAGAGAGAGAAAGCTGGACATGGCATCTGCTGGCTCTTCAGCAGTGACTGAAGGACTGAGTGTCTGTGCAGTGTCTGTACAACTGGGAGGCTGGTAACTAAATAATAAAACTTTAGACAAGGACTCCTCTATGAATAATGAAGAGCTGAGAATGGACCTTTTTTTTTTTTTTTTTTTTGGAGTAAGGGTCTCATTCTATTGCCCAGTCTGCAGTGCAGTGGCCCAATCTTGGCTCACTGTAACCTCCACCACCTGAGCTCAAGCCATCCTCCCACCTCAACCTCCCAAGTAGCTGGCACTACAGGCACACACCACCATGCCCAGTTAAGTTTTGCATTTTTGGTAGAGATGGGGTTTCACCAGGTTGCCCAAGGTGGTTTCGAACTCCTAGGTTCAAGCGATCCGCCCACCTTGTCCTCCCAAAGTGCTGAGATTACAGACATGTGGCACTGTGCCTGGCCCAAGAAGAGACTATTAATTCATAAAGAATGAAATCCAGTTTGTTATATATTTATTTATTTATTTATTTATTTATTTAGGACAGAGTCTTCCTCTGTTGCCCAGGTTAGAGTGCGGTGACCTGATCTCAGCTCACTGAAACCTCTGCCTCCCAGGTTCAAGCGATTCTCCTCCATCAGCCTTCTGAGAAGCTGGGACTATAGGTGCGCGCCACCACTCCTGGCCAATTTTAGTATTTTTAGTAGAGACGAGGTTTTACCACGTTGGCCAGGCTGGTCTCAAACTCCTGACCTCAGGTGATCTGCTGGCCTTGGCCTCCCAAAATGCTGGGATTACAGGCGTGAGCCACCATGCCCGGCTATTTTTTTTATTTTTTTATTTTTGAGATGAAGTCTTGTCTGGCTCTGTCACCCAGGCTAGAATGCAGTGGTGCATTTTAACTGATTGCAGCCTCCACCTTCCAGGTTCAAGCAATTCTCGTGCCTCAGCCTCCCAAGTAGCTGGGATTATAGGCATGAGCCACTGCCCAGCTAATTTTTGTATTTTTATTTTTATTTATTTATTTATTTTTTAGACGGAGTTTCACTCTCGTCGCCCAGGCTGGAGTGCAATGGCACGATCTCAGCTCACCACAACCTCCGCCTCCTGGGTTCAAACGATTCTCCTGCCTCAGCCTCCCAAGTAGCTGGGACTACAGGCGTGCGCCACCACACCCAGCTAATTTTTGTATTTTTAGTAGAGACGGGATTTCACCATCTTGGCCAGGCTCCTCTCGAACTCCTGGCCTCATGATCCACCCGCGTCGGCCTCCCAAAGTGCTGGGATTACAGGTGTGAGCCACCGCGCCCGGCCAATTTTTGTATTTTTAGTAGAGACAGAATTTTGCTATGTTGCCTAGATTGGTCTCAAACTCCTGGACTCTAGGTATCCGCCCGCCTCGGCCTTCCAAATGGCCTGTAACTTCCATTACAGGCGTTAGCCACTGAGCCTGGCCTAAAATTTTGAAATTAGTTTTGAACAAACTCAATGCCTGTTTGAATCAAGGTAAAATCTACTTTAACTCCGTCTGCCAAAGCAAAAGCAAAAGCAAAAGCAAAAGTAAATTGTCGGCTGGTCGCAGTGGTTCACACCTGTAATTTCAGCACTTTGGGAGGCAGAGGCAGGCAGATCACCTGCGGTCAGGAGTTTGAGACCAGCCTAGCCAACATGGTGAAACCTTGTCTCTACTAAAAATACAAAAATTAGCCAGGTATGGTGGTGTGTGCCTGTAGACTCAGTTGCTCAGGGAGGCTAAGGCAGGAGAATCGTTTGAATCCGGGAGGCAGAGGTTGCAGTGAGCTGAGATCGTGCCACTGCACTCCAGCCTAGGCAACAGCGAGACTCCATATCAAAAAAAAAAAAGTAAATTGTCTCTGGAAAAAAAAGAAGATTGGCCGGGCGTGGTGGCTCACACCTGTAATCCCAGCACTTTGGGAGGCCAAGGCAGGCGGATCACCTGAGGTCAGGAGTTCGAGCCGGAGTATGAGCTTTCATATTAAAAGAAAGTCTGAGTGTGGTGGCTCATCCCTATAAACTCAGCACTTTGGGAGGCTGAGATGGGAGGGTCGCTTGAGGCCAGGAGTTCAAGATCAGCCTGGGCACCAAAGTGAGAGCCCCATCTTTACAAAAAATCTTTTAAAAATAGCAAGGCGAGATCAGGCGTGGTGGCTCACTTTGGGAGGCCGAGGCAGGAGGATCACCTGAGGTCAGGAGTTCAAGGCCAACCTCACCAACATGGCGAAACCCCATCTCTACTAAAAATACAAAAATTAGCCAGGTGTGGTGGTGCATGTCTGTAATCCCAGCTACTCGGGAGACTGAGGCAGGAGAATCACTTGAACCCAGGAGGCAGAGGTTATGGTGAGCCGAAATTTTACCACCGTTGCACTCCAGCCGGGGCAACAAGAGCAAGCCTCCACCTAAAAAAACAAAAAACAAAACAAAACAAAACAAAAAACAGGTGAGATGGCATGCACCTGCAGTCCCAGCTACTGGAGAATCTGGGACGAGAGAATTGCTTGAGCCCAGGAGTTCGAGGCTGTAGTGAGGTATGATGGTGTCACTGCACTCCAGCCTGGGCAATAGAGCAAGACTCCATCTCTAAAACAAATAAACAAAATGAAACAATATTTTCTCTTAACTTTAGAAACATTACATTTTCACCATGGAGAATGTAAATAATACAAAAAGTGAAAAGAAAAAATGAAAAACCACCTGCAATTCAATTACTTAGAAAGAACCATCCTGAACATCTTGTTTTTCCTTTTAGTCTTCTTAGCTGTAAACATGATATAATGTTTATATTACCATATACCTTTTTACAGGCATCAAGAGAGGCATGGAATTAAAAATGAGACTGCCCCAGGCACATGTGTAGGCGTGGAGTCTTGACCTGAGCATTCCATTTGTGGTTGAGACAGAAATGGAAGATTCAGTGCTGCCTCAGCAGGTGAGTCTCAGGGTCTAAAGGAATGCCTTTCAACAGAGGACTTTTATCAAGGAACAATTCGCAATTCCAGCACAGGCATATTTTTTGAAAGCCTATCTCCCTCTCTTCCTTCCTTCCTTCCTTTTTTTTTTTTTTTTTTTTTTTTTGGTTAGTTTCAGACATTAGGTTACTCTCTATGGGAAAGTTTACATCTTTATTGAAAACAATATTTTAAAATTCTTTGATATAAAAATACTGGGAGGCCAGGCGCGGTGGCTCGCACCTGTAATCTTAGCATTTTGGAAGGCCAAGTTGGGCGGATTGCCCGAGGTCAGGAGTTCGAGACCAGCCTGACCAACATGGTGAAACCCCATCCCTACTAAAAATACAAAAATTAGCCGGCATGGTGGCGGGCGCCTGTAATCCCAGCTACTTGGGAGGATGAGACCGGAGAATCGCTTGAACCCGGGAGGTGGAGGTTGCAGTGACCGGAGACCGCACCACTGCACTCCAGCCTGGGCCACAAGAGCAAAACTCTGTCACAAAACAAACAAACAAACAAACAAACAAACTGGGAATGCCTCTCTGCAAAATGGATCTCCAGAAATGTGTATTTCATATTTAGAAACTGCTAGCATCTGGAACACCAGGACATTTTCTCAAGTACATGTGAAAATACATTGTCAGCCGGGCTCGGTGGCTCAAGCCTGTAATCGAGGTGGGCGGATCACGAGGTCAGGAGTTCCAGACCAGCTCGGCCAACATGGTGAAACCCCATCTCTACTAAAAATACAAAAATTAGCCGGGCATGGTGGTGCGTGCCTGTAATCCCAGCTACTCGGGAGGCTGAGGCAGGAGAATGGCTTGAACCAGGAGGCAGAGGTTGCAGTGAGCCAAGATCGCGCCACTGCACTCCAGCCTGGGCGACAAGAGTGAGACTGCGTCTCAAAAAAAAAAAAAAAAAAAAAAAATCAGGCTTTGCTGGGTTTCCCCACTCAGTCTATTACCATTAGGTCGTTCCCTTTTTGTCCAGTCACATTTCTACACAGCTGTCCATTCTTCAGAGAAGCTAAGCATAAAAACAGACACTTTTTTCCTGAGTTTTTCGATCTTCATCTCTGAAGATTCCTTTGTCAAGTAAAACTTGGATTAGATAAATTTGTTATGCTTTTCTCTTGTTAATCTGCCTTTTGTTATTGGAGTGTCCTCCTGACTCTTACTATCAGGAGGAAAGGGATCACACCCTCTCCGCCCCTACACAGACATGCAAATTTTTGAGCCCCGCGTGTGAATTACTGAATCAGAAATTCTGGGGTGGGACCCAGGAACCTCATTTCAACAAGCCTTCCTGGGGATTATTATGCATGCTGAACTCTGAGAGCCACTGGCAGGGAGGGGGAAGGGGAAAGGCGGGTAGAATGCTTTCCAGAGGATATAGGGTTTTGCCATTTCAATAATTCCTATGGTTGTTCCTCTCCAATAGAATAGCTGTAAAGAGCTTCCTAAGAAGAAAAATGTACTAGAAAATCACTGTGCCACCTCCTTTTTGTGTCTACCCTTTAATCAGGTCATTGTTAAGCAGATTTGTCAAATTATTCAAAGCAGGTTTGAATAAATGTGTTGTACAGAGACTTCAGGGGGTTTATTTATCTGCGTTTTGGCAGGATTTCCCCTGTGGCTGGAAAGATTCAGATGCGCCTTCTTTCTTTCTTTCTTTTTTTTAGGCAGTCTCGCTCTGTCACCCAGACTGGAGTGCAGTGGCGCAATCTTGGCTCACTGCAACCTCCGCCTCCCGTGTTCAAGCAATTCTCCTGGCCCAGCCTTCCTAGTAGCTGGGATTACAAGTGCACGCCACAACACACAATGCCCGGCTAATTTTTGTATTTTTCGTAGAGACAGGGTTTCACCATGTTGGCCAGGCTGGTCTCGAACTCCTGACCTCAGGTGTTCTGCCCACCTCGACCTCCCAAAGTGCTGGGATTACAGGCGTGAGCCACCGCGCCCGGCCCCCAGATGCGCCTTCTTTCATCGCTTACCTGTACTGTTGTTCTTTTTCACTTTGGAAATGTAAAACCATCTATTAAGTATAGTTAATAGATGGTTATTATTCTCAAACAGCTAGGTAGATCAGAACAGAAATACCACACATGATTCTCAAATCCTCCAGGACAATCCTTCTCATTTCCCTGGATGACATCTTTCTTACTTTTGAGATTTGTAATCAGACAGGCTTTCTTCCTCTCCTGGCTCTGCCACTTAACTAAGCTGTGATCTACAAGTTACTGCCCTGCTCTAAACTTCAGCTTCGCAGTTGGTTCCATAGCTCAGGGGTTAGAGCACTGGTCTTGTAAACTTCAGCTTCCTCATTTATAAAATGAGGACTTGAATAATTTCTATCTCATAGGATTAGTTTAAGCGTTAGAGAATATTTATTTTTATTTATTTATTTTTTGAGACGGAGTTTCGCTCTTATTGCCCAGGCTGGAGTGCAATGGTGTGATCTCGGCTCACTGCAACCTCCACTTCCCAGGTTCAAGTGATTCTCCTGCCTCCCACTCCTGAGCAGCTGGGATTATAGGCGTGCGCCACCATGCCTAGTATTTTTAGTAGAGATGGGGCTTAGTAGAGATGGGGTTTCACCATGTTCGTCAGGCTGGCCTTGAACTCCTGACCTCAGATGATCTGCCTACCTGGGCCTCCCAAAGTGCTGGGATTACAGGCGTGAGGCACCGTGCCCGGCCGACAGGGTCTGATTTCTAGAAAATCCAAATCCTGAAAACACACTGACACCCACCCCCCACATCACACACACACACACACACACACACACACACAAACTAAGGTCCCTTGCAATCTCAATCACTATCCCTGCAAAATTCAGACTCGCAAGAATGAAAGCCACACTCCATTTTCTCCATTTGTTTGTAAGGTTGGTTCTGCACAGACAGATGAAACTACTTCACCCTGCAGAACTGCTCTATTTTCAGTGCATTTTATTTACCTGGATCCTAAGGACCACTGTCTTCACCGGATTAGTCACCTCTGGGTCAGGTCCTTCTTCCATTTGAGATTTGAAACCAAACAGCTTTGTTCCTTTTTAGTTTTTGCCACTTTCTAAGCTGTGTACCTAAGACATGTCACTTACCCTCTCAAAGTGTCAGCTGGTTTATACACAAAACGGGGGAATATGTGATGTAGCTATCATCATAGGCCTGAAATGTCCATTTCAGTTCTTACTAGTCTAAGCCTTCTCTAGCCTCTGCTCCATATTCTCTGCCAAGGGTTAAATCTCTATTTTCTTTTTTTTTCTTTTTGAGATGGAGTCTCACTCTGTCGCCCAGGCTGGAGTACAGTGGCGCGATCTCGGCTCACTGCAAGCTCTGCCTCCCAGATTTACACCATTCTCCTGCCTCAGCCTCCCAAGTAGCTGGGACTACAGACACCCACCACCACGCTCGGCTAATTTTTTGTATTTTTAGTGGAGACGGGGTTTCACCGTGTTAGCCAGGATGGTTTCAAACTTCTGACCTCGTGATCCGCCCATCTCGGCCTCCCAAAGTGCTGGGATTACAGGCGTGAGCCACCACACCTGCCCAAATCTCTATTTTCATAAGATGCATCTGCAAGGGAATAAAATACTCATCAGAGCCTAATTGCTTTTGGATAAGGTGAACTTGGAAGGGTTAGAACAGGAGCATATTATTCTCTGTCGATAACTGTCCCTTTAACCTGTTCTGTTGACTTGCCTTGCCCTGACCCCAGAGGAAATCTCAAGCAGATCCCAGAGCCTTTCCAGTCTCTCTTGCTTCCTAACAAATAATTACCTTTATTTAGGTATTTAAAAATCCATTCTCAGCCGGGCACAGTGGCTAATGCCTGTAATCCCAGCACTTTGGGAGGCCGAGGCAGGAGGATCTCTCTCTCTCTTTTTTGGGGGGACGGGGGGCGGGAATGGAGCTTCCCTCTTGTTGCCCAGGCTGTAGTGCAGTGGCGCGATCTCAGCTCACTGCAACCTCTGCCTCCCAGGTTCAAGCCATTCTCCTGCCTCAGTCTCCCAAGTAGCTGGGATTACAGGCATGAGCCACCAAGCCAGGTCTCTGTTTCTTTTTTTTTTTTTTTTCTTTTTATTTGAGACGGAGTCTCACTCTGTCGCCCAGGCTGGGGCACAGTGGCGCGATCGAGGCTCACTGCAAGCTCCACCTCCTGAGTTCACGCCATTCTCCTGCCTCAGCCTCCCCAGTAGCTGGGACTACAGGCGCCTGCCACCATGCCTGGCTAATTTTTTTGTATTTTTAGTAGAGACGGGATTTCACCATGTTACCCAGCCTGGTCTCGAACTCCTAATCTCAGGTGATCCACCCACCTCAGCCTCCCAAAGTGCTAGGATTACAGGTGTGAGCCACCGAGCCCAGATTTCTCTGTTGCTTTTTTTTTTTTTTTTAGAGAGGGAGTCTCGCTTTGCCGCCCAGGCTGGAGTGCAGTGGCATGATCTCGGCTCACTGCAAGCTCCGCCTCCCAGGTTCACGCCATTCTCCTGCCTCAGCCTCCCGAGTAGCTTGGACTACAGGCACCCACCACCACGCCCGGCTAATTTTTTGTATTTTTTAGTAGAGACGGGGTTTCACCGTGTTAGCCAGGATGGTCTCGATCTCCTGACCTTGTGATCTGCCCACCTCGGCCTCCCAAAGTGCTGGGATTACAGGCGTAAGCCACCGCGCCCGGCTTTTTTTTTTTTTTTTTTTGTATTTTTTAGTAGAGACTGGGTTTCACCGTGTTAGCCAGGATGGTCTTGATCTCCTGACCTCATGATCCACCCGCCTCGGCCTCCCAAAGTGCTGGCATTACATGCATGAGCCACCATGCCCAGCCCTTTTTTTTTTTTTTTTAAGACAGAGTCTTGCTCTGTCGCCCAGGCTGGAGTGCAGTGGCCGGATCTTGGCTAATTGCAACCTCCACCTCCCAGGTACCAGCAATTCTCCTGACTCAGCCTCCTGAGTAGCTGGGACTACAGTTGCGTGCCACCACACCCAACTAATTTTTTTTTTTTGGAGATGTACTCTTGCTCTGTCACCCAGGCTGGAGTACAGTGGCACAATCTTGGCTTACTGTAATCTCTGCCTCCCAGGTTCAAGAGATTCTCCTTCCTCAGCTCCTAAGTAGCTGGGATTACAGGCATGCGACACCACACTCTGCTAATTTTTTTGTGTTTTTAATAGAGACGGGGTTTCACCATGTTTGTCAGGCTGGTCTCGAACTCCTGACCTGATGATCCACCTGCCTCGGCCTCCCAAAGTGCTGAAATTACAGGCGTGAGCCACTGTGCCCAGCCTAATTTTCGTATTTTTTAGTAAAGACAGGGTTTCACCATGTTGGCCAGGCTGGTCTTGAACTCCTGACCTCGTCATCTACCTGCCTCGGCCTCTGAAAGTGCTGGGATTACAGGCGTGAGCCACCGCACCCGGCCTTCTCTGTTGCTTTTGAAGATCTCTTCCCTATGAGTGCCTATTCCCCGAATTTGCTTTTTGGGAACTTATCTCTTACAGCTGGCCTGTGGAACTCCCTCCTCAGCCCCCAGCTTCTGATGTCCGTGTTCCTTTCAAGAGGAGCTGCTAGGATGGAAGACCTGTAAGGCCATAGGCAGCAACTCTAATGTGCCCAGGACAGCTCAAAAGCAGCCCCTATCAAATGTTTACTCCCCTAGCTTACCTGCATCTGAGGGGACTACCAGCGACCATGACGAACAGAGACCTCCTGTCCACATTTAGCCACCGTGGACAGCTCCTGATTGCCTCTCACTTTTCAACATTGTCATGCTTGAGTCAGGTGTCGGATCCTGGGTATCCCCAAACACAAAAGTCAAACTTTGAGTGATTTTTTTTTTTTTTTTTTTTGAGACAGAGTCTTGCTCTGTCACCCAGGCTGGAGTGCTGTCGCGTGATCTCAGCTCACTGCAACCTTCACCTCCTAGATTCAAGCAATTCTCTTGCCTTAGCCTCTGGAGTAGCTGGGATTACGGGGTGTGCCACCACGCCAAGCTAATTTTTGTATTTTTAGTAGAGATGTGATTCCACCATGTTGGCCAGGCTGGTCTCGAACTCCAGACCTCAAATGATCCGCCTGCCTCAGCCTCCCAAAGTGCTGGGATTACAAGCATGAGCCACCGCACTCGGTCTTCAGTGATTCTTTAAAATTCTCTTCTCTGCCGGGCGCGGTGGCTCACGCCTGTAATCCCAGCACTTTCGGAGGCTGAGGCAGACGGATCACGAGGTCAGGAGATTGAGACCATCCTGGCTAACATGGTGAAACCCCGTCTCTACTAAAACTACAAAAAATTATTAGCCGGGCGTGGTGGCGGGCGCCTGTAGTTCCAGCTACTTGGGAGGATGAGGCAGGAGAATGGTGTGAACCCGGGAGGCGGAGCTTGCAGTGAGCCAAGATCATGCCACTGCACTCCAGCCTGGGTGACAGAGCAAGACTCCGTCTCAAAAATAAATAAATAAATAAATGAAATGAAATAAAATAAAATAAAATTCTCTTCTCTTAGCTGAGATTAACGAAGTGGTTAACAAGTGGTTAACAAGTGGTTTCTTCTACCAGAGTGTGAGGCTGGTTGTGTGACCAGGTAAGAGTATAGTCGGAGGCCAGGCACGATGGTTCATGCCTATGATCCCAGTACTTTGGGAGGCCAAGGCAGGCAGATCGCTTGAGGTCAGGAATTCCAAACCAGCCTGGCCAACATGGAGAAACCCTCATCTCTCCTAAAAATACAAAAAATTAGCTGGGCATAGTGGCACTTGGTTGTAATCCCAGCTACTTGGAGCTGAGGTAGGAGAATCACTTGAAACTGGGAGGTGGAGGTTGCAGTGAGCCGAGATCACACAAGTGCACTCCAGCCTGGTGACAGAGTAAGACTCTGTCTCAAAAATAAATAAATAAATAAATAAATAAATAAATAAATAAATAAATAAAATGGGCTGGGCAGCGGTGGCTCACACCTGTAATCCCAGCACTTTGGGAGGCCAAGGCAGGAAGATCACCTCATGTCAGGAATTCGAGGCCAGCCTGGCCAACATGGTGAAACCCTGTCTCCACTAAAAATACAAAAATTACCCGGGCGTGGTGGCAGGTGCCTGTAATCCCAGCTACTCGGGAAGCTGAGGCAGGAGAATCGCTTGAACCTGGGAGGCGGAGGTTGCAGTGAGCCAAGATTGCACCATTGCACTCCAGCCTGGGGGACAAGAAAGGAGACTTCGTCTCAAAAATTAAAATAATAATAATAATAATAATAATAATAATAATAATAATAATGGAATCAGGGGTCTCACCGTGATGCCCAAGCTGTTCTTGAACTCCTGAGCTCAAACAATTCTTCTGCCTTGGCCTTCCAAAATACTAGGATTACAGATGTGAGACACCTCACCCGACCAAGTAGCATTTTCATAAAATATTTATGTATTTATTTATTTTTAACATGGAGTCTCACTGTCTGTCCCCGAATGGAGTGCAGTGGCAGTATCTTGGCTCACTGCAACCTCTGCCTCTTAGGTTCAAGCGATTCTCCTGCCTCAGCCTCCAAGTAGCTGGGATCACAAGCACGTACTTCTACACAAGCTAAGTTTTGTATTTTTAGTAGAGATGGAGTTTTACCATGTTGGTCAGGCTGGTCTTGAACTTCTGATCTTAAATGATCTGCCCGCCTTGACCTCCCAAAGTGCTAGGATTACAGGCATGAGCCACCACGCCCAGCCCTACATTTTTTTTTTCCTGTCTCTCCACTGTATTTTGGAAAGCATTTTCTTATCAGTATATCTCACTATTTGGGACACTCTGCAACATGTAAATTGAACATTTTTCATATGGCTATTTGAAAAGTTTTTTTTCTTCATGGCTCCAAAAATAGATGTCAGGAAATGTGTTCTTTTTGTGGAATTCCTTTTGTGAATTGCCACTGGGTGCTCATATTTGTGGCCCACTGACATCCAAAAGATGGATGACATCTACCTTATCTGGTCGGTCATCTCTGTAACCTCCCTACCAAGGACTAATTGGTCTTTAAAACTCCTCAATGCACCGGGCGCGGTGGCTCACGCCTGTAATCCCAGCACTTTGGGAGGCCGAGGCGGGCAGATCACGAGGTCAGGAAATCGAGACCATCTTGGCTAACAAGGTAAAACCCCGTTTCTACTAAAAATACAAAAAATTAGCTGGGCGTGGTGGCGGGCGCCTGTAGTCCTAGCTACTCTGGAGGCTGAGGCGGGAGAATGGCGTGAACCCGGGAGGCGGAGCTTGCAGTGAGCCGAGATCGCGCCACTGCACTCCAGCCTGGGCGACAGAGTGAGACTCCGTCTCAAAAAAAAAAAAAAAAAAAAGAAGTGGCAGTTGTCTGGATATATTTTAAAGAAAGAAAAGCAAGACTTTCTGACAGATTGAGTTGAGCTATGAGAAAGGGAAGAAGTGAAAGACAGCACCAAGCTTTTTGACTCAAACCACTGGGCAGATGGAGTTGGCTTTACTAAGATAGAGAGGCCTGAGTGGGTCAGCGTTCAGTGAAGGGAGCCATAAACTGAGTTTGGGAATTTTAAGTTCAATTCACATAACTTATTAGACATCCAAGCAGAGATATTGAATTGGGAGTTTGACATAGAAGACTGGAAATAAAAATTTGAAAATAATCTCCCTTTTGGGCAGTATTAAAAACCATGAGATTAGATGACCTGGATTAGAGCTACATGTAAAGGAGATAAGAGGTGAAGGGATTTAACCTTGAGTGTGATTGAAAAAGCACAGGGACAGAAATCAGTAGGGGAAAGAGGAGCAACAAAGAAAGCTTTGAAAGAGCAGCCATTGACTTGAGGAAGCCCCAGGAAAGGATGGTGTTCAGGAAGTGGGAGAATAAACTCTTTCAATGTGGAGAGAGATCCCGATACTTCAGAAGCCCCTGATCATTCAAGTAAGTAAGATGGGGACAGGCCAGGCACAGTGGCTCACACCTCAAATCCCAGCACTTTGGGAGGCCAAGCGGGGCAGATCGCTTGAGCTCAGGAGTTGAAGACCATCCTGGCCAAGATGATGAAACCCCCCATCTCCACCAAAAATACAACAATTAGCCGGGCTTGGTGAGGCACGCCTGTAGTCCCAGCTACTCAGGAGGCTGAGGCAAGAGAATCCTTCGAGCCCAGAAGGCAGAGGTTGTGGTGAGCTGAGATCCAGCCACTGCACTCCAGTCTGGGCTTCAGAGTGAGACTCCGTCTCAACAAAACAAAACAGCAAACAAACAAAACAAAACAAACCCACTATCTCACCACCACGATACCCTTAAAAGAAAATGGGGATGGGAAATTGGCCATTTGATTTCTTTTCTTTTGTTTTTGTTTCTTGAGTCACAGTCTTGTTCTGTTGCCCAGGCTGGAGTGGCACAATCTCAACTAACTGCGACCTCCCCCTCCCGGGGTTCAAAAGACATGTCCGATTAGTTTTTTGTATTTTTAATAGAGACGGGGTTTCACCATGTTGGCCAGGCTGGTCCTGAACTCCTGACCTCAAGTGGTCCACCCACTTCGGCCTCCCAAAGTGCTGCGATTACAGGAGTGACCCTCCACGCCTGGCCTTTGTTTTGTTGTTGTTTGTTTGTTTGTTTTGAGACTGAGTTTTGCTCTGTTGCCCAGGCTGGAGCACAGTGGGGCGATCTCAGCTCACTGCAATCTTTGCCTCCCGGGTTCAAGCGATTCTCCTGCCTCAACTTCTCAAGTAGCTGGGACTACAGGCGTGCGCCACCAAGCCTAGCTAATTTTTGTATTTTTAGTAGAGACAGGGTTTCACCATGTTGGCCAAGCTGGTCTCAAACTCCTGGCCTCAGGTGATCTGCCTGCCTTGGCTTCCCAAAATGCTGGGATTACAGGCGGGAACCACCGTGCCTGGCAGCCATTTTACTTTTTTTGCAATGTCAGGGTCATTAATGTCTGACTCTGAAGAGGAATGTGTGGAAGTGGATGTGAAAGCCTGATTGGAGAATATTCAAGAGAGAATGAGGGGAGAAAAATCACCAACAGGCAAAGAACACATACAGAGAACTCTTTAAAATTTTCTTACACTTTATCACATTCTGTAAAAGAAATTGAGAAGAGGAGTGGTAGCAATAGAAGGATGTGGGTTACAAGAGGGTTTTTTTTTTTTTTTTCTAACAAAAGAAAACTTGTGGCCTGGTGTGGTGGCTCACGCCTGTAATCCCAGCACTTTGGAATGCCAAGGCGGACAGATCACTGAAGCTGACGATTTCGAGACCAACAACAGCACAGTTAGCTGCCATCCCACCTCACCCACTGCCGTCTCTTAAAAATAAATACATTATTTTTTTAAAAGAAAATGTATACCAATTAGCAGACACTCCGAATTTTATCCCACCCTCATCTCTGATAATCACTAATTTACTTTCTGTCTCTATAGGTTTGCCTATGCTGGACATTTCATATAAACAGAATCATACAATATATGACTTTTTGTATTTCAACTTTCACTTAACTTGCTTTCCTTTTTCCTCTTTTTTTTTTTTTTTTTCCGGTGTGGCAGGGTCTTGCTCTGTCACCCAGGTGGGAGTGCAGTGTCATGATCAGGACTCACTGCAGCCTTGACCTCCTGGACTCAAGTGATCCTCTCACCTCATTTTTTTATTTTTTGCGGAGAGGAGACCTCACTCTGTTGCCCAGGCTGGTTTTGAACTCCTGGGCTCAAGCAGTCCTCTCGCCTCGGCCTCCCAAAGTGCTGGGATTACAGGCGTGAGTCACCACATCCAGCCCCCGCTTAGCTTGTTTTCAATATTCATCCATGTTGAGCATGAATCAGTATTTTATTTCCTTTTGTGGCTAAATAATAGTCTATTGTATAGATATAATACATTTTGTTTAAAGGGGCAATTGCTGGGTCATATGGTAACTTTAAATTTTAGAGAAACGGTCTTTTTCTGCCTCTATTGAGATGATTGCATGTTTTTTTCCTTTATTCTATTCATATGATGTATTACATTGATTTTCCTATTTTGAACTAATCACATATTTCTAGAATAAATCCTACTTGGTTATGGTGCATAATCGTTTTACTGTGTTGCTGGATTTAGGATTGCTAGCATTTTGTTGAAGTTTTTGCCTCCATATTCATAATGGACATTAATCTATAGTTTTTTAGGGGTGATATCTGTCTGGTTTGAGTATCAGTGTGATGGTCTTTAATGTGGCAACTTGGGTAGGCTATAGACCCCAGTTATTCAATCAAACACTAGGTGCCACTGGCATATTTCTTTTCTTTCTTTCTTTTTTTTTTTTGAGAGGGATTCTCGCTCTGTCATCCAGGCTGCAGTCCAGTGGCACGATGTCAGCTGGCAGGATGTCAGCTCACTGCAAGCTCCGCCTCCCTGGTTCTTGCCATTCTCCTGCCTCAGCCTCCGGAGTAGCTGGGACTACAGGCACCCGCCGCCATGCCCCGCTAATTTTTTGTATTTTTAGTAGAGACCGGGTTTCACTGTGTTAGCCAGGATGGTCTCAATCTCCTGACCTCGTGATCTGCCCGCCTCAGCCTCCCAAAGTGCTGGGATTACAGGCGTGAGCCACCGCGCCCGGCCGGCATATTTCTTTTCTTTTGAGACAGAGTCTTGCTCTGTCACCCAGGCTGGAGTGCAGTGGCTGGGCTGGGATTATAGGCATGAGCCACCACGCCGGGCCTTGTTACTGGCATTTTTAGATGTAATTAAAATCCATATTAATCGTCTTCAAGTAAAAGGGATTATAATCTGAGAAAGCCTAATCCAATCAGTTAAGGCTTTAAGAGGAAATTCTGCCTAGGGAGAGCAGCTCCATCGCACACTGAAGGGTTCCAGCCATCCTTTCGGACTTGCCAAGACAGTTCCAAGATTGCGTAAGACAATTCCCTGCAATGAATTTCTTCTTATTTTTATTTTTATTTTTTTTGAGACAGAGTCTGGCCCTGTTGCCCAGGCTAGAGTGCAATGGTGCGATATCGGCTTACTGCAACCTCCACCCACCGGGTTCAAGCAATTCTCCTGCCTCAGCCTCCCAAGTAGCTGGGATTATATGTGCCTGCCACCATGCCTGGCAAATTTTTTTTTTTTTTTGAGATGCAGTCTCACTCTGTTGCCAGGCTGGAGTGCAGTGGTGCAACCTCAGCCCACTGCAACCTCTGCCTCCTGGGTTCAAGCAATTTTCCTGCCTCAGCCTCCCAAGTAGCTGGAACTACAGGTGCATGCCACCACACCCAGCTAATTTTTGTATTTTTAGTAGAGATGGGGTTTCACCATATTGGCCAGGCTTGTCTCGATCTCCTGACCTTAGGTGATCCACCCACCTCGGCCTCCCAAAGTGCTGGGATTACAGGCGTGAGCCACCACCTCCCGGGTTAAAGTGATCCTCCTGCCTCAGCCTCCCGAGTAGCATGGGGCTACGGGCACGTGCCACCATGCCCGGCTAATGTTTGTATTTTTAGTAGAGACGGGGTTTCACCATGTTAGCCAAGATGGTCTCAATCTCTGGACCTCATGATCTGCCCGCCTCAGCCTCCGAAAGTGCTGGGATTACAGGCATGAGCCACCGTGCCCAGCCTCAAGTTCACTTTTTCTTTGCTCTATGTTTTCCACCAATGTACAACATTGCTAATTTAGAAAAATCAAATATATTCTCCCAGGGAAGATTGTTGACTATGCTCTGAAAGTCAAATTTAGCTGCAGCTTGATTTTATTCCACGGATCTTTTTATACAGAAACAATCAGCTATGCCTTGGGATCAAGATCCAGAACAATCAACTGGAAATTACAGTGAAGATGAACAAAATGGAAAGCAGAAATGGAGAGAAGAAGGAGAAGCAGGCAGAAAGAGAGAACGAGAAAAAGAAGAAAAAAACGAAAAGGAGCTGCAAGATGAACAGGAAAACAAAAGGAAAAGGGAAAATGAGAAACAGAAACAGTATCCCGAGAAAAGATTAGTCAGCAAATCCCTCATGCATACTCTCTGGGCAAAGTTTAAGTTAAACAGGTGCCCCACTATACAAGAGAGTCTATCACTGTCATTTGAATTTGACATGACACATAAACAGGTATGACAACATTAATAGACATTTCTTCATTGATAGACAAAGTCACTTGTATAGTACTATTGCTATATAGACCAATATCCTTATTCCTGTATTAATCACCTCCCACACCTCATTTTTTTGTAGATAAGTCAATGGTTTTGTAAAACGAGGAAGAAATATAATAAAGAAATGTCCAAGAGAAAGCATAAGAAAAAACATATGAGGTAAGAAAGTGTTTCTTGTAAAATAAAAGGAAGTAGAAGGAATATATTGACTTCCGGAGTTGGTTTGTGTTTCCATCATTATTGGGTATGCCCATAAACTTTTTTTTTTTTGAGACGGAGTTTCGCTCTTGTTACCCAGGCTGGAGTGCAATGGCGCCATCTCGGCTCACCGCACCCTCCGCCTCCCAGGTTCAAGCCATTCTCCTGCCTCAGCCTCCCAAGTAGCTGGGATTACAGGCATGCGCCACCACGCCCAGCTAATTTTGTATTTTTAGTGGAGACGGGGTTTCTCCATGTTGGTTAGGCTGATCTCGAACTCCCAACCTCAGGTGATCCACCAGCCTGGGCCTTCCAAAGTGCTGGGATTACAGGCGTGAACCACCACACCCGGTGCCCATAAACTTTTTAATGTTCCAGCCAGTGGCAGAAAAACCACTTACTGTGTATTTTTCACTCTACTCAAAACACCACACAGGCACACACTCACATATGCATGCCACCATTTAACATGTAATCATATTACCAAATGTACAAATACAGACATTAGCTTTTTATTGATTGCAGTACAGAATTGATAATTTTGTCCTGTTTGTTCCTTTGATGCTAAATATATCTGATGATTGTTGTTCCTCTCTAGTTAGTGGCAAAAGCTCATGTGATTTTTGGAAGGAATTAAGGACAGTATCAACAGCTTTTTTGTTTGTTTGTTTGCTTGTTTTTGAGACGGAGTCTTGCGCTCTCGCCCAGGCTGGAGTGCAGTGGCGCGATCTCGGCTCACTGCAAGCTCCGCCTCCCGGGTTCACACCATTCTCCTGCCTCAGCCTCCTGAGTAGCTGGGACTACAGGCACCCACCACCACGCCCGGCTAATTTTTGTATTTTTAGTAGAGACGGGGTTTCACTGTGTTAGCCAGGATGGTCTCGATCTCCTGACCTTGTGATCCGCCTGCCTCGGCCTCCGAAAGTGCTGGGATTACAGGCGTGAGCCACCGCGCCCAGCCAATATCAACAGTTTTAACAGCACTAGACCGTATATAGAATTTTAATGTATTATTTATGTATATTTATTTAGAAATGTTTAAATATTATCTCACTTGATCATTGTTTTTTGTTTGTTTTGTGAGACAGAGTCTCACTCTGTCACCCAGGCTGGAGTGCAATGGCGTGATCTCTGCTCACTGCAACCTCTACCTCCTGGGTTCAAGCGATTCTCCTGCCTCAGCCTCCCGAGTAGCCGGGGTTACAGGCACGCGCCACTATGCCCAGCTAATTTTTGTATTTTTAGTAAAGACCGGATTTCACCATGTTGGCCAGGCTGGTCTCAAACTCCTAATCTCAGATGGTCCGCCCGCCTCGGCCTCCCAAAGTGCTGGGATTCTAGGTGTGAACCTCCACGCCTGGACTCACTTGATCATTAAGCAAAATATGGTGCACCCGGTTATCAATCCCAGGAGAGCAGAACAATGAACACTGGTTACCAACACCGAGGGAATGACTCCCACCACATGGAGGATTGCAAAGATCATCACTGTGCCAACCGACAAGAATAGAACTCCAAATGTCTCCACTCAATGCACCTCAGTATCAGAGTTGTGCAAAACAATGCAGTCAAGCCATGGGTGGAGCAATGCTTTACTTACAGAGCAAGATCAGCTTCCTGGCAGCCAGTGCAGGGAAATTGGCTATGCGTACCCCTCTGGCACATTGGGCTTGCCACAGGGAAAGATAGTCTCACAGAAGACAATAAGCCAGCACAGGTTACATGGGCTCTTTTTTTTTCGAGACAGTCTCACTCTGTCGCCCAGGCTGGAGTGCAGTGGCACAATCTCGGCTCACTGCAAGCTCTGTCTCCCAGGTTCATGCCATTCTTCTGCCCCAGCCTCCTGAGTAGCTGGGACTACAGGTGCCCGCCACCACGCCCAGCTAAGTTTTGTATTTTTAGTAGAGATGGGGGTTTCACCATGTTAGCCAGGATGGTCTCGATCTCCTGACCTCTTGGTCTGCCCACCTCAGCCTCCCAAAGTGCTGAGATTACAGGCGTGAGCCACCGCACCCGGCCTTTTTTTTTTTTTTTTTTTTAATTTGAGACAGAGTCTTGCTCTGTTGCCCAGGCTGGAGTACAGTGGCCCAATCTTGGCTTACTGCAACCTCCACCTCCCAGGTTCAAGCAGTTCTCGTGCATTAGCCTCCCTAGTAGCTGGGACTACAGATGTGTACCACCACACCCAGCTAATTTTTGTATTTTTAGTATACATTAAGTTTCACTATGTTGGCCAGACTGGTCTCGAACTCCTGGCCTCAAGTGATCTGCTTGCCTCCCAGAGTGCTGGGATTACAGGCATGAGCCACTGCACCCATCTGGGCTCTTTTACCTCTTGGTAAGGAAGTATTCCAGGCCCAGGATCTATTCTTATGCGGCCAAGTGGGGATTAAAAGAGTTACATGCATGAGACTGCATTTCCCAGCAATCATTACTCTAAATTATAAATGAGGAAGCGTATATTTTCAGTTATAACTCGAGACATAGTCTAGGCTCTATCAATTTGTTTCACATGTAGTGTTGTTTACTCTTAGTGTCCTCTATTAAAATCCAACTGTGATAGTTTTTTTTTTTTTTTTTCAAAGATGGGGGTCTCACTATGCTGCCCACGCTGGTCTCAAACTCCCAGGTTACAGTGATCCTCCCACCTCAGCCTCCCGAGTAGCTGGGATTGCAGGTGTACCTTACCATGCCCAGCTGGTGTGATGGTGTTTCTAATGTTCTTGCACCATTTCTGCCTCCATAACTTTCTTACCACTTTGAAATTTTAAAATGTATTTTAGAAAGATTACTTTGGCCTTCAATGAAAATTGTTTTCCAGATTTAACATATTTTGATGTGTATATTAAATATATAGACAGCGGCTGGGTGCGTGGCTCATGCCTGTAATCCCAGCACTTTGGGAGGCCAAGGCAGGTGGATCACCTGAGGTCAGGAGTTTGGGACCAGCCTGACTAACATGGTGAAACTCCATCTCTACTAAAAATACAAAAAAAAAAAAAAAAAAAAAAAAAAAAAAAAAGCCAGGCTTGGTGGCAGGTGCCTGTAATCCCAGCTACTCGGGAGGCTGAGGCAGGAGAATTGCTTGACCTGGGAGATGGAGGTTGCAGTCAGCCGAGATTGTGCCATTGCACTCCAGCTTGGGTGACAAGAGTGAAACTCCATCTCAAAAAAAAATTTAAAATAAATAAATATATAGACTGTGTTGCGAAACTCTTTTTTTTTTTTTTTTTTTTAAACAGATGGAGATCTCTGTGTTGCCAAGGCTGGTCTCGAACTCCTGCCCTCAAGTGATCTTCCTATTTTGGCCTCCAGAAATGCTGTGATTACAAGCATGAGCCATCGCACTGGCTAAGACATTTTACATGACACCATTCTCACCAATAAATGGAGTTCTGAAAGGATAAACAAGAAAACATTAACAGTCGTTGATTCCGTGGAGTAGAACTAAATGAGGGGTATGCAAAGGAGTTTTTATGTGTTTTATTTTTACCCTACTGTAGATTTAAAGTTTTTATAATGGATGTTAATTGATTTTATTTAAGAAAAAAAATCGAGTCAAGGCCGGGCACAGTGGAGCACGCCTGTAATCCCAGCACTTTGGGAAGCCAAGACGGGTGGGTTACCTGAGGTCAGGAGTTCGAGACCAGCCTGACTAACATGATGAAACCCTGTCTCTACTAAATACAAAAAAATTAGCCGGGCGTGGTGGTGTATGCCTGTAATCCAAGCTACTTGGGAGGCTGAGACAGGAGAATCGCTTGTACCTGGGAAGTGGAGGTTGCAGTGAGTCAAGGTCGCACAATTGCATTCCAGTCTGGGCAACATGAGCGAAACTCTGTCTCAAAAAAAAAAAAAAGAAAAAGAAAATAAAAAAATCAATGAAGAAATTACCAACCTGTGGAAATGTTTTGAGACTGAAAGGGAAATCCATTATAGAAGCTAACGGGTTCAGTGCCTTCTGCAATTTGTCAATATATTTCTAAACATCCCCTCCAAACATGACTTTTCTCTACAAATGTGATTATACTCCTGGAAGGGCAATTTGTTGTTGTTGTTGTTTTTGTGATAGGATCTTGCTCTGTTGCCCAGGCTGGAGTGCAGTGGTGCAGTCTCGGCTCACGCAACCTCTGCCTGGGTTAAAGTGATTCTCCTGCCTCAGCCTCCCAAGTAGCTGGGATTATAGGCGTGAGCTACAGTGCCCAGGCAAGGGTGACTGTTTTCTGATGTGTGACTTGAGTCAGAGGACTAAGGTCATTTAGATTTTTTTTCTTTTTGAGATGGAGTTTCCCTCTTGTTGCCCAGACTGGAGTGCAATGGTGCGATCTTGGCTCACCACAGCCTCCGCCTCCCGGGTTCAAGTGATTCTCCTGCCTCAGCCTCCGGAGTAGCTGGGATTACAGGCATGCGCCACCACGCCTGGCTACTTTTGTATTTTTAGTAGAGACAGGGTTTCTCCATGTTGGTCAGGCTGGTCTCGAACTCCTGACCTCAGGTGATCTGCCTGCCTCGGCCTCCCAAAGTGCTGGGATTACAGGCATAAGCCACCACGCCTGGACCAATCTTTGTATTTTTTGTAGAGACTGGGTTTCATCATGTTGCCCAGGCTGATCTTGAACACCTGGACTCTACCAATTGTCTCACCTCTGCCTCACAAACTGTTGGAATTATAGGCATGGGCCACTGTGCCCGGCTTCTAATATTCTTTAAATGCTTTTCACCTTAAACTAATTTTGTTGTTTATTATTAAGAACACTGATATACTCTGCATAGCTTGCCATCACACTTAGGATAAAATTATGATTCCTGACTATGGCCTGTAAAAACCTAAAAGATCTGGTCCCTGCTAAAGTCTCCAATCTCATCTGACCACATTCCCTGACTTGCTCGTTACACGCCAAACACACCTTCTTTTGTTTCTCAGAGACAGTAAGTTTCTTACCATCTCCAGACTTATGCTCTTGCTGTTCCCACAGCTTACAATGGTCTGCTTGCAGATTTGAGAGTGGCTGCCTCCTTTGCAACATTCAGATCTCACTTCTAATGTCACCTATTCAAAAATGTTTTCTGTGACTACCTATCTGAAGTAGCCCTACACATACTCAGTCATCTGGTCATATTATTTATTTTTATTTACTTTATAGCACTCAGCATCATCTAAAATTACTATATTTATATATTGCTTCATCTCTCTACCCCCACCATAATGAGAGCTCTCTTAGTGTTGGAAACTTGTTGATCTCATTCATTGTCATAATCACATGTATTTCAACTAGTTTCTGATATACAGTAGGTACTCAATAAATATTATTGAATAAATATGGAATAAAAATTTATTGGCCTGGCGCTGTGGCTCATGCCTGTAATCCTAGCACTTTGGGAGGCTGAGGCCGGTGGATCACTTGAAGTCAGGAGTTCAAAACCAGCCTGGCCAACATGGTGAAACCCAATCTCTACTAAAAATTCAAAAAAATTAGCCAAGCATGGTGGCAGGCGCCTATAGTCCCAGCTACTTGGGAGGCTGAGGCAGGAGAATCGCTTGAACCCAGGAGGCAGAGGTTGCAGTAAGCTGAGATGGCACCACTGCAATCCAGCCTGGGTGACACAGCAAAACTCCATCTCAAAATAAATAAATAAACAAATGAATTAATTAAATTAAAATAAAGTGTATAAGTTAGTAGGGTTTGATACATTATTTCATGGGGAATTTAATATTTTTCTTTTTTTTTGAGATGGAGTTTCCCTCTTGTTGCTCAGGCTGGAGTGCAATGGTGTGATCTCAGCTCTCTGCACCCTCCGCCTCCCAGGTTCATGCAATTCTCCTGCCTCAACCTCCCCAGTAGCTGGGATTACAGGCATATGCCACCATGCCTGGCTAATTCTATATTTTTAGTAGAGATGAAGTTTCTCTGTGTTGGTCAGGCTGGTCTCGAACTCCCAACCTCAGGTGAGCCACCACGCCTCACCAATATTGTATTTTTAGTAGAGATGGTGTTTTACCATGTTGGCCAAGCTGGTCTCCAACTCCTGACCTCAGGTGATCCGCCCACCTCAGCCTCCCAAAGTGCTGAGATTACAGGCATGAGCCACCACACCCAGCCTGTGGTGGTAATTTTTGAGCTCCAGTTTCTATCCCCAACTTTTGAGACTTTCACTCTCCAACTCAAAAAAAGAACACTAGTTAGAAGATGAGAAAGCCCAGGCGCTAGTCTATAAGTGTGTTACTGTACACATCAGCCATTCTTACAGGCTTCCTGCCTATACATCTTTGGTAGTTAGATAAAATGCAGTCTTTTTACCACATTTTTGGATCACAGAAAATGACCGTGAAGCTAAGGAAGACAGGGAGAGTGGAATTTAAGATTAGCCATCAGCCCATCTTTCATTAGCCATTTCTCTAATCCAGTCCTGAATTTTCCTCTTTCCAGTAATATGTAGGGTAGCACTATGTTCAAAGCGGCCACTGGGATTTAGGTATTTTAATATCTGTACTGTGTTTCTAGATAAGTAAAAGAACCAGGTGAATTTATCAGCCCTCAGTAAACCTGGGGGAGCCAGTTTATTGAACTAGTGCTCTTAAGTAGAGGACATTTCCAACTTTGGTAAGTTTATCTCCCATTCCCTATATCACGGAGTGAGAGAAATTTGGAGAAAAGAATTTCTATTTCCTAATCTCAGTTTTTTTTTTTTTTTTAGATGGAGTTTTGCTCTTGTTGACCAGGCTGGAGTGCAATGGCGCAATCTCGGCTCGCTGCAACCTCTGCCTCCCAGGTTCAAGCGATTCTCATACCTCAGCCTCCCGAGTAGCTGGGATTATAGGCATGAGCCACCACACCTGGGTAATTTAGTTATTTTTAGTAGAGATGGGTTTTCTCCATGTTGGTCAGGCTGGTCTCCAACTCCTGACCTCAGGTGATCCACCCCCCTCGGCCTCCCAAAGTGTTGGGATAACAGGCGTGAGCCACTGCGCCTGGCCGGCTCATTTCTTTTGATCACTTACTAATATTTCATTGTGTAGATGGACCACAGTTTATCCATTCACCCTACTGAAGGACATCTTGGTAAATTTTAGCAACTGTGAATAAAACCGCTCCAGCCGGGCACGATGGCTCACGGCTGTAATCCCACCACTTAGGGAGGCCGAGGTAGATGGATCCCCGAGGTCAGGAGTAAGAGACCAGCCTGGCCAATATGGTGAAACCCTGTCTCTAATAAACATACAAAAATTAGCCGGGTGTGGTGGCGGGAGCCTGTAATGCCAGCTACTCCAGAGGCTGAGGAGGAGAATGGCTTGAACCCAGGAAGCGGAGGTTGCAGTGAGCCAAGATCGAGCCACTGCACTCCAGTTTGGACGACAGAGCTAGACTCCATCTAAAAAAAAATTTCCTAACCCCCATTGTGATGATAATAGGAGATAGGGCCTTTGGGAGGTGATTAGGCAGTAAGAGTGGCATCTTATAAATGAGATTAGTGTACTTATAAAAGAGACAGTGTAGAGCTCTCTCCCCGATTTTAGTCACCTGTGAACCAGGAAGCATGCCCTCCCCAGACAGTGAATTTGCTGGAGCCTTGATCTTGGACTTCCCAGTCACCCAGAACACGTGTTGGTGAGGATGTGGAGAAAAGAGAAAGTTTTTACATTGATGGGAAGCTAAGTTGGTGCAGTCATTATGGAAAGCAGTATGGAGATTCCTCAAAAAATTAAAAACAGAACTACTGTATAATCCAGCAATTCCAATTCTGGGTATATACCCAAAGGAAATGAAGCCAGCCCCTTGTAAAAATAACTGCATCCTGGCTGGGTGTGTTGGGAGTCCAAGGTGGGTGGATCATCTGAGGTCAGGAGTTGGAGACCAGCCTGGACATCATGGTAAAACCCTGTCTCTACTAAAAATACAAAAAAATTGGCTGGGTGCGGTGGCTTATGCCTATAATCTCAACAATTTGGGAGGCTGAGGTGAGAGGATCAGCTGAGGTCAGGAGTTCGAGACTAGCCTGGCCAACATGGTGAAAACTCCATCTCTACTAATAATACAAAAATAAGCCGGGCGTGGTGGTGCACATCTGTAATCCCAGCTACTCCGGAGGCTGAGACAGGAGAATTGCTTGAACCCAGGAGGCGGAGGTAGCAGTGAGCTGAGTTCAGGCCACTGCACTCCAGCCTGGGCAACAGAGTGAGGCTCTGTCTCCAAAAGAAAAAAATACAAAAAAATTACTCGAGCGTGGTGGCGGGCGCCTGTAATCCCAGCTACTACGGAGACTGAGGCAGGAGAATCGCTTGAACTTGGGAGGTGGAGGTTGCAGTGAGCTGAAATCACACCATTGCACTCCAGCCTGGGCAACACAAGCAACCCTAACTGCTTCTACATCCCATATATAAGAGAGATCAGCCAGGTGCAGTGGTTCATGCCTGTAATCCCAGCACTTTGGGAGGCCAAGGCAGGAAGATCACCTGAAGTCAGGAGTTTGAGATCAGCCTGACAAATGAAGAAACCTCATCTCTACTAAAAAAAAAAAAATACAAAATTAGCTGGGCGTGGTGGTGGGTGTCTGTAATCTCAGCTACTCGGGAGGCTGAGGCGGAAGAATCACTTGAACCTGGGAAGCAGAGGTTGCAGTGAGCCGAGCTCGCGCCATTGCACTCCAGCCTGGGCAACAAGAGCAAAACTCCGTCTCAAAACAAACAAACAAATACAAACAAAAAACATTATGTTGTATACCTTAAATTTAAACAATAATTAAAACAATTTTTTAATTTGGAACAAATACTAGAAAAAATAGTGATGTAAGACTGTTCCTTATTTTTATTTTCTTTATCTATTTATTTTTGAGACAAGGTCTCACTCTGTTACCCAGGCTGAAGTGCAGTGGCCTCATCTTGGCTCACTGCAACCTCCAACTCCCAGGTTCAAGTGATTCTCCTGCCTCAGCCTCCCAAGTAACTGGGATTACAGGCGCTCATCAACACGCCCAGCTAATGTTTTGGAATTTTAGTAGAGACGGGGTTTCACCATGTTGGCCAGGCTGGTTTCGAACTCCTGACCTCAAGTGATTTGCTCTCCTAGGCCTCCCAAAGTGCTGGGATTATAGTCGTGAGCCACGGTTCCCAGCTAGTTTTAAAGATTTTTAGATGGTTAAGGGCCAGGCGCCGTGGCTCACGCCTGTAATTCCAGCACTTTGGGAGGCCAAAGCAGGCGGATCACGAGGTCAGGAGATCGAGACCATCCTGGCTAACATGGTGAAACCGCGTCTACCAAAAAACAAAAAATTAGCCAGGGCTGGTGGCACGCACCTGTAATCCCAGCTGCTCGGGAGGCTGAGCCAGGAGAATCCCTTGAACCTGGGAGGCGGAGGTTGCAGTGAGCTGAGATCACGCCACTGCATTCCAGCCTGGGCAACAGAGTGAGACTCTGTCTCAAAATAAATAAATAAATAAATAAAAATATTTATACATGGTTAAAGTATGTATTGTGGGTGTATATTTTTATTCTTGCTAACATTTTACCAGAAATAAATTAAAACATAGTTAATTATCTTTCTTAAGTAAATTGAATGTATTAATATGGAAATTGGATCAGGAAAAAAAATCAATTCCCAATACCTTACAGTTCCCAGTAATACTCGGTATGAATAAAGACAGATTAGAGCACAGGACATTTGAGGATTTGGTAATTTACTTGGGAATTTACTCAGAACCATGTATTTTAAACGTCTCTAAGTCCAGGCATGGTGGCTCACATCTGTAATCACAACACTTTGGGAGGCCCAGGAGGGAGGATCGCTTGAAGCCAGGAGTTCCAGACCATCCTGGAAAACCTAGCAATACCTCATCTCTACAGAAAAAAAAAAGTTGCACTCCAGACTGAATGACAGAGCAAGGCCTGTCTCAAAAACAAAAAATGAAAAACAAAATAAAGAAAACCCTCACATCAACCACGTTGGATAGTAATATAGCTGTTCAACAGATAATGGAACTAAGAAAATTAGACAAGTTAAATTAATTCACCCAAGATTCAAGTAGTTGGATTAATGGTAAATCTGGAATTTAAACCCAGGTCTGACTAACCTTATCACTAGAGGCTGCCTTTTCAGATTCCCCAAAACCATATCATCCTATTTATAATTTGTAAGCGCTACAGTAGAAGAATGGGATTAATCTGAGAGAATTTTGCAGGAGGAAAATAGAATACAAAAAATTCCATCTACTCTGACCTTAGAATTCTCACTTTTCTTAGTTATAAAAAAAACAAAGATCTTAAGGAAAGACAATAATGCTTTTAAAAGCAGTGGGTATGAAACAAATTATGTCTTCAGAGGGTAGGCAATAAGTACAGATAGAGGAAAAGGGAACAAATAGGAGACCAAACGCGAGAATAGGTGAGGCCGTGGGTGAAATGGGAGTTCTTACGATACAGTAGAGCAACCGTCATAGCCGAGAGGAGCCAAAGGAGACATAATGAGTAAATAGAAGATATCCTGGACGCGATTCTAGAACATAAAAAGAACAAGTTTTTAGGCCGGGCACAGTGGCTCACACCTGTAATCCCAGCACTTTGGGAGGGCAAGGAGGGAGGATCACTTGAGCTCAGGAGTTCAAGACCAGCCTGGCCAACATGGTGAAACCCTAGCTCTACTAAAAATACAAAAAATTAGCCTGGCGTGGTGGCTCGTGCCTGTAATCCCAGCTGCTCGGGAGACTGAGGCAGGAGAATCTCTTGAATCTGGGAGGTGGAGGTGGCAGTGAGCCGAGATCGCACCATTGCACTCCAGCCTAGCTACAGAGTGACCTCTCAAAAAAAAAAAAAAAAAAAGCACACATTAAAAAAACAAGTTTTTAATCTATGGTCTTTTTATGTTCCAGAATCCTAAACATTAATCAATATTAATAACAGGATTCCATCAAGATTAATATTGATTAATCAAAATTAATCAATATTGATTACCCAATATTGATTAATTAATTGTGACAAATGTACCATGCCTAGGTAAATGTTAATAATGGCAGAACTTGGCCAGGCATGGTGGCTCGCACCTGTAATCCCAGCATTTGGGAGGCCAAGGTGGGTGGATCACAAGGTCAGTAGATCAAGACCATCCTGGGCAACATGGTGAAACCCCGTCTCTACTAAAAATACAAAAATTAGCTGGGTGTGGTGGCACATGCCTGTAATCCCAGCTACTTGGGAGGCCTGAGAATTGCCTGAACCCGGGAGGTGGAGGTTGCAGTCAGCAGAGATCACGCCACTGCACTCCGGCCTGGCAACAGAGCGAGACTTTGTCTCAAAAAATAATAATAATAATAATGGCAGAACTAGGCCAGGCGCGGTGGTTCACACCTGTAATCCCCATCACTTTGGGTGGCCGAGGTCGGTGGATCACTTGAGGTCAGGGGTTCGAGACCAGCCTGGCCAACATGGTGAAACCCCGTCTCTATTAAAAATACAAAAATTTAGCTGGGCGTGGTGGCAGGTGTCTGTAGTCCCAGCAACTCAGGAGGCTAAAGCAGGAGAATTGCTTGAACCTGGGAGATGGAAGTTGCAGTGAGCCCAGATCACATCACTGCACTCCAGCCTGGGCGACAAGAGTGAAACTCTGTCTTTAAAAAAAAAAATTATCAACTGGGTACAGTGGGTCATGCCTGTAATCCCAACACTTTCGGAGGCCAAGGTGGGAGGATCGCTTGAACCCAGGAGTTTGAAACCAGCCTGGGCTGGGCAACATAGCAAGACCCCATCTTTACAAAACATAAAAAAATTAGCCAGGGCACGTGCCTGTGGTCCCACCGCACTCCAGCCTGGGCGACAGAGCAAGATTCCATCTTAAAAAAACAACAAAAAAAGACTCATCACTTTTGTGTAGCACCAGGGTCAGCAAACTATCTCCAAAGGGCCAAGTAGTCAACACATAATAATTTGCAGGCCAGGCACGGTGGCTCACGCCTGTGATCCCAACATTTTGGATAACATAGTGAGACCCATTCTCTACAAGTGTTTTTTTGTTTTTGTTTTTTAATTAGCCAGGGGTGGTGGCACACACCTGTAGCCCTAGGGACTAGGGAGGCTGGGGCAGGAGAATTGCTTCAGACCAGGAGTTTGAGACTGCAGTGACTTATGACAGCATCACTGCACTCAAGCCTGGGTGACAGAGCAAAACCCTGTTTCTTTTTTTTTTTTTTTTTTTTTTTTTTGAGACGGAGTCTTCCTCTGTCGCCCAGGCCGGAGTGCAGTGGCACCATCTTGGCTCACTGCATCATCCGCCTCCCAGGTTCAGAGATTCTCATGCCTCAGCCTCTAGAGCAGGTGGGATTATAGGTGTAGGCCACCATGCCCAGCTAATTTTTGTATTTTTAGTAGAGATAGAGTTTCACCATGTTGGCCAGGCTGGTCTTCAACTCCTGACCTCAGGTGATCCTCCTACCTCAGCCTCCCAAATTGCTGGGATTACAGGCGGGAGACACCTTGCCTGGCCAAAACCCTGTTTCCTTAAAAGAAAAGAAAAGAAAAAAAAAACAAAAAAGACACAGAAATTTGAATTTTGTATACTTTTCACAAGTTATAAAATATTATTTTGATTTTTCCCCTAATCATTTAAAGATGTGAAAATCATCCTTAGTTGGCTGGGCGTGGTGGCTCACGCCTGTAATCCCAACACTTTGGGAGGCCGAGGCAGGCGGATCACCTGAGGTCGGGAGTTCAAGATCAGCCTGACCAACATGGAGAAACCCCGTCGCTACTAAAAATACAAAATTAGCCGGGGTGGTGGCGCATGCCTGTAATCCCAGCTACTCGGGAGGCTGAGGCAGGAGAATCGCTTGAACCTGGGAGACGGAGGTTGCAGTGAGCCAAGATTGCGCCACTGCACTCCAGCCCAGGCGACAGATCGAGACTCTGTCTCAAAAAAAAAAAAAGAAAGAAAGAAAAATGTGGTACTTAAATTCAGCCTTAAAAGATGAGCAGAGGCCGGGCTCCGTGGCTCATGGGCCCGGCCTTTCCTTCCTTCCTTCCTTCTCTCTCCCTCTCTTTCTTTCTTTCTTTCTTCCTTCCTTCCTTTCTTTTCTTTCTTTCCTTCTTTCTTTCTTTCTCTTTCTTCTTTCTCTCTCTCTTTCTTCTTTCTTTCTTTCTTTTCTTTCCTTTCTTTCTTTCTTTCGATGGAGTCTCGCTCTGTCACACAGGCTGGAGTGCAGTGGTGCGATCTCAGCTCACCACAACCTCCGCCTCCCAGTTTCAAGCGATTCTCCTGCCTTAGCCTCCCAAGTAGCTGAACTACAGGTGCCACCATGCCCGGCTAATTATTGTATTTTTGGTAGAGATGGGGTTTCACCATGCTGTCCAGGCTGGTTTCAAACTCCTGACCTCTCGATCCTCCCGCCTCCGCCTCCCAAAGTACTGGGATTATATGCGTGAGTCACTGCGCCTGGCCGGTGATATAATTAATTTTTTTCCTAGCTGAATAGCAATCTCTGCTCACTGCAACCTCTGCCTCACGGGTTTCAAGCAATTCTCCTGCCTCAGCCTCCTGAGTAGCTGGGATTACAGGCAAGCGCCACCATGCCTGGCTAATTTTTGTATTTTTTTTTTTTTTAGCAGAGACGGGGTTTCACCATGTTGGTCAGGCTAGACTCGAACTCCTAACCTCGTGATCCACCCACCTCAGCCTCCCAAAGTGCTGGGATTACAGGCAGGAGCCACAGCACCTGGCTGAACTCTTTCTTTTACATAATTAAACTTATTTGCTCCTGGTGGCAGGGACCTCTTGCCCCCTCTTCCTCCAACCCCTTTACAATAACTGAAATACTCTGATGTCCTGCAATATTCTTACTATTTATTTATTTTTTGTAAAAAGCTTTTAATACTACTCAACTGCAGTAGTGAGGGGGGGGGGGAAGTAGAGCAAGGAGTATGATCTGTAACTGATCCTGAACAATCAATTGGGATAACTCACTGCCTAGATAATTCACTATTTAGATGCTGTATTATTAGGGTCAACAGCTAACTGGAGCAACAGCTAAAGTCAAGATAAGAGAATTGTCATAGGTGCTGGACTTTTCTCTCCTCAACATCATCACTTCACCTTCCTGAACTCCGCCCACATGTTCTTCTTCCTCCTTCTCTAACACCTACTGAGAAATTGAGAAGGCGATTCTCTTCTGGCCAATAATATTATACTATTTCAGAGCAAGGTTCTATATGCTAAACTTTGGAAGGCATTCTTAGATATTCCTCCTCCCTGCGGGCTAGACTTACTAGGGGTTAAAAAGAAATCCCTTTTTACATTGGGTCAAAGGTCCCCTGAGGGTAGGGTGGGAAGGAGGAAGTCATAAATACCCTGGCAACAATAGTGTTGGTCAAGGTCAGGACCATTTTTTTTTCCTCCTATTTTTCAGGAACCAAAAAATGGTCAGGACTATTTTTGACAATTCGGCTTGATGGTTTAGTCTTCTGAACTCTCCAGTAGACCTTAGAACTTGGTATACATAGTAATTCAGTCCTTGAATATTAAAAGCCTTTAGTTAGAGTAAGATCTGACAAATTCAAAGCTGAGCCGTGAGTCAGAAATTTTTTTCTCAGCACCATAGGAAAAAAATCATAATAAAAAAATTAAGAGAAGAAATGTGTTGTTTTGTTTTGGGTTATTTTTTTGAGACGGAATTTCGCTCTTGTTGCCCAGGCTGGAGGGCAATGGCGTGATCTTGGCTCACCGCAACCTCTGCCTCCTGGGTTCAAGCGATTCTCCTGCCTCAGCCTCCTGAGTAGCTGGAATTACAAACACATGCCACCATCCTTGGCTAATTTTTGTATTTTTAGTAGAGACAGGATTTTACCATGTTGGTCAGGCTGGTCTCGAACTCCTGACCTCGTGATCCGCCCGCCTCGGCCTCCCAAAGTGCTGGGATTACAGGCGTGAGCCACTGCACCTAGCTGCTTGTGTTTTTATAGGTATAACAGGCAAAATAAGTGAAGAATATGCTGTATAATTCCATCTGTAATCTTCAAACTAGCAGTTTCCGTAGCTGTGGTGTTCATCTTCCCATCATTGGTAATTGGAGAGTAACTCTACCTCCCAGAGGAAGGAGGACTGTTGTAAATTAAAGGCTCATTGTTCAAGCCTCATTGAATTGTCAGTGTAGGGGACCTGAGGCAAAGAGCATTGTTGTTTTCAAGAGTTATTCTGTATATCACATTGATGTGCAGTTCAATATTTAAATGTAAGGAAATGACTCCTACTCTCTATTTGTTTACAAAACCCTAGTTCTCATTTATGCCCATTCCTTCATCAACAAATAATGATTTTCTACTTTTTGCCTGGTTCTCTCTAGAAGAGTAGTTCTTAAACAATAGCATTCAGAAAAATCACCTGGTTTCAATGGTAGGCTGTCATGAAAAAAAAAAAAAAATCACAGGGAGAATTTTAAAACACAGATTCCTGGTCCCAACCACCAAAGATTCCTATTCAGTGGTGAAGCCCATCAATCAGCATCTCTAACAAGCTTCCAAGTGGTGCTGAGGATGCTGGTGAATGATCCATTCATACTCTTCTAGGGCTGTAGATAATAAATTAAACAGGCAAAAATAAAAATAGGCTGGCGCGGTGGCTTACACCTGTAATCCCAGCACTTTGGGAGGCCAAGGTGGGTGGACCACCTGAGGTCAGGAGTTCTAGACCAGCCTGGCCAACATGGTGAACCCCGTCTCTACTAAAAATACAAAAAAATTAGCTAGGCATGGTGGTGTGTGCCTGTAATCCCAGCTACTCTGGAGGCTGAGGCAGAAGAATCGCTTGAACCCAGAAGGCGGAGGTTGCGGTGAGCCGAGATTGCGCCATTACACTGTAGCCTGGGCAACAAGAGGGAAACTCCATCTCAAAAAAAAAAAAAAAAAAATTGCCCTCACAGAGCTTATATTCTAGTGGTAGTAGGGGGATAAATCAGATAGGTAGCTAGCTAGCTAGCTAGATAAATAGATAGATAGACAGATAGTATATTACCTGTGTCGCCTGGCCAAAGGGTAGGTTCACATTTGGCATGTGTGTCAACTCAAGCT
This sequence comes from Homo sapiens, assembly GCF_000001405.40. Taxonomy (NCBI): domain Eukaryota; kingdom Metazoa; phylum Chordata; class Mammalia; order Primates; family Hominidae; genus Homo; species Homo sapiens. The sequence goes on from NC_000012.12 coordinate 7,786,598, forward strand.
GCACTTGACCTTTCCTAATCATCTCCAACACTACCTATTGCCCTATCCAAATCCTATCACTTGAATTATTCAAAAAGTCTCCCATCTTCATTTTGGTGGGATTTGGTCAGCTCCTTTACTGCAACCTGTTTTATCAGGAAGGTCTTTATGACCTGTATTTTGTGCTGACCTCCTATCTCATCCTATGACTTAGAACACCTTAACCATCTGGGAATGCAGCCCAGTAGGTTTCAGCCTCATTTTACCCAGCTCCTATTGAAGATGGAGTCGTTCTGGTTCACACAGCTCTGATAGTAATCTGCTCACTAAGTGTTAGTTGCCGTGTTCTCTCCCACAACTCCCTCCTGTTGCACCCCTGCCTTTGAGTCCTGCTAAACAACAGTATTGGAACCCATCATTTTCTCTCATGCCTTTACCCAAACTGTTAGTTTTCTGGTATTCCCTTCTCTCCACATTTTTCCTTCTCAGATCACTGAGGATCGTCCAATCTTCCCTGCCCATCCCTCCCCTACCCCAACCTCCATTATTTGTACTCTCTTAGCATCCAGTGCACTTTTTTTCCTTACTTATTACACAACTTTACACTTACAATTAACATTATAATTGTCTTTTTGGTCTATTTGATCTACTCTACTAAATCTTTTTTTTTTTTTTTTTGAGACAAGGTCTCACTGTGCCTCCTCGGCTGGAGTGCAGTGGCGTGATCTCGGCTCGCTGCAACCTCCGCCTCTGGAGTTCAAGTGATTCTCCTGTCTCAGCCTCCCTAGTAGATGGGATTACAGGCGTGCACCACCACGCCCAGCCCAGTTAATTTTTGTATTTTTAGTACAGACAGGGTTTCACCATGTTGGTCAGGCTGGTCTTGAACTCCTGATCTCAGATGATGCACCTGGCTCGGCCTCGCAAAGTGCTGGGATTACAGGTGTGAGCCACCGTGCCCAGCCGTTAGCTCATTTTAACACATCCTTAGTCCAGCCTGTTCCAAAAAATCTAAAGTCAGATAGCTTCCTAAACCTCAACTTTATTCCAATTGCTTTCCTTGGCGAAGAATGTAGTAAGTCGGCCTTCCAGCCACCAGCCCCTTCCCTTTGGTCTTTCACTCCGGAGGCTCTTACCCTAGACACAATGGGACAGGGAGCGGGGGATGGGGGAATTCAGCTCAGGCTTTTATGCAAAGACCCCCTTCTGCAAAGAACAAAGCTTCTGGTACCTGCCCTTTGGAGAGCTGCGGGCAAGCTCAGCCTCGGTGAGTCTTGGTGGCCTTGACAGCCCCCACTTAACAAACTGTGCTGATTAAGAGAGACAGGAGGGCAAGTTTTTCCCTTCTTTTAAAGAAATCATCCTATTTCCTACGAGACATAGACTATCTGCCTGAAGCATGATGTACTAGCCCCACTCACCGGCTCCCTGATGCCCCTATGCTTAATCTTCTCCGGAATGGTAGTCTGAGAAGAAAAAAGATTACGCCCAATTTCATTTCCTTGTTTCACATCAAGCAATACTTTTCGAGTCTTTGCATTGTGAACAAAAGTCAGCTTGTGTGGGAGCAAAGCCAGCTGCTCTGGGTGCAGACCCAGGAGCAGAGTGCAGAGGAGAATGAGTCAAAGAGTTTTGTCTTCAAAAATTACATAATCGGGATTTGCTAAGAGTTTACTTTTCGGTATGGAAGACTGGAAAAGAGAAAGAAATCTTAGGTTTCTTGAATGTTGGGTTTGGGAATAGGAAGGAAAATCGAAAACTGTAGACTTTGTCCATAAATGTTAGTGCTGGAACCCCACTCTAAAAACTTTGTTCCTTTGGAAAACACCTCCCTTCCCCCAGAAACACACACACCCACACGAGATGGGCACGGAGTAGTCTTGAAAGACATGACAAATCACCAGACCTGGGAAGAAGCTAAAGAGCCAGAGGGAAAAAGCCAGAAGTCGACTACCTGGGAGGAGGGATAGACAAGAAACCAAACTAAAGGAAACTAAGGTAGGTGCTGAAAACAAGTACCATTTTCAACATTAACTGATGCCTTGGCTTCATGCTATAATGCCATGTTGTGTTTCACTATAACCTCAGAGTGAATGAAAGAGGAAAATGGAGCTAGTTGAAATTTCTGCCTAAACTAGCCAGATTTTGAGACACTAAGTTATCTCAAATCAAGAAATCACCCTAATGAGAATTTCAATAACCTCAGGAATTTAAGGTGCATGCATCCCCCACCCCCCCCTTTTTTTTTTGAGACGTAGTCCCGCTCTGTTGCCCAGGCTGGAGTACAGTGGCGCGATATCGGCTCACCACAACCTCTGCCTCCCAGGTTCAAGGGATTCTCCCGCCTCAGCTTCCAGAGTAGCTGGGACTACAGACACCCACCACCATGCGTGGCTAATTTTTGTATTTTTAGTAGAGAGGGGGTTTCGCCATGTTGGCCAGGCTGGTTTCAAACTCCTGACTTCAGGTGATCCGCCTGCCACGGCCTCCCAATTTACTGGGATTACAGGGGTGGGCCACCGCGCCCGGCCTTTTTCTTAATTTTTAAAAATATTAAAGTTTTATCCCATTCCTGTTGAACCATATTCCTGATTTAAAAGTTGGAAACGTGGTGAACCTAGAAGTATTTGTTGCTGGGTTTGTCTTCAGGTTCTGTTGCTCGGTTTTCTAGTTCCCCACCTAGTCTGGGTTACTCTGCAGCTACTTTTGCATTACAATGGCCTTGGTGAGACTGGTAGACGGGATTAACTGAGAATTCACAAGGGTGGGTCAGTAGGGGGTGTGCCCGCCAGGAGGGGTGGGTCTAAGGTGATAGAGCCTTCATTATAAATCTAGAGACTCCAGGATTTTAACGTTCTGCTGGACTGAGCTGGTTGCCTCATGTTATTATGCAGGCAACTCACTTTATCCCAATTTCTTGATACTTTTCCTTCTGGAGGTCCTATTTCTCTAACATCTTCCAGAAAAGTCTTAAAGCTGCCTTAACCTTTTTTCCAGTCCACCTCTTAAATTTTTTCCTCCTCTTCCTCTATACTAACATGAGTGTGGATCCAGCTTGTCCCCAAAGCTTGCCTTGCTTTGAAGCATCCGACTGTAAAGAATCTTCACCTATGCCTGTGATTTGTGGGCCTGAAGAAAACTATCCATCCTTGCAAATGTCTTCTGCTGAGATGCCTCACACGGAGACTGGTAAGAAAGAAATTTATCCTTGAAAGGCCAAGTTCCTTAAGGGAAAAGAGAGAAGGAGAGAGGGTTAAGGGATCATTTCCCTCTTGAGCAATGATGGACCATTACTATAAAGAAGTGTTATTATCAACTAATCCTCTGGAAACCCCTTTTTCCATTATAACTTGGTGGCACCTGCCCTTTGAACTATGTCCCAGGTCTCAGGAGTGTGCATTGAGTTGAAGGACACAGAATTCGGCAGTTGAACAGTGTGCAGTAAGTTTGAGAACCTATGGGCTTAGGCATGGTGGAAACAAAAATGTATCGTTATAGTTAAATGAAGGTGATGTGTACATCTTCACATAGTGCTGGACACATGTGAATAAATAGCAGATTTATTGCTAATTAGCCAGAAGACCTAACGTCATAGCTCAGGGATGAGCATGATTTTGTTTTGCCAAAAATGGCATGGCAAATCACGATGAGATTTCTGTAATACATAATTTGGGTAATTCTTTCTATGTCAGTAACGGCTGTCTCTTCTCCATTCTCTGGGTTTGTGGATGTTACTGGGCAGCTCTGAGTTTGGGAGCACCTCCCATGTCTAATTCTCCTAAGTCCTGGGAAGCGTTGACCCAACTTTATGGTAAAGATAATTCCAGAAAGTTTAATCTACTGACAGTCAAACAGAATGTAGCTAGAAGTCCAGTTTGGCTTCAAAACCTGTGCTAGTACTCATGCTTCTGACTGGTAGCTGCAAGGGGTGGGGGATACTCGGGATACTCATAAAGCCGCTACCACTTTTTTGAAAATCAATTTTTCAGTAGTTTTCAAAAACTTGAGAATGAACCAACTTTACCAAGAATGCCATTGGTAACACTGAACGCTGTAAAATAGCTTAAAAAGCGCATTTACATTATGACTACAGTTGTAAAGAGTAGGTTGTGGAAAAGGAATAAGTAAACATGATTGCTATATTTGAGCCTCAGATTTGAATGTCACCCTGCTTTTCCTCTTTTTTAGAATCAGGGACTCACTTTGTCACATAGGCTGGAGTGCAATGGTGTGATCATGGATCACCGCAGCCTCAACCCTGAGATCAAGTGATCCTCTTGCCTCAGCCTCCCAACTACTAGGACAAGAGGCGTGTGTCACTATGCCCAGCTAATTAAAAAATTATTTTTGTAGAGACAGGGTCTCACTTTGCAGCTCGGGCTGGTCTTGAACTCCTGACCTCAAGTGATCCTCCACCCTCAGCTTCCCAAGTCGCTGGGATTACAGGCGCTGACCCACTCTGCATGGCTATTCACCCAGTTTTTCTAAACTATGCATTAATGTTCTTGCCTTTATAATTTCTTTCTTTCTTTCTTTCTTTTTTTTTTTTTGAGACAGGGTCTCATTCTGTTGCCCACGCGGGAGTGCAGTGGCGTGATCTTGGCTCACTGCAACCTCCGCCTCCTAGGTTCAGGTGATTTCTCCTGTCTCAGTCTCTCGAGTAGCAGGTATTACAGATGTATGCCACCACGCCTAGCTAATTTTTGTAGTTCTTAGTAGAGAAGGGGTTTCGGTGTGTTGGCCAGGCTGGTCTCAAACTCCTGACCTCAAGTGATTCACCTGCCTTGGCTGGGCACCGCGCCTGGCCACCTTTATAATTTCAAATGTTAAAAATACATTGCTGGGTTTGGGAATGAGCAAGTGGGGATGTGTTTTCTTTAGCACACATCAAGTGACAGTTTATATAGGTAGCTAATATTTAGGATTTTCCCCAATTCTAATCATTAGTTGAAAGGCTTCCTCTGCTTTTCAGATCTACTTGCAAGAGAGAAGAGATTGTTAATTTTTGCTGTTTTAGAGCCTGTCCCTTTGTTATGTGACTGCAGGGGTAGAATTGAGAGTTGAACACTGGGAAAACCGCAGAGCAATTAGGTATATAAGTGATGACTAAATCTAGATATTCATTTCTAGTTACAAAATCAGTAAATGCCAGGCCCTATGCTAGAGAATTTCAATTGGTTACCTCATTTTAATTAATAAAAAAATAATTTTAGAGATGAGGTCAGAGCTAGTAAAGGGAAGGCCTGGATTGAAACAGAAGCTTATCCGGATTCACATATCCTGCTGGTCCTAGCATTGAGAACTGGGCAGTCAGTTGCTGGTTTTGTTTTTTATTTTTTTGAGACAGTCTCACTCTGTCACCCAGGCTGGAGTGCAGTGGCACTCTCGGCTTACTGCAATCACGGCCTCCTGGGTTCAAGTGATTCTCCTGCCTCAGTCTCCCCAGTAGCTGGGATTACAGGCATGCGCCACCACTCCTGGCTAATTTTTGTAATTTTTAGTAGAGATGGGGTTTCACCATGTTGGCACGCTGGTTTTGAACTCTTGACCTCAAGTGATCTGCCCACCTTGGCCTCCCAAAGTGTTGGGATTACAGGCATGAGCCATCCCACCTAGCTGAGGTGCTGGTTTTATAGAATCCCCAGAATCATGGCATTTAAGCAATCATGTAGGTGTTGATGAAGATCATAAACAAAGTGATTTAGGGTGAGATGCAATACGTGAAAATTGGTGAATCTCCATTCTGACCTATTAACACCCAGTGTGGGAGCTTTTGAGCATCAGTTTAAAGCAAAAGGTGGTAGCGCCGGCCTGATGAGGTGGCTCACACCTGTAATCTCAGTACTTCGGGAGGCCGAGGCAGGCGGATCACGAGGTCAGGAGTTCGAGACCAGCCTCACCAACATTGAGAAACCCTGTCTCTACTAAAAATACAAAATTAGCCAGGCGTGATGGTGCCTGCCTGTAATCCCAGCTACTCAGGAGGCTGAGGCAGGAGAATCGCTTGAACCCAGGAGATGGAGGTTGCAGTGAGCCGAGATTGCACCATCGCACTTCAGCCTGGGCAACAAGAGTGAACCTCCATCCTAATTTTAAAAAAAAGGGGTAGCGCCGCTCAGCAATGCATTGGCCACCATTATAGATCTCTCCCAACGCAGTCTATTATGTACAAAATGGAGATACTGATAAGACTTCTTGGAGTAATACTATATAAAGCTTGCCAAAGTGCCAGGGCTGCTTAAGAAATTGCTTCTTATTACTTAGATCTGGGGTTCTGGGAATTATCAAAGTACTTTGAAAACAATTTTTTTAAAGGATATTTTAATATTTGAAAAATTTTAGACAAAAGTGTCCTTTTATTTGTTCCCAACAGTCTCTCCTCTTCCTTCCTCCATGGATCTGCTTATTCAGGACAGCCCTGATTCTTCCACCAGTCCCAAAGGCAAACAACCCACTTCTGCAGAGAAGAGTGTCGCAAAAAAGGAAGACAAGGTCCCGGTCAAGAAACAGAAGACCAGAACTGTGTTCTCTTCCACCCAGCTGTGTGTACTCAATGATAGATTTCAGAGACAGAAATACCTCAGCCTCCAGCAGATGCAAGAACTCTCCAACATCCTGAACCTCAGCTACAAACAGGTAGGCTTGTTTTGTCCTTGGAATAAGGTGAACAAAAATTGGACTAATTTGCATGGCTAAGACCTCTGTGGATGCATGTAGATGTGTGTACTATGTGTCCGTACATCGCCTCTTGCAAATAATTTATGAAGATGAAATGCTTTTGTAACTTCCTTCACCTCTTTCTTTCCTTAAATATTCTATTATGTGAATAATTATGTCATAATTTAACCACTTTCTTGCACAGACCAATATTGTGAAAATCTTTCCAACGTTTCCTTAATAAAAAAGAAGTATCTAACTCCACTTACCAGGGTAGGAGAAACCCTAACTCACACTGGTTCTCATTAAAATAAAAACTTTTTTTTTCCTTTTTTTCTTTCTGCCAGCAACTCCAGCTTGTTTTGTTTTTTATCTGTGTGCATTCAATAAGGCCAATCATTGTTTATTACTTGTTGGCCATTTTCCTTCATTAATTGGCTTATCCTCTTCTAGGCTTTATTTCCTTCTTTTCTTTTGTTTATTTTTGAGACGGAGTCTCACTCTGTCTCCCAGGCTGGAGTGCAGTGGCCTCATAATGAGACATCATAATGACATTAGCATTACTTGGTTTAAGTACAAATGGATGAAACCTCCACCTCCTGGGTTCAAGGGATTCTCCTGCCTCAGCCTCCCAAGTAGCTGGGATTACAGGCGCCCGCCACTACACCTGGCTAATTTTACTGTATTTTTTAGTAGAGATGGGGCTTCACCATGTTGGCCAGGCTGGTTTTCAACTCCTGACCTCAAGTGATCCACGTGCCTCTGCCTCCTAAAGTGCTAGGATTACAGGTGTGAACTACCACACCCGGCCCTTGCCTTTATTTTCTATCCAAAATGTTCATTTCTCTCTTTTTTTCTGAGACAGTCTGGTTCTGTTGTCACGCAGCTGGAGTGCAGTGATGCAATCTTGGCTCACTGCAGCCTTCACTTCCCAGGTGCAAGCGATCCTCCCGTCTCAGCCTCCTGAGAAGCTGGGACCACAGACGTGCAGCATTACACCCGGCTAATTTTTTGTATTTTTGTAGACACGGTGTTTCCTCATGTTGGCTAGCCTGTAGCGAACTCCTGGGCTCAAGCAATCTGCCCGCCTTGGCCTTCCAAAGTGTTGGGATTACAGGCATGAGATATGGCACCTGGCCAGGAATAAAAGTTAGCAATATACTTTGATTCAAAGTACCTCTGTATTATGAATATTTTACAATTTCTATCATTTTTTCCTGCAGGTGAAGACCTGGTTCCAGAACCAGAGAATGAAATCTAAGAGGTGGCAGAAAAACAACTGGCCGAAGAATAGCAATGGTGTGACGCAGGTAACAGGAAACTTCATTCTGTTCTTTCCTTTCAGTGATCTTTCAATCTTGTCCATCCCTGAAACACACAACTCCAGTCACAGACAGTTCTGGTTGTCCTTGTACCCTTTCTGTTAATCCCTCCTTCTCTTTCAGAAGGCCTCAGCACCTACCTACCCCAGCCTTTACTCTTCCTACCACCAGGGATGCCTGGTGAACCCGACTGGGAACCTTCCAATGTGGAGCAACCAGACCTGGAACAATTCAACCTGGAGCAACCAGACCCAGAACATCCAGTCCTGGAGCAACCACTCCTGGAACACTCAGACCTGGTGCACCCAATCCTGGAACAATCAGGCCTGGAACAGTCCCTTCTATAACTGTGGAGAGGAATCTCTGCAGTCCTGCATGCAGTTCCAGCCAAATTCTCCTGCCAGTGACTTGGAGGCTGCCTTGGAAGCTGCTGGGGAAGGCCTTAATGTAATACAGCAGACCACTAGGTATTTTAGTACTCCACAAACCATGGATTTATTCCTAAACTACTCCATGAACATGCAACCTGAAGACGTGTGAAGATGAGTGAAACTGATATTACTCAATTTCAGTCTGGACACTGGCTGAATCCTTCCTCTCCCCTCCTCCCATCCCTCATAGGATTTTTCTTGTTTGGAAACCACGTGTTCTGGTTTCCATGATGCCCATCCAGTCAATCTCATGGAGGGTGGAGTATGGTTGGAGCCTAATCAGCGAGGTTTCTTTTTTTTTTTTTTTCCTATTGGATCTTCCTGGAGAAAATACTTTTTTTTTTTTTTTTTTTGAAACGGAGTCTTGCTCTGTCGCCCAGGCTGGAGTGCAGTGGCGCGGTCTTGGCTCACTGCAAGCTCCGTCTCCCGGGTTCACGCCATTCTCCTGCCTCAGCCTCCCGAGCAGCTGGGACTACAGGCGCCCGCCACCTCGCCCGGCTAATATTTTGTATTTTTAGTAGAGACGGGGTTTCACTGTGTTAGCCAGGATGGTCTCGATCTCCTGACCTTGTGATCCACCCGCCTCGGCCTCCCTAACAGCTGGGATTTACAGGCGTGAGCCACCGCGCCCTGCCTAGAAAAGACATTTTAATAACCTTGGCTGCCGTCTCTGGCTATAGATAAGTAGATCTAATACTAGTTTGGATATCTTTAGGGTTTAGAATCTAACCTCAAGAATAAGAAATACAAGTACAAATTGGTGATGAAGATGTATTCGTATTGTTTGGGATTGGGAGGCTTTGCTTATTTTTTAAAAACTATTGAGGTAAAGGGTTAAGCTGTAACATACTTAATTGATTTCTTACCGTTTTTGGCTCTGTTTTGCTATATCCCCTAATTTGTTGGTTGTGCTAATCTTTGTAGAAAGAGGTCTCGTATTTGCTGCATCGTAATGACATGAGTACTGCTTTAGTTGGTTTAAGTTCAAATGAATGAAACAACTATTTTTCCTTTAGTTGATTTTACCCTGATTTCACCGAGTGTTTCAATGAGTAAATATACAGCTTAAACATAAATCTTTGTTAAATTTTTGGTTGGGGTGGAGAAGGAAATTAGCTGAGGACACTGCTATCTTAGAAATGCATAGAAATAGCTGAGCGTGGTGGCCTATGCCTGTAGTCCCAGCTATTTGGGAGGCTGAGGCAGGAGAATCGCTTGAACCTGGTAGGTGGAGGTTGTAGTGAGCCAATATCACACCACTGCACTCCAGCTTGGGCGACAAGAGCAAAACTCCCATCTCAAAAATAAATAAATAAATAAGTAAATAAATGAATAATAAATAAATATGCCAGTTTTAGAATGAATGAATAATAAATATGCCAGTTTTAGAAAAAAGGGCACTTACGTGCATTGTACATGTGCATCTACAAATGTAATGGGTTATTTCCGTGTATGAATCTGTAATTGATGCTAACATTTAAAGTTTCATCAGAGGCCTATATGTAAGTAAATTCTAAGGCTAGTTGAAACAGATTTATGTTCTCACCTTAAGAGCAGCTACGCAGGCATCTGTGAATTATACTAATAATCCTTTACTGTCCTTTTCCCATCTTGTGCCTGCCCTAAATGTATCTGATCTGAGAGCACGTCCCTTCACTCTGAAGCAGCATGATGCAGGTTATCAGAGTGGTTTTTTCCAGTCTTTTCTCTCATTATTTCCCCAATTGTCCAATGTTACTAAGACTATCCAGTCTAATTCCAAGTGTTTTTTTTTTGTTTTATTTTGTTTTTTTTTAAGACTGGAGTCTTACTCTGTTGCCCAGGCTGGAGTGTAGTGGAGCGATCTCGGCTCACCGCAACCTCCGCCTCCCGAGTTCAAGTGATTCTCCTGCCTCAGCCTCCCAAGTAGCTGGGACTACAGGGGTGAGCCACCATGCCCAGCTAATTGTATTTTTAGTAGAGACAGGGTTTCACTATGTTGGCCAGGCTGGTCTTGAACTCCTGACCTCATGATCCACCAGCCTTGGCCTCCCAAAGTGTTGGGATTACAGGCGTGAGCCACTGCGCCTGGCCTATCGTTTGTTTTTTTAGACAGTCTCTCTCTATTGCCCAGGCTGGAGTGCAGTGGCACAATCTTGGCTCACTGCAACCTCCGCCTCCTGGGTTCGAGCAATTCTCCTGCGTCAGCCTCCTAAGTAGCTGGGATTACAGGCACCCAACATTACACCCGGCTAATTTTTGGTATTTTTAGTAGAGATGGGGTTTCACCATGTTGGCCAGCCTGGTCTCGAACTCCTGACCTCAGGTGATCCACCTGACTCGGCCTCCCAAAGTGGTGGGATTATAGGTGTGAGCCACCGTGTCTGGGCAATTTTTTTTTTTTTTTTTGAGATGGAACTTCACTTTTGTTACTCAGGCTGGAGCACAATGATGCAATCTCTACTCACTGCAACCTGCACCTCCCAGGTTCAAGTGATTCTCTTGCCTCAGCCTTTCGAGTGGCTGGTATTACAGGGATTTGCCACTATGCCCAGCTAATTCTTTGTATTTAGTAGAGATGGGGTTTCACCGTATTGACCAGGCTGGTCTCGAACTCCTGACCTCAGGTAATCCACCCTCCTCGGTCTCCCAAAGTGCTAGGATTACAGGCATGAGCCACAGTGCCCAGCCTTCTTTTTTATTTTTTTAAGACGGGCTTATTCTGCTGCTCAGACTGGGGCTTAGTGGCACCATTTCACCTCACTGTAGCCTCGACTTCCCGGATTCAAGCAATCCTCCTGCCTGAGTCTCTCAAATAGCCCAGACTATAGGTGCACACCACCATGCCAGCTAACTTTTGTGTTTTTAGGAGAGACGGGGTTTCCCCATGTTGGCCTGGCTAGTCTCAAACTCCTGAGCTCAAGCAGTCTACCAGCCTTGGCCTCCCGAAGTGCTGAGATTACAGGCATGAGTCACCAGCCTAGCCCTGTATTATGTTTTCTGAACTTTTTTTTTTTTAATCACCCAGTATTAATCTTCAACCTCTTGGCAGGTAAGAATTTAGAGATCTATTTGGAATAATCTTTAAAGTAACAATAATAACTACAGTCAAAAGCAGTAAGATTAGTGGGCCAGGTGCCGTGGCTCACACCTGTAATCCCAGCACTTCGGGAGACCAAGGCAGGTGGATCACCTGAGGTCAGGAGTTCAAGTTTAGCATGGCCAATATGGCGAAACCCTGTCTCTACTAAAAATACAGAAATTTGCCAGAGGTCTTGGTTTGCGCCTGTAATCTCAGCTACTTGGAAGGCGGAGGCAGGATAATCACTTGAACCCGGGAGGTTGCAGTGACCCCAGATAATGCCACCCCACTCCAGCCTGGGCGACAGAGCGTCACTGTCTCAAAAATAAACAAAAATAATAGGAGATTAGGCAAAAAGGATAGTACAAGGCTCTCTGTTTAACATTTCTTCCTTTCTCTAGAAAATTTTCCTTTCTTTTCCCAAAAGGAGGTGTGTGTTACTTCCAATGCTATATTTTAGTAGCTTTACCATATTTTAGTTTTTAAAATTCATTATTTTGATTTCTCAGCTTTCATTTTCATTTCAGTTTGTACCTGAAGGAGAGAAGCATGGATTGAATTTGCCTGGGTTTTCCGAATTTCATAATATAAATTTAAAACTCAGAAGTGGGAGGAATACAGGCCTTGATTAGTGAATTTCAAGCTCAGTTCTCGGGGTGAAGGACAAGGTTAATTCTACTCTGAGTAATTCTACCGTTCAGAAAACCTGGTGTGTCTACAGGAAAAAATACAGGCTGTGACTACAAACCTAAAAGTAAAGGCAAACAACTGCCAGACAGAGGCAGGAAAGTGGGGGAGAGCCCTTGGTAAATATTGCATGCCTCCTGGGGCCCCCATGGGCTTTGACTCAAGGGGGAGATGAAGGGAATTTGTTAAAGAAAGAAGTCACTGGGACAGACAAAAGCTTCCGGCACAGGAAGTTAGTTCGACTAAGGATACCGAAATGTAGGAATTTGAATGGGTTCCTGGGTGTGAGGTTGAAGTGAAACTTGATTGAAAAGAAGCTGCTGGTGGTGAGTCTCTCCTTAAGCTATTCCTGGCTTCTGGGTAGTTGGTGTAAACTCTGTGGTCCTTGAATAAAGTGTGCTTGAGAATTTTAGAAGGTTAAGCATCTGAGAAATTACTTCAATGCAGTGGTAGCACTACCTCTGATGATACTACCAAGCAAACTATTAAGAAACAGAAAAGCTCACAGATCAAATTAAGATGCTAGAATCGTATTAAATCAATTAAATACATGGAACAAAACAGGCAAAAAGATGGGATACATTAATCCATTTAGGATAAGGTGCATGTGGAGTAGAAAGGGTAGCAGTGTTTACATGTCCTCTGATAACACTGGCGTAGTCACAAGAGCTAAGGACAAGAACCAAGGGTGAGAATTTGAGATTCAATTAGGGCCAGGGATCTGCAGAACAGATGTACCTGGAACATGGGTGTCAATGTGCTCTTATCAGAGAGACAAAGGGGCAGTTATTCCTGGCCACGAAAGTAGTTCTTGGCTCATTGAGCAGCTATGAAATCTATTTGCAGGCCAGGCATGGTGTCTCAAGCTTATAATCTTAACACTTTGGGAGGCCAAGGTGGGTGGATCACCTGAGGACAGGAGTTCAAGACCAGCCTGGCCAACGTGGCGAAACCCCGTCTCCTAAATAAAAAGTAGCCGGGCATGATGGCAGGGGCCTATAATCCCGGCTACTCAGGAGGCTGAGGCAGAATTGCTTGAACCTGGGAGGCGGAGGTTGCAGTAAGCCGAGATCGCACCATTGCACTCCAGCCTGTGAGACAGAGCAAGACCCCGTCTCCAAAAAAAAAAACCAAAAAAACAAAAAAACTGAAATTAAAATGAGTTCCGTTTGGAGGTAAATACCTTTAAGAGTACTTTAGATTTACATAGCACTGGGCTGGGCACGGTGGCTCACGCCTGTAATCCCAGCACTTTGGGAGGCTGAGGCTGGTGGATCACAAGCTCAGGGGTTTGAGATCAGCCTGACCAACATGATAAAACCTTGTCTCCACTAAAAATATAAAAATTAGCTGGGCATGGTGGCACATGCCTGTAATCTTAACTACTCAGAAGTCTGAGGCAGGAGAATCACTTGAACCCGTAGGTGGAGGTTGCAGTGAGCCGAGAGCGCCACTGCACTCCCGCCTGGGCAACAGAGCGAGACTCCATCTCAAAAAAAAAAAAAGATTTACACAGCACTCAACAACATAGGAAAATATTTATAAACTGTATTACACTTGAACCTTAAGCTATACTCTGAGGTTAACTACCATTTGTGGGTTAAGAAGCTAAAGCTCTGTTTTTCTTTAAGACAAGTGCAGTAGTGAGAAGTGGGGAAGAGTAGAACAAGGAGTTCGATCTGTAATTCACTGTGAACAAACAATTGAGGTAACTGACTACCTTCAGACGAGGCTGGAAGTTTTTATTTATTTAGTGACCGACTTTTGGTCTTGTTTCCCAGGTTGGAGTGCAATGGCACGATCTTGGCTCACTGCAACCTCCACCTTCCGGGTTCAAGTGATTCTCTTCCCTCAGCCTCCTGAGTAGCTGGAACTACAGGCACCCACCAGCATGCCCGGCTAATTTTTATATTTTTAGTAGAGACGGTGTTTCACCATGGTGGCCAGGCTGGTCTGGAACTCCTCCTGACCACAGGTGATCCACGTGCCTCGGCCTCTGAAAGTGTTGGAGTTACAGGCATGAGCCACCCCACCCAGCCACATTATATGTTTAAATTTTGATTTAAATTTAAAATTTGAATTTTAACTTTTAAACTAAAATTTAAATTAAAAATTAAATTTTAAATTTAAATTAAAAAAATTAAAAACCCTGTTACCCAGACTGGAGTGCAGTGGTGCATTCATGGCTCACTGCAGCCTCAATCTCCTAGGCTCAAATGATCCTTCCGCCTCAACCTCCTCAGTAGCTGGGGCTATAGGTGCACACTGCCACACTCAGCCAATTTTTAAAATCTTTTTTGTAGAGACAGGGCTCTTGCTATGTTGCCCAGGCTAGTCTTGAATTCCTGGGCTCAAGTGACCCTCTCGCCTGGGCCTCTCAAAGTGCTGAGATTACAAGCATGAGCCACTGCATCTGGCCTCGGTAATAATTTTTATAGAAGAAAAAAGCTAAAAGCTTAAGCAACATGCCAAAGGTGGTACTGGTTGTATGTGGTAAAATCTGGATTCAAGCCCTTAATTGCTTGACTCCAAAGCCCCAGATGTTGCTCTCTGTTGCATTATGTTATATAGCTTTGCAATAACCCCAGAAAGTTACATAGTTTGATGTGGAATGAACTCCCCTCTTCCTTCGAGTCTGATGTCTTATCAGACACCATATGTGAGAACTTGGGAGTGAACTCAAGCTTCCCTCAAGAATGTTAACATCAAATTCGATCAGATCCAACCCCAAAGGTGGGTGTTTTGACCTCAACTACTGAACTTCAAAAATACATATAAACTCAAGAGTTTGACAGACACTTTGAGAGCTTAGGCAGTAGCAGGGTTAAACTTTGTTGATCGTTTCTCAGAAAATCAAGAGTGCATGCTATAGGCGGGGTGTGGCAGCTCGCACCTGTAATCCCAACACTTTGGGAAGCTGAGACAGGTGGATTGCTTGAGCCCAGGAGTTTGAGACCAGCCTGGGCAGCATAGTGAGACCCCAGCTCTAGAAAAAATACAAAAAAAAAAAAAAGTAGCCAGTTATGCTCGTGCACACCTGTAGTTCTAGCTACTTTGGAGGCTGAGGCAGGGTGATCCCTTGAGCCCATGATTTTGAGACTGCAGTGAGCCTGTGTGACAGATGAAGACTCTTGTTTGTTTGTTTTTTGTTCTTTTGTTTTTGTTTTCTTAATGAGTGTGCTCTCTAATATGCTGCACTCTGCACTCAAGCCCTCTTCTAGCTTCTGAGAGCTCAGGCTACAATAGGAAGATACTCTGTTAGCCTTGAAGCTAATCTTTATTTTTCTTTATTTTATTTTATTTTTTGAGACAGAGTCTCGCTGTGTCACCCAGGCTGGAGTGCAGTGGCGCAATCTCGGCTCACTGCAACCTCTGCCTCCCAGGTTCAAGCAATTCTGCCTCAGACTCCCAAGTAGCTGGGACTACAGGCACACGCCACCATGCCTGGCTAATTTTTGTATTTTCAGTAGAGGCAGGGTTTCACCGTGTTGGTCAGGCTGGTCTCCAACTCCTGATTTCGTGATCTGCCTGCCTCAGCCTCCCAAAGTGCTGGGATTGCAGGAATGAGCCACCATGCCCAGCTTTTTTTTTTTTTTTTTTGAGATGGACTCTTTTTCTGTCTCTCAGGCTGGAGTGTAGTGGCTCACTGCAACCTCTGCCTCCTGGGTTCAAGCAATTCTACCTCAGCCTCCCGAGTAGCTGGGATTACAGGTATGTGCCACCACACCCAGCTAATTTTTGTATTTTTAGTAGAGATGGGGTCTCAAAAAAAAAAAGGGAGAAAGGATGGTAGCATAAGACGGTATACTAGAGAAACACTAAAATAGGATAGGCAAAATATGAGCCTTTAAAAGCTTTAAGGAGTAACATACTTAGATTTGCATTTTAGATTGTTCTCCCTGTACTACGGGAAGGTATTGGAAGGGAGCAAGACCAGAGATTAGTCTATTTTAATGATTATGCCTATTTATAAGGGCCTAGATTAGGATTCATTGGGAAACAGTGTGTTACATATGACAGAAGTAAGGAGATGATCAAAGAATGATTTCATAGCCGGATGTGGTGGCTCATGTCTGTAATCCTAGAACTTTGGGAGGTCAAGGTGGGTGGATCACTTGAGGTCAGGGAGTCCAGGACCAACCTGGCCTATGTGGTGAAACCCCTTCTCTACTAAAAACACAAAAAAATTAGCTGGGCATGGTGGCGGGCGCCTGTAATCCCAGCTGGCTTCAAGCAATCCACCTGCCTTGGCCTCCCAAAGTTTTGAGATTACAGACATAAGCCACTGTTCCTGGCTCAAGTATACCACCCTAATCAAAATTATTTTTGGAGTTTTTTTTTCCTTCTTCAACAGTTATGTTAGAGATTATGGATTTTTTTGTTTGCTTTTGTTTGTTTGTTTGTTTTGCGACGGAGTCTGGCTCTGTTGCCCAGGCTGGAGTGCAGTGGCGTGATCTCTGCTCACTGCAACCTCCACCTTCCAGGTTCAAGTGATTCTCCTGCCTCAGCCTCCTGAGTAGCTGGAATTATAGGCATGCACCACCACACCTGGCTAATTTTTTGTATTTTTAGTAGAGACGGGGTTTCACCATGTTAGCCAGGATGGTCTCAATCTCCTGACCTCGTGATCTGCCCGCCTCGGCCTCCCAAAGTGCTGGGATTACAGGCGTGAGCCACTGGCCCGGCTTTTTTTTCTTTTTAGATGGAGTCTCGCTCCTGTCTGGAAGGCTGGAGTGCAGTGGTGTAATCTCGGCTCACTGCAACCTCTGTCTCCCAGGTTCAAGTGATTCTCCTGCCTTAGCCTCCCAAGTAGCTGGGATTACAGGTGCCCGCCACCACGCCCAGCTAATTTTGTTTTTGTTGTTGTTTTTGTGCAATTGGTTGTCAGCCCATTTTACACATTCTTCTAGAATTGGCCATTTCTCCAAGAAGCATTAGTTACTTTTAGCAAGGAATAATATTTAGAGATCAGAACTGATCGCTGGTATTGCTATAATTAAGGGTAGTTGCAGATATTGACTTTATGTGCAGACAATTGAAAATCCAGAAAAATCTCAGAAGTCTTTCTGTGACTTCTCCTCACATATTATCCAAAATTGACATAAGCCCATGATTAAACTAACAATTTGGCAAAGCGAATGAGATCATTACAATTTGCCTCCCACCGCTGGGTATAGTGGCATACATCTGTTATCCCAGTATTTTGGGGGCCGAGGCTGAAGGAACACTTGAGGCCAGGAGTTTGACACCAGCCTGGTCAACATAGTAAAACTCCATGTCTACAGAAAAATTTAAAAACTTAGCCAGGTGTGATGGTGCGTGCCTTTGGTCCTAGCCAGTCAGGAGGCTGAAGCTAGAGGATTGCCTGAGCTCAGGAGTTTGAGGCTGCAATGAGCTATGACCGCACCACTGCACTCCAGCCTGGGTGACAGAGGGAGACCCTGTCTCTAAAAAAATAGTAATAAAATAAAATAAAAAGATTTACCTCCTAACTAAAAGACATGGCCTTCAGAAGAAGTTAAGATAATTGTATGTGAATGGAAAACGAATAGTTTCTGCTACAGCAACCAGTGTATATCTGCTCTAGTACAGCTACAACTAAATCAATTTTACAAGGTAGAGAGTCCAGGAAGACTACCAAATATATATAGAAACTGCATATTTGATTAAGAATTCTAGTTTAGATCACTATATTATTAGTTAGAAAAACAGGCCGGGAGCAGTGGCTCACGCCTGTAATCCCAGCACTTTGGGAGGCTAAGCTGGGCAGATCGCGAGGTCAGGAGTTCAAGACCAGCCTGGCCAACATGGCGAAACCCTGTCTCTATTAAAAATACAAAAAGTAGCCGGGCGTGGTGGTGGGCACCTGTAATCCCAGCTACTTGGGAGGCTGAGGCAGGAGAATCGCTTCAATCCAGGAGGTGGAGGTTGTAGTGAGCAGAAACCAAGCCACTACACTCACTCCAGCCTAGATGACAAGAGCAAGGTTCTGTCTCAAAAAAAAAAAAAAAAAAAAAGAAAAACAAGGCACAAAACCATATGAATGATTTATTCTATTTGAATTAAAAAATATAAGTCACATAGATACAAACATTTTCTGGGAGGATAAAAACATACGCCCAAAATTTACATTTCAGATGAATAGATAAATAATAAATTATTTAGGAAATAAAAGTAACAATTCTCAGTTTGGGGGAAAGTTGATAGAGTCCTGCTTCATTCTAGGTTACATGAAAGCTGGGTGCCATGGCTCACACCTGTAGTCCCAGCAATTTGAGAGGCTGAGGTGGGAAGATCACTTGAGCCCGGGAGTTCTAGACAAGGCTGGGCAACATAGCAAATTCCCATCTCTACAAAAAATAAAACAAATTAGCTGGACACAGTGGTGCTTGCCTGTAGTCCCAGCTGCTTGGGAAGCTGAGGAGGGAGAATCAATTGAGCCTGATGGTTGAGGCTGCAGCGAGCTGTGATTGTGCCACTGCACTCCAGCCTGAGCGACAGAGAAAGACGCTGTCTCAAAAAACAAACAATCAAAAAACAATAGGCCGTGAGAGGTTGCTCACACCTGTAGTCCCAGCATTTTGGGAGGCCTAGGCGGGTGGATCACTTGAGGCCAGAAGTTCAAGACCAGCCTGGCCAACATGGCAAAATCCAATCTCTACAAAAAAATACAAACATTAGCCGGGCGTGGTGGTGCATGCCTGTGGTCTCAGCTATTCGGGAAGCTGAGTCAGAAGAATCACTTGATTGAACCCAGGAGGCAGAGGCTGCAATCAGCCTAGATCATGCCACTGCATTCCAGCCAGGGAGATAGGTGTGAAACTCTGTTTCAAAAAAAAGAAAAAAGAAAAGAAAATACACACATTAAAATCTCAGCTCCACCATTATGACCTTGGGCAAATTATTTTGCAGGCTTTTAGGTCTTCCCTTTTGTGTAAATAGAAATAATACTTGAAGTGATTTCTGTCATCTAATATGTATTTTGTCTAGCTCATAGAACATATACAATTAATGTCAGTTACCTGCATGGCAATGTAAAATGTGATCATCCTTTGATACACCCCCTAGGACTGTATGCCAAGGCATTAATCAAACAACCACATAAAGATACTCATTACAGCACTGTTGGTAATAGCTAAACAATTTTTTATTTTTATTTTTATTTATTTATTATTTTTGAGGCGAAGTCTCAATCTGTCACCAGGCTGGAGTGCAGTGGCACGATCTCGGCTCACTGCAACCTCCACCTCCCGGGCTCAAGCAATTCTGCCTCAGCTTCGTGAGTAGCTGGGACTACAGTTGCGCACCACCAAAGCCAGCTAATTTTTGTATTTTTAGTAGAGACGGGGTTTCACTGTGTTGGCCAGGATGGTCTCGATCTCTTGACCTGGTGATTTGCCCACCTCGGCCTCCCAAAGTGCTGGAATTATAGGTGTGAGCCACTGCGCCCGGCCAAAAATATTTTTTTAAATCTAAATGTATATCAATAGGACTTTCCTTAAATGTGTTATGATATATTGGAGTACTTATGTAGCCATAAAAAACAAAAAAGATGGCCAAGTGCAGTGGTTCATGCCTGTCATCCCAGCACTTTGGGAGTCTGAGTCTGGTGGATCACAAAGTCAGGAGTTTGAGACCAGCCTGACCAACATGGCAAAACCCCGTCTCTACTAAAAATACAAAAATAAGCTCGGCATGCTGGCCGAGTGCCTGTATCTCAGCTACTTGGCAGGCTGAGGCAGGAAAATTGCTTGAACCCGGGAGACGGAGGTTGCAGTGAGCTGAGATTGAGCCACTGCACTCCAGTCTGGGCAACAGAGTGAGACCCTGTCTCAAAACAAAACAAAACAAAAACAAAAAGGATGAAGCAGATTTAAATGTATGGGAAAATTCCATTATTAAGGTAAAAGAGCAGATTCGTTTATAGGTTGTGATCCCATTCATGTCATATATGGAGATAAATTAAGTGTGGAAAGATAGATACAGATATAGAAATAAAAGTAATAGTTATCTCTAGGAAATAAAATTAGGAGGCATTTTTTGCTTTTCCTCTATTTTTAGAACATATCTGACAAAAATAATAGATAAATCTATTTGGAAAGCATAAGAGTAGCCTCTATGGAACTAAATAATTGCTAGTAAAAGTAACATTTCCGTGAACATTTTTGAAATATGAAAATAACTCAAGTACTTGTACTGATACCTTTAGGACATGCTAGAATACTGGAACTCTTGCTTTTGAAACACAGATTAGACTGTCCCTCTTTGGGCAAAGCCATTAAGTCAATGTTAAGCTCACTGAGAGAGTCACACCCCCCTCTAGTGGTCTACCGTGGCACTGGGCTCACCAATCTCCCAACTGTTTTACAATGATAGGGAACTTTCCTTAACCATCACATGTTCAGGGACAAGGGAATGGATGCCCAGACATATTCTTCAATTACATGTGGTTCAAGATAGAAATCAATTGAGAATGATGGATCAGATATACTCAGATGTACTTGATGAAGTAGAAGTTCCTCTAAATGGAATAAACTGGAGGCCCTAGGGAAAAAAAAATGGATTGAAAACCTTAGCAGAATAAGTGACACTGCTTTTACAAGTGATTCATAGTGGTTATAAACTAAGCCAGCAGGCAGACATGGAAATGTTCTTGGAAGAGTGTGTTTAGATATTGTAATGAAGATACAAATTTGCTGAGGACATTGGAAAAAAGAAATCTGTTGCTGTGGAGTTTAACTAAAAGTGTATCAGTCTCTTTCATCTTTTTTTTTTTTTTTTTGAGACAGAGTCTTGCTCAGTCGCTGAGGCTGGAGTGCAATGGTGTGATCTTGGCTCACTGCAACCTCCGTCTCCCGGGTTCAAGCGATTCTCCTGCCTCAGCCTCCTGAGTAGCTGGGAAGTAGCTGGGATTATAGGCGCCGCCACCATGCCCAGCTAATTTTTAATTTTTGTATTTTTTAGTAGAGACGGGGTTTCACCATGTTGGCCAGGATGGTCTCAATCTCCTGACCTCGTGATCCGCCCACCTCGCCCTCCCAGAGTGCTGGGATTACAGGCGTGAGCCACTGTGCCCGGCCTCTCTTTCTCTTTTGTCACCTATTTAGCTTTAGAAAATTGGGTAGCAAGCCCGCAGGTGTGTATGAACAGGGCCACGGTTGAACAAAGACTAACAGAAGGCAAGCTGAACAGAGTGTCGGAGTCATAGGATTGGCTTCAGCTTCCCTCACAGTTTATAAGAGATCCTTGTGGAGATTCATGGTCAAGATCATGCGTTAGCTGAGGAAAATTCAGAGTTTATTAGAATCAGAACATCTAGCACAGCTACAGTATGGGACAGGTGCGGGACATCCAGCAACATGGCACCAGGGAGGTAGGCTCCTGGGATCTACTGCCAGTCTTTAGGAGTAGTTCACAGCCCAACACTTGTGGGGGATGACGTGAGCTAGTCATTTTGGATTGAAAGCTTGATGTTGCAAATATTATGTTGTAGAAACTCTGGATTCTCTTGTGTTCTTCTGGGCATTTTGTATTTTTGTTCTAGTAGGCAAAAACGTTATCTTCCCAGCAACGAGCAACAGCTGATCTCTCTATCCTGCTCTAGGGTCTTCATCTGCTGCTTTTTGGCCTGGAGACACCTGTGCTTGCAAAATTCGCTGGTCAGTCAGGAATTTGGGCAGAAAATATGATCAGACTTTTAGGAATGACTTTCTCTATGGTTTTTTTTCCCCCCTTTTTAGTTGTTTTTGGTAGGATTCACTCCTATTTTTTTTTTTTTTTTTTTGAGACGGAGTCTCGCTCTGTCGCCTAGGCTGGAGTGCAGTGCCATGATCTCGGCTCACTGGAAGCTCTGCCTCCTGGGTTCATGCCATTCTCCTGCCTCAGCCTCCCAAGTAGCTGGGACTACAGGCGTCCGCCACCACACCCGGCTAAAATTTTTTTGTATTTTTTAGTAGAGATGGGGTTTCACCGTGCTAGCCAGGATGGTCTTGATCTCTTGACCTCACCATCCACCTGCCTCGGCCTCCCAAAGTGCTGGGATTACAGGTGTGAGCCACCGTGCCCAGCCAATTCACTCCTAATTTCAAACTGCTCTGTTGGTTTTGGGCACTTCCAGCCATAAAATTTCAGCTTTCTGCACACGGCCCTGGGTTCATTCCCCAGCACCATCACCAAAAAAAAAAAAAAAAAAAAAAAAATAGATTTCAGTTTTCTGTCACCTGAGCTGTGGAGGAATGAGGAATACATTCATTTTTTTTAATCTTTTTTTTTTTTTTTTTTTTGAGACAGAGTCTTGATCTGTCGCCCAGGCTGGAGTGCAGTGGCGTGATCTTGGCTCACTGCAAGCTCTGTCTCCTGGGTTCCTGCCATTCTCCTGCCACAGCCTCCCAAGTAGCTGGGACTACAGGCACCCGCCATCACGCCCGGCTAATTTTTTTTGTATTTTTAGTAGAGACGGGGTCTCACCGTGTTAGTCAGGATGGTCTTGATCTCCTGACCTTGTGTTCTGCCCGCCTCGGCCTCCCAAAGTGCTGGGATTACAGGCGTGAGCCACCGCGCCTGGTCAATCATTTTATTTTTAACATTACTTATTTTTATTTTTTACTTTTTTTCAGTTTACATTTACATGAGCATTTATTTTTTATTTTTTATTTTTTATTTTTTTTTGAGACAGTGTCTGGCTGTGTCACCCAGGCTGGAGTGCAGTGGATCGATCATAGCTCACCTCAGCCTCGAACTCCTGAGCTCAAGTGATCCCCCTGCCTCAGCCTCTCCAGTGGCTAGAATTTCAGATATGCACCACCACACCTGGCTAATTGTTTTTATGAAATAAAATTTTTTTAAATTTATTTTTGTAGAGACTGGGGTCTTGTTACATTGTCCAGGCTGTCCTTGAACACCTGGCCTCAAGCTATTGTTCTGCCCTGGCCTTCCAAAGAGCTGGGATTATAGGCATGAGCTACATGGGCCGGTCCAAACTTAGTGTACTCTTTTTTTGTCTTCTCCCAGGCTGGAGTACAGTGGTGCTATCATGGTTCACTGCAGCCTCCAACTCCTGGGTTCAAGCAGTCCTCCCACCTCAGCCTCCCGAGTAGCTGGGATTATAGGTGTGCACCACCATGCCCAGCTAATTTTTTTTTTTGAGATGGAGTCTCCCAACTGTTGCCCAGACTGGAGTGCAATGGTGCGATCTCGGCTCAAAGCAACCTCCGCCTCCCAGGTTCAAGCGATTCTCCTGTCTCGGCCTCCCAAGTAGCTGGGATTACAGGCACATGCCACCGCACTCTGCTAATTTTTGTGTTTTTAGTAGAGATGAGGTTTTTCCATGTGAGCCAGGCTGCTCTAGAACTCCTGGGCACAAGTGATCCGTCCACCTTGGCCTCTCAAAATGCTGGGATTACAGGCGTGAGCCACTGCCCCTGGCCTGACTGTAGGATTTATCAGGCTTTACCCTGTCTAAGTTTATGGGTTTCTGCTCCTACCAGGAAGGTCCTACTCTTTCCCTGCTTTTCTCAGTGTTCCTACCTTTCAATAATAAAAAAACAATTGGCCGGGCGCGGTGGCTCACGCCTGTAATCCCAGCACTTTGGGAGGCCGAGGTGGGCGGATCAGTTGAGCTCAGGTGTTCAAGACCAGCCTGGCCAACATGGTGAAACCCCGTCTCTACAATACTACAAAAATAGCCAGGCATGACAGTGTGTGCCTGTACTCCCAGCTACTGGGGAGGCTGAGGCGGGAGAATTACTTGATCCCTGAAGACTAAGGTTGCAGTGAGCCGAGATCACACCATTGCACTGCAGCCTGGGCAACTGAGAAAGACTCCATCTCAAATAAATAAATAGTTAATTAATTAAAAAAACAATTGTAATGTGAAAGGCTTGGTCGCTCGAATCTGAAGTCCAAGCTAGTCAGGAGGCTGAAGCCGGACAGTTGCTTGAGCCCAGGAGAATAGCCCGGGCAATACAGTGATATCCTGTTCCCCTCCTCCGATAAAAAACAATTATAATCCTTGGGAAGACAAATTTTAGTATAATATACTTTTTTTGTTTTTTGAGATAGGGACTCTGTCACTCAGGCTGGAGTGCAGTGGTGCGATCTTGGCTCATTGCAGACTCAATCGCCTGGACTCAGGTGATTCTCCCACCTCAACCTCCCAAGTAGCTGGGACTACAGGCATGTGCCACCATGCCCGGCTTGTTTTCTTTTGTTTTTTGAGATGGACTCTCCCTCTGTCGCCCAGGCTGGAGTGCAGTGGCACGATCTCGGCTCACTGCAAGCTCCGCCTCCCGGGTTCACTCCATTCTCCTGCCTCAGCCTCCTGAGTAGCTGGGACTACAGGCGCCCGCCGCATGCCCCACTAATTTTTTTTTTGTATTTTTAGTAGAGACGGGGTTTCACCGTGTTAGCCAGGATGGTCTCGATCTCCTGACCTTGTGATCCGCCCGCCTCAGCCTCCCAAATTGCTGGGATTACAGGTGTGAGCCACTGCGCCCGGCCGAAGGATTTTAAGTAGGATAGTGATATACAGTCCGACTTCTGTATCTGCAGATGCAAAGAACTACAGATGGAAAATATTTGGGAAAAAAGACAATACAACTATAAAAAACAATACAGTTTAACAATTATTTACATTGTATTAGGTATTAAAAGTAATCTAGAGATGATTTAAAGTGCATGAGATGATGTGCATAGATTATTTGCATTTAAATCATCACAATAATAATTATATGCATTTTTTTTTGAGACCAAGTCTTGCTCTGTCACCAGGCTGGAGTGCAGTGGCGTGATCTCAGCTCACTGCAAACTCCGCCTCCCAGGTTCAAAGGATTCTCCTGCCTCAGCCTCCTGAGTAACTGGGACTACAGGTGCATGCCACCACACCCAGCTAAGTTTTGTATTTTTAGTAGAGATGGGGTTTCACCATGTTGGCCAAGATGGTCTGGATCTCTTGACCTCGTGATCTGCCCGTCTTGGCCTCGCAAAGTTCTGGGATTACAGGCATAAGCCACTGCACCCAGACTATATGCATTTTATATAAGGGACTTGAGTATCCCTGAATTTTGTTATCTAAGAAGGGGTCTGGGAACCAGTCCCCTGGGGATGGCAAGGGACTGCTGTATGTCACATGGATGCCCTGACAGCAGTGTGGGATGAATTGTAGAGAGCAAAGACTGGAGGAGGAAGGAAGTGGAAAGGAACACGAGAAAAACAGAAAAAAAAAAAAACTAGTTCTCACTGGGGAAAGAAAGCAACATAATTCATCAAGTATGAAAAGCAAGGCACGAAGGCTTTTTCACTTAATCTGCATAATAAACACATATTGCTATTCTCTTTTTTTTTTTGAGACAAAGTCTCACTCTCGTCCCCCAGGCTGGAGTGCAATGGCGCAATCTTGGCTCACTGCAACCTCTGCCTCCTGGGTTCAAGCGATTCTCCTGCCTCAGCCTCCCAAGTAGCTGGGATTATAGGCACCTGCCACCACGCCAGGCTAATTTTTGTATTTTTAGTACAGACAGGGTTTCACCATATTGGCCAGGTGGTCCCAAACTCCCGATCTCAGGTGATCCGCCCTCCTTTGCCTCCCAAAGTGCTGGGATTACAGACATGAGCCACCGGGCCCGGCCAAATATTGCTATTCTCTTATGTATGAGACTCTAAGAACAGAGTCTCATACAAGTCTCAAGGTCACAACAGGTACTGAGTAGCCAACTCAGGATTTAAAGCTGATTTTGTTGTTACAGGAACGGCAAAAAATAAATAAATAATGTGCTTGTGATGTCATGTACATTCAGAATTTTTATTTTAAAACAAAGAATCAAACAAACAATAATGGAAAATCCATATGGAAATATTCACAATCTTCTCAGTGAGAAATAGGAAAACAACTTCCCTGCCTTACTGCCAAACTGAGGAGCCAGAAGTTGACGTGAAGTTGGAAGGCCACCTTTCCAGCTAAACCCCACTCCATAGCTACGTGCATTTTTATTCAAAGGCTCCAGGAGCAGAGGGAACAGTGAGAACTGAGAACCAAAATACTGTCACTGGCAAGGGTTTGGCTAAAGGGTCTGAGATGTGTAAGCACCAAGAAGGGAAAGGGAGACTGAGCAACATATGAAAAAGGGGCTGTAGGAACAAACACAGAGAAAATAAGTCAACAATAACATACTTCCACCCAGAGCAAAGTGACAGTGCACATACATTCATCCTCTCAAGTGTGGGCTGCACTGCACATTGACTCATACTGTCTAAACCTGGTTTATTGGAAAGATTCAAGTCCCCTGAGGGCATTCGGCATAGGACCACAGTGACATGGTAACAGACATACGCAAGCGTGCCGTGAGCCTAAAGCAACAACACACTTTAGATAATAATCGCTCAGAAAAAAATCCTCTCCCAGAGCTGAGGTTACAAATTCCAAGTTTGCTGTAAACATTCTTTGGGGAATTCCTTTAAAGGTATGAGTTAAAATAAAACAGAAAATCAACACCTAAAATCTCCTAAAGAACAAAGTGGAGAAATAATGAATCTCTACCAAGAACCAATTATTTTAGGTTTCTCATTTGGATGGCTCTCCCACTAGATAGGTGGCGGGATTACTTCAAAAGTAATGAGACTACTACAAGGAGTTATTTCGTCCAGTGAGGGGAACAGGCTTTCTAGAAATCACTTTCTCTTCCCTGGACTCCATCCAAAATTAGAACCCATCAACCGCCATTAACTACAATGCCCATATTAGTTAATAATCCTAGATTTCAAGTACTACTACATGTAAACTATTATCTTAAAGATAAAGTTCCAAAGGAAATGAGTAGCTTTATTAAATAGGCATACAACTTTTCTGAGAAATCAAAGAGTTTCCATCTGAAGGACAGAAATTGTTAAGAGGTAATGTACAGACCTCAGGCACCACATCATTTACCCTCCAATAATGAACAACATTTCTCCCTGAATTCTTATTGCACCTTAACCTCTCCAGCATCAAATCTTTTACTCTATAACCTCTCTTTAAACACCTCCCTCTAATCTCAATTTCCTTCTGTTTTTATTATTTGGCAAAATTACACTTAAAAAATAAATATTTATGTAATTAAACCAGAGGATAAGATAAATAAAACTCAAGTTAATTTGCCGCGTAGAGCTG
Source organism: Homo sapiens (assembly GCF_000001405.40). Classification (NCBI taxonomy): domain Eukaryota; kingdom Metazoa; phylum Chordata; class Mammalia; order Primates; family Hominidae; genus Homo; species Homo sapiens. Next base: position 7,813,877 of record NC_000012.12, read on the forward strand.
TATGGAAGTGAGGAAGGTGCTCTTACATAAACACCCTCCGGCTTCCACACTCATATGTATCTGCTTCCTGGTAAGTCTGAGGTTGGGGCAACTGCACCTTACTTTTCCTCTCCTATATCCTCTAGTGCGGCAATATCAGAACCCAAGGGAGGAAAAGCTGGCAAAGTTGTCATGTGCCAAGCGGCCAATCCCTCCTGAAATGAAGGTAGGTTCACTCGGTCTCTCCTAAGCAGAAGAGGATGTCCAGGAAATAAAATTTAAAAAGCCATTGAAGATCCAACAAACTGCAGCCTTGGGGTGCTCATGGAGTGCGTGGGATGAGAAAGAAATCAAGTAGCAGCATTCAGAAGCAGTCCTGGGTTCATCCTGATAAAGTCTCTCCCTTGTTGAGGGAGAGGTGGCTTTCCCATGCCGGGAGGGAGGTGGAAGGAGGCATGACTTAGACATTGGTGGTGGTCTCCTTAGCAGGCTCGATGCTGTTCATCCCCATGACGCCGTCCTTCCCAGATCTATCTGCACCGTGTGCCTGCCCTTCAAAGGCCCGTGTGATATCCTCAAAAGTCCTGCCACGGGTCTCAGGGACTTTGAAGAAGGTAAAGGCCAAGAAGGTAATGAGGAAGCCGGTGAAGATAATAAAAACGTAGGCTCCTAAATAGTACTAGTGAAAGGACAGAAAAAAGGAAGGTTGATATAAAAATCTGGTCATTGACAAATACAATTTCCTTCACATTCATATTTCCAATAGGCTTCAAGCTATAACCCTTCCATATTTAATGAAAACATAAAGGTTTCTTCAGAGATTTACTTATGATTCTATTGCTAACTTACTATATTTCTCTGTATTTTTCTTTCTGTCATTTTTTTTCATTAAAGTTAGATGCTTCCAAATGTCTACTGAGTATTTTTGGACTTTTGAGTATTATTATTATTATTATTATTTGGAGATGGAGTCTCACTCTGTCACCCAGGCTGGAGCGCAATGGCAGGATCTCGGCTCACTGCAACCTCCTCCTCTTGGGTTCAAGCGATTCTCCTGTCTCAGCCTCCTGAGTAGCTGGGACTACAGGTGCCCACCAGCACGCCTGGCTAATTTTTGTATTTTTAGCAGAGATGGGGTTTCACCATATTGGCCAGGCTGGTCTCAAACTCCTGACCTTGTAATCTGCCTGCCTTGGCCTCCCAAAGTGCTGGGATTACAGGCGTGAGCCACTGCACCTGGCCTTGAGTATTATTTTTAAAATCTGTGTTGCTGAGCTGGGTGTGGTGGCTCATGCCTGTAATCCCAGCACTTTTAGAGGCTGAGGCAGGTGGATCCCTTGAGGCCAGGAGTTTGAGACCAGCCTGGCCAACATGGCAAAACCCCGTCTCTACTAAAAATACAAAAAAAAAAATTGCTGGGAGTGGTGGCACGTGCCTGTAATCCTAGCTACTCAGGAGGCTGAGGCAAGAGAACCACTTGATCCCAGGAGGCAGAGGTTGCAGTGAGCCGAGAGTGAGCCACTGCATTCCACCGTGGGCAACAAAGTGAGACTCCGTCTCAAATAATAAAAAATGAATGGTTCCCAGTTTTGCCATCCCATTTCAATCTTTTCTGCCGTCATTTTTTTTCTATGTATTGTTGAAAATCTGGTTTATAGCCTTTGATGTCTAATCTTTCATAGCGTCAGTAATTACAGTAGTCCCCAGTTATCCAGTTTTGTTTTGTTTTGTTTTTTTTGAGACGGAGTTTCGCTCTTGTTGCCCAGGCTGGAGTGCAATGGCATGAGCTCCGCTCACAGCATCCTCCGCCTCCCAGGTTCAAGCGATTCTCCTGCCTCAGCCTCCTGAGTAGCTGGGATTACAGGTATGCACCACCAAACCTGGCAAATTTTGTATTTTTAGTAGAGGTGGGGATTTTCCATGTTGGTCAGGCTGGTCTTGCACTCCCAACCTCAGGTGATCCTCTCGCCTTGGTCTCCCAAAGTGCTGGGATTACAGGTGTGAGCCACCGTGCCTGGCCAGTTTTGTTTTTTTTTGTTTTTTTGTTTTTGTTTTTGTTTTTGAGATGGAGTTTTGCTCTTATTGCCCAGGCTTGAGTGCAATGGTGCAAGCTTGGCTCACTGCAACCTCTGCCTCCCATGTTCAAGCAATTCTCCTGCCTCAGCCTCCCAAGTACCTGAGATTACAGGCGCCTGCCACCACACCCAGCTAATTTCTTGAATTTTTATTTTTTATTTTTTTTATTTTTTTTATTTTTTTTGAGACGGAGTCTCGCTCTGTCGCCCAGGCCGGACTGCGGACTGCAGTGGCGCAATCTCGGCTCACTGCAAGCTCCGCTTCCCGGGTTCACGCCATTCTCCTGCCTCAGCCTCCCGAGTAGCTGGGACTACAGGCGCCCGCCACCGCTCCCGGCTAATTTTTTGTATTTTTAGTAGAGACGGGGTTTCACCTTGTTAGCCAGGATGGTCTCGATCTCCTGACCTCATGATCCACCCGCCTCGGCCTCCCAAAGTGCTGGGATTACAGGCGTGAGCCACCGCGCCCGGCCATTTCTTGAATTTTTAGTAGAGACGGGGTTTCTCGATATTGGCCAGGCTGGTCTCGAACTCCTGACCTCATGATCCTCCCACCTCAGCCTCCCAAAGTGCTGGGATTACAGGCGTGAGCCATCTCACCCATCTTCTTTTTTCTTCTTCACAATTTTATGGACAAAAGATATATTCTTAAACTGGGCACCATGGTGCCTGCCTGTAATCCCAGCACTTTGGGAGGCTGAGGTGGGAGGATCACTTGAACCCAGGAGTTTGAGACCAGCCTGGCCAACATAGCAAGCCCCTGTCTCTATTCGTAAATTGTTTTGTTTTGTTTTTGAGATGGAGTCTAGCTCTGTCACCCAGGCTGGAGTGTCATGGCAAGATCTTGGCTCACCACGAACTCCACCTCCTGGTTTCAAGCGATTCTCCTGCCTCAGCCTCCCGAGTAGCTAGGACTACAGGTTTGTGCCACCACGCCTGGCTAATTTTTGTATGTTTAGCAGAGATGGTGTTTCACCAGATGGTCAGGCTAATCTCGAACTCTTGACTGCAAGTGATCCGCCCACCTCCACCTCCCAAAGTCCTAGGATTACCGGCTTTGAGCCACTGCTCCCGGGTGCAATTTAAAACTTATGATTTGTTTATTTCTGGAATTTTCCATTTAATATTTTTAGACTGCAGGTAACTGAAACTGCAGATGAGGAGGGACTACTGTATTACTATTATTATTATATATATTTTTTGAGACGGAGTTTCTGTCTTGTTGCCCAGGCTGGAGTGCAATGGCCCGATCTCAGCTCACCGCAACCTCTGCCTCCTGGGCTCAAGCGATTCTCCTGCCTCAGCCTCCCAAGTAGTTTGGATTACAGGCATGCGCCACCATGCCCGGCTAATTTTGCATTTTTAGTAGAGACAGGGTTTCTCCATGTTGGTCAGAGTGGTCTCTACCTCCCGACCTCAGGTGATCTGCCTGCCTCAGCCGCCCAAAGTGCTGGGATTACAGGAGTGAGCCACCTCGCCCAGCCTGACTACTGTATTATTAAGGTGTATCTTCAATATGTCAGCCTACGTAGGCTGGTTTTAAGATAAGGTGAGTTGGCCGGGCATGGTGGCTCACGCCTGTAATCCCAGCACTTTGGGAGGCCAAGGCGGGCAGATTACCAGGTCAAGAGATCATGACCATCCTGGCCAACATGGGGAAACCCCATCTCTACTAAACATACAAAAATTAGCTGGGCACGGTGGCGGGTGCCTGTAGTCCCAGCTACTCAGGAGGCTGAGGCAGAAGAATCGCTTGTCAGTGAGCTGAGATCGGGCAACTGCACACCAGGGCGAGACTCAGTCTCAAAAATATATATATATATAGATAGATAGATAGATAGATAGATAGACAGATACATAGATAGATACATAGATACATAGATAAGGTGAGTTTACTTACAGCAGCAGAGGGGAAGAGCAATCCGACTAGGAAGTTGGAGGTCCAGTTGGAGCAGCCGGCCACTGCCATCGCAGCTGGGCGGGGGCCCTGGCTGAAGAGTTCGGCCACAATAAACCAGGGAATGGGGCCTGGTCCAATTTCAAAACAGGCCACAAAGACCAAGATAGCCCCAATACAGACAAAGCTCATCCCATTATAGTGATTCTGTAAGAGGAAGGAACACAGAAGATTAAATTTAAAGACAGTGTAACCCAGGATCTAGGTTCCCAGAGGCAACTAATGGCAAGCTCCTCCTGTCCTGACGTACAATACAAAGAGTGGCTGTGGAATCAAAAGGCTTGGATTTATTTTTATTTTTATATTTATTTTTTGAGACGGGGTCTTACTCTGTTGCCCAGGCTAGAGTGCAGTGGTGCTATAACAGCTCACTGCATCATCGACCTCCTGGGCTTAAGCAATCCTCCCACCTCAGCCTCTCAAATAGCTGGGACTTGAGGCATGTGCCACCACACCTGGCTAATTAAACAAAAGGTTTTCGTTGTTTTTTTGGCTGGGCACTGTGGCTCACGCCTATAGTCCCAGCACTTTGGGAGGGTGAAGTGAGTGGATTATTTGAGGTCAGGAGTTGGAGACCAGCCTGGCCAACATGGTGAAACCCTGTCTCTACTAAAAAACACAAAAATTAGCTGGGTGTGGTGGCGCATGCCTGTAATCCCAGCTACCAGGGAGGCTGAGGCAGGAGAATCAATGAAGCCTGGGAGGCAGAGATTGCAGTGAGCCAAGATGGCGACATTGCACTCCCAACTGGGTGACACAGCAAGACCCTGTCTCAAAAAACAAAAAACAAAAACAAAAAAATACTTTTTTTTTTTTTAGAGACAGTTTCTTGCCATGTTGCCTAGGCTGGTCTTGAACTTCTGGGCTCAAGCAATCCTCTCACCTTGGCCTCCCAAAGTGTTAAGATGACAGGAATGAAGCACTGCACCCAGCCAGGCTTGGATTTTTGAATCCCATCTATGTGATCTCATATATGTCACTTTGTACTGAGACCCCGTCATCATCCATAAAGTGTGATTACCTTGATATTATTTTAAGAATTAAATTAGGCAGGGCACAGTGGCTCATGCCTGTAATCCCAGCACTTTGGGAGGCTGAGGCAGGTGGATCACCTGAGGTTGGGAGTTCGAGACCAGTCTGACCAACATGGAGAAACCCTGTCTCTACTAAAAATAAAAAATTAGCTGGGCGTGGAGGTGCATGCCTGTAATCACAGCTACTCGGGAGGCTGATGCAGGAGAATCACTTGAACCCAGGAGGTAGAGGTTGTGGTGAGCTGAGATTGCACCACTGCACTCCAGCCTGGGCAACAAGAGCAAAACTCCGTCTCAAACAAACAAACAAACAAACAAAAGAATTAAATTAGATAACTTATTTTATAAACCATAATAATGTTCTCTAAATGTAAAGATTCTAACAGTTTACCTCCAGTTCTCTGATGACCCATGTTTCTTAAAAACTCTGGGCATCTTGCTTCTCTCCTCTGACTTTATTGACAAACTGCAACCTTAACAACCCACCCCTTGTGTCACAGAAGTCAACTGTAACCTCTCTTCTTTCCCCCTCCCTTTTTTTTCACCCAAAGAGCACTTACCTTTAATAACAAAGAAACAGTCATGAGCGTGGAACAAAAAGCCATCCCTCCAAGGCCTATCATATGCAGAGTCCTTCTTCCTGCCCTTTCCACCAGAAATAGCTGGAAGAAGAATATGACATGAAACTTCAGTTTTCCTTTCCATGAAAACAGCATCTGAGCTACTTGAAATCTGCCTTACCAACAGCAGGACACTTGTTATGGATACCCCTCCTGTGATTTATGATTTTATATACATACATATTGTGTGCCATTCACAGGTCCTGGCTCAAAATCCCCATAGCCCTTGGTAGAGTCTTTTGTCATAATGTTGGGATGCTTCAGGCCTCAGGAGCAGGCCTCAGATAACAGAATTCTTCTCTGACTTTCTCCTGCCCTCCCACTTGGCAGGACGCTAATCTGACTGTGGGTCATAAAACCCTCATTTCAGAGAGGGTCCTGCCCCACACCCTAGAGGAAGAAACGCTACAGAGAGGCCAACAAATCATCTAAGCAGACAGGCCCAGCTGGGTTCAGATCATTCCCTTTTTGTCCAATCACAGGTCAGAACAGTTGTCCATGCTTCAATCATGGAGAACCAATTAAGTCTGCATAAAAGGCCCAAAAGGTAGGGTATGGGGAGCTTCCAGATATCTGAACCCGTGGAAGCTGACAGGAAGGTCAGCAACAACTCATCTATGTGCTAGGAGTGCACCCCAACCCCACAGAGACAGAAGCTCCCATGCTCAGGATCCCTCCAGACCTCGCCCTGTGAATCTCTTCATCTGGTTGTGTATTTCTGTGCTTTAAAATATCCTTTAAATCAAACTAGGAAACAATTTTCCTGAGTACTGTGAGCCACTGTAGCAAATTAATCAAACCCAAAGAGGATGTCGTGGGAATCCTGATCTACAGCTGGTGAGTCAGAAGCACAGGTAAAACAACCTGGAGCTTGTGACTGGCATCAGGAGTTGGGGGCAGTCTTGGGAAATCGGCCACCAACCTGTGAGCTCTGATGCTATCTCCAGGTAGTGTCAGAATTAAATCACAGGACACCTAGATAGTGTCCACTACGGAACTGATTGCTTACTTGATGGGGACAAATCCTTATATATTTTGGGGGTCACAGAAATCTTCTGTTATTATTGTTGTTTTAGTGTAAAAACAGAGGAATAACAGTTTGAAAGTTTTTCCAAACACCTCTCCTCCAATTCCAAGTTCAAAACATACTGTATAGTCCCTTCTATACTTCCTCTTTTCCCATCCATCCATATTTGCTTGAAGAATGAAGACTACATTCAGCATTGAATGTATCTCTTTTTTCCAAAGGAAAATTAAACAACAGTCCGGGCACGCTGGCTCACACCTGTAATCCCAGTACTTTGGGAGGCCTAGGCAGGTGGATCACCAGAGGTCAGGAGTTCAAGACCAGCCTGGCCAACATGGCGAAACCCCGTCTCTACTAAAAATACAAAAATGAGTTGGGCGTGGTGGCGCACACCTGTATCCGAGCTACTTCGGAAGGCTGAGGCAGGAGAATCACTTGAACCCAGGAGGCTGAGGTTGCAGTGAGCCGAGATTGCACCACTGCACTCCAGCCTGGGCAACAGAGCAAGACTCTGTCTCAAAAAATTTAAAAAAATAAAAATAAATAACAAAAAAGGTGTAACTAAATAACGGTGGAGCCATGCAATCCATCTTTGAACATCTGTAGCAAGGATTCATTTCTCCCCCCAAAATTATCAAACCATCCAACTTACAGAAAGTAAAGTGAAGATAGTATTAACCACACCCGCGCTGATGGTGGCATAGATGGGCTGTTGAACACCTGCATCCTTGAAGATTCCTGTTGAGTAATAGAACACCTAGGAGAAAAGAAAACATGCAGCTTTGATAAAATTCTGCACACCACTTACACAGAACCCTCAAAAAATACTTAAGGCTGAGCGTGGTTGCACAGGCCTGTAATCCCAGCACTTTGGGAGGCCAAGGCAAGCAGATCGCCTGAGGTCAGGAGTTTGAGACCAGCCTGGCCAATATGGTGAAACCCTGTTTCTACTAAAAATATAAAAATTAGCTAGGCATGGTGGCACACACCTGTAGTCCCAGCTACTTGGGAGGCCAGACAGAACAAGACTCTGTCACCATAAAATAAAATTTAAAAAATACTTAAAAGTCCCAGGAGGTAAGAAGTCCTTTTACTACAATTTTTGTTCAATCCTAATATCCCTGAATTATCTTCTGAATCTTATCTCCTTTCTCTTTTTCTTTTTTGACGGAGTCTCAATCTGTCACCCAGGCTGGAGTGCAGTGGCACGATTACAGGCTCCTGCCACCGCGCCCAGCTAATTTTTGTATTTCTTTCTTTTTTTTTTTTTTTTTGAGATGGAGTCTCTCTCTGTTGCCCAGGCTGGAATGCAGTGGCACGATCTCGGCTCACTGCAACCTCTACCTCCCGGGTTCAAGCGATTCTCCTGCCTCAGCCTCCCAAGTAGCTGGGATTACAGGCATGTGCCACCAGGCCTGGCTAATTTTTTGTATTTTTAGTAGAGGCAGGGTTTCACCATGTTAGCCAGGATGTTCTTGATCTCCTGACCTCATGATCCGCCCGCCTCGGCCTCCCAAAGTGCTGGGATTACAGGCGTGAGCCACCACGCCTGGCCAATTTTTGTATTTTTTTAGTAGAGACATGGTTTCGCCATGTTGGCCAGGTTGGTCTTGAACTCCTGACCTTGTGATCCACCCACCTCAGCCTCCCAAAGCGCTAGGATTACAGGCGTGAGCCACTGCACCTCGCCCTCCTTTCTCTTTTTAAATGTTCTCAATTTTAGCTACTAATGTCCATTGTTGCTTCTAACTATGCTTATTCCCACTGTTCCATTTCCTCTTGCTTATGTCTACTTCACCAACTTATATGAAGGTGTAGGCTGGGTGCAGTGGCTCACGCCTGCAATCCCAGCACTTTGGGAGGCCGAGGCGGGCAGATCACGAGGTCAGGAGATCGAGACCATCCTGGCTAACGTGGTGAAACCGTCTCTACTAAAAATACAAAAACAAAATTAGCCAGGCGTGGTGGCGGGCGCCTGTAGTCCCAGCTACTGGGGAGGCTGAGGCAGGAGAATGGCGTGAACCTGGGAGGCAGAGCTTGCAGTGAGCCGAGATGGTGCCACTGCACTCCAGCCTGGGCAACAGAGCGAGACTCCATCTCAAAAAAAAAAAAAAAAGAAAGTGTAATTCCTACTAACTGGTTTCTTTTTTATAAGTTGAGACAGCAACTCACTATGTTGCCCAGGCTGGTCCTAAACTCTTGGTCTCCAAGTGATCCTCCTGCCTCTCAGCCTCCCAAGTTGCTGGGATTATAGGCATGTGCCATCAGGCCCAGCTAAATGCTTTTTTAATTGACTCTTCCCCAAACCCTCAAAACACTGATAGGCACATTGATGTCTCAATTTGATAGTGAACTAATTGAATAACCTTATCCTGCTCCTTGAATAAGCAGAGATTGGGCTGTATTTCCTAGGCCTAGGCCCTTTTGAAGTGTTTTATGAAATAATACCAGCTACTATTGCAATTTAATATATATTAAATAAATTACTATGTTTGTTATTTACTAGGCACTGCGCTAAAATGTAAGGTTGCTGGCCGAGCACAGTGGTTCATTCCTGTAATCCCAGCAATTTGGGAGCCCAAGGCTGGTGGATAACCTGAGGTCAGGAGTTCAAGACCAGCCTAGCCAACATGGTGAAACCCTGTCTGTAATAAAAATAAAAAAATTAGCTGGGTGTGGTGGTGGGTACCTATAATCCCAGCTGCTTGGGAGGCTGAGGCAGGAGAATCGCTTGAGCCTGGGAGGTGGAGGTTGCAGTGAACTGAGATTGTGCCACTGCACTCTAGCCTGGGCAACAGAGCGAGACTCCATATCAAAAAAAAAAAAGAAAAAAAAAGTAAGGTTGCTACAACTATCACAGCTATGAGAAACTGGCCATGCGCAGTGGCTCACGCCTCTAATCCCAGCAATTTGGGAGGCCAAGGCGGGCAGATCACCTTAGGTTGGAGTTCAAGACCACCCTGACAACATGGAGAAACCCCGTCTCTATTAAAAATACAAAATTAGTAGGGCATGGTGGCGCATGCCTGTAATCCCAGCTACTCGGGAAGCTGAGGCAGGAGAATCAATTGAACCCGGGAGGTGGAGGTTGCGGTGAGCCGAGATCGCACCAGTGCACCCCAGCCTGGGCAATAAGAGCGAAACTCCGTCTCAAAAAAAAAGAAAAGAAATATTGAAATATTGGACTCAGACCTCAAGTTAACAAGGGAACATTATCTAGGTTACCCAGGTTCACTTCAGTTTATTTCACCCAGAGTAGTTGCCTCCATAGCAATATTTATTAGTCTTTTTGATAATATGGACCTCTACATTGGGATTTACCTTCTCAAGAAATAACTATTTAAATCCCTAAGATGTAAGATGTAAACTATGTATACTTATATTTTCTAAAATAAGATTATAATTGGCCAGGCGCAGTTGCTCACGACTGTAATCCCAGCACATTGGGAGGCTGAGGTGAGTGGATCATCTGAGGTCAGGAGTTCAAGGCCAGGCTGACCAACAAGGTGAAACCCTGTCTCTATTAAAAATACAAAAATCAGCCGGGTGTGGTGGCAGGTGCCTGTAGTCCCAGCTACTCAGGAGGCTGAGACAGGAGAATTGCTTGAACCTGGGAGGCAGAGGTTGCAGTGAGCCGAGATCGAGCCACTGCACTCCAGCCTGGGCAACGGAGTAAGACTCTGTCTCAAAACAAAACAAAACAAAACCTCAACATATTATATGATGACGTCAAGCTTGTGGGGAAAGATATTAGGTTGGTACAAAAGTAATTACTTGAGCAGTTTAAACAAGCAATAAATAGTTATCACAATTATCTACCTTATCACAATGTCTACACATCAAAAACCTAATGTACATGTACACATCTCAATAAAACTTCTTGGGCCAGGTGAGGTGGCTCACACCTGTAATCCCAGCACTCTGGGAGGCATAGGCGGGCAGATCACTTGAGGTCAGGAGTTCGAGACCAGCCTGACTAACCTGGAAAAACCCTGTCTCTACTAAAAACACAAAATTAGCCAGGCGAAGTGGTGCACGCCTGTAATCCCAGCTACTCAGAAGGCTGAGGCAGGAGAATCACTTGAACCCAGGAGGTGGAAGTTGCAGTGAGCCGAGATTGTGCCACTACACTCCAGCCGGGGTGACAGAGACTCTGTCTCAAAAAAAAAAAAAAAAAAGAATACATTGTTTGCACAAAAGTAGGTTGGAAAAGTGATTTCCAAGCCTGCTATGCATCAGACTGATTGATTGATTGATTGATTTTTAGATGGTGCATCCACCACGCCCGGCTAATTTTTATATTTTTAGTAGAGACAGGCTTTTGCCATGTTGGTCAGGCTGGTCTCGAACTCCTGATCTCAGGTGATCTGCCAGCCTCAGCCTCCCACAGTGCTGGGATTAGAGGCATGAGCCACTGTCCCCGGCCCAGATTTATTTTTTTACAGGCAATTTCCAGCCCTCTTACACGGAGACTCTGGATTCAGCTGACTCAGGAATCCCATCCCCCATAATTCCGGTGCAGCTAACTTTGGGTGATGATTATATGTGGAGCAAAATCTGCTCATTGACTAAATTGGGAGCCACTTTAGTCCAACAATAATTAAGGTATAGGCTGGGCATGGTGGCTCATGCCTGTAATCCTAGCACTTTGGGAGGCCGAGGCGGGTGGATCACTTGAAGCCAGGAGTTCAAGACCAGACTGGTCAACATGGTGAAAGCCCGTCTCTACTAAAAATACAAAATTAGCTGTGTGTGGTGTCGGCCGCCTGTAATTCCAGCTACTTGGGAGGCTGAGGCAGGAGAATCACTTGAACCCAGGAGGTAGAGGTTGCTATGAGCTGATATTGCGCTACTGCACTCTAGCCTGGGCGACAGAGCAAGACTACCTCTCAAAAAAAAAAAAAGAAAGAGCAAGCCAGGCGCGGTGGCTCATGCCTGTAATCCCAGCACTTTGGGAGGCCGAGGCGGGCAGATCACAAAGTCAGGAGATTGAGACTATCTTGGCTAACACACAGAAACCCAATCTCTACTAAAAATGCAAAAAATTAGCTGGGCATGGTGGCACGTGCCTGTAGTCCCAGCTACTTGGGAGGCTGAGGCAGAAGAATCGCTTGAACCCGGAGGCAGAGGTTGCAGTGAGCCAAGATTGCATCACTGCACTCTAGCCTGGGTGACAAAGTGAGACTCCTCTGTCTCACAAAAAAAAAAAAAAAGAAAGAAAAGAAAAGAAAGAAAGAAAGTATGCACATACCACTCTGAAGTGGGAGGAGTCTGTTCCTCAGAATGCTCATGGATCATCTGTAATTTCCCACAGGTGATTTTTTTCTGACCCTGTTTTGCAGGGCCCAGACTGTGGTGAGGCAGCTAGGGAGTTGCCTCAGGTGCATTCTTTTATTCTTTCTTTTTTTTTTTAAACAGGCACAGAACTAACGCAAGGTACATTCTTTAAAGAGGTGCTCATTCTCAGGGCTACACTTGCACGTAGCTGCCTCACCTGCCTAGTCCCAGCTCTGCTGCTCTGGAAAGTCTCGGGAGCACATTTTTCTCCAGTAATACGTGTGGCCTACATTATCATTTCCAAATGAGGAAATTTGAGACTGGGATTCATCAAAATCACCTAGGAGGCTTTTTCTAACTACTGTGTATTTCCTCCCAAGTTTTTTTTTTTTTTAAGACAGGGTCATGCTATATTGCCCAGGCTTGACTCCTTGGCTTAAGTGATATTCCCACCTCAACCTCTGAGTAGTAACTGGGACTACAGGCATGAGCAGCCACCACACCTGGCTCCTTGTACATTCTGATAAAACAGCTTCTAACCCCTCACAAGAAGCACTGCCACTTCAAATACAAATATCTGGTGTGTTAGGTAGGAGAAAAGGCCAAGAACCAACTTAGTATTAAAATGCTCAAAATACTAAGTTTTGCAAAATGCTTTGTTACAAAATGATTTAATCCCATTGATCAAAGACTAATGGAAAACCCTCAGGGGATGAAGTACAAGGGTGCTCTTCATATCCGTATTTTATCCACAATTGACTAGAAGGCACAGGAGTACTCTCTTCCCACAATCCACACTCAATAGCAGGAAGCTGATATTTGCATGGAATACAAGGGTTACCTGTCAAATGCTAGCTTCTGTTTTGCCGCCCTCTTTAAACTATCATGCTCCCTATTCTACTTGTAAAAACATAGAGACTGGTAAAGTCAGCTCAGTCTGAAGTTGCCAGTGTACTTCCAGGCTCGCTCTTTTTTCTTTCTTTCTTTCTTTCCTTCCTTCCTTCCTTCCTTTCTTTTTTCTTTCTTTCTTTCTTTCTTTCTTTCTTTCTTTCTTTCTTTCTTTCTTTCTTTTTCCTTTTTCTTTCCTTTCCTTTCCTTTCTTTCCTTTCTTCTCTCTCTTTCTCTCTCTCTTTCTCTCCTTTCTCTCTTTCTCTCCTTTCTCTCTCTCTCTTTCTCTCCTTTCTCTCTCTTTCTCTCCTTTCTCTCTCTCTCTTTCTTTCTCTCTCTCTCTTTCTTTCTTTCTTTCTTTCTCTTTCTTTCTTTCTTTCTTTTTATTTCTTTCTATAAGGAGTTCTGCCCTGGTTGCTCCGGCTGGAGTGCAATGGCGCAATCTCCACTCACTGCAACCTCCGCCTCCCAGATCCAAGAAATTCTCCGGCCTCAGCCTCCTGAGTAGCGCACCACCACGTCCAGCTAATTTTTGTCTTTTTTTTTTTTTTTTTTTTTTAGACGAAGTTTCTCACTCTGTCACCCAGGCTAGAGTGCAATGGCGCAATCTCAGCTCACTGCAACCTTCGCCTCCCGGGTTCAAGCGATTCTCCTGCCTCAGCCTCCTGAGTAGCTGGGACTACAGAGGCACACCGCCACCATGCCTGGCATTTTAAGTGAAATATTGTAAGACACGTTTGACCCTAAAGTATCACACTCACAGCATTGATCCCAGAGAGCTGCTGAGAGAGCTGGAGCACAATGGAAATGATGATGGGCTGTCGGTAGCTGGACACTCTAAAGAGCTCCAGCACGGTGACTTGCTTTTCTTGTGACATCCTTGCACTCTCATCTTTCATCTCCTGGATGTCTTGGGATACATCCTGGGTGCCCCACAACCGCTGGAGGACTGGTGAAAAGAAGAAAGAGGAAAGGATAAAGAGAATGTGCTGCCCCAAATTCATTCTTCCTGTAAGGCAGCCAGGAAAGGGCCGCACGAGGTGAGGTGATGGGTAGCATCCATTCCTGAACCTGCCCTCTCACCTCATTCTTTAGGGGCTGAAAATTTTACTCAAGAGTAATCAGAGCCCAGTGCGGTGGCTCGTGCCTGTAATCCCAGCATTTTGTGAGGCCGAGGCTTGTGGATCACCTGAGGTGAGTTTGAGACCAGCCTGGCCAACATGGTGAAAGCCCATCTCTAATAAAAATACAAATTAGTCGCTGCTTTGTCTATCGAGTAGCCATTCTTTTATTCCTTTACTTTCTTAATAAACTTGCTTTCACTTAAAAAAAAAATACAAATTAGATGGGTTGGGCGCGGTGGCTCACACCTGTAATCCCATCACTTTGGGAGGCCAAGGCAGGCGAATCACAAGGTCAGGAGTTTGAGACCAGCCTGGTCAACATGGTGAAACTCCATCTCTAATAAAAACACAAAAACATTAGCTGGCGTGGTGTCGCGCGCACCTGTAGTCCCAGCTACTCGGGAGGCTAAGGCAGGAGAATCACTTGAACCTGGGAGGCAGAGGTTGCAGTGAACCGAGATTGCGCCACTGCACTACAGCCTGGGCAACAGAGCAAGACTCTGTCTCAAAAAAAAAAAAAAAGTACAAAAGTAGCCAGGCGTGGTGTGGTGGTGGTGGCACATGCCTATAATCCCACCTACTCCGGAGGCTGATGCAGGAGAATCGCTTAGAACCCAGGAGGCGGAGGTTGCAGTGAACCGAGATCGCACCACTGCACTCCAGCATGGGCAACAGCATGAGATTCTGTCTCAAAAAAAGAAAAAACAAAGTAGAGTAATCAGAACCATCTTCACTTGGATTCTGACGGGCAGGGAAAGGGTACGACAGAAAATAGATCCAGTACCCTCACCCTTAAAACAAACCACAACCATATACTTTGTATACTAAAGAGTGAAAGATACTCACTCCGCGTAGCATTCTCCTCTTTTTTTCTGTTAATGAGCAAAAATCTGGGACTTTCAGGGCAACATGGAAGGGCTGCACTTTGCAGGATAGCTGGAAGGATGGTAAAGCCTAATAGCACCGGCCATAGCTCTTCAGACCCAAGGATGAGTTCCAGACCAAAGATCTAGAAACCACACAAAGATAATGCTATAAACCCCATACTTCACAGGCCACAAGTTCATTGAAACACAAAAAGTTGGCTGGGCGCAGTAGCTTACGCCTGTAATTCCAGCACTTTGGAAGGCTGAGGCAGGTGGATCAGGAGTTGAAGACCAGCCTGGCCAAGATGGTGAAACCCCGTCTCTACTAAAAATACAAAAATTAGCCAGGCGTGATGGTGGGCACCTGCAATCCCAGCTACTCAGGAGGCTGAGGCAGAGAATTACTTGAACCCAGGAGGCGGAGGTTGCAGTGAGCCGAGATCGCGCCACTGCCCTCCAGACTGGGCGACAGAGTGAGACTCCGTCTCAGAAACAAAACAAAACAAAAGTTCAGAAAATCATACATTATTTTACCATTGAAAAAAATTTAAAAATTGCCGGGCACAGTGGCTCACACCTATAACCCAGAATTTTGGGAGGCCGAGGCGGGTGGATCACCTGAGGTCAGGAGTTTGAGAAAAGCCTGGCCAACATGGTGAAATCCTGTCTCTACTAAAAATACAAAAATTAGCTGGACGTGGTGGTGCACACCTGTAATCCCAGCTACTCGGGAGGCTGAGGCATGAGAATCACTTTAACCCAGGAGGCAGAGGTTGGGCCGAGATCATTCCACTGCACTCCAGCCTGGGTGACAGAGTGAAACTCCCTCTCAAAAAAAAAAAAAGAAAAAGAAAAAAGGAAAAAAGAAATTGTGCTTCTTTTCCTTTCTCTACTCAACCTGCTTCTTCAGCTACTATCTATTATCTAAAACTTCCATATGTAATTGAACATGTGCCAGATATTCTTCAGTGCTTTACCTATGTTAACTTTTTTAATGACCCATGAAACTAACACTCATTAAGTATGAGAAGTTCTAGAGTACCTGGGCCACCAGAATTCCAATAACTATGCCCAGCTGGTTGAGAGTGCCAAAGGCACCCCTCAGGGCAGTAGGCGAGATCTCTCCAATGTACATGGGCACAAAACCTGTGCAGAGTCCGCAGAAGAGGCCAATAACCAAGCGGCCCAGGATCAGCATTTCAACTGACTCAGCTATTTTACACAGTCCCATAAGGCAGCCACCAGTGGCAGCCAACAGGTTGACAATCAGCATTGAATTGCGCCTGTAAGGTTAATCAAAGACAACATGGAATTAGCAAAGTGAGAGGCTCCTAACTTCTCCTCTTCTGTACTCATTATTCTGCTCTTCTCCAGGCTTATATCAACTCCTTTTTTGGTCTAACTTTTCTTTTTCACTTTCTTTTCTTTTCTTTCTTTTTTTTTTTTTGAGACAGAGTCTCGCTCTGTTGCCCAGGCTGGAGTGCAGTGGCGCGATCTCCGCTCACTGCAACCTCTGACTCCCAGGTTCAAGCAATTCTCTGCCTCATACTCCCGAGTAGCTGGGATAACAGGCGCCTGCCACCATGCCTGGCTAATTTTTTTGTATTTTAGTAGAGATGGGGTTTCACCATCTTGACCAGGCTGGTCTTTAACTCCTGACCTCATGATCCACCCACCTCGGCCTCCCAAAGTGTTGGGATTGCAGGTGTGAGCCACCACGCCCAGCCCTTTTTTACTTTCTATTATCAGAACGTTTCTAGTTGGGAGCCAGGCATGATGGTGCCCACTGGTAGTCCCAGCTACTCAGGGAGCTGAGGTGTGAGGATTGCTTGAGACTGGGAGGTCGAGGCTATAGTGAGCTATGATTGGGCCACTGCACTCCAGCCTGGGTGACAGAGCAAGACCCTGCTTCTTGGGCAGAGGGAGGGCAGAGGGGGAAGAACATTAGCAAGTAAAATAGGTTGCCTTATCAATTTTTAAATGTGAATTACATTCTTGCATTTCTAGAATATCTAATTGGCAAATTAAAACAGTTCCTTTGTCAGTCATAACTGAAAATATATTCTACCTTCTAAAATAGATTACTAAGCTAGTATAAAATAAGAAGATTCAGTTTTCAGCCAGGCACAGTGGCTCATGCCTGTAAGCTTAGCACTTTAGGAGGCTGAGGTGGGCGGATCACGTAAGGTCAGGAGTTCGAGACTAGCATGGCCAATATGGTGAAACCCCATCTCTACTAAAAATACAAAAATTAGCCGAGCGTGGTGGCGGGCACCTGTAATCCCAGCTACTTGGGAGGCTGAGGCAGGATAATTACTTGAACCCGGGAGGCAGAGGTTGCAGTGAGCTGAGATTGCACCATTGCACTCCAGCCTAGGTGACAAGAGCAAGACTCCATCTCAAAAAAAAAAAAAAAGACGATTCAGTTTTCTTTTTTTGGCCATTATCCACATTTGCCATAGACTAAAGATAATTCCTACCAATCCTGTGTAGAGGTAACAAAAACATTTATATGAGACCCCAGTTTTGTTTTTTTTTTTTTTGAGAAAAGTAATCAACTTTGGACCTTGTAAATTAAGTATGTTCCTGGAAACCCCATAGTTGAGCTTACTAGGGAATAATTCTGAACTATCCCTAACTGGACTGCAAAGGCCAATCACTCACACAGTTCATCTCTTGCACAGCTGGGTGGGAGCTCTCCAGGGTAGTAGAGCTCCAAGCAAGGGCAGTCATATTCGGGGCCAGTTGGGCTAGTTTCCCTTGATTAGAATTCAAGGTGTTCTTATTCAAAGGCATCATCACCTCCCTGCCCTAACTCTCCACACTTGTCCCCAATGCATCTGGTAGAGCCCACTTCCTTGCCCAGTTTCTAGTCAATACCTGCCAAAGCGGTTAACAAAGAGTCCGACGGAAAAGGAGCCGATCATACCCCCGACGGAAAATATGGCCACAGACAAGGACCAGAGATTCGTGAGCAGCACCTCAGAGGGAGGGGCATTTGCCTTGTCCGTCAAAGTTTTATTGATAAATTCCTTTATGATCTGCAAAATAAAAGGTGGGAGGACAGACTATTACAGTTGGATGAGAACAAAAGATACAAATATGCTGGGTGCAGTGGCTCACGCCTGTAATCCCAGCACTTTGGAAGGCCGAGGCGGGTGGATCACCTGAGGTCAGGAGTTGCAGACCAACCTGACCAACATGGTGAAACCCCGTCTCTACTAAAAATACAAAATTAGCCAGTTGTGGTGGCGCATGCCTGTAATCCCAGCTACTCGGGAGGCTGAGGTAGGAGAATCGCTTGAACCCGTGGGGCGGAGTTTGCGATGAGCCGAGATAGCGCCATTGCACTCCGGCCTGGGTGACAGAGCGAGACTACATCTCAAAACAAACAAACAAACAAAACAAATATTAGGGATCATTTCCTCCCTAGAGAATCAAGGGAATAAATAGACGGGAATTGAAGAGGCAGATAACATATTGGAATTAATGTTAACTCTCCCTGGAATAGTAATTTTTCATTTGTCCTGAATATCCCAGTAGGTGGCAGCACTGATGTTCACCCCAGCCCTCTGCTAAGCGAACCTGGCCAGCTTGGTAACTAACCCCTAAGGGATAATACAGGAAGTGTATTACTATAGGGTGAAAGAGTGGGAGGAAGAACAGCACTGCCCAGGGTATAAGGAGTAAATGACCTTTTTCCTTTGATTAAATGACCCCACTAATTTTCCCCACCAATATTGTCTCCATCTTCAGTCTTGGACAGGATAGATACAAAGTTTAATTCCCCTAGTTGGGGGAGGGACCCTCACTAACTGTGTTGCTCAGGATGGTGTTTAACTCCTGGGCTCAAGTGATCTTTAAGCCTCAGCCTCCGGAGTAGCTGGGACTCCAGGCAGGTGCCACCATGCCTGGCCTTAAATTCTGAATTCTTGAAACCCTACTTAAAGGAATAATTTCCCTATTCCAGATTCTAATTCTTGTGGCCTGGCACTCACCGTCTCAGGAGCATTGATGACCCCAGTGTTGTAGCCAAACTGGAAAGAGCCGATTGTAGCAACTGTGATGGCAAAGATCAGAGCTGGGGTGACCTGGAGAGACAGAGGACAGGGAGGAGAGAATAGTCCTTAAAACTTGTAATTGATGACTGTTTCTTATTAATTATGGAGCTGTATTAGGAGAATCTGACCTATGAGTGGTATGAAAAGGACAAACATCAAACGAGATTTAGGTAATTAATCGGGAAGACAAAGTAATAGATTATACTAAAGAACTTATCTGGAGATAAGAATGTGAAGTTAACTTGGTAAAAGTGGAAAAGAAAATTGGAGAAGGAAGAAGTTAAGAGAAACTGGGTTGGTCAGTTTGGAAATATTTAAAAACCTGCATCAGGTGAAGGTAGGCATAGAATTCCACTCACGAACTGGGAGGAAAGAGGACAACACAGCCTTGGGTAGGATTACTAAGAATTGATCATTTTGGAAACAAATACAGTGCAGTCTGATCTGTACCCCAGACTCCACGGAAGCCCAGTGGTGGTGGTAGGGGGAGGTGGTAGTAGTTTGTGTCTTCACTGCTGGGTGGCTCTTTGAGTCTCTTATCTCTCAGGACCATGTAACCTACTGGATCTACTCACTGCATCCTGGCCCCATTTCAGTCTTCTGGTTTATTAAATACTGTTCTGCTATCCCTAACCTAACCCCCGGGTGGGGGAAGAAAGAACACTCGGCTCACTACAAACCTAACAAATAAGACATTTCTGGCCGGGCACGGTGGCTCATGCCTGTCATCCCAGCACTTTGGGAGGCCAAGGCAGGTGGGCCAAGGCAGGTGGATCACCTGAGATCAGGAGTTCGAGACCAGCCTGGCCAACATGGTGAAACCCCATCTCTACTAAAAATACAAAAATTAGCAGGGCATGGTGGGGTGTGCCTGTAATCCCAGCTACTAGGAGGGGCTGAAGCAGGAGGATCGCTTGACCCTGAGAGGCGGAGGTTGCAGTGAGCCGAGACCGTGCCACTGCACTCCAACCTGGGCAACAGAGCAAGACTCTGTCTCAAAAAAAAAAAAAAAGAGAGAGAGAGACATTTCTTAGTGGGGAGAACCAGTCGTCTTCACCTTGCCTGGAATAATTCAGCTGGGCAAGTGGATATTATTTTAGATTTCCACCTTGGGGCAGCTCAATTTCTATACCTGAAGCCATCTTCTATGTCCTTTCCCGCACCCCCACCAATCCCTTCAACCTTTCCTATCTTAAATTCCTTTCCTTTCAGGTCAGACAGGGTAGACCACAGGCTGAAAGCTTCAGTAGAACTGACCTTGCCTGCGGCCTCTCAGATGTCTCAGTCACAACTAAGCATCGATACCCTGGAGGGCCCTGCCAGTACAATGCTCTCTGTTAAATCTTTTTCTTTTTAGTAAAAGTCCTTTCTTTCTCCTCTCATCATTCACTATCTTTGAGAGCCTTTTTTTTTTCATTAGTCTCATAACTTTCCATCCCTTCTCTTATTTTCCTTCATTTTCTTTCTTTTTTGTAGAGATGGGATCTCACTGTATTGCCCAAGGCTGGTCTCAAACTCCCAGCCTCAAGTGATCCTCATGCCTTAGCTCCCAAATGCTGGGATTATTTTTAAAGGTTACAATTGGAATTAAACTGAGTCTTGAGAATCTAAAAAATGTGTTGACCTGGGCACAGTGGCTCACATCTATAATCCCAGCCCTTTGGGAGGTCGAGGCAGAAGGATCACTTGAGCCTAGCAGTTTGAGAGACCAGCCTGGACAACACAGTGAGACCCCTTCTCTCTCTCTTTTTTTTTTTTTTTTGAGACCCCTTCTCTATCAAAAAAAAAAAAAAAATTAGCTGGGTATGGTAATGGCAGGTGCCTATAGACCCAGCTACTTGGGAGGCTGGGGTGGGAGGATCACTTGAGCCCAGGAGATAGAAGCTGCAGTGAGCTATGCAGCCTGGGCAACAGAGTGAGACCCTGCCTCAAAAAAGAAAAAAAAAGTGTGTTGAGCATATTGAGACAAGTGTTCCTTGGGCAAATGGCACCTAGGAGGAACCTGATGCTCAAAAACCAGTTCTGCACTGGGCTGGCCCCCAAAGCAACAGAGATGTCCAAGCTTAGATAGTCCTTCACCCTGGCCACTAGAGAAGAGTTGCTCAATATAACTGTTTGTTGATGTGCTTCGAGAGACTGGTTGGTTGAGCTGGGTCTTCAGTGTACTTTGGGAGGAGCCTGGCTCAGTCACAGTCACAGCTCTGGTGATGAGGCATGAGGGATTAAGTATGTCAGGATGGGCCAGTGAGGCTAGCTGCCCTCAGACACCTATGCTGTGTCATTTGATTCCTTTTGAAATCTTTCTGTAGCTCTATTAAAAAAAAAAAAAAAGAGGAAATGTGAGGTGCGATGGGTAAATTTCAAAACAGAGTAAGTTAGTGAGAATGTTATAAAATTTACACCTACAGCCTGACCAGTATGGTGAAAGCCCGTCTCTACTAAAAATACAAAAATTAGCCAGCCGTGATGGCGTGCGCCTGTAGTCCCAGCTACTCAGGAGACTGAGACAGGAGAATTGCTTGAAACTGGGAGGCAGAGGTTGCAGTCAGCCGAGATTGCGTCACTGCACTCCAGCCTGGGTGCCAGCGAGACTGTCTCAAACAAACAAACAAACAAAATTTACACCTAATACTTTAATGTAGGTCTGCCTAGAAAAAAAGGAATGAATAGAATAATTGTCTGAGGTCGCTTAGTTCCAGATGCAGTTATCTGCAGAATGTAAATTTCAATTCTAGAATCTAAATCTGCAGAATGTAAATCTCAATCCTAGAATCTAAATCTGCAGAATGTAAATCTCAATCCTAGTTTCATGCAGCTTTGTGGGATGGGTGCTTGCTAGTATGATAACCAGGTGGAAAACAAACATAAAATCTAAAGTCAGGGAACACAAGCCTTTAAACGCATTGAGGTAAAGACAGGGAAAACTGTCTCTTTCATAAAACAATGTAAATGGCATTTCAAGACACACACAAAAAGCTAGTAACTGCTCTAAAACTTTGCTTGCATCTGTAATAGTCCTCATAAAGAACGACTTTTGTTAAAGCAACTTTTTAATCTTCCTTTGTTAGGTTAGTGTAGGCAGAGTTCACTTTGAATTTGATAACACTGTAGAAAATAAGTCCTCAGGATTAAGAAAGAAAACATTTGAGAAATGTTGATTTTCCTGTCTAAACTGGGTTTAAATCATCCATCCATCACTCCCGTTGATCCTGAAGGGCCTAATCCCAGCTCTCAGGCCTGTCCCACTTTCACGAAGGTCTTCCTTCCTCTTTCCTCTCCCTTCTTCAAAAATGAATCCGTTCCACATCAGGGCTAGGTGAATTATCCTAAATCAAAATTTGAATCGTGTCAGAGTCCTACTCAAATATCTTCAATGATTATTGAATAAAGCCTGGCCAGTACTGTCCAATACAAATATAATGTGAGCCACAGATATAACTTTTTTTTTTTTTTTGAGACGCAGTCTCACTTGGTCACCCAGGCTGGTGTGCAGTGGCATGATCTCAGCTCACTGCAACCTCTGCCTCCCCGGTTCAAGCAGTTCTCCTGCCTCAGCCTCCTGAGTAGCTGGGACTACAAGCGTGTGCCACCACGCCCAGCTAATTTTTTGTATTTTTAGTAGAGACAGGGTTTCATCATGTTAGCCAGGCTGGTCTCGAACTCCTGACCTTGTGATCTGCCTGTCTCGGCCTCCCAAACTGCTGGGATTACAGGCGTGAGCCACTGAGCCCAGCCCAACCACAGATGTAATTAAAAATTTTTCTGCTGGGTATGGTGGCTCACACCTGTAAGCCCAGCACTTTGGGAGGCTGAGGAGGGCGGATGGATCACTTCAGTTCAGGAATTCAATACCAGCCTGGCCAATATCACCAATCCCCATCTCTACTAAAGACACAAAAAAATTAGCCAGGCGTGGTGGCACACGCCTGTAATCCCAGCTATTTGGGAGCCTGAGGCACCAGAATCACTTGAACCCGGGAGGCGGACATTACAGTGAGCCTAGATCATGCCACTGCACACCAGCCTGGGTGACCAAGTGTTCAATTTTACAAAAAAAAGAAAATTTCAGTAGCCACATTAAAAAAATAAAAAGAAACATATTGGCCAGGCACCGTGGCTCATGCCTATAATCCCAGCATTTTAGGAGGCTGAGGCAGGTGGATCACAAGATCAGGAGTTCAAGACCAGCCGGGCCAATATAGTGAAACCCCATCTCTAATAAAAATACAAAAATTATCCGAGCATGGTGGCACATGCCTGTAATCCCAGCTATTCGGGAGGCTGAGGCAAGAGAATCGCTTGAACCTGGGAGGCAGAGGTTACAGTGAGCCAAAATCACGCCACTGCACTCCACCCTGGGTGACAGAGTGAGACTCCATCTCAAAAAAAAAAAAAAGTTAACGTGTTAACTAACTTGTGGTAATAATTTCACAATATACATGTATATCAAAACATCATGTGCACATACTTTAAATGTATACAATTTTATTTGTCAATTATACTTCAGTGAAGCTGAAAAGATATTTTAAAAACTGTAATAAAATAAATGTAAGATAAAGTAATAAAAGATGGTTAACATGGGCCAGGCGCAGTGGCTCACACTTGTAATCTTTGGGAGGCCAAGGCAGGAGGATCACCTGAAGTTGGGAGTTCAAGACCAGCCTGACCAACATGGAGAAACAACATCTCTACTAAAAATACAAAACTAGCCAGCCATAGTGGCGCAAGCCTGTAATCCCAGCTACTTTGGAGGCTGAGGCAAGAGAATCTCTTGAACCTGGGGGCGGAGGTTGCAGTCAGCCGAGCTTGCACCATTGCACTCCAACTTGGGCAACAAGAGTGAAACTTCGTCTCAAAAAAAAAAAAAAAAAAGATGGTTCACATGGTAACCATTTTTCTTCTTTTTTTTTTTTTGAGATGAAGTCTCACTCTGGCTGGGATTACTGGCATACACCACCACGACTGGCTAATTTTTTATTTTTATTTTTTTCGAGATGGAGTCTCACTCTGTTGTCCAGGCTAGAGTGCAGTAGCACAGTCTTGGCTCACTGCAACCTCCACCTCCTGCGTTCAAGCAATTCTCCTGTCTCAGCCTCCCAAATAGCTGGGACTACAGGTGCACGCCACCACGCCTGGTTAATTGTTGTGTTTTTAGTAGAGGTGGGGTTTTACCATATTGGTCAGTCTGGTCTTGAATTCCTGACCTCAGATGATCCACCCACCTCGGCCTCCCAAAGTGCTGGGATTATAGGTGTGAGCCACCATGCCCAGCCTACCTTTTTTGTTGTTGTTATGTGTTTTTACCACAATTTTTTTTTTTCGAGACAGAATCTCGCTCTGTCACCCATGCAGGAGTGCAGTGCCGAGATCTTGGCTTACTGCAACCTCCACCTCCCACGTTCAAGTGATTCTCCTGCCTCAGCCTCCAGAGTAGCTGGGACTACAGGCGCCTGCCACCATGCCTGGTTAATTTCTGCATTTTTAGTAGAGACAGGGTTTCACCATATTGGCCAGGCTGGTCTTGAACTCCTGACCTTGCGATCCACCTGCCTCGGCCTCCCAAAGTGCTGGGATTACAGGTGTGAGCCAACGTGCCCGGTCCACAATTTTTTTTAAAAAATGGAATTTGCCTTACTAGAATTTTGAACTTGGAAGACCAGGTACCCCTTTCTTCTTTCTTATTTCCCCCATTTCCCCCTTTTGCAATGGGAATGTCTAGCCTATGCCTGTCCCACAATTATATTATGAAAGCACATAACTTGTCTGGTTTCCCAGGCTCAGTTTGGAAAAAAATTTGCCTCAGGATTAATCATACCTCTTTTCTCACCCATACCAAATTTAGATGATATTCAGATGAAATTTTGGATTTGGAACTCATGCTGGAATGGGTTAAGACTTTAGGGCCTACAGGGATAGAGATAAATGTATTTTGGATGTGAGGACATACATTTTGGGGGGCCAGAGGGCAAAGTGTTATGGACTAAATTGTGTCCTAAAATTCATATGTTGAAGCCCTAACCCCTAGTAACTTAGAATGGAACTGTATTTGGAGATGGAGCCTTTAAGGAGGTAATTAAGATTACATGAAGTCACTAGGGTGGGGCTCTAGTCCAATAGGACAGGTGTCCTTATGAGAAGAGGAAGAGGCATTAGGCCTGTGAATAGAGAAAAGGCCATGTGAAGACACTGAGAAGACAGCCATCTGCTACTGAAGGGAGAGGTCTCAGGAGAAACTAAGCCTGCTGGCACCTTGATCTTGGATGTCCAGCATCTAGAACTTTGAGAAAACAAATTCCTGTTGTTTAAGCCACCTGTTTGTGGTATTTTGTTATGGCAGCCTTAGCAGACAATAAATATATACTGTCAAGTAATAAGGGAGCATTTTGAAGAAGAAAATATCAAGGTAAGGCGATAAAGGGTTGGGGCTGGGGAAGATTAAGATAGAGTGGTTAGGGTTCCTCTCTCAGTAGAGATGATACTTGCACAGAAACCTGAATCACACGAGAAAGTCAACCTTGGGAGTATCTGAAAACAGCATTTCAAACAGAAGGCATTTCAAACGCAGACACCAAAAGGAGGACTCGTGCTTGGCAGGGTGTCAAAAGGCGGATTTGGCAGGAGTGGAGTGAAGCGGGGGCAGAGTGGCAGGAGAAATGATGTTGAAGACAGCTAGGAGTCTGCTCATGCAGGACGCTGTAAGCAGTCATGAACGTTCTGGTTTATATTCCGAATGTGACAGACAGCCAGGAAGCTACGAAGCCATTTTAGTTTTTTGAGCAGAAGCATGACATCAGTTGATTCGTGTTTTTAAAAAAGTATGTGCTGTTGAATGGAGAAGATGCTGAAGGAGGGTGCTGTGGTTTAAATGTGTGTTCCCTCCAAAATTAATGCAGAAACTTAATCCTAATTGTAGTGATATTAAGAGGCAGGACCTTTTGGGAAGTGACTGAGTCATGAGGGCTCTGCCTCCATGGAGGGAGTAATACCCATACAGAAGGGGCTTCGGAGGCCAGGCTCGATGGCTCATGCCTGTAATCTCAGCACTTTTGGAGGTCAAGGCGGGAGGATCGCTTGAGTCCAGGAGTTCTTATTTCCCCCTTTTGGACCAGCCTGGGCGACACAAGGAGACCCTGTCTCTACAAAAAAAAAAAAAAAAAAAAAAAAAAAAATACAAAAAATTAGTGAGGCATGGTGGTTTGCACTTGTAGTCCCAGCTACTCGGGTGGCTGAGGTGGGAGGATCACTTGAGCCCGGGAGGTCAAGCCTGCAGTGAGCTATGATTGCACCACTGAACTCCAGCCTGGGAGACAGAGCCAGACCCTGTCTCAAAAAAAAAAAAAAAAAGTGCGGTGGGGGGACTTCAGAGAGTTTGCTCCTTTTTTTTTTTTTTTTTTTTTTTTTTGCCCTTCTGCCTTCCACCATGTGAGGACACATCACTCGTCCCCCTAATGAGGACGGAGCAACAGTCGCCATCTTAGAAGCAGAGAGCTGCCCTCACCAAACATCAAACCTGCGGGTACCTTGAACTTCCCAGCATTCAGAACTGTGAGAAATACATTTCTACTGTTTATAGATTACTCAGTTTTGTTTTTGTTTTTGTTTTTGTTTTTTTGAGACAGAATTTCGCTCTTGTCGCCTAGTCTGGAGTGCAATGGCGTGATTTCGGCTCACTGCAACCTCCGCCTCCTGGGTTCAAGCGATTCTCCTGCCTCAGCCTCCAGAGTAGCTGGGACTACAGGCACCCGCCACCACACCCACACCCAGCTAATTTTTGTATTTTTAGTAGAGACAGGGTTTCACCATGTTGGTCAGGCTGGTCTCAAACTCCTAACCTCAGGTGATCCGCCCACCTGGGCCTCCCAAGGTGCTGGGATTACGGGCGTGAGGCACTGCGCCTTGCCTGTGTTGTTTTGTTATAGCAGCATGAACAAACTTAGACAGAGGGTAGGGATAGGAGCATAGAGTGGGTTGCTGTTGGATTTGAAATATATTTTCAAGGTGCAACCTACTGGCGGTCTAGACGTTGAGCACAAAAGAAAAAAAGGAGTCAAGAATGATCCTAAAGGTTTTGGCTGGAGCAACTGGAGAACTGGAGTTGCCATTTACCTCAGTCAGGAAAGCAGACAGAGACCTGAGGGTCAAATCAAGACTTTTATTTTAGATGCGCTAAGTCGGCGATGATGCTAGGGTAATGCACTAAAAATAGTGTTCCCTTTCTCTTTCATCCCAGAGGCCGGGAACATAAAGATAAAAAACATGTTCCTCCCTTTAAGTTCTCATGGTGGTGAAGCGGATGGAGAGAGACATATAAACAAGTGTTTCGCTTTGTTTTTTAATTAATAGGATTTATTGGGGGTGGGCAGTTTTAGGTTTACAGAAAAATTGAGCAGAAAGTACACAGAGTTCCCATGTACTCCCTTAACACCCCTAATACTAACATTTGCATTAGTGTGATACATCTCTTATATTATTATCATTATTATTTATTGTTATTATTTTTTTCTTGCACTCTGTCACCCAGGCTGGAGTTCAGTGCCATGATCTCGGCTCACTGCAACCTCCACCTCCCACGTTTAAGCGATTCTCCTGCCTCAGCCTCCCAAGCAGCTGGGATTACAGGCACCCATCACCATGCCCGGCTAATTTTTGTATTTTTAGTAGAGACGGGGTTTTGCCATGTTGGCCAGGCTGGTGTTGAACTCCTGACCTCAGAAGATCTGCCTGACTTGGCCTTCCAAAGTGCTAGGATTACAGGCGTGAGCCAGCTCGCCGAGCCACATCTGTCATGTTAATAATTGATGGGCTAATATTGATATATTATTATTACATAAAGTCCATAGTTTATATTCAAGTTCATTCTTTGTGTTGTATATTCTATAGGTTTGATAAATGTATGATATCATACGGAACAGCTTTACTGCCCTAAAAATCCCATGTTCCAGGCTGGGTGCAGTGGCTAACGCCTGTAATCCCAGAACTTTGGGAGGCCAAGGTGGGCAGATCACGAGGTCAGGAGTTCGACACCAGCCCAACCAACATGGTGAAACCCCATCTCTACTAAAAATATAAAATTAGCCGGGCGTAGTGGTGCATGCTTGTAATCCCAATTACTCAGGAGGCTGAGGCAGGAGAATTGACTGAACCCAGGAGGCAGAGGTTACAGTGAGCCGAGATTGCACCATTGCACTCCAGCCTGGGCAACAAGAGCGAAACTCTGTCTCAAAAGAAAAAAAAAAAAAAGATCCCATGTTCCACCTCCCTTCCCTACTCCTCCAACCCCTGGCAATCACTGATCTTTTTGCTGTCTTTTTGCATAGTTTTGCCTTTTCCAGAATGTCATACAGTTGGAGTCATACATTATGTAGCCTTTTCAGATTGGCTTATTTCACTTAGTGATATTCATTGAAGGTCCCTGCATGTCTTTTCGTGGCTCATTTCTTTTTATCACTGGATAATATTCCATTATTTGGATGCACCACAGTTTATCCCTTCACCTACTGAAGGACATCTTGGTAAGTTTTAGCAACTACGAATAAAACTGCTCTAAACATTCGTTTGCAGGTTTTCATGTAGATGCATGATTTCAACTCATTTATGTAAGTACCAAGGAGGGTGATTGCAGGATCACAGACAAGGGTTTTAAAAGTCATCTTCACTTGATCTTAGCCAAAAGGCCGAGAAGCGGGAAAAGACTTCTTCTATACAAGTGCCAATATATAAGCAACACAGATAATTGCTTGCATGAAGTGAAGACAGTTCTTTGAGTTCCTTAACTTTTCTCTAGCAGTGCTCTAAAGCTATAAATGTCCTTCTTTCTCTGTGTAGCTATCAGTGGGACACAATCACCAGGCTACCACCCCCCTCCCCCCACTCACAGGAAAACAGCTACATGATGACTGAAGTGCTTAGCTGACTCACATCTACTCTTTCTTTTTCTCTTTTTTTTTTTTTTGTTTTTTTTGTGATGGAGTTTCGCTCTTGTTGCCCAGGCTGGGGTGCAATGGTGCGATCTCGGCTCATCGCAACCTCCGCCTCCCGCGTTCAAGTGATTCTCCTGCCTCAGCCTCCCGAGTAGCTGTGATTACAGCCATGTGCCACCACACCCAGCTAATTTTATATTTTTAGTAGAGATAGGGTTTCTACATGTTGATCAGGCTGGTCTCGAACTCCCGACCTCAGGTGATCCGCCCGCCTCAGCCTCCCAAAGTGCTGGGATTACAGGTGTGAGCCACCGCGCCTGGCCACATAAATGTTTTAATATAGGCATGCAATGTAAAATAATCACCTCATGGAGAATGGGGTATCCATCTCCTCAAGCATTTATGCTTTGAGTTACCCCCTCATCTTTTTAGACCCTCAGACAACTTAGTCAGCTGACCAATCCTTCCTGAGAAATAAATGTTCTTTTTCACCCTTTTTTATGTCTTCCTGAGGAAGGCTGACGGTGAATGAAGCGCATTAGACTGAGAATAGCTGCTGAGTAGAAAGCCGGTGGGAAAACAGAGAATTTCCTGGAGGCATGGGAGGGGCACGCTGTAATGAGTGGGAATGTCACAGGCGCTGTTTCAAAAAGAGTGGATGAAAGCCTGAGAATGCGGCTGTAAAGGCTACTGGAAGGCTCCTCGGGCAGGGGACAGGATGTGAGCCCCTGGAATAGACTCATAAAAGAAAATGTTAGCACATACCATTGAATTCACTGAGACACATGAGAAAATATGGGAAAGTCGGAGAGTGGAAGAAAATGTAAAGACCCCCCTCCTCCCCAAAGAGTACGTTGTGTAGTGGGGTAGAGTGGAAAATCAATCCAAGAAAAGTAGCAAACGGACCCAAAGATGAAGAGGAAGAAAAGAAACAGCAACACGAAACGAAAAAAAAAGCCACCAGATTTGTTGCAACGTTGATGTAAACCTGGCCGTCTTCCTGAACCAGTGACCCAGGGTTTCCGCTTCCCTTTGCTGTCATCTTGCTCAAGTCTAGAAGCTGAAATATCATCATCAACTCGACATGAGGGGATAACCTCTGGATCCACTCATCAGATGCTCATCAGACGTTCCAATTACAAAACTGAACCTCTTCTTAGTGCTGGGGCGGTTAGAATGCAAACATTTCAAGAAAAAAACACATTGTTTTCTAGTGGTGATAGAATTGAGGGTGAGTTCTTCCTTCCTTTATTGTTGTCTTTTCTTTTATTTTTTTCTACTTTACTGAAGGGCACATGCAATAAAGCAGATAAAAATGCACTAATCTGGAGTTTACAGTTGGGTGAATATTTATATCTGTATTCACAGGCATAACCATTAACCAGATCAAGATCTAGATTCTTTAACATTTCTTGCTCCTCAAAAAGTTTCCTAGTGCTGGTTCCAGTCTATAGCCTCCTTCTCCAGAAGAAATTGCTATTTTTACTTCCGCCATCATCAATGAATTTTGTTGTTCTTGACCTTTAAATGGAACCATACAGTATGTACTCTTTTGTGCTCAGATGTTTTTTCACTGAGCATCGTGTCTACGAGTACTATGTGGTGGTGTTGGTAGTTCATTCCTTCTTACTGCTGAGTAGTATTCCACTTTTGGCTATGACAACATTTACTTATCTATTCTCCCACTGATGTATGCATCATTGTTTCCAGTTCGAGCTATTATAAACATTCCTGATATTTGCTGAATGTATGAATTCTTTTCTCTCGATTGTATACTTGTTGTATGCTTAGGAATGAGATTGCTGGGTTGCTATTTTTTGCCAGTAAATAGTAAACTCCTTTTTTTTTTTTAGACAGGGTCTCACTCTGTCACCCAGGCTGGAGTTCAGTGGCACAATCTCGGCTCATTGCAGCCTCCACCTCCCAGGTTCAAGCAGTTTTCGTGCCTCAGCCTCCCGAGTAGCTGGGATTACAGGCAAATGCCACCACATCCAGCTAATTTTTACATTTTTAGTAAAGAGGGGTTTCACCATATTGGCCAGGCTGGTCTCGAACCCCTGACTTCAGCTGATCCACCCGCCTTGGCCTCCCAAAGTGCTGGGATTACAGGTGTGAGCCACCGCACCGGGCTGTAAATCGTAAATTCTAAGCAAAAACAAGTGAGCTACATCTTTGTCTTAATATGTATATGGTATTTTAATAATCTTTTTATCCATTATTTCAATTGATCCTCAAAACTTTTGTGGTAAGTAAGTAAAGTAGTTAACATTATCACCATTTTATAGGTGCAAAAACTGAAAGAGAATTTAAATGATCAATTTAAGGTCAGAATATTAATAAGTTGTGAATTACGACTAGAAACTGCATTTTCTGATCCCTAGCCACGTTCATTTTTCCTTATACATTCTTTCTATTTCACTAGCCTCGTGAATGGAGAGGTCACCCAATCATCCCGTTTGCCCAGGACTATCTCAGTTTTAGCACTGAAAGTACCTGGGCAAACCTCTATGGTTGGTCATTTTACAAAACAAAGAAAGGGGTCAATGGATATCACAGCTTGCAAATGGCAGAGAAAAACAAAACCAACTTGATTTAGTCTATTCATGCTCCTCCATTCCCAAAGGAAAGTTATTTTTAATCAAGGAACAATAAAATAACCACACATTTATGTACTATGTATGTCAACTGTATTGCTTGACTTCGGAAATCATCTAGACTAGTGCTACTCAAATTGTGGTCCGGGGACCAGCAACATCAGAATCTCCCAGGATCCTGTTAGAAATGCAAACTCAAGGCCAGGCGTGGTGGCTTACGCCTGTAATCCCAGTACTTTGGGAGGCCGAGGCGGGTGGATCATGAGGTCAGTAGATTGAGACCATCCTGCCTAACATGGTGAAACCCCATCTCTACTACAAATACAAAAAATTAGCCGGGCGTGGTGGCAGGCGCCTGTAGTCCCAGCTACTTGGGAGGCTGAGGCAGGAGAATGGCATGAACCCGGGAGGCAGAGCTTGCAGTGAGCTGAGATCGCGCCACTGCACTCCAGCCTGGGCGACACAGCGAGACTCCATCTCAAAAAAAAAAAAAAAAGAAATGCAAACTCAAGGCCAGGCGTGGTGGCTCACGCCTGTAATCGCAGCACTTTGGGATGCCAAGGCGGGTGGATTTCCTGATCTGAGGAGTTTGAGACCAGTGGGGGCAACCTGGCAAAACCCCATCTCTATCAAAAATACAAAAAATTAGCTGGGCGTGGTGGTGCATGCCTGTAAACCCAGCTACCCAGGAAGCTAAGGCAGAAGAATAGCTTGAGCCTGGGAGGTCGAGGCTGCAGAGAGCTGAGATGGTGCCACTGCACTCCAGCCAGGGTGACAAAGGGAGACCTTGTCTAAACAAAAAAAAGAAAGAAAGAAAGAAAAAGAACTAGAAATGCAAACTCAAGCCCCTCCTATCCCCCCAGACCTACAGAATCAGAATTACTGAGAGTAGAGCTCAGGAATTTGTGTCTAACCAGCTCTCCAGGTGGAGGTCAAAGGAAACGGTGGAAAAAGGAAGCTAAAGTTTGAGGGAAAACTGATCTAACCAATTTTATTTACAGATATTTGGATATTTATATAATTTAAAGATCTCTGAGCAGAATTATTCCATTGCTTTAACTCACTCAACAACCCTTCCCTACATGAAACAAATCTCATTATTGGTTAAAAAAAAAAAAAACTTTATCCTTATTAAATCTCTTATCTAACATTCTGGTCCTAAATAAGAGTGGATAATATCATTTCATGTTGGTTTTTTTCTTTATTGGTCTTTTTCTAAGGGCATTCCAAGTGTATTTCATGTATCACTTAAAGTATGGTGTCCAGAACTAATCTTAGTGAAAAAACTATAGTATATCAAAAGAAAGACCTTGTGGTTACAATGTGAATATTCATAATTTTTTTTTTTTTTGAGATGGAGTCTCGCTCTGTCACCCAGGCTGGAGTGTAATGGCGTGATCTTGGCTCACTCCAACCTCTGCCTCCTGGGTTCAAGCGATTCTCCTGCCTCAGCCTCTGGAGTAGCTGGGATTACAAGCGCCCGCCACTACACCCGCCTAATTTTTTTGTATTTTTAGTAGAGACAGGGTTTCACTGTGTTGGCCAGGCTGGTCTCGAACTCCTGACCTCATGATCCACCTGCCCTGGCCTCCCGAAGTGCTGGGATTACAGGTGTGAGCCACCACGTCTGGTCCTGAATATTCATAAATTTTAAAAGAAAATATACCTGTGGCGGCCGGGCGCAGTGGCCACACCTGTAATCCCAGCACTTTGGGAGGCCGAGGTGGGTGGATCACCTGAGGTTGGGAGTTCAAGGCCAGCCTGACCAACATAGAGAAACCCTGTCTCTACTAAAAATACAAAATTAACCAAGTGTGGTGGTGCATGCCTGTAATCCCAGCTACTCAGGAGGCTGAGGCAGGAGAATCACTTGAACCTGGGAGGCAGAGGTTGCAGTGACCCAAGATTGTGCCATTGCACTCCAGCCTGGGCACCAAGAGAGAAACTCTGTCTCAAAAAAGAAAAGAAAAGGAAAGAAAATATACATGTGGCTGATCTGAGTACAGTGGTGTTTGTACCACTGTACCAATTATGAATTTCTTTGTTCCTTTTCCACTCACACTGCTTCACTTGACTAGCTTTAAGAAGAAAAAAAGAACTATACATGTTTAAGAATCATGAGACCTAGAAACAAAGAAAGGAAGAATAGTTCATCTGAATCACAAGGAAGGGAAAACAGATGACAGGTTAATTTACAACAGAAAGGATTTGCTGAATGAGTTTTGCCAGCAGGGACTGGATTTGGGCTCCCAATTTGTGTTTTCTTAGGGTTTTGTGTAACTTGGCTGGTATCAGTCTTCATAGTTTCTCTGTACTCTGTTCTAGGACTCAATCCAAAAGGTCACCTTCCAGCTCCAATCTGGCTTCTCTTAGCCCATCTATTCTAGCTCTCTCTTTTCCTTCCCCTCATTCTTCCCCAGAGAGAGGTTGCTATGGGGATGTCATCATCATAGAAAGCCAGCTGGTAGAGAGAAGCAGTGACAGAAGCAGAAACAAAAGGGTGCAGAAAGAAAAATAAAAGACGAAGGTAAAAACAACAGGCGCAGACATAGGTGAGAATTGAGAGAGTCAAAAGAGGAACTACACAGGTGATAAAATGCCATCAACACATTTACTTCTAGAAATGGATGGAGGCATTGCCCACAGTTAGAGGAACACAGCAGAGGAACCAAGGCAACAGACACGAGCAAACCCAGGGACCTGAAATAGATGTAGAGACACAGGAGGAGAGAGACACGGTCAGATGACAAACCCAATTTGCAGGATTCTGCAGAAAGCAGCTGCAGACAGAATCTAGCTAAGCATAGAGACTGTTTCAAGGCAGCGTTTTATTTATCCTCATCTGCCTCCCTGAGTCATTTCTATTTCCAAGGAATGAAGCAGTGGGAGGTTATAAAGGGGTTACCTTCACTTCCTTATTGTTTTCCACTTTGTTTTCTTGCCTGTCATCTTCTGACGTGCACAGAAAGGAACCTCCCTAGGACAACCAAAAGCCAGGAATATGTCCCTTAGACACAGCTCTTATGTCTTGACTGTTCTCCTGCCATCTCTTCAATATTTGTATCTCAGATTGTCTTTTTTTTATTATTATTTTTTACAATTCCCTTTCTTGTTCTTTGTTTTTCTTTTTCCATTTACCCCAGGTAGCCACTAACTTAATGCTCCTTACGTCTATTCCATTCTCTTTTCCAGTCTCTATTACCTAGTCATCCTTGTCCCCGCCCATCCTAGCCACAAATTCTGCTTTTTCCAATTCCATTTTTTTTTTTTTTTGAGACAGAGTTTTTGCTCTTGTCGCCCAGGCTGGAGTGCAATGGCGCAGTCTCAGCTCACCGCAACCTCCACCTCCTGCGTTCAAGCAATTCTCCTGCCTCAGCCTCCCGAGTAGCTGGGATTACAGGTGCCCGCCACCATGCCCGGCTAATTTTTGTATTTTTAGTAGAGATGGGGTTTCACCATGTTGGCCAGGATGGTCTCGAACTCCTGACCTCAGGTGATCCACCCGCTTCGACCTCCCAAAGTGCTGGGATTACAAGCATGAGCCACCGCGCCCGGCCTCTTTTTTTTTCTTTTTTTGAGACAGAGTCTTGCTCTGTTTTCCAGGCTGGAGTGCAGTGGTGCGATCTGGGCTCACTGGACTCCGCTTCCCGGGTTCAAGTGATTCTCCTGCCTCAGCCTCCAAGTAGCTGGCATTACAGGAACCTGCCACCTCGCCCGGCTAATTTTTGTATTTTTAGTAGAGACAGGGTTTTGCCATGTTGGCCAGGCTGGTCTGGCACTCCTGACCTCAGGGTAGTCAGCCCACCTCCGTCTCCCAAAGTGCTGGGATTACTGGTCTGAGACACTGCGCCCGCTTTCACTGAGTTCTTATTTGGACCTCTCAATCTTCGGGCAAGATAACATCTTGATAAAAACATCCATACATTGGGCGTGGTGGCTCATGCCTGTAATCCCAGCACTTTGGAAGATCGAGGTGGGAGGATTGCTTGAGTCCAGGAGTTCAAGACCACCCTGGGCAACATGGCAAAACTTCATCTCTACAAACAATACAAATAATTAGCCAGGTGTGGTGGCGCCCACCTGTGGTCCTAGCTACTTGGGAGGCTGAAGTGGGAGGATCATTCAAGCTCTGGAGGTTGAGGTTGCAGTGAGCCATGATCATGCCACTACACTCTAGCCTGGGCAAGACAGCAAGACTGTTACACACATAAGTAAATCAAGAAAGAACAGCTTTCTAAACCCAGAAAGAATTGAATGAGCTTTTTTTTAAAGGTGATGAAAAAAATTAAAATGTATGTGGATATATATTGAAAAAGTCTGGGCTGGGTGCAGTGGCTCATGCCTGTAATCCCAGCAATTTGGGAGGCTGAGGCAGGCGGATCACGAGGTAGGGAAATGGAGACCAGCCTGGCCAACCTGGTAAAACCCCGTCTCTACTAAAAATGCAAAAAAAAATTAGCCGGGTGTGGCGGCGGGCACCTGTAGTCCCAGCTACTCGGGAGGCCTTGAGGCAGGAGAATCGCTTGAACCTGGGAGGTAGAGGTTGCAGTGAGCCGAGATCAGGGCACTGAACTCCAGCCTGGGTGACAGAGCGAGACTCCATCTCAAAAAAAAAAAAAAAAGGAAAAAGTCTACAAAATGCACAACACTCTGCTGTACGATGCAGGGAACCCAAAGTCCCTGACCTCAAAAGTTACAATGTGGTGCTGGAGGGGACAAGACAAGAAAGTGCTAAAAAAAAAAAAAAGAGCCAAGAATCACGAGATTTTATTCACGTGGAAACACCCAGAAAGGCTTCTTGAAGTTGGTATTTGGAAGGGATCTTGGAAGATGGGTAGACTAAGAGATAAGAGATAAAGATTAGACAAGAGCATTTCAGTAAGGTGGAATGGCCTGGGCACATGTCTGGTGGTGGGCAGTTTGTGGGAAGGCTGGGGAATGGTGCTTAGTCCAGTTTAGCTGAGGAATAAGGCACTTACAGGAGTCTAGGAAGAGATAATGCTGGAAAAGCAAGTTCGGGGATGCTGCAGCAGTCTTTGAATACCAGTAGTTCTACTTCAAGTGTAAGCCCTCAGGTGAGGAATGAACTAATTTATTTATTATTATTATTTTTTTGAGACGGAGTCTCGCTCTGTCACCAGGCTTGGAGTGCAGTGGTGTGATCTCGGCTCACTGCAACATCCGTCTCCTGGGTTCAAGCCATTCTCCTGCCTCAGCCTCCCAAGTAGCTGGGATTACAGGCGTGCACCACCACACCCGGCTAATGTTTGTATTTTTAGTAGAGACGGGGTTTCGCCATGTTGGCCAGGATGGTCTCGATCTTTTGACCTCGTGATCCACCCACCTCGGCCTCCCAAAGTGCTGGGATTACAGGCGTGAGCCGCCAGGCCAGGCCATTTATTTATTATTTATTTATTTTTAAGGCTAGTCAAGTGAAGCTGTGAGAGTGGAGAAGGAACAAAGAAAATTGTTACTGGTTGTGATCAGTTGGTTGTAAGGACCACTGCATTTAGACCAGCTATGAAGGAAAATCTTAGGGCTTTTTTTCTCTGTCACAGCACCTACATACTACTTGTGTTCCACATACATCAAATGTGTCTCTTTTATCCTAGATGCTTTGCCTCAGTTAAAATGTTTTTTCTTGGTCTGTGCTTTTTTCACTCTTGCTTTTCCATTGTTTTCCTCGACCTCAACCCTGAACCCCAATTTGGTTGCTTCAGAGGCTTTCTGGAGAGAAACACCCTTGGTACAACAGCAGAAAGCATTTTCTGCAAGCAATCTTCCCTCACCTGTGTTTTTAGAACAAAGACAAGGTTGGAAGTTAGAAAACGTAAGTATCAGCACAGACTGTGGTACAGACTACGCTACAGACTGTGCTGAAAACTTAAGTCATTAAACCTGTGTCTCAGTTCTCTAATTCTAGAAGGTGGTCTTATGGCTGAAGAAGGATACTAGCTATTTTATTCTGTGCAGTCTCAAGGGTTCTACAAATACACAGCCCTAACAAATACTTCCTGACCAATGCATCTGAAGTAGTCATCACCCCGGAAGAAAGGTGAAAAATTATATAAATATTTCAACTACAAATCAGGTGTTCACTTATCAATCCTCTTTCAAATATATACTTGAAACTGCCAAGTTTTTGGAGCCTTTCCCTGGTTCATGTTTGGGTCTGGAACATATAGACATAGTCAATAATAATTTAATAAATGACTAGCTGACTGAATAAATCTCTAGCTCTAAATATAAAAGCATTGAGATCAGGAAACATTACTGTCCTCTATCTTTAAAATAATGAAAATGTAATAAGTAAAAAAGCATTAGGAAAAGATTATTTTTGCCACTAGATTCTAAGTGGTTAACATAGAATTTGAAGAATCAGAAGCATGTGAAAACAGTGACTTAGTTGTATCTGGGTATGGCTGAGAAAGAATTTTTCTCCCCTTTCATCTTTTAATCTCCATTAGACATTGCTCCTCTCAGGTAGCCTGAGAATGAAGCTATTTACTTTTGTCTCATTAGCTCTTCTTTGATCCTGACAGCTGCAGTCAATACAAAAGAAATGCCACAGCCCCAGGAAAAGATTCCAATGTCCCCACGTGGAGGACGTGCAGAGACAGCATCATTCTTTGTCTCCCACATTCTTATCTACCTGGTGACGGGACAGTGACTTCTGCCCCCATCTCTCTCACTAATAAGTAGCTAGTCAACATGATTAGTATAGCCTCATTCCAAAATAGCTACATGTCTCACTAGGGGTCCTAAAAGATAAGAACAGAGCTTCTAGTTTAAGTTGTATTGTATTTACTTAGTTTTTAGAGATGACAGAAGAAAAACAGGATTACTTACCTCCTCAAGAAAAACCTTACAACTGTAACAAATGAATAAACGTGGGGAAGAGAAACAGAAGGCCAGAAAGGAAAATGAGATATGGTGAAAGTATAATTTTTCTTTAAATAACAGTATATGAACATAGTGTCCAAATTTAATCATCGGGCACTGTTAATATTAAAAAAATTATGTAGATTGAGAATGGTGACAGAAAAATGTAAACTTTTCCATTTTACAAAAGTGGAAAAAAGCAGTGCTTCATTTTTTCCCCATCTAGAAAGATTATTCACAGATGATTTCTATGTAATAAAAGAAGAGAGCAGTGATTAGTTGGAAGTAGAATTATTTCAGTAAGTTTAAAACTTTTCTAACTTTTTCCCATAAAGTTAATAAAATCAGAGAAATACCATAGTCCCAAATATAGGTATTACTGACATTTGGGGCCAGACAATTCTTTGTTACAGAGGCTTGTCCCATGCATTACAGAATGGTTAGCAGAATCCCTGGCCTCTCCCCACTAGAAATATGTAATCCCTTTCTTGTAATCATGACAACAAAAATATCTCCAGATATTGCCAAATGTCCACTGGGAGCAAGTCACCACTGTTTGAGAACCACTGCCTTAGACACCATGCACCTTGATTTCAGCAAGACATCTCAGAAAATCTCCAATGAGATCCTGTGCAAAAGGCTGAAATACCTCACCCATCTGACACTCAACTGTTTGGGAAACTCATTTATTTTGTATATAGGCAGGAGGAAACAGAGAAAAAAGAAAGGTTTTCTCACTAAAATTCAAAGCACAACTCATAGAAAGGCTTTGGTCTCTCTCAGGAAGCACATACTCTCTCTCTCCTTTTAAATTATTACAAAAT
Organism: Homo sapiens; assembly: GCF_000001405.40. Taxonomy (NCBI): domain Eukaryota; kingdom Metazoa; phylum Chordata; class Mammalia; order Primates; family Hominidae; genus Homo; species Homo sapiens. Next base: position 7,853,005 of record NC_000012.12, read on the forward strand.
ATCCCAAACATACAAAGCAAAATGTTAATATCTGATAGCTTCAATTGGTTATTTGATTTCCGAATCCAACAACGGATTAGATGAAAATAAGAAGAGACATTGTATGCCACAGGTAGGAACACTGACACACTAATGACAATAAGAAAGAAAACAGGGCTGGGCATGGTGGCTCATGCCTGTAATCCCAGAACTTTGGGAGGCTGAGGTGGATGGATCATGAGGTCAGGAGTTTGAGAGCAGCCTGACCAACATGGTGAAACCTTGTCTCTACTAAAATTACAAAAATTAGCTAGGCATGGTGGTGCGCGCCTGTAATCCCAGCTACTCAGGAGGCTGAGGCAGGAGAATCGCTTGAACCCGGGAGGTGGAGGTTGCAGATCATGCCATTGCACTCCAGCCAGAGCAACAGAGAGAGACTCCATTTCAAAAAAAAAAAAAAAAAAAAAAATTAGCCAGGCGTGGTGGCGCACCTGTAGTCCCAGCTACTTGGGAGGCTGAGGCAGGAGAATCTCTTGAACCCAGGAGACAGAGGTTGCAGTGAGCCAAGATCTCACCACTACACTGCAGCCTGGGTGACAGAGCAAGATGCTGTCTCAAGAAAAGAAAAAGAAAGAAAACAGATGAATTATAAAAGGCAAACATATTTCTGAAAGAATGGCAAATCCGAGGGATGACAGTCTTACATTTTGTATATGATTATTCTGGTCACGTTAGTCCTTGGCATCCTACCTTATATGGCATATGACCAACCAGGATGATGACATGTCTAGAAACAGGTCATGAAGAACAGCTGGAGAAACTAGAATTGATTGTTTAGCTCAGAAAATAAAAGATGGAGAATGTGATAACTTTCTTCCAATATTGAATGTGCTTAGAAAAGTGTGTACTTTTCAGGAACCCTGAATGGAAATGAGCATCAAATTTATATAACATTTATAGTCACCTTAGTGTAACTGCAAGAACTTTCTGATAACTAGAGCTATCCAAAATATAATGGGTTGTCTCGTAAGTTAGTTAAGTTTTTCAATGATGGCTTTCCCCCTGACTTCCAGAGTCAATATCACTTGATCTTGGCCAAAAGACTGAGAAGTGATTAGAGTCATATATCTATAGCCTGTCTTATTTGTATCTGGGTGGTCAAAAAGCCTCTCAAATTAAGCATAGCCAAAGGAGAAGTCCTGTTTATCTTTCAAACTCCCAAATCTTTTCCTTCTCTAGTCTTTTACATCTCAGTAAATATTTTATCACTGTTCACCAAATTGCAAAAGCTAGGAGTTATTCAGGATTTTTCTCTTTCCCACACCTTCCATATCTAATCCACCAACAAAAACTGTTACCTTTATCTCCAAAATACTCTTAGATTCCTTCCACTCGCACATGTCTGCTACACCATACTTGTCAAAGCCATTATAAACTGTCCCTTGATCTACTGAAGTAGTCTCCTAATGAGTCTCACTGATTCCTCTCTTTTCTTTTGTTTTTTGTTTGTTTGTTTGCTTTTTGAGATGGAGTTTCACTCTGGTTGCCCAGGCTGGAGTGCAATGGCCCACGAGTGCAATGGCTCACAATGGAGTGCGATCTCGGCTCATGGCAACCTCCGCCTCCCGGGTTCAAACAATTCTCCTGCCTCAGCCTCCTGAGTAGCTGGGATTACAGGCATGTACCACCACACCCGGCTAATTTTGTATTTTTAGTAAAGATGGGGTTTCTCCATGTTGGTCAGGCTGGTCTCAAACTCCTGGCCTCAGCTGATCTGCCCACCTCGACCTCCCGAAATTCTGGGATTACAGGCATCTCACTTTATTATTTTATTTTTTATTTTTTGAGATGGAGTCTCGCTCTGTCACCCAGTCTGGAGTGTAGTGGCGCGATCTCAGCTCAATGCAACCTCCGCCTCCCGTGTTCAAGCAATTCTCTGCCTCAGCCTCCCGAGTAGCTGGGATAACGGGTGTCTGCCACCACGACCAGCTAATTTTTGTATTTTTAGTAGAAACAGGGTTTCACCATGTTGGCGAGGCTGGTCTTGAACTCCTGACCTCGTGATCCACCCACCTCGGCCTCCCAAAGGGCTGGGATTACAGGCATGAGCCACCGCATCCAGCCAGGTATCGCACTTTATATATAGCTTGGGAAATCAATGAGCATCATCTGTCCAGTCTTCATCACTTCCCAGAGTAACCCCTTGATTCCCACTCTGGACATTAGGCATTCCATCTTTACATCCTCTTAAGACAGTTATGTCAATTTCAATTTCTTTTCAGGGAGGGCAGGTAAAACAAAAGCATGCTTCCTCTATTTGTTTTCATTTTTATTTCTTGGAGATGGGGTCTCCCTATGTTGCCCATAGACTGGTCTCAAACTCCTGAGCTCAAGCCATCTTCCTGCCTCAGCCTCCAAAAGTGCTGGGATTACAAGCATGAGCCACTGCGCCCAACTCTCTGTTTGTTTTTTGATGACCACCCCCTTGCTCCCCAAATGGCTGTATCAGCAAAGTTGGGAGCTTAAGAAGAAATCTAAACAGGCCATTACTACCCCTGCAGCTGCCTGTTCTCCTCAACCAGTGTGATGCCACCCTTACCCGAAACGTTTACACATGTACCACTGCTTCTTCCACAAATGCTCCTTTTTTTTTCTTTTTCTTTGTTTTTGTTGAGACAGGGTCTCACTCTGATGCCCAGGCTGGAGTGCAGTTGCACGGCTTCAGCTCACTGCAACCTCCGCCTCCCAGGTTGAAATGATTCTCCTGTCTCAGCCTCCTGAGTAGCTGGGATTACAGGCTCACTCCACCAGCCCGGCTAATTTTTGTATTTTTAGTAGAAACGGGGTTTCACCATGTTAGCCAGGATGGTCTTGATCTCCTGACCTCGTGATCTGCCCGCCTCAGCCTCCCAAAGTGCTGGGATTACAGGTGTGAGCCACCGCGCCTGGCTTACAAAAGCTCCCTCTCAATGCACCAGCCTCACAACATGAAGTAGACTTTTAAAAAATCATTTTATAATTATAATTAGCCATATCATATTGTAAAAATTTTTATATTTTTAATGCAAAACCAGACATGTAAAATTCTGACTAAGTTGATTACACGTATTTAACAAAGTCATTTTCCAAAACTTCAGCTTTCATGGGTTTTGTTTCCTAAAACTGGTTTTCTTAAGAATGTGCCTGCCCAGTCGTAGTGGTGCGTGCCTATAATCCCAGGTAGTTGGGAGGCTTAGGCGAGAGGATCACTTGAGGCCAGCAGTTCTGGGCTGAAGTGTGCTTTGCACATCAGGTGTTGACACTAAGTTTGGCATCAGTATGATAATCTCCCACGAGCGGGGGACCACAAAGTTACCTAAGGAGAAGTGAACTAGCTTCTCCACAGAGCATGGCCCATATAAGTCCCGTGCTGATCCGCAGTGGGATGGCGCCTGTGAATAGCCAGTTATTGCACTCCAGCCAGAACAACATAGCAAGATCCTGTCTCAAAAACTAATGTGTGTGGTTTGCTCATTTTTCTTTTCTACTTTTCGCTACTTTCTTCTACTTTGCAAAAGAAAAGCTATCTCTAACCCATGTTAAACTTTTACTGTGGTGCAAGATGCACAATTTAAGAGTGCATAGCTGCTGAGGAAGAGCACTATTGACGGCATCGATGGAGATGATTAAACGGAGCACCACCCTACTTTATCCAAGTGTGATTATCCATGGATGAATGACATCAGTATCTTCAGGGAGGCTGTTAGACATACAAATTCTCGGCTCCACCCCAGGCCTGCTGAGTCACAATTTCAGCAGAGTGGGATCAGGAAATCTGTATTAACAAGCCTTTGAAGTGGGTATTAATGAATGCTAATTTTTTTTTTTTTTTTGAGACAGAGTCTCGCCCTGTCGCTCAGGTTGGAATGCAAAGTTTTAGAAGGATCAATTGGTAAACAAACCCTAATTTCCAGAGTATATTTGTCTTAGAATTAAGAAGATGGTTGGGCCAGGCACGGTGGCTCACGCCTGTAATCCCAGCACTTTGGGAGGCCAAGGCGGGCGGATCACGAGGTCAAGAGATTGAGACCATCTTGGCCAACATGGTGAAACCCCATCTCTACTAAAAATACAAAAATTAGCTGGGTGTGGTGGCACGTGCCTGTAGTTCCAGCTACTCGGGAGGCTGAGGCAGGAGAATCGCTCAAACCCAGGAGGTGGAGGTTGCAGTGAGCCGAAATCTTGCTACTATACTCCAGCCTGGGTGACAGAGCAAGAATCCGTCTCAAAAAACAAACAAACAAACAAAAAACATAAACAAAAACCATTCATAAAACACATATAGGCCAGGCACGGTGGCTCACGCCTGTAATCCTAGCATTTTGGGAGGCCAAGGTGGGTGGATGACTTGAGGTCAGAAGTTTGAGACCGGCCTGACCAAAATGGTGAAACCCCGTCTCTATTAAAAATACAAAATTACCCGAGCGCAGTGGTGCACACCTGTAATCCCAGCTACCTGGGAGGCTGAGGTAGGAGAATCACTTGAAGCTGGGAGGTAAAGGTTGCAGCGAGCCAAGATCGCGCCATTGCACTCCAGCCTGGGCAACAAGAGTGAAACTCCATCTCAAAACAAAACAAAACAAACACATATATTCCTTTCTAAAAATTAAATAGTTCTCTTGATCTTACCTTCAGCTTGAGAGGATAGAACAGTACCCTATATCTGCGCTCCCTTTTATTTATTTTTGACAGAGAGTCTCCCTATGTTGCCCAGGCTGGTCTTGAACTCCTGGGCTCAAGCAATTCTCCTGCCTCAGCTTCCCAAGTAGCTGGGATTACAGGCAGGTGCTGCTGGGCCTGGCCCATATGGTCCTTTTTAAAGCAAAATTCCAGGCCAGGCATGGTGACATGAACACTTTGGGAGGCCAAGGCAGGAGGATCACTTGAGGCCAGGAGGTTGAGACCAACCTGGCCAACATGGTGAAACCCCGTCTTTACTAAAAACAACAAAAAAATTAAAATTAGCCTGGTGTGGTGGCTTGCACCTTTAATCCCACCACTTGGGAGGCTGAGGCAATAAGTACTGTTTGAGCCCAGGAAGTGGAGGCTGGAATGAGCCGAGATCGTGCCACTGCACTCCAGCCTGGGTGACACAGCAAAACTCTTATCTGAAAAAAAACAAAAACAAAATTTCTCCATTTCCTTAAATAATTCCCTATTGAACCTATACCAGTAAGGCATTTGCCCCATTTCTCTATTTGAACCATTCCTGTCAGTCATCAACAAACACTATCTTATGAAATCCAATGGTCAATTCTCGAGCCTTCTTACTCAACCACTCAACATCTGACAAAACCTATCATTCTCTCCTTGTTCATATAAATGGGTTGTATTTTATTACTGAGTTGTAAAAGGACTTTACATATTCTAGATACAAGCCCCTTATCATACACATGATTTGCTATAATTGTCTCCCATTCTGTGGGTTGTCTTTTCACTTTCTTGGGTATCCTTTGAAACACAAAAATTTTAATTTTCTTTTCTTTTTCTTTTTGAGATGGAGTTTCGCTCCTATTGCCAAGGCTGGAGTGCAATGGCATGACCTCAGCTCACCACAACTTCCGCCTCCCGGGTTCAAGCGATTCTCCTGCCTCAGCCTCCCGAGTAGCTGGGATTCCAGGCATGTGCCACCACACCCTGCTAATTTTGTATTTTTAGTAGAGATGGAGTTTCTCCATGTTGGTCAGGCTGATCTCAAACTCCCAACCTCAGGTGATCTGCCTGCCTCAGCCTCCCAAAGTGCTGGGATTACAGGCGTGAACCACCCTGCCCAGCCCCAAATTTTAAATTTTGAATATATCCAATATACCCAGTTTTTCATTTGCTCATGCTTTTGTTGTCATAGCTAAGAAATCATTACCCAATCCAAGATCACAAACATTAACATTTATGTTTTCTTCTAAGAGTTTTATGGTTGTAGCACTTTCATCCATTCTGAGTTAATTTTTGTATACAGTATGAGGTAAAGGTCCAGTTGCATTTTTTGGCATACAGTTATCCTCTTCTCCCTTCACCATTTGTTGAAAAGACTATTCTTTCCCCCATTGAATAATCTTGGCACCCTTGTCAAAAATCAGTTGAACAGGCTGGGCGTGATGGCTGGTGCCTGTAATCCCAGCACTTTGAAAGGCTGAGGAGGGCGGATCACCTGAGGTCAGGAGTTGGAGATCAGCCTGACGAACACGGTGAAACCCTGTCTGTACTAAAAATACAAAAAGTTAGCTAGGCGTAGTGGCGCATGCCTGTAATCCCAGCTACTCAGGAGGCTGAGGCAGGAGAATCACTTGAACCCAGGAGGCAGTGGTTGCGATGAGCCAAGATGGTGCCACTGCACTCCAACCTGGGTGACAGAGCAAGACTCCGCTGTCTCAAAAAATAAAAAAAAAAAGGAAATAAATTTTGGAAAGGAAGTGATAGTCAATGTGAGGTGCAAAATATACAGGTTTTGCAAGGAGCCCATTTATTATACATGACCAGGGCTAGGGTATTAACCATGGGAATAAATGACTGAGGTGGACTGGAAAACAAGATGATTGGAAATGAGTGGACAAGAAACTGAGGGCCAGTTGTCTCCATACATCATGGAATAGCCAGGACTGATGACAGTAGGAATGGTGAAAACCAAGAGAATGAATCAGGCTTCTAAATTTTCAGAGAATGTGGGGGAAGTGACCCAGGAGTTCAGTAGATTATTACAATATCCTGATGGCATGCACTGAAAAGAAGCTGAGTTTTTAAGGGATTAGCAACAGTTTGAAGTAGGCAAAGAGCAGCATCATAAGAGTTACAAACGAAATGCTGAACCTACCCTGTAGTACTTTCAGAGAAGTGAGATCCTCTAACTTGAAAGATCAAGAAGGGGATCATGGGAAACGTGGCATTTATATGGACCTTGAAAGATGAAAAGAATTTTGAGAGAAATAGACTTGGAAAGATAATTCCAGGCAGAGAGATGCTATTACCAACCAAAGAGCTGACACTGCTCCACCCACGCCTGGTGCTTTTGCAAATCCGCCTCCAGAGCCCGTTGCTGTGGTGCTAGTAACATCCTTGGTATTACCAGAGCTGGTTAGCAGTTGGCCACCAGGTGGCAGTGTATATCTTTGCGCCATCCCTCCCAGTACTGGCCCTGGAGAAAAACTGGAAGTGAGAATTAGCACAGGTACAGCTGAGGTGAGATCAGTGGCTTGTGGATTGTGTATTTAGTTAGGCCTGAAGAAGCAAAGCCCTCAGAGAAGAGGATAAATTTGGGAACATTTAGGGAAAATATCAGGCAGAAGATAAAAGGAAAGGAAATTGCCTCAGGGCGAGAGTATAATGAGGTCTAAAAAGTAGTAGGGGGCTCTTGGAGGGACAGCCATGTCCTCCTGGCCATTCCTTTAGGAACTAGTTGGTCAGGATAGCCACGCTGCCCTAGGCTTTACAAAACTCCGGAAATACACTCTTGGAACCAGAGGTGATAATTCACTGAATGAGGATTACCCCAACCAGCCACAGCGGGAAATCCTTGGAGAAGGTGTGCGCTGATTGGATCAGAGGCACAAAGGAAAAGAATCCCAGCATGAAGGACCAGTTGGAATGCCAAGACTCCATAAATCACTGCAAGAAAAACGCCTTATGGTGAGGGTTCTGGGATTTGGGATCATTTCCAGATGAGAATCCACAGATGACTCACTGCCTCACACAGTCCTTCTGAGGTTGTTAAACAGATTGTTTCCATCAGTATTGAGTCAGGAATTGAGGCTGCTCCCCACTGCACTTACTTGTCAACTTTTTTTTTTTTTCCTGAGACAGAGTTTCACTCTTGTGGCCCAGGCTGAAGTGCAATGGCGCAATCTCAGCTCACTGCAACCTCTGCCTCCTGGGTTCAAGCGATTCTCCTGCCTCAGCCTCCCGAGTAGCTAGGATTAGAGGCATGCACCACCATGCCCAGCTAATTTTTTATTTTTAGTAGAGACGGGGTTTCTCCATGTTGGTCGGGCTGGTCTCAAACTCCAGACCACAAGTGATCCACCCACCTCGGTCTCTCAAAGTGCTGGGATTACAGGCGTGAGCCACCTCGCCCGGCATCAACTGTTTTCATAAATTAATTATCAGTTGTTTAAAGAAAGAAGCAGCCAAAAGGAAGAACCAAAGAGAGAGGGGAGATGTGAAGATCTGTAGTGCAAGGTGAGGAAAAGGCACCAGAGCAACATTGGAAGAGAGTTTGGAGCAATAGTCTTTTTTTTGGTGGGGGGGAGGCTTGTTTATTCCCCATAATAATTTTCAAAAACTATGTATTTCCCCTACACATTTTTAAGTTGACATCTAAGAAAATTTTTTTATGTTTAAGTAGCTTCCAGGGATTAATTTCTGCTGTCTATTATCTGGTATACATGCTTTCAGTACCACTGCTAGCTTTTCCATTGCTTTTGTGCAAATTAGGCAAAGGTGCCCTTTTGGGAAAAAGCAGGTTTTCTAGGAACGGTACTCTTGTGTAAAGAAAAAATGTGCCCCTTCCTCTGGATGAGGAGGAGAGCCTGGCCAGTGGATTGCAGGCTGTATTTCAGCCTCTACTTATCCCACAAAACCGCACAACTAAGTTTCAGCCCTTCACTTGTCCCGAAAACCATACAAACCATACATAAAAGCTTTGTAAACTTTAACTGAAAAAAAACAGGCCATGCGCGGAGGCTCACCCTTGTAATCCCAGCACTTTGAGGGGCTGAGGCAGCAGATCTCCTGAGGTCAGGAATTCCAGACCAGCCTGGCCAACATGGTGAATCCCCATCTATACTAAAAATACAAAAATTAGCCAGGTATGGTGGCGCACACCTGCAATCCCACCTACTCGGGAGGCTGACGCAGGAGAAATGCTGGAACCCGGGAGGCAGAGGTTGCAATGAGCTGAGATTACGCCACTGCACTCCAGCCTGGGCGACAGAGCGAGACTCCATTTCAAAAAAAAAAAAACAAAAACAAAGGCCAGTGTGGTGACTCAGGTCTGCAATCCCAGCACTTTGGGAGGCCAAGTCAGGTGGATCACGAGGTGAGGAGTTTGAGACCAGCTTGACCAACATGGTGAAACCCCGTCTCTACTAAAAATACAAAAATTATCTGGGCATGGTCGCGCATGCCTGTAATCCCAGCTACTCAGGTGGCTGAGGCAGCAGAATTGCTTGAACCCAGGAGGCGGAGGTTGCAGTGAGCCGAGATCACGCCACTGCACTCCAGCCTGGGCTACAGAGCCAGACTTGTCTCTCAAAAAAAAAAAAAAAAAAAAAAAAGAAGACACCAAACTGCATGCGGTGGCACATGTCTGTAATACCAGCACTTTGGAAGGCCGAGACAGGGTCCCCCAGCAGTGCCAGCCCACCGGCGCTGCGCTCGATTTCTCGCCGGGCCTTAGCTGCCTTCCCACGGGGCAGGGCTCGGGACCTGCAGCCCGCCATGCCTGAGCCTTCCCACCCCCTCTGTGGCCTCCTGTGCGGACGAGCCTCCCCGACGAATGCCGCCCCCTGCTCCACGGCGCCCAGTCCCATCGACCACCCAAGAGCTAAGGAATGCGAGCACATGGCGCGGGACTGGCAGGCAGCTCCACCTGCAGCACCGGTGCGTGATCCACTAGGTGAAGCCAGCTGGGCTCCTGAGTCTGGTGGGCACTTGGAGAACCTTTATGTCTAGCTCAGGGATTGTAAATACACCAATCGGCACTCTGTATCTAGCTCAAGGTTTGTAAATACACCAGTCAGCACCCTGTGTTTAGCTCAAGGTTTGTGAGTGCACCAATTGACACTCTTTATCTAGCTGCTCTGGTGGGGCCTTGGAGAATCTGTGTGTGGAAACTCTGTATCTAACTAATCTGATGGGCACGTGGAGAACATTTGTATCTGGCTCAGGGATTGTAAACGCACCAATCAGCCCCCTGACAAAACAGGCCACTCGGCTCTACCAATCAGCAGGATGTGGGTGGGGCCAGATAAGAGAATAAAAGCAGGCTGCCCAAGCCCGCATTGGCAACCAGCTTGGGTGTCCTTTCAAACTGTTGAAGCTTTGTTGTTTCACTCTTTGCAATAAATCTTGCTACTGCTCACTTTTTATGTCCACGTTGCTTTTATGAGCTGTAACTCTCACCGCAAAGGTCTGCAGCTTCATTTTTGAGCCCAGCGAGACTACGAGGCCACCGGAAGGAACGAACGACTCCTGACGCGCTGCCTTAAGAGCTGCGACACTCACGGCGGAAGTCTGCAGCTTCACTCCTGAGCCAGCAAGACCACGAACCCACCAGAAGGAAAACACTCCGAACGCATCTGAACATCAGAAGGGAGGGACTCCAGACGCACCACTTTAAGGGCTGTAACACTCACTGCGAGGGTGTGCGGCTTCATTCTTGAAGTCAGTGAGACCAAGAACCCACCAATTCCAGACACATGGCCACCATTGTGAAACTCCATCTCTATTAAAAATACAAAAAAATTAGCTGGGTGTGCTGGTGCATGCCTGTAGTCCCAGCTACCTGGGAGGCTGAGGCAGGAGAATGAACCCAGGACACAGAGGTTGCAGTGAGCTGAGATTGTGCCACTGCACTCCCGCCTGGGTGACAGAGTGACTCCATCTTAAAAAAAAATAAAAAATAAACCTTGGAATACGGACATAGCTCATTCAATTCATTGACATATAAACTAAATGACAAACATACTGTTTATGGAGAAACCTGTGAGCCACATCTTTTGGCTTTGGAAGCCAAAAGCCTAACTTCCTTTTATTTCAGATGAAAACTTATCTCCCTATATCAACCATCTTCCTTTTTTTTCTTTTTTTCTTTTTTTTTTTTGAGACGGAGTCTCACTGTTGCCCAGGCTGGGGTGCAGTGGCATGATCTTGGCTCACTGCAACCTCCACCACCCGGGTTCAAGCGATTCTCCCGCGTCAGCCTCCCGAGTAGCTGGCACTACAGGCATGTGCCACCATGCCTGGCTAATTTTTTGTGTTTTTTAGTAGAGCCAGGGTTTCACTGTGGTAGCCAGGATGGTCTTGATCTCCTAACCTCGTGATCTGCACGCCTCGGCCTCACAAAGTGCTGGGATTACAGGTGTCAGCCCCCGCGCCCGGCCACCACATTGTTTTGATTACAGCTTACTGCTGAATTTTGAGAGTGCTTTACATTCTCTAGAAACAAATCCTTTGGGATATGTGGTTTGCAAATATCTTCTCTGAATGTAGCCTATCTTTTCACCATATACATGGGGCCTTTTGCAGAGCAAAAGCTTTTCATTTTGATAAGCCCAAATTTATCAATTTTTCCTCTTGTGGTTTGAGCTTTTAACGTCTTTTGTTGTTGTTGTTATTGTTGTTTGAGATGGAGTCTCGCTCTGTCGCCCAGGCTGAGTGCAGTGGTGCAATCTCAGCTCACTGCAACCTCCGCCTCCCGGATTGAAGCCATTCTCCTGCCTCAGCCTTCCAACTAGCTGGGACTGCAGGTGCGCACCACCATGCCTGGCTAATTTTTTGTATTTTTAGTAGAGACGGGGTTTCACCATGTTAGCCAGGATGGTCTCGATCTCCGGACCTCATCATCCGCCGGCCTCGGCCTCCCAAAGTGTTGGGATTACAGGCGTGAGCCACCGTGCCCGGCTGAGCTTTTACTGTTAAGTCTCTTTTACTATAACACAGGCATGCTCACTTGTTTATGTAATGAACGTGGCTGCTTAAATGCTATGACGTTGGAACTGAGTAGCTGTAGTGGTGACTGAGCCGCTATGGCCCACAAAGCCTCTATCTGCACAAAAAGAGTCAGCCGACCCAGGCTCTAATCAGATAAGCCTCCATACTCTTAGGGTATTTTCATATGCCTTTCCCTCTATCTGAAACACTCTTTCTTCAGATCTCCTCATGGCCGGCTCTTTATGTCACTCTGGTTTCTGCTCAAATTTACCGTAAAGAGGCCTTCCCTGACCACACTACAGGTATATCTCGCTTTATTGCATTTTGCTCCTATTGCGCTTTTTTACAAATTGAAGGTTTGTGGCAATCCTATGTTAAGCAAGTCTATTGGCCTCATTTTTCCAACAGCATGAGCTCACTTTGAGTCTCTGTGCCACATTCTGGTAATTCTTGTAATATTTCAAACATTTCGTTATTATTATATCTGTTATAGTGATCTGTGATCAGTGATCTTTGATATTACTATTGTCATTGTTTTGGCATGAACCATACCTATATAAGACAATGAATATACAAAAATTAGCCAGGCAGGCTGGGCACGGTGGCTCCCACCTGTAATCCCAGCACTTTGGGAGGCCAAGGTGGGCGGATCACGAGGTCAGGAGATCGAGACCATCCTGGCTAACATGGTGGAACCCCATCTCTACTAAAAACACAAAATATTCGCCGGGCGTGGTGGCACATGCCTGTAGTCCCAGCTACTCGGGAGGCTGAAGCAGGAGAATCTCTTGAACCTGGGAGGCGGAGGTTACAGTGAGCCGAGATCGTGCCACTGCACTCCAGCCTGGGCGGCAGAGTGAGACTCTGTCTCAAAAAAAAAAATGAAAATAAAAATAAAAAAAGACAATAAATCTAATTAATAAATACTGTATGCATTCTGACTGCTCCACTAACTGGCCATTCCCCATTTCTCTCTCCTTCTCTCTCTTCTCAGGCCTCCCTATTTCCTGAGACAATAATATTGAAAATTAGGCCAATTAAAAACCCTAAATGGCATCTAAGAATTCAAGTGAAAGAGTCAAACATATCTCACTTTAAATCAAAAGCTAGAAATGATTAAGATTAGTGATAAAGGCATGTCAAAAGCCAAGAGAAGCCAAAAGCAAGGCCTGTTGCACCAAACAGTTAGCCAAGCTATAAATACCAAGGAAAAGTTCTTGAGGAAAATTAAAAGTGCTACTCCAGTGAACACACTGAAAGTGTGACAGGGGCCGGGCATGGTAGCTCACGCCTGTAATCCCAACACTTTGGGAGGCCGAGGCGGGTGGATCATCTGAGGTCAGGAGTTCGAGACCATCCTGGCCAACATGGCAAAACCCTGTCTCTACCAAAAATACAAAAATTAGCCAGGCATGGTGGCGTGCGCTTGTACCCAGCTAATCCCAGCTACCCAGGAGGCTGTGGCAGGAGAATCGCTGGAACCCAGTGGGCAGAGGCTGCAGTGAGCTGAGATTGCACCACTGCACTCCAGCCTGGGTGACAGACCAAGACTCTGTCTCAAAAAAAAAAAAAAAAAAGAAAAGAAAGTGAAACAGATGTATTGCTGATATGGAGAAAGTTTTAGTGGTCTAGATAGACCACTAAACATTTTCTTAAGCCAAAGCCTAATCCAGAGCAAGGCCCTAACTTTCTTTAATTTTTTCTTTTTACTTTGAGATGGAGTCTTGCTCTGTCGCCTAGGCTGGAGTGAGTGCAGTGGCATGATCTCAGCTCACTGCAACCTCCACCTCCTGGGTTCAAGCTATTGTCCTGCCTCAGCCTCCCAAGTAGCTGGAACTATAGGCGCCTGCCACCACGCCCAGCTAATTTTTATATTTTTTAGTAGAGACAGGGTTTCACTATGTTGGCCAGGCTGATCTAGAAATCCTGGCCTCAGGTGATCCACCCGCCTCAGCCTCCCAAAGTGCTGGGATTACAGGCATAAGCTACTGGGCCCAGCCAACTTTCTTTCATTTTATGAAGGCTGAGAAAGGTGAGGAAGCTGTAGAAGAAATGTTAGAAGGTAGCAGAAGTTGGTTCATGAGGTTTAAGGAAAGAAGCTGTCCCTATAACTTAAAAGTACAAGGTAGGTGAAGCAGCAAGTGCTGATACAGAAGCTACAACTAGTTATCCAGATTTAGCTAAGATAATTGATAAAAGTGGCAACACTATACAACAGATTTTCAGTGTAGATGAAAAAGCCTTACATTGGAGGAAGATGCCATCTAGGACTTTCATGGTTTTTTTTTTTTTTGAGACAGAGTTTCACTTTTGTCGCCCATGCTGGAGTGCAATTGCTCAATCTCGGCTCACGCCTGTAATCCCAGCACTTTGGGAGGCCGAGGCGGGTGGATCACAAGGTCAGGAGATTGAGACCATCCTGGCTAACACGGTGAAACCCCGTCTCTACTAAAAACACAAAAAATTAGCCGGGCGTGGTGGCGGGGGCCTGTAGCCCCAGCTACTCTGGAGGCTGAGGCAGGAGAATGGCTTGAACCCAGGAGGCGGAGCTTGCAGTGAGCGGAGATCTCGTGCCACTGCACTCCAGCCTGGGCGACAGAGGGAGACTCCGTCTCAAAAAAAAAAAAAAAAAAAACAAAAAAAACATTCGTGATTCATGGGAGGAGGTCAAAATGTCAACATTAACAGAACTTTGGAAGAAGTTGATTCCAACCATCATGGATGACTTTGATGGGTTCAAGACTTAAGTGGAGGAAGTAACTGTAGATGTGGTAGAAATAGCAAGAGAACTAGAATTAGAAGTGGAACCCGAAGATGAGACTGAATTGTTGCAATCTCATAAGAAAACTTGAATGGATGAGGAGGTGCTGCTTATGCATAAGCAAAGAAAGTGGTTCTTGGCTGGGCTCAGTGGCTCACACCTGTAATCCCAGCACTTTGGGAGGCTGAGGCAGGCAGATCACAAGGTCAGGAGTTTGAGACCAGCCTGGCCAATATGGTGAAACCCCATCTCTACTAAAAATACAAAAATTAGCTGGGTGTGGTGGCGTGCGCCTGTAGTCCCAGCTACTCGGGAGGCTGAGGCAGAAGAATCACTTGAACCTGGGAGGTGGAGGTTGCAGTGAGCCGAGATCGTTCCACTGCACTCCAGACTGGGTGACAGAGTGAGACTCTGTCTCAAAAAAAAAAAAAAAAAGGAAGTGTTTCTAGACATGGAATCTACTCCTAGTAAACGTGTTGTGAATATTGTTGAAATGACAGCAAAGGATTTCAAATATTACGTAAATTTAGTTAATAAAGCAGTAACAAAGTGTGAGAGAACTGACTCGAATTATGAAAGAAGTTCTACTTGGCTAAAATGCTATCAAACAGCATCACATGCTACAGAGAACTCCTTCGTGAAAATAAGAGTCTATAATAGATGCAGCAAACTTCATTGTTGTCTTACTTAAATAAATTGCTACAGCCAACCCCAGCCTTTAGTAACCACAACCCTGATCAGTCGGCAGCCATCAATGCTGAGGCAAGACCCTCCAGAGGCAAAAAGATTATGACATGCTGAAGGCTCAGATGATTGTTAGCATTTTTTAGCAAGAAGGTATTTTTAAATTAAGGTATATACATTTTGTTTAGACACAATGCTATTGTACAGGAAATACACAACAGTATAATGTAACATAACTTTTATATGCACTGGGAAGCCAAAGTATTTCTGACTCACTTTATTGGATATTAGCTTTCTCTCAGCAGTCTGGAACCAAACCTGCACTATCTCTGAGGTATGCCTGTATTTAGAATAATCAAAATCCTCCCCGTCCATTCCACCATTTTCTATCCCTTTATCTTGCTTTATTTTTCTTCTTAGAATTTATCACTTCCTTCTCTATCAGGGTAGTCATAGGCACCAAGAGTGCCTGTAGTATAATAGCTACTCGAGAAATATTTCAGTGAATAAATGAGTCATGAAGAACTACTACATCTTCCCAGAAAAAAGCTACATATTAGCCTGTAACTTGTTTTGTTAGAGAAAAAATACTTGAATAAAAGAATATGTCTGGTCAGGCACAGTGGCTCGCTCATGGCTGTAATCCCAGCATTTTGGGAGGCCGAGGCAGGTGGATCACCAGAGATCAGGAGTTCAAGACCAGTCTGGCCAACATGGCGAAACCCTGTCTCTACAAAAATACAAAAAAATTATGCCGGGCTCGTTGGCTCAAGCCTGTAATCCCAGCACTTTGGGAGGCCGAGGCGGGCAGATCACCTGAGGTCGGGAGTTCAAGACCAGCCTGACCAACATGGAGAAACCCCATCTCTACTAAAAATACAAAATTAGCCGGGCATGGTGGCTCATGCCTGTAATCCCAGCTACTCGGGAGGCTGAGGCAGAAGAATCGTTTGAACCCAGGAGGCGGAGGTTGCGGTGAGCCGAGATCACACCATTGCGCTCTAGCCTGGGCAACAAGAGTGAAACTCCATCTCAAAAAAAAAAAAAACAGTGTTGACTAAGTATGCTCTGCTTCTCTAAGTGTCACATTAAAATGTTCAGAAAAAATCTGGGAGTTGGAGATGCAAAGCATTCAAGATGCGGGTAAGTTCCCAGAAAATAAGTTTAGTGAGTCTTTCCAGAGGTGAGCACATGTGGCAAATTAGGCATTACGTAACTTAACCACCAGATGCTGCCTATCCTACCCTCCAGCCCAATCCAAAGGCTCATATGTTGCTGAATACATTTTCTTGATCTTTATCACAGTATGCAAGTACAATGACTCAGTTACACTCTATAGTCTGCTCTAGAAAAAGTTATTATTACTGTGTACATTCATATATTACTCTATGTTACTCTTCACGCGTATATAGCCATGGTTCTTTCCAAGGAAATTCCCGCAAAACCAGTTGCATATGATTATTACGGAGGCCTGTTTGCAATTACAATGCTGATCATAAATATTTTATCATTCGTCTTGTTCTTGATAATATTAAAGCACAAAAGGCTGCAAATGGCAAAGAGTAATTGCTTATGAATAAAAAGATTTTGGGAATGTACCAAGTCTGTTGGCTGTAACAGTCTCTCCCACCACCACTTACGTATATTACACATTATCAAGACATGAAAAGTTTAGGAAGATGATAGGTACTGTGATTATCAACATAACTCTGACAAACCAATTTGATATCTGACATCAGTTTTAATACTCACATTCTGTCTGTTGTCCATCTCTCTGCTATCCTAGGAATTGACTCCCTCTCCAATTTCTCTTCAAGGTACTGCTTCCTGTAAATTGTAATTGTCTAGTTATTCATTTACTCCATCTACTTAAGCTCCTTGAGGGAAGAGGCTGTGATTTAGCCCCCTCGCCAATGGACACTCCAATAAATACTTCTGGAAGAAAAGTGAAAATTTATATAATTCTATTGATGTTTTAGATTAACTCAATTCTGGGATCCTCAACAAAGTTTATTCTACTCATTCAGTAGCCATTGAGAAGCATTTTTTCAAATAAGGGTTCTGGGGAGAGACAGCTGAAGGTAAGGTAAAAATGTCTCTCCTATATTTTGAGTTGTTTCTCTGTCACCAACTAGCAGTTTCCCCATCTGCAAAATGAGCAAGGATTGGATTAGGTAATCTTGCTGTCATAAAATTCTGTGATTTAATGTGGTTTACCTTGCCATATAAAATTTAAAACACTTAGAACAAGCCACCTCTCCTCATAGCATCACCTTAGCCTAAACTGCTTCAGTGAGCCACAGTGAAGTTGGAAGTCGTGATTCTGCTTAACCAGTTACCAAATGTGAGTCTGTTTCCTCCTCTACCAGCTCTGCTGACTTGGACTGATAGTTCTGAAGGTCTGCTGAGATACGTTATGTTGAACACCTGTGTTATTTCCTGAGTCTATTAGGAGGAGGAGAATTAGGACAGACTGTCCCTTCCACTATTCCACATCCTCCTTATTTCATTTTCATTTCTCTCTGCTACCTTCCCCACCCTGCGCCTCACTGTTTTTGTTCCTGTATCAGCTAGTTCTTATCTTCTAGGTCATTCACACTTGGAAAAAACAAATAAAGTCAAACCAAAAAAAACCTCAGAACTCTTTTAACTCAAATAAATATACTTTTCAAAAAAAGTAAAGTAGTATGGTCAGCCCAGCTCCAAGAACCCAGTGAAGCCCCCACCCACCTGAAGCCAAAATGTTCAGCAAGTGGACCAAAGCCAAGACCACCAAGAAGCGACCACAGCACAAGGGGCCACATCCAATGTCTTCGTGATGTTCGACCAGTTCCACATCCAGGAGTTTAAGGAGGCTTTCAACATGATTGACCAGAACCATGATGGCTTCAATGACAAGGGGGACAGCACGACAAGCTGGCTTCACCGCGGAAGAACCCCATGGATGAATACCTGCAGGGCATGATGAGCGAGGCCCCAGGGCCCATCAACTTCACCACTTCCCTCACCATGTTTGGGGAGAAGCTGAATGGAACAGACCCCCAGGATGTGATCCAAAACGCCTTCACCTGCTTCAACGAGGAATCCTCAGGTTTCATTCATGAGGACCACCTCCAGGAGCTGCTCACCACCATGGGTGACAGCTTCACAGATGAAGAAGTGGATGAGATGTACTGGGAGGCACCCATTGATAAAAAAAGACAAGTTCAACTAGGTGGAGTTCACCTGCATCCTCATACATGGCGCCAAGGGCAAAGATGACTAGGCCACCCCAGCCCTCGCGACACCCTGGCCCCCCCGCCAGTCATCTCCCCACCCCCGGCACACACTGGTCTGTACCAGCTCTCTGCCCACGACCTTCTCTCAGGGGATCCTCCCTTTGAGGGCTTCGGGTCCCAGCTCCCAGTGGAGAAATCACGCCAAGAGAAGTGCAGTGCAGGACTGAGGCAGGTGTTCTCACTGTGACCCTAGGGCCCTGGGCTGGAGTCTCTGACCCCTCCAGGGAAAGACCGCCTTATGAAGAGATGGGCCTCCAGGACCTGGAGGTACTGAGAGAAAGCCCCCAAGACAGCCATTCCTGGGCTGCTCCCCAAGGAGGAAGGGAACCTGTGTGCCCCCAGGAGGAAGGGACCCTTAGTCCTGAGATCCAATACCATTTCACATGCATCCCCACCCAAACACAAGTTCACCAAAGTCCCCTCTCAGAGGACAGGACACTAGACTCCTCCCCTACACCCTGTTGAGACACCAGCGCACACCCACCCAGAGCAGCCACCCATCGTGGGAGTGTGCTCAAGAAGCCATCTGTCCCAGGGGAGGCAGAATCTCCAATAGAGGGCTGAGCATGGAAAAAAAACAAAAAAAAGAAAAAGAAAAAAAAAGTAAGGTACTATTTATTTATCTGTAAAATTAACTCAGATTAATTCTTCTTAAAAATCAATGGAAATTCTAAATTTAGTCTGTGTATTAAACTGGGACAAAACTAATAACAGTATTTTACCAAGGACACTTGGCCTTACTCCCCTTCTGTCACACTTCAGACATAAATCACTGAATGAATCCAGCACTGAATAAATGAATGATCCATAATTTCCTAAGACAATTCCAATTTTCATCTTGCACAAATCTACAAAGCTGATGCACCCGCACAGCACTTGAACTCCTGGTAGGTATCTTTCAAGGCCAAGGCAGTTCCTCCTCCCGAATCCAGTTCCCTCCGCCTGGATCATGCTCCCAAGGCTCCCTCATTTCATTCAGGTCTCCTGCCAAAAGACACTTCCTCACAAAGGCCTCTCAGACCGACCCCTTCCCCACTCCCAACTTCACAGTCCACTCCCCTAGCCCTACTACATTTTTATTCATGAAGATTTACGGCATTTTGTTACGTATCTATACATTTTCTTGTCTGTCTCTTCCCTAGAATATACAGTCCAGCAAGGCAAGGGCTGGGGTGGCTTCGTTTGCTGTGGGATCCCAGCACCTAGAGCGGAGCCCAGGACATAGTAGGTGCTCAGTAAATCACAAATCTCTTCTCCAAGGCTCCAAGGCTAGTTTCCCAGAGCCGCAGCTCTCTTCTTTCTTAGCCCGGCCCACCTCCGAGTAGCCGCCCACCTCTACTCTAGCTCGGCCACCTCTACCCCAGCTCAGGTCCTCATTCCCGCACCCCCCGGCCGCAGGGACGGCGCGGCGCACCCACCTCCCAGACCCCGCGACTGCGGTTGGGCCCCGCGGCTTCGCTCAACCACGCACCTCCCGGGCCGCTGCGCCCCCGCCGGCCCCGCCTGCAGCCGTTGGGACCCACTAACTGCCTCGAAAAGCCTAGGATTCGACTTTGAATGGTCCGTTAATGTGGTTACAAAACGTGACTCGGTTCATCGGGAGCCCTCCGTAAGCAAGACAAGCACCCACCTGCGGTCAGAGCAGGGGTCCGGCTCGCGGTCGGGGTTGTCCGGCCCCTCCCGGCTTCTCACCTGCGCACCGCACGGTCCAGCCCCGGCGGCTGCTGGGGATCCCTCCGAGCGCCCCCTCAGGCGTCTTCCTGCGACCGGGCGGGGGAACTCTTTACGGGGAAACAGTTTTGGGACCCACCACCCTTGGCGCCGCCGTTAGGAGGGTGTGAACGTATCTATTTTCAAAGATACCCGAGCCCCTCACCGCCTGCAGCAGGGAGATAGTGCCCGGGCTATCCCCGCGGGCGGGCCGGCTGGGCTGGGAAGGCCCAGGGCGAGATCCTGTAAAGAGTTATTTCGGGCCGCGCACGGTGGCTCACACCTGTAATCCTAGCACTTTTGGAGGCCGAGGAGAGCGGATAACTTGAGGTCAGGGGTTCGAGACCAGCCTGGCCAACATGGCGAAACCCAGTCTTTACTAAAAATAACAAAATTAGGGGGCTTGGCGGTGCGCTCCTATAGTCCCAACTGCTTGGGAGGCTGAGACAGGAGAATCGCTTGAACCCAGGAGGCGGAGGTTACAGTGAGCTGAACTCCGCCATTGCACTCCAGCCTGGGTAACAGCTCAAGATTCCGTCTCAAAAAACAAACAAACAAACAAACAAACAAACAAACAAACAAAACAGTTATTTCAGACTCAGGAGCTCTTTTTGGATGAAAAGCCCCGCGGTCGTTCTCTCCACCTCCTGGAAAAGACTCTCTAGGTTTTCGGCTTTGGAGTAATAAAGATCATCCCCTGCTGCCCCATTGGTGCCATCCAGGGTAAGGCCCCTGCAGACAGCACGAAGGTGTTTTGGAGAGATTGTTCTCCCCTAGCCCAAGCATAAGGCTTACCTTGGAATTACCTGGAGCCTTACCACGACAGCATGGCCTTCAGTACAGGGTTGACAAGTCAATAGCAAACAAGGGCCATTAAAAGGGTCTATACTGCACTTCTTAAATGAGGATATCTCAGTCAACAATAAACATGTCAAAAGGCATGCAACTGAATTGTTGATCAGGGAACTTCACATTAAAACTACATGAGATACCAATTCGTGCCCACTAGAATGACTAAAACAAAGATGGGAGTTGGGGTGTGGAGAAAAAAGGAAGTGAATGCCAAACCTGGGGAATGTGGAACATTCAGAACTCTCACACATTTGTTAATGGGGTACAAATTGATAAATTGTTTGGCAATATTTATTAGAACATATGGCTACCCCACGATCCAAGAATTCCACTCCTAGGTATACACTCAACAGAAATGTATACATATATTCACCAAAAAGTAGGTACTAAAATGTTCATCTCAGCCTGGCCTTTGCAATCAGTATTTTAAAAGTATATTTAGGCAGGATGCAGTGGCTCATGCCTGTAATCCCAGCACTTTGGGAGGCCGAGGCAGGTGGATCATGAGATCAAGAGTTCAAGACCAGCCTGGCCAACATGGTGAAACCCCGTCTCTACTGAAAAGACAAAAACTAGCCGGGCGTGGTGGCATGCGCCTGTAATCCCAGCTACTCCGGAGACTGAGGCAGGAAAATTGCTTGAACCCGGGAGGTGGAGGTTGCAGTGAGCCGAGATCACGCCACTGCACTCCAGCCTGGGCCAGAGAGCAAGATTCCATCTCAAAAAAATATATAAATATATATATAAATATATATAAATATGTATATAAATATATAAAAAATATATAAAAATATATATAAATATTTATATAACTATATAAACATATATAAATATATAAATATATAAATAATATATAAATACGTATTTATATATAAATTATATATAAATACGTATTTATATATAAATTATATATAAATACATATATAAATATATATTTATATAAAAATTATATATAAATACATATATAAATATATATTTATATATAATTTATATATAAATATATTTATATATAAATTATATATAAATATATTTATATATAAATTATATATAAATACATATATAAAAATTATATATAAATACATATATAAATATATATTTATATATAAATTATATATTAAATATTATATTTAATATTCTATTTAAATTTAAATATTTAAATATTATATTTAAATAGTTAAATATATTTAAATATTATATTTAAAATTAAATATATATATTTAATTATATATAATATATAAATATATTAAAATATATTTATATTTATATATTTATATATGTATTTTTATATATTTATATATATATATATAATTTCTTTGGGAGACCAAGGCAGGCAGATTACCTGAGGCTAGGAGTTCAAGGCCAGCCTGCCCAACATGGCAAAACCCCATCTCTACTAAAAATACAAAAATTAGCCGGGCATGGTGATGCACGCCTGCAATTCCAGCTACTTGGGAGAATGAGGCCTGAAAATTGCATGAATCCGGGAGGCAGAGGTTGCAGTCAGCCAAGATTGCACCACTGCACTCCAGCCTGTGTGACAGAGTGAGACTCCCTTTCAAAAAAAAAAAATTAAAAAAAATTATTGCTATGAATTGAATGTTTCTACCCCCTCAATATTAACATGTTGAAATCCTAAACCCCAGTGTGATGGTATTAGGGTATAGAGCCTTTGGAATGTGATTAGGTAATAAGAGTGGTGTCTCATCAATGAGATTAGTGTACTTATAAAAGAGACACCAGGGCCAGGCTCAGTGGCTCAAGCCTGTAATCCTAACACTTTGAAAGGCCGAAGCAGGTGGATTACCTGAGGTCAGGCGTTCAAGACCAGCCTGGCCAACATGGTGAAAGACCCCGTCTCTACTAAAAATACAAAAAATTAGCCGGGTGCAGTGGCGCATGCCTGTAATCCCAGGTACTCTGGAGGCTGAGGCAGGAGATTCTCTTGAACCCAGGAGGTGGAGGTTGCAGTGAGCTGAGATCGTGCCACTACACTCCAGCCTGGGCTACAGAACAAGACTTCGTCCCAGAAAAAAAAAAGAGACACCAAGCTGGGTGCGGTGGCTTATGTCTGTAATCCTAGCACTTCGGGAGGCCGAGGTGGGCAGATCACTTGAGGTCAGGAGTTTGAGACCTGCCTGGCCAGCATTGTGAAACCCATCTCTACTAAAAATACAAAAAAAATTAGCCAGGCATGCTGGCACATGCCTGTAGTCCCAGCTACCTGGGAGGTGGAGGCAGGAGAATGGCTTGAACCTGGGAGGCAGAGGTTGCAGTGAGTCGAGATCGCGCCATTGCACTCCAGCCTGGGTGACAGAGCAAAACTCCATCTCAAAAAAAAAAAAAAAAAAAAAAAAGAGAGACAACAGGGAGCTCTCTCCTGGATTTCTCCTTGTGAGGACGCAGCAAGAGTACAGTCACCTGTGAACCTGGAAGCATGCCCTCCCCAGACAGTGAATTTGCTGGGGCCTTGATCTTGGACTTCCCAGCCACCCAAATCAAGTGTTGGTGCTGAAGTGGAGAAAAGAGAAAGTGTTTACATTGGTGGAAATGTAAATTGGTGCAGCCATTATGGAAAGCAGTATGGAAGATTCCTCAAAAAATTAAAACAGAACTACCCTATGATCCAGCAATTCCACTTCTGGGTATATATCCAAAGGAAATGAAACCAGCACCTTGTAAAAATAACTGCATCCCATATTCATTGCAGCATTATTCACAATAGCCAAGATATGGAAACAATCTAAACGTCTGTGGAGAGATGAATAGTAGCTTAGCCAACTTAATGGGACCTAAGCTCTGTCAAAGATTTTAAAACTCACTGATGCCAGGAAAGTTCTGGGTGCAAAGAAAAAAAAATTAGGCGAGTATGGTGGCATACGCCTGTAGTCCCAGCTACTCAGGAGGCTAATATACGTATTTGACTGTTCCCATATCCCATATATAAGAGAGTTCATATAATTTTTTTTTCTGTCTGGCTTATTTCAATTAGCATGATATTCTCCATGTTGCTGTGAATGGCAAGATCTTGTTTTTTAAAGCTGAATAATTTTTTTTCTTTTTTTTTTTTTTTTGATATGGAGTCTCGCTCTGTCACCCAGGCTGCAGTGCAGTGGCACAATCTCCGCTCACTGCAACCTCTGCCTCCCGGATTCAAATGATTCTCCAGCTTCAGCCTCCCAAGAGCTGGGATTACAGGCGCATGCCACTCGGCTAATTTTTGTATTTTCAGTAGAGACAGGGTTTCACAATGTTGGCCAGGCTGGTCTTGAACTCCTGACCTCAGGTGATCCACCCGCCTCGGCCTCCCAAAGTGCTAGGGCTACAGGCGTGAGCCACCATGTCTGGCCAAAGCTGAATAATATTTTAAAATTTTGTTAACACAAGGTCTTGCTCTGTTACCTAGGCTGGAGTGCAGCAGCATGATCACAGATCACTGCAGCGTCAACCTCCTGGGCTTAGGAGAGAGAGTACAAAATTTTTTCTTTTTTTTTTGAGAGGGAGTTTTGCCCTTGTTGCCCGGGCTAGAATGCAATGGTGAGATCTTGGCTTACTGCAACCTCCACCTCCCAAGTTCAAGAGATTATCTTGTCTCAGCCTCTGGAGTTGCTGGGAATACAGGCACAGGGCATCACGTCCAGCTAATTTTTGCATTTTTAGTAGAGGTGGAGTTCACCACGTTGGCCAGTCTGGTCTGAAATTCTTGACCTCGGGTGATCCGCCCGCCTCGGCCTCCCAAAGTGGTGGGATTACAGTCGTGAGTCACCAAACCCAGCAAAAAAATTGTTTTACATTTTTGTTTTAAATTCTATTTATTTATTTATTTAGAGATGAAGTCTCACTTAGTTGGCCAAGCTGGAGTGCAGTTCACTACAACCTCCACCTCCCGGGTTCAAGCAATTCTCTTGCACCAGCCTACCAAGTAGCTGGGATTACAGGCACATGCCATCATGCCCAGCTAATTTTTGTATTTTTAGTAGAGAAGGGGCTTCACTATGTTGGTTAGGCTGGTCTCGAACTCCTGAGCTCGTGATATGCCTGCCTCAGCCTCCAAAAGTGCTGGGATTACAGGCGTGAGCCACCATGCCCGGCCTTATTGTTTTTTATTTTTTATTTTTTTGAGACAGAGTTTCACTCTTGTCGCCCAGGCTGGAGTGCAATGGCGTGATCTTGGCTCACGGCAACCTCTGCCTCCTGGGTTCAAGGAATCCTCTTGCCTCAGCCTCCCAGGTTGCTGGGACTACAGGTGGCAGCCACCACGCCTGGCTAAGTTTTGTATTTTTAGTACAGACAGGGTTTCATCATGTTGGCCAGGCTGGTGTCAAACTCCTGACCTCAGGTAATCTGCCTGCCTCAGCCTCCCAAAGTGCTGAGATCACAGGTGTCAGTCACTGTGCCAGCCCTGGGTTCAAGTGATTCTCCTGCCTCAGTCTCCTGGGTAGCTGGGACTACAGGCACCCATCACCATGCCTAGCGAATTTTTGTATTTTTAGTAGAGACAGGGTTTCACCATGTTGGCCAGGCTGGTCTTGAACTCCTAACGTCAAGAGATCTACCCACCTAGGCCTCCCAAACCGCTGGGATTACAGGCATGAGCCACCCTGCCCAGCCAGTTTTAAAGATTTTTAGATGGTTAAAGTATATACTGTGGGTGTATATTTGTACTCTTGCTAACATTTTACCAGAAAAAAATAAAAACATAGTGAAATATCTTTCTCAAGTAAAATGAATGTATTAATATGGAAATTGAGCCAGGTGGGGTGGCTCAGGGCGATAATCCCAGCACTTTCGGAGGCCAAGGTGGGCGGATCACGAGGTCAGGAGATTGAGACCATCCTGGCCAACATGGTGAAACCCTGTTGCTAATAAAAATACAAAAATTAGCTGGGCATGCTGGCACCTGCCTGTAATCCCAGCTACTCAGGAGGCTGAGGCAGAAGAATCACTTGAACCAGGGAGTCGGAGGTTGCAGTAAGCTGAGATCCTGCCACTGCACTCCAGCCTGGGCGACACAGCAAGAGTCCGTCTCAAAAAAAAAAAAAAAAAAAAAAAAAAAAACAATTTGTCTTTCTTTTTTTTCCTCAACCTTACTCTAGAAAGTAGGGGTGTCTGAAGCCCATTCCTTTGGCCTTGGCTTTTCAGACAGCATTATCTTATAACTGTCCTTGAAGTGAGCTGCTTACATAGGAAAACTTCTTCTTTTCTTTTTAACCCTTGCCTTACCACATTCCGGGCCTTAGCTTTTACTTTTCTTGGAGTGAATAAATGCAGTACTCATTATTATTATTATTTTAACGTCTGCCTCAGCTTGAGGCCAGGAGTTCCAGACCAGCCTGGAAAACCTAGCAAGACCTCAACTCTGCAAAAAAAAACAAACAACAACAAAAAAAAACAAAAGTTGCACCCCAGCCTGGATGACAGAGCAAGGCCATGTCTCAACAACAAAAAAAGAGGCCAGGTGCTATGGCTTATGCCTGTAATCTCAGCACTTTGGTAGGCCAAGGGGAGCGGATCAACTGAGGTCAGGAGTTCAAGGCCAGCCTGCCAAACATAGGGAAACTACATCTCTACTAAAAATACAAAAAAATTAGCCAGGCATGCTGACAGGTGCCTGTAATCCTAGCTACTTGGGAGGCTAAGGCAGGAGAATCGCTTGAACCCTGGAGGTGGAGGTTGCAGTGAGCCAAGATCACGCCACTGCACTCCAGCCTGGGCAACAAGAGTGAAACTCTGTCTCAAAAAATAAATAAAAAAAATATAACAACAAGTTTTTTAGGCCAGGCACAGTGGCTCATGCCTGTAATCCCAACACTTTGGGAGGGCAAAGCAGGAGGAACACTTGAGCCCAAGAGTTCAAGACCAGCCTGGCCAACATGGTGAAACCCCATCTCTACTAAAAATACAAAAAATTAGCCAGACATTGTGGTTCCTGCCTGTAATCCCAGCTACTAGGGAGCCAGAGACAGGAGAATCATTTGAACCTGGAAGGCGGAGGTTGCAGTGACCCGAAATGGCACCACTGCACTCCAGCCTAGGCCTCAGAGTGACATCTCCAAAAAAATAAGAAACAACAGGCCGGGCATCATGGCTCACACCTATAATCCCAGCACTTTGGGAGGCCGAGGCGGGTGGATCACCTGAGGTTGGGAGTTCAAGCCAGCCTGACCAACATGGAGAAACCCCATCTCTACTAAAAATACAAAATTAGCCAGGTGTAGTGGAGCGTGCCTGTAATCCCAGCTACTTGGGAGGCTAAGGCAGGAGAACAGCTTGAACCTGGAGGCGGAGGTTGCAGTGAGCCGAGATCGCGCCATTGCACCCTAGCCTGGGCAACAAGAGCAAAACTCCGTCTCAAAAATAAATAAATAAATACATATTTTAAAAAGAAACAACAACAACAACAAAAACACACACAAAAAATCAAAGCTGAGGCAGGAGAATCGCTTGAACCCAGGAGGCGGAGGTTGTAGTGAGCCAAGATCACACCACTGCACTCCAGCTTAGGCAACAAAGCAAGACTCTTGTCTCAAAAAAAAAAAATACTGATTAATCAATATTAATCAATATTGATAACAGAATTCCATCAAGATTACTACTGAGGCTGGGTGTGGTGGCCCATGCCTGTAATCTCAGCACTTTAGGAGACTGAGGCGGATGGATCACGAGGTCAGGAGATCGAGACCATCCTGGCCAACATGGAGAAACCCTGTCTCTACTAAAAATACAAACATTAGCTGGGTCTCAAAAAAAAAAAAAAAAAAAAAAAAGAGAGAAATTGGCCGGGCGCAGTGGCTCATGCTTGTAATCCCTGCACTTTGGGAGGCTGAGGCGGGTGGATCACAAGGTCAGGAGTTCAAGACCAGCCTGGCCAACACACTGAAACCCTGTCTCTACTAAAAATACAAAAATTGGCCAGGCGCGGTGGCTCACGCCTGTAATCCCAGCACTTTGCCAGGCTGAGGCGGGTGGATCATCTGAGGTCAAGAGTTCGAGACCAGCCTGACCAACAAGGTGAAACTCGTCTCTACTAAAAATACAAAAAATTAACTGGCGTGGTGGCAGGCGCCTGTTGTCCCAGCTACTCAGGAGGCTGACACAGGAGAATGGCGTGAACCCGGGAGGCGGAGGTTGCAGTAAGCCGAAATCGCACTGAGAGGTGACAGCGTGCTGGCAGTCCTCACAGCCCTCGCTCGCTCTCGGCACTTCCTCTGCCTGGGCTCCCACTTTGGCGGCACGTGAGGAGCCCTTCAGCCCCCTGCTGCACTATGGGAGCCCCTTCCTGGGCTGGCCTAGGCCGGAGCCAGCTCCCTCAGCTTGCGGGAGGTGTGGAGGGAGAGGCGCGGGCGGGAACCCGGCTGCGCGCGGTGCTTGCGGGCCAGCACGAGTTCCGGGTGGGTTTGGGCTCGGCGGGCCCCGCACTCGGAGCGGCCGGCCGGCCGGCCCTGGTGGCCCCGGGCAATGAGGGATTTAGCACCTGGGCCAGCGGCTGCGGAGGGTGTGCTGGGTTCCCCAGCAGTGCCGGCCCACCGGCGCTGCACTCGATTTCTCCCCAGGCCTTAGCTGCCTTCCCATGGGGCAGGGCTCAGGACCTGCAGCCCGCCATGCCTGAGCCTCCCCGCTCCACCTCCGTGGGCTCCTGAGCCTCCCCGACAAGCGCGGCCTCCTGCTCCACGCGCCCAGTCCCATCGACCACCCAAGGGCTGAGGAGTGTGGGCGCAGGGTGCGGGACTGGCAGACAGCTCCACCTCCAGCCCCAGTGCAAGATCCACTGTGTGAAGCCAGCTGGGCTCCTGAGTCTAGTTGGAACTTGGAGAACCTTTATGTCTAGCTAAAGGATTGTAAATACACCAATCGGCACTCTGTATCTAGCTCAAGGTTTGTAAACACACCAATCAGCACCCTGTGTCTAGCTCAGGGTTTGTGAATGCATCAATTGACACTCTCTATCTAGCTACTGTGATGGGGACATGGATAACTTTTGTGTCTAGCTCAGGGATTGTAAACGCACCAATCAGCGCCCTGTCAAAACAGACCACTGGGCTCTACCAATCAGCAGGATGTGGGTGGGGCCAGATAAGAGAATAAAAGCAGGCTGCCCGGGCCAGCAGTGGTAACATGTTGGCCTCCCTTTCTACACTTGGAGGCTTTGTTCTTTTTTTCTTTGCAATAAGTCTTGTTGCTGCTCAGTTTTTGGGTCTGCACTGCTTTTATGAGCTGTAACACTCACCGTGAAAGTCTGTAGCTTTACTTTTGAAGCCGGTAAGACCAGAAGCCCACCGGGAGAAACGAACGATTCCAGACGGGTTGCCTTAAGAGAGCTGTAACACTCACCGTGAAGGTCTGCAGGTTCACTCCTGAGTCAGGGAGACCACCAACCCACCAGAAGGAAAAAAGTCCAAACACATCTGAACATCAGAAGGAACAAACTCCAGATGCGCCACATTTAAGAGCTGTAACACTAACCGCGAGGGTCCATGGCTTCATTCTTGAAGTCAGTGAGACCAAGAATCCCCCAATTCCTGACACAGCGCCCCTCCACTCCAGCCTGGGCAACGGAGCGAAACTTACCTCTCAAAGAAAAATAAAAGATATTTATTTGAGGCTAGCGTCGGCAGTGGCTCACACTTGTGATCTCAGCACTCTGGGAGGCTGAGGCAGGCACGTGGATCACTTGAGCTCAGGGGTTAAAGACCAGCCTGGTCAACATGGCTAAACCTCATCTCTACTAAAAATACGAAAGTTAGTCCAGC
Source organism: Homo sapiens (assembly GCF_000001405.40). Classification (NCBI taxonomy): domain Eukaryota; kingdom Metazoa; phylum Chordata; class Mammalia; order Primates; family Hominidae; genus Homo; species Homo sapiens. The sequence continues at coordinate 7,882,698 of NC_000012.12, forward strand.
ATAGTGGCGCACGCCTGTAATCCCAGCTACGTGGGAAGCTGAGGCTGGAGAATCACTTGAACCCAGGAGGCAGAGGCTGCAGTGAGCTGAGATCTGGCCACTGTAGTCCAGCCTGGGTGATGAGTGAGGCTGTCTCAAAAAAATTTGCTTGAGACTTGTTCACCACTTGGAAGTTGTTTCTCAATTCAAGTTTAAAAAAAAAAAAGGACTAAGACTCTTAAATGCTCTCCTGGCTAGGTGTGGTGGCTCGTGCCTGTAATCCCAGGACTTCGGGAGGCCAAGGTGGGCGGATCACAAGGTCAGGAGTTCAAGACCATCCTGGCCAACATGGTGAAACCCTGTCTCTACTAAAAATACAAAAATTAGCTGGACATGGTGGTGGGCACCTGTAATCTCAGCTACTCCGTAGGCTGAGTTGGGAGAATCGCTGGAACCCAGAAGTCAGAGGTTGCAGTGAGCCAAGATCATGCCATTGCACTCCAGTCTGGGTGACAAAAGCAAGTCTCAGTCTCAAAAAACAATCCAAAACCAAACAAAACCACAAATGCTTTCTTTTTCTTTCTTTCTTTTTTTTTTTTTTTTTTTTTTGAGATGGAGTCTTGCTTTGTCTCCCAGGGTGGAGTGCAGGGGCGTGATCTTGGCTCACTGCAACTCAGCCTCCTGGGTTCACGCCATTCTCTTGCCTCAGTCTCCTGAGTAGCTGGGATTACAGGCGCCCGCCACCATGCATGGCTGATTTTTTGTATTTTTAGTAGGGACAGGGTTTCACCATGTTAGCCAGGATGGTCTTGATCTCCTGACCTCATGATCCGCCTGCCTCGGCCTCCCAAAGTGCTGAGATTACAGGCATGAGCCACCACGCCCGGCCTCTTTTTCTTTTTCTTTTTCTTTTCTTTTTTTTTTTTTTTTTTTTTTTGAGACGGGGTCTCTCTCTGTCACCAGGCTGGAGTGCAGTCTCGGCTCACAGCCTCTGCTTCCCAGGTTCATGCCATTCTCCTGCCTCAGTCTCCCGAGTAGTTGGGATTACAGGCGCCCACCACCACGCCGGGCTAATTTTTTGTGTTTTTAGTAGAGACAAGGTTTCACCATGTTGGCCAAGATGGTCTCGATCTCTTGACCTCATGCTCTACCTGCCTTGGCCTCCCAAACTGCTGGGATTACAGGCATGAGCCACCACGCCTGGCCCACAAATGCTTTCTTAAATCTGAATTAACTTTTCTTTCTTTCTTTCTTTTTTTTTGTTTGAGGCGGAGCCTTGGTCTGTCGCCCAGGCTGGAGTGCAGTGGCACAATCTCGGCTCACTGCAAGCTCTGCTTCCCGGGTTCACGCCATTCTCCTGCCTCAGCCTCCCAAGTAGCTGGGACTACAGGCGCCTGCCACCACAACTGGCTAATTTTTTGTATTTTTAGTAGAAACGGGGTTTCACCATGTTAGCCAGGATGGTCTTGATCTGACCTCGTGATCTGCCCGCCTCAGCCTCCCAAAGTGCTGGGATTACAGGCATGAGCCACCGCGCCCAGCCTGAATTTCCTTTTCAACATCACACTATGTGCTATAAGTTTGAACTCTTTCTTTCACATAATTAAACTTATTTACTCCTGGAGGCTGGGACCTCTTGCTCCTTCTTCCTCCAACCCCTTTGCAATAACTGAAATACTCTGATGTCCTGCAATATTTTAAGTATAATATTTATTTATTTTTGTAAAAAGCTTTTAATACTAGTGAAGTGCCGTAGTGGGGGGATGGGGAAGAGTGGAACAAGGAGTTTGATCTGTAACTGACCCTGAACAATCAATTGGGATAACTCACTACGTAGATAATTCACTATTTGGTTGCTGTATTATTACGGTCAACAGCTTCATTTTATCCCACATCAGCTAACTGGAGCAACAGCTAAGGTCGAGATAATAGCATTGTCATAGGTGCTGGACTTCTCTCTCAACATCATCATCACTTCACCTTCCTCAACTCTGCCCACATGTTCTTCCTCCTTCTCTAACACCTACTGAGAAATTGAGAAGGCGATTCTCTTCTGGGCTGTTAATATGCTGTTCCAGAGCAAGGTTCTATTTTTGTTTGTTAAACTTTGGAAGGCATTCTTAGATGTTTCTCCTCTCCCTGCGGGCTAGACTTACTAGGAGTTAAAAATAAATCCCTTTTTACATTGGGTCAAAGATCCCCTGAGGGTAGGGTGGGAAAGAGGAAGTCATAAATACCCTGGCAACAATATTGTTCAAGGTCAGGACTATTTTTTTTTTCCTCATATTTTTCAGGAACCAAAAAACGATCAGGACTATTTTTGACAATGCAGTTTGATGGTTTAGTCTTTTGAACTCTCCAGTAGACCTTAGAATTTGGTATACATAGTAATTCAGTCCTTGAATATTAAAAGCCTTTAGTTAGAGTACAATCTGACAAATCCAAAGCTGAACCATGAGTCAGAAATTTTTTTTTCCAGCACCATAGGAAAGAAAAAATAATAACTAAAAAGAGCCAGGTGTGGTGGCTCACGCCTGTACAGCATTTCGGGAGGCCGAGGCGGGCAGATCACGAGGTCAGGCATTTGAAACCAGCCTGGCCAACATGGCAAAACCCCATCTCTACTAAAAATACACAAATTAGCCAGGGGTGGTGGCAGGCGCCAGTAGTCCCAGCTACTCGGGACGCTGAGGCGGGAGAATCGCTTGAATCCAGGAGAGGGAGGTTGCAGTGAGCCGAGATAATGCCATGGCACTCCAGCCTGGGCAACAAGAGCGAAACTTCGTCTCAAAAAAAAAAGTTCTTGTAACTCTCCAATTTTCTGAATGTTAATGTTTTAGCTATTGGAAATGATTCATTAATTTGTTAAATTGGTAAGTTTTTTTTTTTTCATGCTGCCAAGCACCGTAGTCTGAGCAGTGCTTCTCTAATTTAGTATATACAAAAATCAGAGATTCTTTCAAGCTCTATATCATGGGGAGTGAAAAAAGAAAAGTAAACAGACAAACAAACAAACAAAAATCAGAGATTCATAAAGGACAGATTTCTGGGCCCACCTACGAGATTCTTATTCAGTAGGTCTCGTGTGATGCCCAGCCCAATAAGTGATGCTCATCGTGGAAAAAGGAGTCAATGGTGTCTCATATATTTTTCTGTTAGTTGAATCTTTTATTCCACTTCAAAATTTCTTCTCATGGTAAGGTCATTGATGAAACAGCCATGAGCAAGTTAATTAAACTGGTTCATAGATACATATGTGAAGATTTATTGTATTGTTCACTATGTAAGTTTGAAATTTTTCTTTTCTTTCCTTCTTTTTTTTTTTTGAGATGGAGTCTCACTCTGTCGCTCAGGCTGGAGTGCAGTGGTGCGATCTCAGCTCACTGCAACACCCACCTCCCAGGTTCAAGCAGTTCTCTGCCTCAGCCTCCTGAGTAGCTGGGATTACAGGCATGTACCACCACGCCCGGACAGCTTTTTTTTTTTTTTTTTTTTTTTTTTTTTTGAGACAAGGTCAGGCTGTCCCTGAGGCTGGAGTGCAGTGATGCAATCATGGCTCACTGAAGCCTTGACCTTCTGGGCTCAAAGGATCCTCCCACCTCAGCCTCCCAAGTAGCTGGGACCACAGGCATGTGCCACCTCGCCCAGCTAATTAAATTTTTAAAATTTATTTATTTATTTATTTATTTATTTATTTATTTATTTATTTATTTTGAGACAGAGTTTTTCTTTGTTGCCCAGGCTGGTCTCAAATACCTGGGCTCAAAGCAGTCCTCTTGCTTTAGTCTCCCAAATTGCTGGGAGTGCGTGAAGTACTGCAGCTAGCTAAAATTTTTCATAATAAAAAGGTTCTTTTTGTGTTTTTATGGGTAAAATAGGCAAAATAGTGAAGAATATGCTGATAATTCCATTTGTAATCTCTAACTAAACTAAGTAGTTTCAGTAGTTATGGTGTTCATCTTTCCATCATTGGTAATTGGAGAGTAACTCTACCTCCCAGAGGAAGGAAGGAAGACTGTTAGTTGTGAATTAAAGACTCATTGTTCAAGGCTCATTGAATTGTCAGTGTAGGGGACCTAAGGCAATGACCACTGTTATTTTCAAGAGTTATTCTGTATATCACATTGATGTGCAGTTCAATATTTAAATGTAAGGAAATGACTCCTACCCTCTATTTGTTTACAAAACCCTAGTTCTCATTTATGCCCATTCCTTCATCAACAAATAATGATTTTCTTTTTTTTTTTTTTTTTGAGACTGAGTCTTGCTCTGTAGCCCAGGCTGGAGTGCAATGGCGCGATCTCGGCTCACTGCAACCTCCGCCTCCCAGGTTCAAGCAATTCTCCTGCCTCAGCCTCCTGAGTAGCTGGGATTACAGGCACCCACCACCACGCCCGGCTAATTTTTGTATTTTTAGTAGAGATGGGGTTTCACCATGTTGGCCAGGCTGGTCTCCAACTCCTGACCTCTGGTGATCCACCAACCTCAGCCTCCCAAAGTGCTGGGATTACAGGCATGAGCCACCGCGCCCGGCCAAATAATGATTTCCTACTTTTTGCCTGGTTCTCTCTAGAAGAGTAGTTCTTAAACAATAGCATTCAGAAAAATCACCTGGTTTCAATGGTAGGCTGTCATGAAAAAAAAAAATCACAGGGAGAATTTTAAAACAGATTCCTGATCCCTACCACCAAAGATTCCTATTCAGTGGTGAAGCCCATCAGTTAGCATCTCTAACAAGCTCCCAGGTGGTGCTGAGGATGCTGGTGAATGAACCATTCATACTCTTCTAGGGTTGCAGACAAGACAATAAATTAAACAGGTGAAAAATGAAAGTAATTGCCCTCACAGAGCTTATATTCTAGTGATAGTAGGTAGATAAATCAGATAGATAGATAGATAGATAGATAGATAGATAGATAGATAGATAGATAGATAGTTAGATAGATAGATAGAATGTATGTTACCTGTGTTGCCTGGCCAAAGGGTAGGTTCACATTTGGCATGTATGTCAATCCAAGCTGCACTTGACCTTTTCTAATCATCTCCAAGTCTACCTATTGCCTTATGCAAATCCTATCACTTGATTTATTCAAGAAGTCTCCCAACTGTCATCTCTGTTGGCACCCATGCCTTCCTATAATCTAGTCCCAATGTATTCGTCAGAATGATTTTTTTGTTGTTTTTTAAAGACGGTCGTATCAAGATACTCCTTAGCTCAAAATCTTCCTTTGGCTTTCTCTCATTCAGAGTCACGAGTCAAACTGCTGAATCACAGAATCCTTCCTCTGGCCCTGTACTTTACAGTCTGTCTTTGCCTCCTTGGGTTCTCCCACAGCACCATGAAGTTGGCCCCTCATTGATCCAGGAAGAAGGCAGGAAATCTCCAGAATCAGGGCTTTTGCCACCAATGTTGTCTCTCTGGTTCTTCCTCCAGAAATCTACCTAGCTTTAACATTACCTCCTTAATGCAGTGTCCCCCTCCCTATCCTCCATTTGATTCTTCATTATAGCACTTAGGAAAGGTCAACTGCAGCTTCGGTTGGCACACATGCCAAATGTGAACCTACCCTTTTGGCAAGAGAAACAGGTAATCTCCACCCCAGCAGTCCTGTGACACAAGCAGTAATGAAAGAAATAAAGAAATGCACGTTTTTAAAAAGCATAATCATTTTTTGACACTCTGCTGGTTCACCAAGCCCTTGTTCATGTGCTGATCAAAAACGCACTCAATGGTGGAAAACAGAAGCATGCAAAAGCAATACGATTACAAGAAAGATGCCATTGAATTCTAGATATATTTTGAAGGCATAGTTGACAAAGATGTCTTTAAGATTTTGGACTGGCCGGGTGCAGTGGCTCACACCTGTAATCCTAGCACTTTGGGAGGCCGAGGTTGGCAGATCACAAGGTCAAGAGATCGAGACCATCCTGGCCAACATGGTGAAACCCCGTCTCTACTAAAAATACAAAAATTAGCCAGGCGTGGTGGTGCATGCCTGTAGTCTCAGCTGCTCCGGAGGCTGAGGCAGGAGAATCACTTGAACCTGGGAGGTAGAGGTTGCAGTGAGCTGAGATCGTGCCACTGCACTCTAGCCTGGGCAACAGAGCAAGACTCCGTCTCAAAAAAAAAAAAAAAAAAGAAAAAAGGAATATCAGGAGAATATAGACTAATTAGAAGAGATTTAATTTAAAGCTTACAGTCCTTTTCTACCTATGGTCACCTACTTACTTCTCAGGTCTCTGGACTCTAATTTCCAATGACCAATTTGACACTCCATCTCTATATAAACCAAGATGATCAAATATATACATACACAGGTATCAGGCCTTGGGCTAGATATAATTAAGATGGCTACAATATGGACAAGACAGTGCCTCATGCATATTAATGTTACAGGAAAAGGGTCCTGATCCAGACCCCAGGAGGGTTCTTGAGCACAAGAAATAATTCAGGGCAAGTCCACAAGGCAAAGTGAAAGCAACTTTATTAAGAAAGTAAAGGAATAAAAGAAAGGCTACTCCATAGACAGAGTAGCCCAGAGGGCTGCTGGTTGCCCTTTTTTTTTTTTTTTTTAAGACTGAGTTTCGCTCTTGTTGTCTAGGCTGGGGTGCAATGGTGTGATCTCAGCTCACTCCAACCTCTGCCTCCCGGATTCAAGCAATTCTCCTGACTCAGCCTCTCAAGTAGCTGAGAGATTACAGGCATGCACCATCACGCCCGGCTAATTTTGTATTTTTAGTAGAGACGGGTTTCTCCATGTTGGTCAGGCTGTTCTCGAACTCCTGACCTCAGGTGATACACCACCTCGGCCTCCCAAAGTGCTGGGATTACAGGCGTGAGCCACCGTGCCTGACCTGGTTCCCCCTTTTTTTTTTGAGATGGAGTTTTGCTCTTGTTGCCCAGGCTGGAGTGCAGGGGTGCAATCTCGGCTCACTGCAACCTCTGCCTCCCAGGTTCAAGCGATTCTCCTGCTTCAGCCTCCCAAGTAGGTGGGATTACAGGTATACGCCACCACGCCCGGCTAATTTTTGTATTTTTAGTAGAGACAGGGTTCCATTATATTGGTCAGGCTGGTCTCGAACTCCTGACCTCAGGTGATCCACCCGCCTTGGCCTCCCAAAGTGCTGGGATTACAGGCATGAGCCTGGTCGTCTGGTTGCCCATTTTTATGGTTATTACTTGATGATATGCTAAACAACGGGTGGATTATTCATTCCTCCCCTTTTCGGAGCATATAGGGTAACTTCCCCAGGTTGCCTTGGCATTCCTAAACTGTCATGGCGCTGATGGGAGTGTAGCAGTGAGGACTACCAGAGGTCACTCTCGCCACCATTTTGGTTTTGGTAGGTTTTGGCTGGCTCCTTTACTGCAACCTGTTTTATCAGCAAGGTCTTTATGACCTGTATTTTGTGCTGACCTCCTATCTCATCCTATGACTTAGAACATCTTAACCATCTGGGAATGCAGCCCAGTAGGTTTCAGCCTCATTTTACCCAGCTCCTATTGAAGATGGAGTCGTTCTGGTTCACACAGCTCTGATAGTAATCTGCTCACTAAGTGTTAGTTGCCGTGTTCTCTGCCACAACTCCCTCCTGTTGCACCCCTGCCTTTGAGTCCTGCTAAACAACAGTATTGGAACCCATCATTTTCTCTCATGCCTTTACCCAAACTGTTAATTTTCTGCAATTCCCTTCTCTCCACATTTTTCCTTCTCAGATCACTGAAGATCGTCCAGTCTTCCCTGCCCATCCCTTCCCGACCCCATCCTCCATTATTTGTACTCTCTTAGCATCCAGTGCACTTTTTTCAGTACTTATCACACAACATTATAATTGTTTTTTTGGTTTATTTTGATCAACTCTACTAAATTGTTAGCTCATTTTAACACGCCCTTATGCCAGCCTAGTCCAACAAATCTGAAGTCAGACAGGTTCCTAAACCTCAACTTTATTCAAATTGCTTTCCTTGGCAAAGAACATAGTAAGTTGGCCTTCCAGCCACCAACCCCCTTCCCTTTGGTCTTTCACTCCGGAGGCTCTTACCCTAGACGCAATGGGACAGGGAGCGGGGGATGGGGGAATTCAGCTCAGGCTTTTATGCAAAGTCCCCCTTCAGCAAAGAACAAAGCTTCTGGTACCTGCCCTTTGGACAGCTGCGGGCAAGCTCAGCCTCGGTGAGTCTTGGTGGCCTTGACAGCCCCCACTTAACACACTGTGCTGATTAAGAGAGACAGGAGGGCAAGTTTTTCCCTTTTTTAAAGAAATCATCCTCGACATGGACTACCTGCCTTGAAGCATGATCTATCTAGTTCCACTTACCTCCTCCCCGACGCCCCCATTCTGACTCTTCTCCAGAGTGGAGGTCTGAGAAGAAAAAAAGAAATGCCGCATTTCATCTCCTTGTTTCACACCCAGGAGTACTTCTACTCTCAACAGTTGGAGTCTTTGCATTGTGAACAAAAGTCAGGTTGTGTGGGAGCAAAGCCAGCTGCTCCCAGTGCAGACCCAGGAGCAGAGTGCAGAGGAGAATGAGTCAGAGTTGTGTCTTCAAAAATTACGTAATTGCGATTTGCTAAGAGTTTACTTTCTGTTTGGGAAATTGGAAAAGAGAAAGAAATCTTACTTTTATTTCTTTTTTTTTTGTTTTTTTCGAGACAGGGTCTCACTGTCACCCAGACTGGAGTGCAGTGGCACAATCTCGGCTCACTGCAACCTCTGCCTCCTGGGTTCAAGCGACTTTCCTGCCTCAGCCCCGCCGAGTAGCTGGGATTACAGGCGTGTGCCACTACAGCCCGGTTAATTTTTTTGTATATTTTAGTAGAGACGGGGTTTCACCATGTTGGCCAGGCTGATCTCGAACTCCTGACCTCAGAGTTATTCGCCCACCTCGGCCTCCCAAAGTGCTGGGATTATAGGCGTGAACCTTCGCACCTGGCCAGGTTTCTTGAATGTTAGGTTTGGGAATAGAAAGGAAAATGGAAAACTTTAGACTTTTTTTTTTTTTTTTTTTGAGATGGAGTCTCACTCTGTCCCCCAGGCTAGAGTGCAGTGGCATGATCTCAGCTCACTGCAACCTCTGCCTCCCGGGTTCAAGCAATCTTCCTGCCTCAGCCTCCTGAGTAGCTGGGACTACAGGTCCGTGCTACCACACCCAGCTAATTTTTTGTATTTTTAGTAGAGACGGGGTTTCATCGTGTTAGCCAGGATGGTCTCCATCTCCTGACCTCGTGATCCGCCCGCCTTGGCCTCCCAAAGTGCTGGGATTACAGGCGTGAACGACAGCACCCAGCTACTTTAGACTATTTATGTCCATAAATGTTAGTGCTGGAACCCAACTCTAAAAACTTTATTCCTTTGGAAAACATACCTCCCTCTCACCTCAAACAAACAAACAAACCCAAACACACAAGATGGGCATGGGGTAATGTTGAAAGACATGACAATATCATCATTCCTGATTTAAAAGTTGGAAACGTGGTGAACCTAGAAGTATTTGTTGCTGGGTTTGTCTTCAGGTTCTGTTGCTCGGTTTTCTAGTTCCCCACCTAGTCTGGGTTACTCTGCAGCTACTTTTGCATTACAATGGCCTTGGTGAGACTGGTAGACGGGATTAACTGAGAATTCACAAGGGTGGGGGGGTGTCCCCCCCAGGAGGGGTGGGTCTAAGGGTGATAGAGCCTTCATTATAAATCTAAAGACTCCAGGACTTTAGCATTTTTCTGGACTGAGCTGGTTTCCTCCTGTTATTGTGGAGGCGACTCACTTCATCACAACTTCTTGATACTTTTGCTGCTGGAGGTCATATTTCTCTAAGATCTTCCAGAAAAAAGTCTTAAAGCCATCTTAGCCTTTTTTCCAGTCCAGCTCTTAAATTTTTCCCACTCTTCTCCAATAATGACATGAGTGTGGATCCAGCTTGTCCATAAAGCCTGCCTTGCTCCAAAGCATCTGACTGTAAAGACTGGTCACCTATACCTGTGATTTGTGGGCCTGAAGAAAACCATCCATCCTTGCAAATGTCTTCTGCTGAGATGCCTCACACAGAGACTGGTAAGAAAGAAATTTATCCTTGAAAGAAAGGCCAAGTTCCTTAAGAGAAAAGGGAAGGAGAGAGGGTTAAGGGATCATTTCACTCTTGAGCAATAATACCCCATTACTATAAGCAAGTGTTAATATCACCTAATCCTCTGAAAAAACCCCTGTTTCAATTGTAACTTGGTGGCACCTGCCCTTTGAACTATATCCCAGGTCTCAGGAGTGTGCACTGAGTTGAAGGACACAGAATTCGGCAGTTGAACAGTATGCAGTAAATTTGAGAACCTATGGGCTTAGGCATGGTGGAAACAAAAATGTATCATTGGCCGGGCGTGGTGGCTTACGCCTGTAATCCCAGCACTTTGGGAGGCCGAGGTGGGCGGATCACGAGGTCAGGAGATCGAGACCATCCTGGCTAACACGGTGAAACCCCATCTCTACTAAAAATACAAAAAATTAGCTGGGCGTGGTGGAGGGCACCTGTAGTCCCAGTTACTTGGGAGGCTGAGGCAGGAGAATGGCATGTGAACCTGGGAGGCGGAGCTTGCAGTGAGCCGAGATCGCGCCACTGCACTCCAGCCTGGGTGACAGAGCGAGATTCCGTCTCAAAAAAAAAAAAAATGTATTATTATAGTTAAATGAAGGTGATGCGTACATCTTCACATAGCACTGGACACACAGCTATAGCAGATTTATTGCTAATTAACCGGAAGACCTAACATCATAGCTCAGGGATAAGCATGATGTTTTTGTTTTGCCAAAAATGGCATGGCAAATCATGGTGAGATTTCTGTAATTAATATATAATTTATGTAATTACCTTCTTTCTATGGCAGTAACGGCTGTCTCTTCTCCATTCTCTGGGTTTGTGGATGTTACTGGGCAGCTCTGAGTTTGGGAGCACCTCCTATGTCTACTTCTCATCAGTCCTGGGAAGTGTTGATGAAACCTTATGGTAAAGATAATTCCAGAAAGTTTAATCTACTGACAGTCAAACAGAACGTAGCTAGAAATCCAGTTTGGCTTCAAAACCTGTGCTAGTACTTACGCTTCTGACTGGTAGCTGCAAGGGGTGGGGGATACTCAGGATACTCATAAAGCCACTATCACTCTTTGGAAAATCAATTTTTCAGTAGTTTTCAAAAATTTAAAAATGAACCAACTTTAGTTACAAAATCAGTATATGCCAGGCCCTATGCTGGACCATTTTAATTGGTTACCTCATTTTAATAAACGAAGGAATAATTTTGGAGATGAGGTCAGAGAGCTAGTAAAGGGAAATCTTGGACTGAAACAGAAGCCTATCAAAATTCACATATCCTGCTGGTTCTAGCATTGAGAGCTGGGCAGTGAGTTGCTGGCTTTATTTTTTATTTTTTAAGACACAGTCTCGGGCCGGGCGTGGTGGCTCACGCCTGTAATCCCAGCACTTTGGGAGGCCGAGGCGAGCGGATTGCCAGAGTTCAGGAGTTCGAGACCAGCCTGGGCAACACGGTGAAACCCCCATCTCTACTAAAATACAAAAAATTAGCTGGGCGTGGCGGCATGCCCCTATACTCCTAGCTACTCGGGAGGCTGAGACAGGAGAATTGCTTGAACCCGGGAGGTGGAGGTCAGTGAGCTGAGATTGCACCACTTCACTCCAGTCTGGGCGACAGAGCGAGACTTCTGTCTCAAAAAGAAAAAAAAAGAAGATGCTTATCATGGGCCGGGGGCAGTGGCTCACACCTGTAATCCCAGCACTTCGAGAGGCCTAAGCAGGCAGATCACCAGAGGTCAGGAGTTCAAGACCAGCCAGGCCAACACAGTGAAATCCTCTCTCTACTAAAAATACAAGCAAATTAGCTGGACATGGTGGCGCGAGCCTGTAGTCCCAGCTACTTGGGAGGCTGAGGCAGGAGAATCACTTGAACCCAGGAGGTGGAGGTTGCCACCAGCCGAGATTGCGCCACTGCACTCCAGCTTGGGCAACAGAGTGGGACTTTGTCTCAGAAAAAAAAAAAAAAAAAAAAAAAAAGATGCCTATGGCCGGGCGAAGTGTCTCACACCTGTAATCCCAGCATTTTTGGATGCCAAGGCGGCTAGATCACTTGAGGTCAGGAGTTCAGGACCATCCTGCTCAACATGGTGAAACACTGTCTCTACTAAAAATACAAAGAATTAGCTAGGCATGGTAGCGGGTGCCTGTAATCACACCTACTCAGGAAGCTGAGGCACGAGAATCTTTTTTTCTTTTTTTTTTGAGACAGAGTTTTGCTGTTGTTGCCCAGGCTAGAGTGCAATGGCGTGAACTTGGCTCACCGCAACCTCCACCTTCCAGGTTCAAGTGATTCTCCTGCCTCAGCCTCCCAAGTAGCTGGGATTACAGGCATGTGTCACCACGCCCAGCTAATTTTGTATTTTTAGTAGAGACGGGGTTTCTCCATGTTGGTCAGGCTGGTCTTGAACTCCTGACCTCAGGTGATCCACCCGCCTGGGCCTCCCAAAGTGTTGGGATTACAGGCGTGAGGCACCGCCCCCGCCGAGAATCTCTTGAACCTGGGAAGCGGAGGTTGCAATGAGCGGAGATCACCCCACTGCACTCCTGCCTGGGTGTCAGAGCAAGACTCTGTCTCTAAATAAATAAATAAATAAGAAGGTGCTTATTACTTAGATCTGGGGTTGTGGGGATTATCAAAGTACTTTGAAAACAACTTTTTTAACAGAATATTTTAATATTTGGAAAAAGTTTTAAAGAAAAGCATCCTTTTATTTGTTTCCAACAGTCTCTCCTCTTCCTTCCTCCATGGATCTGCCTATTCAGGACAGCCATGATTCTTCCACCAGTCCCAAAGGCAAACAACCCACTACTGCAGAGAAGAGTGCCACAAAAAAGGAAGACAAGGTCCCGGTCAAGAAACAGAAGACCAGAACTGTGTTCTCTTCCACCCAGCTGTGTGTACTCAATGATAGATTTCAGAGACAGAAATACCTCAGCCTCCAGCAGATGCAAGAACTTTCCAACATCCTGAACCTCAGCTACAAACAGGTAGGCTTATTTTGTCGTTGCAATAAGGTGAACAAAAATTGGACTAATTTGCATGGCTAAGATCTCTGTGGATGCACATAGATGTGTGTGGTATGTGTCAGCACACTCCCTCTTGCAAATAATTTAAGTATGAAGATGAGGTATGTTATGGCTTAACCCTTCACCCTTCACCTCAATAGAGTTTTTATTTTATTTTATTTTGAGATGGAGTCTGGCTCTGTTATCCAGGCTGGATTCACCGTGGCACAATCTCGGCTCACTGCCTCAGCCTCCCGAATAGCTGGGATTACAGGCGCCTGCCACCGCGCCTAGCTAATTTTTGTATTTCAGTAGAGACGGGGTTTCACCATGTTGGCCAGACTGGTCTTGAACTCCTAACCTGAGGTGATCTGCCTACCTTGGCCTACCAAAGTGCTGGGATTACAGGCGTGAGCCACCGTGCCTGGCCTCAATAGAGTTTTTAAAAAAATAAACAAAGTCTCCCAATTCCAAACAATAGGAATAGATCTTCATCACACCAATTTGTACTTTATTTCTTATACTTGAGGTTAGATTCTAAACCCTAAAGATATCCAGACTAGTATTAGATCTACTTATCTATAGCCAGAGACAGCTTCTATCAATGTTGTCCTTAACAGCCAAGGTTATTAAAATGTCTTTTCTCAGGAAAGATCCAATAGGAAAAAAGAAAGAAACCTCTCTGATTAGGCTCCAACCATACCCCACCCTCCATGAGATTGACTGGATAGGCATCATGGAAACCAGAACACGTAGTTTCCATACAAGAAAAATCCTATGAGGGATGGGAGGAGGGGAGAGGAAGGATTCAGCCAGTGTCCAGACTGAAACTGAGTAATATCAATTTCACTCATCTTCACACGTCTTCAGGTTGCATGTTCATGGAGTAGTTTAGGAATAAATCCATGGTTTGTGGAGTACTAAAATACCTAGTGGTCTGCTGTATTACATTAAGGCCTTCCCCAGCAGCTTCCAAGGCAGCCTCCAAGTCACTGGCAGGAGAATTTGGCTGGAACTGCATGCAGGACTGCAGAGATTCCTCTCCACAGTTATAGAAGGGACTGTTCCAGGCCTGATTGTTCCAGGATTGGGTGCACCAGGTCTGAGTGTTCCAGGAGTGGTTGCTCCAGGACTGGATGTTCTGGGTCTCGTTGCTCCAGGTTGAATTGTTCCAGGTCTGGTTGCTCCACATTGGAAGGTTCTTCACCTCTTTCTTTCATTAAATATCTATTACGTGAATGTGATATAATTTAACCACTTTCTTTTCTTGCATAGACCAATATTGTGAAAATCTTTCCAATGTTTCCTTAATCAAAAAGAATTATGGGCCGGGCGCAGTAGCTCACACCTGTAATCCCAGCACTTTGGGAGGCCAAGGCAGGCAGATTACCTGAGGTCAGGAGTTCAAGACCAGCCTCGCCAACATGGTGAAACCCCGTCTCTACTAAAAATACAAAAAATTGCCGGGCGTGGTGGTGGTTGCCTGTAATCCCAGCTACTCAGGAGGCTGAGGCAGGAGAATTGCTTGAACCCATGAGGTGGAGGTTGCAGTGAGCCGAGATCTTGCCACTGCACTCCAGCCTAGGCGAAAGGTCAAGACTCCGTCTCAAAAAAAAAAAAAAAAAAAAAAAAAAAAGAATTACATAACTCTACTTTCCAGGTTAGGAGAATTCCTAACTTACACTGGTTCTCATTAAAATAAAAACTACCTCTTCTTTTTCCTTTTTTTCTTTCTGCCAGCAGCCTCCAGCTTCTTTTGTTTTTAGCCCTTATTTTGTATCGAAAATGTTCATTTCTCTTTTTTATTTTTATTTTTTTTAAAACAGTCTTTGTTGCCCAGGCTGGAATGCAGCTGTGCAATCTTGGCTGACTGCAACCTCCACCTCCCAGGTGCAAGCGATCCTTCCATCTCCGCGCCTGAGTAGCTGGGACCATAGGCACACACCATTATGCCGGGCTAATTTGTTACTTTATTTTATTTTTTTGAGACGGAGTCTCGCTCTGTCGCCCAGGCTGGAGTGCAGTGGCGCAATCTCGGCTCACTGCAAGCTCCGCCTCCCGGGTTCAAGCCATTCTCCTGCCTCAGCCTCCCGAGTAGCTGGGACTACAGGCGCGCGCCGCCACGCCCGGCTAATTTTTTTTTTTTTTTTTTTTTTTTTGTATTTTTAGTAGAGACGGAGTTTCACCATGTTAGCCAGGATGGTCTTGCTCTCCTGACCTCATGATCCGCCCGCCTCGGCCTCCCAAAGTGCTGAGATTACAGGCGTGAGCCACTGCGTATGCCTGGCTAATTTTTTTAATTTTTGTAAAGACAGGGTTTCACCATTTTGGCGAGGCTGGCGCGAACTCCTGGGCTTAAGCAATTCGCCCACCTTGGCTTCCCGAAGTGTTGGGATTACAGGTGTGAGACATGGTGCCTGGCCAGGAATAAAAGTTAGTAGTATTCTTTCATTCAAAGTACATCCGTATTATTAATATTTTATAATTTCTGTCATTTTTTCCTGCAGGTGAAGACCTGGTTCCAGAACCAGAGAATGAAATCTAAGAGGTGGCAGAAAAACAACTGGCTGAAGAATAGCAATGGTGTGACGCAGGTAACAGGAAACTTCATTCTGTTCTTTCCTTTCAGTGATCTTTCAATCTTGTCCATCCCTGAAACACACAACTCCAGTCACAGACAGTTCTGGTTGTCCTTGTACCCTTTCTGTTAATCTCTCCTTCTCTTTGAGAAGGCCTCAGCACCTACCTACCCCAGCCTCTACTCTTCCTACCACCAGGGATGCCTGGTGAACCCGACTGGGAACCTTCCAATGTGGAGCAACCAGACCTGGAACAATTCAACCTGGAGCAACCAGACCCAGAACATCCAGTCCTGGAGCAACCACTCCTGGAACACTCAGACCTGGTGCACCCAATCCTGGAACAATCAGGCCTGGAACAGTCCCTTCTATAACTGTGGAGAGGAATCTCTGCAGTCCTGCATGCAGTTCCAGCCAAATTCTCCTGCCAGTGACTTGGAGGCTGCCTTGGAAGCTGCTGGGGAAGGCCTTAATGTAATACAGCAGACCACTAGGTATTTTAATACTCCACAAACCATGGATTTATTCCTAAACTACTCCATGAACATGCAACCTGAAGACGTGTGAAGATGAGTGAAATTGATGTTACTCAGTTTCAGTCTGGACACTGGCTGAATCCTTCCTCTCCCCTCCTCCCATCCCTCATAGGATTTTTCTTGTATGGAAACTACGTGTTCTGGTTTCCATGATGCCTATCCAGTCAATCTCATGGAGGGTGGGGTATGGTTGGAGCCTAATCAGAGAGGTTTCTTTCTTTTTTCCTATTGGATCTTTCCTGAGAAAAGATATTTTAATAACCTTGGCTGCTAAAGACAACTTGATAGAAGCTGTCTCTGGCTATAGATAAGTAGATGTAATACTAGTTTGGATATCTTTAGGGTTTAGAATCTAACCTCAAGAATGAGAAATAAGCTGGGCGCGGTGGCTTACATCTGTAATCCCAGCACTTTGGGAGACCAAGGCGGGCGGATCACGAGGTCAGGAGATCGAGACCATCCTGGCTAACACGGTGAAAACCTGTCTCTACTAAAAAATACAAAAAAGTTAGCTGGGCATGGTGGTGGGCGCCTGTAGTGCCAGCTACTCGGGAGGCGGAGGTTGCAGTGAGCCAAGATCGCGCCACTGCACTCCAGCCTGGGCGACAGAGTGAGACTCTGTCTCAAAAAAAAAAAAAGAAAAAGAAAAAGAAAAGGAAATAAAAGTACAAATTGGTGTGATGAAGATATATTCCTATTGTTTGGGATTGGGAGGCTTTGTTTATTTTTTTAAAAACTCTATTGAGGCTGGGTGTGGTGGCTCACACCTGTAATGGCAGCACTTTGGGAGGCCAAGGTAGGCAGATCACCACAGGTTAGGAATTCAAGACCAGTCTGGCCAACATGGTGAAATCCCGTCTCTACTAAAATACAAAAATTAGCTGGGCATGGTGGCAGGCGCCTGTAATCCCAGCTACTCGGGAGGCTGAGCGGAGATGGTGCCACAGCAATCCAGCCTGGATGACAGAGCCAGACTCCATGTCAAAATAAAATAAAAACTCTATTGAGGTGAAGGGTGAAGCTTTAAGTTGTTACATACTTCACTGATTTCCTCAACCCTTTTTGGCTCCGTTTTACTATAGCCCGTATTTTGTTGGTTATGACTAATATTTGTGGAAAGAGGTCTTGTGTTTAGTGCATTATAATGGCATCAGTACTACTTCGGCTGGTTTAAGTACTAATGAATAAAACAACCATTTTTCCTTCAGTTGACTTTGGCCTGATTTCTCCTAGTGTTTCAATCAGTAAAAATACAGCTTAAACATAAATCTTTGTTACGTTTTTAGTTGGGGCGGGGGAGTAAATTAGCTGAGAACACTGCTATCTTAGAAATAGATAGAAAAAGCTGAATGTGGTGGCCCATGCCTGTAGTCCCAGCTACTTGGGAGGCTGAGGAAGGAAGATCGCTTGAGCCCTGGAGGACTCACTCCAGCCTGGGCAACAGTGAGTCCCCTGCCTCAAAAAATGGATAGAATTGAGTAAGTGGCTGGGCGAGGTGGCTCAGTCCTATAATCCCAGCACTTTGGGAGGCTGAACTGGGTGGATCATGTGAGGTCAGGAGTTCAAGACCAGCGTGGCCAACATGGCGAAACACCATCTCTACTAAAAATACAAAAATTTGTTGCAAGAGGTTGCAGTGAGCTAAGATCACACCACTGCACTCCAGCCTGGGCAACAGAGTGAGATTCCTGACCTCAAGTGATCTGCCTGCCTCTGCCTCTCAAAGTGCTGGGATTACAGGTGTGAGCCACTGCGCTTGGCCTTTTTTTTTTTTTAAGATGGTGTGTCACTAACATTTTAATAAAATTATTGGTTCTTACAAAGGGCAGATAATGAAGCTCCAATAAATTTGAGGAAATATTAAATAGTAATTCAGAGCCTAGAAATTTTGGAAAAAATATCTGGCTTCTCTTTGCTTTGGATTAAGTTCAGCTACAAAGCATGGGGGTAGTTTATATTTCTGTTATCCTGATGAGAAATCTGATGTGGTAGATACCACCCTCCACCTGCCGAAAGGATAATCTTGAGTAGATAATGGAACCAGTTTTACTGATCTAATGAGCATAGGAATTGTTCAGGGCCTTGGTGGCAGTTAACACGTGTGTGATGGCTGTGTGGGCAGCACTGATGGAATCTACAGGGCCTTCCCCAGTTTAGGAGATGTTAAGTATGACTGCAGGGTTACTGAGAGGCTGAG
This sequence comes from Homo sapiens, assembly GCF_000001405.40. Taxonomy (NCBI): domain Eukaryota; kingdom Metazoa; phylum Chordata; class Mammalia; order Primates; family Hominidae; genus Homo; species Homo sapiens. The sequence continues at coordinate 7,901,070 of NC_000012.12, forward strand.
GAAAGATGCCTGACTTGAGGTCTGGGATCTGCGAGAGGGAAGATTTTGAGTTGCACATAGGCTTGAAGCATCTCATGTTGAAAGCATCAAGCTGGGGACTGAAGAAAGGAAGTAAGAGATGAGAGAAAAAAAGGAGATTGGTGTCTGGTTTTCACTGTTTAATTTGCTTTTGGAAATTAACCATTAATGGAAATACGACTTGTTTCCTACATCCAATAGGTCAATATTCAAGTTGAGGTGAAGACCTAGGGCAGAAGGTAGTAAAACCCACAGTCACCAAGAAACCAAAGAAAGGCTGTACGCAGTGGCTCACACCTGCAATCCCAGCACTTTGGGAGACTGAGGCAGGCGGATCACTTGAGGTCAGGAGTTCAAGACCATCCTGGCCAAATATGGTGAAACCCCATCTCTGCTAAAAATACAAAAATTAGCCGGTTATGGTAGCTCACACCTGTAATCTCAGCTACTTAGGAGGCAAAGGCAGGAGAATCGCATAAATTCTGGAGGTGGAAATGGCAGTGAGCTGAAATTGCACCACTGCACTCCAGCCTGGTGGAGAGTGAGACTCCAGCTCAGGAAAAAAAAAGAAAAAAGAAAATTTTCTTCTTTTCTTTTTTTTTTTTTTTTCCTGAGACACAGTCTCACTCTGTCACCCAGGCTGGAGTGCAGTGGCGTGATCTTGGCTCACTGCAACCTCTTCCTCCCAGGTTCAAGTGATTCTCCTGCTTCAGCCTTCGGAGTAGCTGGGATTACAGGTGTGTGCCACCATGTCTGGCTAATTTTTGTATTTTTAATAGTGACAGGGTTTCACCATGTTGGTTAGGCTGGTCTTGAACTCCTGACCTCGTGATCCTCCAGCCTCAGCCTCCCAAAGTGTTGGGATTACAGGCGTGAGCCACTGCATCCGGCCTGATTTCTTTTCTTTTCTTTTTTTTTTTTTTGAGATGATTCTCGCTCTGTCACCGGGCTGGAGTACAGTGGCACAATCTTGGCTCACTGCAACCTCTGCCTCCCGGGTTCCAGCAATTCTCCTGCCTCAGCCTCCCAAGTAGCTGAGACTACAGGTACGTGCCACCACGCCCAGCTAATTTTTGTATTTTTAGTAGAGGCAGGGTTTCACCATGTTGGCCAGGATGGACTCCATCTCTTGACCTGGTGATCTGCCCACCTCGGCCTCCCAAAGTGCTGGGATTACAGGCGTGAGCCACTGCGCCCAGCCCCGATTTTCTTTTTTTTTAAAGAATCATGGCTTTTGGTTGCAAGTCTGAAATAAATTTGCTCTTAAAAGCAAATTATTTAAGCAATAGAAAAATACATAATGAAGTTGATCTAGTAATTACACCTATTCAGATATAAACACTAAATAATTCAGCATATATTCTTACAGATTTTCAGCCAAAGATATTTTAGTACATATAATGTAGATGTTAATGGGTGGTTTTGTAAATTATAACACTATTATATTTTCTGGGTTTTTTTCTGAGACGGAGTTTCACTCCTGTTGCCCAGTGCAATGTCACAATCTTGGCTCACTCCAACCTCCGCCTCCCACGTTCAAGCGATTCTCCTGACTCAGCCTCTGGAAAGCTGGGATTATAAGCATACATCACCACACCCGGATAATATTGTATTTTTAGTAGACACGGGGTTTCTCCATGTTGGTCAGGCTGGTCTCAAACTCCCGACCTCAGGTGATCTGCCTGCCTTGGCCTCCCAAAGTGCTGGGATTAACAGGCGTGAGCTACCGTGCCCGTCTTTTTTTTTTTTTTGAGGCGAAGTTTTCCCCTGTCGCCCAGACGGCTGGAGTGCAGCATGCGATCTCATCTTACCATAACCTTCACATCCCCAGTTCAAGCCAATTCTCCTGCCTCAGCCTCCTGAGTAGCTGGGATTACAGGTGCATGCCACCACGCCTGGCTAATTTTTGTATTTTAAGTAGACACAAGGTTTCACCATGTTGGCCAGGCTGGTCTTGAACTTCTGACCTCAGGTGATCCCTCGGTCTCCCAAAGTGCTGGGATTACAGGCATGAGCCATTGTGCCCCAGTTTTTTTTTTTTTTTTTTTTTAAAGACAAAGTCTTGGCCAGGCAGGGTGGCTCATGCCTGTAATCCCAGCACTTTGGGAGGCCAAGGCTGGTGGATCACCTGAGGTCAGGAGTTTGAGACCAACCTGGCCAACATGGTGAAACCCCGTGTCTACTAAAAGTACAAGAAATTAGCCTGGTGTGGTGGCACGCGCCTGTAATCCCAGCTACTCGGGAGGCTGAGGCAGAAGAATTGCTTGAACCTGGGAGGCGGAGGTTGCAGTGAGCCAAGATTGCACCATTGCACTCCAGTTTGGGCAACAAGAGCAAATTCTGTCTCAAAAAAAAAAAAAAAAAAAGACAAGGTCTGGCTCTGCTGCCCAAACTGGGGTTCAGTGGTGCCATCTCAGCTCATTGCAGCCTCGACTTCCTGGATTCAAGGAATTCTCCTGCCTCAGCCTCCCAAATAGCTCAGACTACAGGCACGAACCACTATGCCCAACAAACTTTTGTATTATTTATTTATTTTTTTTGAGATGTTGCCCAGGCTGGAGTGCAGTGGCACAATCTCCACTCACTGCAACCTCTGCCTCTTGGGTTCAAGCGATTCTCCTGCCTCAGCCTCCCAAGTAGCTAGGATTACAGGTACCACACCTGGCTAATTTTTGTATTTTTAGTAGAGTTGGGGTTTCACCATTTTGGACAGGCTGGTCTTGAACTCCTGACCTCAAGTGATCCGCCCGCCTCAGCCTTCCAAAGGGCTGAGATTACAGGCGTGAGCCACCGTGCTCGGCCTATCATAGATAACTTTCTATACACTAAAATTGGATCTGGCTCATTCATTTTAATTACTATGTAATAATAAATATTACAGATGTATCACGATTTAAGTTGTTTTTATTTTTGTTTTGACTTTTGAGCACTATATATAACTATTAACATTTTTAAAAAATTTTTTTAAAAATTTTTTTGAGACGGAGTCTTGCTCTGTCACCCAGGCTGGAGTGCAGTGGCACGATCTTGGCTCACTGCAACCTCCGCCTCCCAGGTTCAAGTGATTCTCCTGGCTCGGCCTCCCAAGTAGCTGGGATTACAGGCGCCGGCCACCACGCCCGGCTTATTTTTGTATTTTTTAGTAGAGATGGGGTTGCACCACGTTGACCAGGCTGGTCTCGAACTCCTGACCTCAGGTGATCCACCTGCCTCGGCCTCTCAAAGTGCTCAGATTACAGGCATGAGCCACCGCACCCGGCCTGCTATTAACATCTTGACATTAATTTAAATAAATGTTAAGGTGTAGATTTTTTTTTTTTTTGAAACAGAATTTTGCTGTTGTTGCCCAGGCTGGAGTGTAATGGCACGATCTCAGCTCACTGCAACCTCTGCCTCCCGGTTTCAAGTGATTCTCCTGCCTCAGCCTCCCAAGTAGCTGGGATTACAGGCATGCACCATCATGACTGGCTAATTTTGTATTTTTAGTAGAGATGGGGTTTCTCCATGTTGGTCAGGCTGGTCGTGAACTCCTGACGTCAGGTGATCTGCCCGTGTTGGCCTGCCAAAGTGCTGGGATTACTGGCATGAGCCACCACGCCCGGCCGATAGCTTTTTTTTTTTTAGACAGAGTCTCGCTCTGTCGCCCAGGCTGGAGTGCAGTAGTGCCATCTGGGCTCACTGCAACCTGCGCCTCCTGGGTTCAAGCAGTTCTCCTGCCTCAGACTCCCAAGTAGCTGGGATTACAGGCACCTGCCACCATGTCCGGCTAATTTTTTGTATTTTTTAGTAGAGATGGGGTTTCGCCATCTTGGCCAGGCTGGTCTTGAACTCCTGACCTCATGATCCACCCGCCTTGGCCTCCCAAAGTGCTGGGATTATAGAAGTGAGCCACCGCGCCCGGCCGATATGTTTTTAAAAATTAAAAAATGCCATTCTTTATGTTCCTGCTCACTTCATGGCTAAATGAGAACTAATCACTGACTACTATTAGCCAAGTGATTAAAAGTTAAAAAATGTAAGCTCTATGTTGTCTTTATGGTCCAAAAACTTAATGCCTAAGAAGGTGAAAGATCAGCAAATAAACATTAAAGCAAAATTCACTATACATAAGCCACCTTAAGAAGAGGCTTGAAAAGTTGCCAATAAGAACTTGGAGATGTGCCAACCTAATTTAAGGCTTTTCAGCTTATCCTTTCTAGGTCACCGGATCACCAACAATATAAACAAATATAATAATAGGAGATTAAGCAAAAAGGAAATTATAAATTCACAAGTCAGGCTCTCCTTTTTACATCTCTTCCTTTCCCCTAGAAAATTTTGCTTTCTTTGTTCTTTTCCCAAAAGGAGGTGTGTGTTACTTCCAACATTATATTTTAGTAACTTTACCATATTTTAGTTTTTAAAATTCATTTTCTTGATTTTTCAGCTTCCATTTCCATTTCAGTTTGTACCTGAAGGAGAGAAGCATGGATTGAATTTGCCTGGGTTTTCCGAATTTCATAATATAAATTCAAAGCTCAGAAGTGGGAGGAATACAGGCCTTGATTAGTGAATTTCAAGCTCAGTTCTCGGGGTGAAGGACAAGGTTAATTCTACTGTAAATAATCCTACCATTCAGAAAAGCTGGTGTGTCCAAGGAAGAAAAAACAGGCTGTGACTACAAACCTAAAAGTAAAGGCAAACAGCTGCCAGACAGAGGCAGGAAAGTGGGGGAGAGCCCTTGGTAAATATTGCATGCCTCCTGGGGCCCCCATGGGCTTTGACTCAAGGGGGAGATGAAGGGAATTTGTTAAAGAAAGAAGTCACTGGGACAGACAAAAGCTTCCGGCACAGGAAGTTAGTTCGACTAAGGATACCGAAATGTAGGAATTTGAATGGGTTCCTGGGTGTGAGGTTGAAGTGAAACTTGATTGAAAAGAAGCTGCTGGTGGTGAGTCTCTCCTTAAGCTATTCCTGGCTTCTGGGTAGTTGGTATAAACTTTGTGGTCCTCGAATAAAATGTTCTTGAGAATTTTAAAGGGTTAAGCACCTGGGAAATTACTTCAATGCAATGGTAGCACTACCTCCAATGACACTACCAAGCAAACTATTAAGAAACAGAAAAGCTCACAGATCAAATTAAGATACTAGAATCATATTAAATCACTTAAATACATGGCACAAAGCACAGTAAAAAAAGATGGGATACATTAATCCATTTAGGATAAGGTGCATGTGGAGTAGAAAGGGTAGCAGTGTTTACATGTCCTCTGATACACTGGCGTAGTCACAAGAGCTAAGGACAAGAACCAAGGGTGAGAATTTGAGATTCAATTAGGGCCAGGGATCTGCAGAACAGATGTACCTGGAACATGGGTGTCAATGTGCTCTTATCAGAGAGACAAAGGGGTAGGTATTCCTGGCCACAAAAGTAGTTCTCCTTGGCTCATTGAGCAGCACTTTTTTTTTTTTTTTGAGATGGAATCTTGCTCTGTCACCCAGGCTGGAATGCAGTGGTGTGATCTCGGTCCACTGCAACCTCCGCCTTCTGGGTTCAAGTCGTCATTCTCCCTCAGCCTGCTGAGTAGCTGGGACTACAGGTGCATACCACCACACCTGGCTAATTTTTCTATTTTTAGTAGGGACAGGGTTTCACCATATTGGCCATGCTGGTCTCGAACTCCTGACCTCATGATCTGCCTGCCTCAACTTCCCAAAGTGCTGCGTTTATAGGTGTGAGCCACCACGCCCGGCCCCAAATCTCATTTCTTAAGTCTCGTCCTTCCTCAGCCTTTCAGTAATCCTACAGTCATACTTTTGTTTTGAGACAACATTTTGCTATGTTGTTTAGGCTGGAGTGTAGTGGCACGATCATGGCTCACTGCTACCTCAACCTTTTGGGTCTAACAGATCCTCCCACATCAGCCTCCCTAGTAGCTGGGATCACAGGCTAATTTTTTTTTTTTTTTCTATTTTTTGTAGAGACAGGCTCTCACTATGTTGCCTAGGTTGGTCTCCAACTCCTGGACTCAAGGGATCCTCCCATCTTGGCCTGCAAAAGTGCTGGAATTGCAGGTGTGAGCCCCACCAGGCCTGCAATCATACTTAGCCCTCAAGCTGTGTAAGGCTCTGTAGGTTCTTTCAGTGCAGTCCACACAACTATCACACACAGTTCCTGGTCAATTCTTATCTCATTATGTCAATAAAAGTGACTCCTTTTATTTACTCAGAGTTGCTGCCCTCTATCGGTGCGGGGGGCGGGAAAGACCATGTTTTAAGTATCTGCCACATCAGTCTTTTCTTTTTTTTTTTTTTTTTTTGAGTTGGAGTCTCCCTCTGTCTCCCAATCTAGAGTGCAGTGGCAGGATCTCAGCTCACTGCAACCTCCACCTCCCGGGTTCAAGCAGTTGTCTTGCATCAGTCTCCTGAGTAGCTGGGATTACAGGTGCACACCCACCATGCCCAGCTAATTTTTGTATTTTTAGTTGAAGTGGGGTTTCACTATGTTGGTCAGGCTGGTCTCAGACTCCTGACCTTGTGATCCGCCTGCCTCGGCCTCCCCAAGTGCTGGGATTACAGGCGTGAGCCACCACTCCTGGCCACATCAGTCTTTGTCAGGATAAGAGAGATGATCATTATTCTTAACTCTTAGCGATGTATTTTTATTATGCCTTTTTTAAAAAACATGTTTTTTCCTTTTTTTTCCTTACAGTTCTATAGGTCAGAATACTCTGCCTCTTTTTATTTTTTTTTGAGATGGAGTCTTGCTCTGTCTCCCAGGCTGGAGTGCAGTGGCATGATCTTGGCTCACTGCAACCTTTGCCTCCCGGATTCAAGCGATTCTTCTTCCTCAGCTTTCCGAGTAGCTGGAATTACATGTGCCTGCCACCACGCCCAGCTAATTGTTGTATCTTTAGTAGAGACGGGGTTTCGCCATGTTGGCCAGGCTGCTCTCCAACTCCTGACCTCAGGTGATCCGCCTGCCTCGGCGTCCCAAAGTGCTGGGATTACAGGCGTGAGCCACCTCAGCAGTCCTACTCTGCCTCTTACGTCACTTACATCTTCCAAAAGAAGAGTGAAAAACAGGCCGGGCGCAATGGCTTACACCTGTAATCCCAGCTCTTTGGGAGGCCAAGGCAGGCGGATCACCTGAGGTCAAGTGTTTGAGACCGGCCTGGCCAACATGGAGAAACCCCAACTCTACTAAAAATACAAACATTACCTGGGCCTGGTGGCATGTGACTGTAATCCCAGCTTTTTGGGAGGCTGAGGCAGGAGAAGAATCGCTTGAACCTGGGAAGCAGAGGTTGCGGTGAGCCAAGATGGCGCCACTGTACTCCAATCTGTAATAGAGTGAGACTCTTTTTCAAAAAAATAATAATAATACATAAATAAATACAAACATTAGCTGGGCGTGGTGGCACGCGCCTGTAATCCCAACTACTCTGGGGGCTGAGGCAGGAGAATCATTTGAACCTGGGAGGCAGAGGTTGCAGTGAGCCAAGATCCTGCCACTGCACTCCAGCCTGGGCAACAAGAGCAAGACCCTGTCTCTGAAAAAAAGAATAGTGAAAAATAAAGTGAGTTCCAATTTGGAGGTAAATACCTTTCAGAGTACTTTAGATTTACACAGCACTCAATTACATGAGAAAATATTTATAAACTGTGCTTCACTTGAACTGTAAGCTATACTCTGAGGTTAACTGCCATTTGTGTGTTGACACTCTAAAGCTCTGTAAGTTTTTTTTTTTTTTTTAAGACTAGTCAGGCCGGGTACGATGGCTCACACCTGTAATCCCAGCACTTTGGGAGGCTGAGCTGGGTGGATCACCTGAGGTCAGGAGTTCAAGACTAGCCTCACCAATACGGTGAAACCTCGTCTCTACTGAAAATACAAAAATTAGCCCAGCATGGTGGTGCACGCTTGTAACCCCAGCTACCTGGGAGGCTGAGGCAGGAGAATCGCTTGAATCTGGAGGCGGAGGTTGCTGTGAGCCGAGATCATGACACTGCACCCTAGCCTGGGTGGTCTCGGAAAAAAATAAAAATAAAAATTGCTGGGCGAGGTGGCTCACACCCACATCTGTAATACCAGCACCTTAGGAGGCCAAGGCGGGCAGATCACTTGATGTCAGGAGTTTGAGACCAGCCTGGCCAACATGGTGAAACCCTGTCTCTACTACAAATACAAAGATTAGCCTGGTGTGGTGGCATGTGCCTGTAGTCCCAGCTACTTGGGAGGCTGAGGCAGAAGAATCACTTGAATCCCCGAGGTGGAAGTTGCAGTGAGCCCAGTGCACTCCTGCCTGGGCGACAGAGTGAGAGTCTGTCTCAAAAAAAAAAAAAAAGGGAATTTGAGACCAGCCTGACCAACACAGAGAATGGAGAAACCCCATCTCTACTAATAATACAAAAATTAGCCGGGCATAGTGTTGCATGCCTGTAATCCCAGCTACTCGGGAGACTGAGGCAGAAGAATCGCTTGAACCCAGGAGGCCAAGGTTTCGGTGGGCTGAGATCGCACCATGGCACACCAGCCTGGGGATCAAGAGCGAAACTCCGCCTCAAAAAAACAAAAAAACAAAAAAAAAGAAAAAAGAAAAAAAAGAAGGAAAGCAAGCTTATTAGGAAAGTAAAGGAACAAAAGAATGGCTACTCCAGAGGCAGAGTAGCCTAGCCTGGTGCAGCCACTTTGGAAAACAGTTTGATAGTTTCTCAAATGGTTAAAGATAGAGTTACTATATAACCCAGAAATTCTACTCCTAGGTATATTATCCGAAGAAAATGAAAATGTATTGTGATGGTTAATATTGAGTGTCAATTTAATTGGATTGAAGTATGCAAAGTATTGTTCCTGGGTGTGTCTTGTCTGTCAGGTGTTGCCAAAGGAAATTTACATTTGAGTCAGTGGACTGGGAAAGGCAGACCCACCCTCAATCTGTGTGGGCACAAGCTAATCAGCTACCAGTGAGGCCAGAATAAAAGCAGGCAGAAGAACATGAAAAGACCAGACTGGCTTAGCCTCCTGGCCTACATCTTTCTCCTGTGCCAGATGCTTCCCGCCCTTGAACATCGGAATCTAAGTTCTTTAGCTTTGGGACTTGGACTGGCTTCTTTGCTCCTCAGCTTGCAGACGGCCTATTGTGGGACCTTACCTTGTGATCGTGTGAGTCATACTCCTTAATAAACTCCCTTTTATATATACATCTATCCTATTAGTTCTGTCCCTCTAGAGAAGCCTGACTAATACACATATGACCACATAAAAAAGTTGTTCATAGGTGTTCACTGCAGAATTCTTGACAATAACACCAAATTGGAAACAACCCCATCCATTCACCAATAAATGGATAAACAGGCTGGGCGCGGTGGCTCACGCCTATAATCCCAACACTTTGGGAGGCTGAGGTGGGCAGATCACTGGAGGTCAGGAGTTCCAGACAGCTGGGCAAACATGGTGAAACCCTGTCTCTACTAAAAATACAAAAATTAACCGGGTGTGGTGGTGTGCACATGTAGTACTAGCTACTTGGGAGGCTGAGGTGGCAGAATTGCTTGAACCCAGGAGGCAGAGGCTGCAGTGAACCAAGACTGTACCACTGTACTCCAGCCTGGGCAACAGAGTGAGATTCTGTCTCAAAAAAAAAGATAAATTAAATGTAGTATGTCCGTGCAATGTAATATTATTCAGCCATTAATAGGAATGAGGTACTGACCCATGCTGTAACATAGATGAATCTTGAAAATGTTATGCTAAATGTATAAAGCTAGTCACAAAAGATCACATATTGTGTAATTCCTTTTACATAAAATGTCCAGAATAGGTAAACCTATAGAGGTAGAAGGTACATTAGTGGTTGTTTAGGGCTGGGGTAATGGAGAGAGAGGCACAATAGTTAAAGGGTCCAGAGTTTCTTTTCCGTTTTTTTTTTTTTGTTTTTGTTTTTGTTTGAGACAGAGTCTTGCTCTGTCAGCCAGACTGGAGTATAGTGGCATGATCTTAGCTCACTGCAACCTCCAACCTCCGTCTCCCAGGTTCAAGCGATTCTCCTGCCTCAGCCTCTGTAGCAGCTGGGACTACAGGCACGTGCCACCACACCTGGCTAATTTTTGTATTTGTGGTAGAGACAAGGTTTCACCATGTTTGCCAGGCTGGTCTCGAAATCCTGACCTCAAGTGATCCACCTGCCTCAGCCTCCCAAAATGCAGGGATTATAGGCATGAGCCGACGAGCCTGGCCAAGATGTATTATATTTTTTAATACATTGCTAGATATGATATTCTAATAATTTGTTTGCCTCTATATGAATCAATAAAATTGGTCTGCCTGAGACCCTGTCTCAAAAAAAAATTTTTAATAAATAAATAAAAATCTAATGTGATAATCTACTATTATTTGAAAAGCTTATCCCATTATATTTGTTATTGCTTATATAATTAGATTTTTTCCTATCATTCTATTATCTGCTTTCTACTTTGTAATGCTTTTTCTGTTTTCTCTTCCCAAACCCTTTTCTGTTCTTTTAAAGGTAGTTGGTTGTCTGGCCGGGCGTGGTGGCTCACCCCTATAATCCCAGCACTTTGGGAGGCCGAGACGGGTGGATCACCTGAGGTCGGGAGTTCGAGACCAGCCTAACCAACATGGAGAAACCCCGTCTCTACTAAAAATACAAAAAATTAACCAGGCGTGGTGGTGCATGCCTGTAATCCTAGCTACTTGGGAGGATGAGGCAGGAGAATCACTTGAACCCGGCAGGCAGAGGTTGTGGTGAGCCGAGATCGTGCCATTGCACTCCAGCCTGGGCAACAAGAGGGAGATTCCGTCTCAAAAAAAAAAAAGGTAGTTGGTTTGTGTGGTGTGTGTGTGTAATTCTAGCTACTCGAGAGGCTGAGGCGGGAGGATTGCTTGAGCCCAGGAATTCACGTCCAGCTTTGGCAACATAGCAAGATTCCATCTTTTAAAAAAAAAAAAAAAAATTGGTTGGTTTGTTTTTCTTTACGTAGTCTGTTTTTTTCCCCCATGTAAAATATTTGGAATTTATCATCTATAAGGCTTATTCATTTAATAGTGACTGGGTTCAAGCGATTCTACTGCCTCAGCCTCCTGAGTTGCTGGGATTACAGGCGTGCACCACCATGCTAGGCTAATTTTTGTATTTTTAGTAGAAACGGGGTTTCACTGTCTTGGCCAGGCTGATCTCGACCTCCTGACCTCTAGTGATCCACTCGCCTCAGCTTCCCAAAGTGCTGGGATTACAGACGTGAGACACCATGCCCATCCAAATTTTTGGATTTTGTTTTGTTTTGTTTTGTTTTTGGAAATGGAGTTTTGCTCTTGTTGCCCATGCTGGAGTGCAATGGCCTGATCTCAGCTCACTGCAACCTCTGCCTCCCGGGTACAAGTGATTCTCCTGCCTCAGCCTCCCGAGTAGCTGGGATTACAGGTATATGCCACCATGCTCGGCTAATTTTGTATTTTTAGTAGAGACAGGGTTTCACCATGTCGGTCAGGCTGGTCTCAAACTCCTGACCTCAAGTGATCCACCCACCTTGGCCTCCCAAAGTGCTGGTATTACAGGTGTGAGTCACTGTGCCCAGCCTTTTGTATTTTTAGTAGAGACAAGGTTTTGCCATGTTGTCCAGGATGGTCTCGAACTCCTGACATCAGGTGATCCACCCGCCTCAGCCTCCCAAAGTGCTTGGATTACAGACGTGAGCCACTGCGCCTGGCCTCTTATTTTATAATTGACTACTTTGAACTCTGAGTTGAACTGGCATTCCTCCAGAAAAGATTTACATTTGCTTCTCTCAGTTGTTTAGGACCTGTACTAATCTAGAACCGCTTTAAGTTATATTTTCTATTTGTAGATTTTTAGCCACACAGTTAGCATAAAATCAGACAACGACACTGCATGGGGACCAATGTGTAGTTAAGAATTCTTGGCGAGATTTTTTTTTCCTCCTCTGTCCAGCACCAAGGTGAAAAAGCAAAAGAGGACTGCTGTCTTCTTCTGAACCATGGTTTGATCTCTTGTTCATCCTTTATGCAGAGATCTCCTTTTAGACTACCTAGACTTTATCTTGGGCCTCCACACTCCATGAAGCCTTCCTGGGAAAAGTCCAATATCAATGAAGCTTCCCAAATCTATGAAGAAGGAAAAAGCTACAATTTTGTTGTTGTTGTTGTTGTTGTTTTTTGAGACGGAGTCTCGCTTTGTCGCCCAGGCTGGAGTGCAGTGGCACAATCTCGGCTCGCTGCAAGCTCCTCCTCCCAGGTTCACACCATTCTCCTGCCTCAGCCTCCCGAGTAGCTGGGACTACAGGCGCCTGCCACCATGCCCCGCTAATTTTTTGTATTTTTAGTAGAGACGGGGTTTCACCATGTTAGCCAGGATGGTCTCGATCTCCTGACCTCGTGATCCGCCCGCCTCGGCCTCCCAAAGTGCTGGGATTACAGGCATGAGCCACTGCGCCTGGCCAAAAGCTACAATGTTTTAAAAAGAGAGATGATTGAGAATTTTCTAAATATTTGTTGTGTGTACTTACGCTTTTAAAAGTAGAATATAATCACGGCAAAATGTTTATTTTATTTTTGATACAGAGTTTCGCTCTTGTTGCCCAGGCTGGAGTGTAATGGCACTATCTTGGCTCACCGTAACCTCTGCCTCCTGGGTTCAAGCGATTCTCCTGCCTCAGCCTCCCGAGTAGCTGGGATTACAGGCATGAGCCAGCACGCCCGGCTAATTTTGTATTTTTAGTAGAGACAGGGTTGCTCCATGTTGGTCAGGCTGGTCTCGACTCCCAACCTCAGGTGATCCGCCAACCTTGGTCTCCCAAAGTGCTGGGATTCCAGGGGTGAGCCACCGTGCCAGCCCAGCAAAATATTTAAAAAGCACAAGATGGAAAAAATTTAAAAGTAAATGTCTTCTCAATAAGATCTCTTCCCATTATTCAGAGGTAACCATTATTAACAATTTATTCAATATCACTCCGGAAACTATGCTTATCTAAGCCTACATAAGTAAGATTCCTTTTCTTATCTTCCTTCTTTTTTTTTTTTAAACAAATGGGGTCATACTGAATATGTTATTCTCTAATTTCTTTTCTTTACTCAGTGATACATCATGGATGTTGTAACATAGCAGCACCAAATATCTACCTAATTATGTAGAGTATCTGCATAGTACTATATTCCACGGATGTTTCAAAATTTATGTTTACCAGTTTCTTATTGGGATATTTAGGTTTTATTTTTTATTTATTTTATTTATGTTTTTGAGACAGAGTCTTGCTCTGTCGCCCAGGCTGGAGCGCAGTGGCGGGATATCGGCTCACTGCAAGCTCCACCTCCCGGGTTCACGCCATTCTCCTGCCTCAGCCTCCTGAGTAGCTGGGACTACAGGCGCCCGCCAGCCACCATGCCCGGCTAATTTTTTGTATTTTTAGTAGAAACAGGGTTTTACCGTGTTAGCCAGGATGGTCTCGATCTCCTGACCTCATGATCCGCCCGCCTCAGCCTCCCAAAGTGCTGGGATTACACGCGTGAGCTACCGCGCCTGGCCAGGATATTTCAGTTTCATATCTTTTCTTTTCGAGATAGGGTCTCCCTCTGTCGCCCAAGCTAGAGTGCAGTGGTATGACCTCGGTTCACTGCAACCTCGACCTCCTGGCTCAAGCGATCCTCCTGCCTCAGCCTCCCGAGTAGCTGGGATCACAGGCACGTGCCACCACACCTGACTAAATTTTAAATTTTTTGTAGAGACGGGGGTCTCTCTATATTGCCTAGGCTGGTCTTGAACTCCTGGCTCAAGTGATCCTTCTGCCTCGGCCTCCTAAAGTGCTGGGGTTACAGGCGTGAGCCACTGCACTCTGCCCTCCCTGTGTTCTTCACCACTTCCTCTTCCCTTCCAAGGCCACCAGTAAATCTATCTTCTTTCTCTCTGTAGAATGGCCTATTCTGGAAATTTCGTCTCAATTGAGTAATATAGTATGTGGTCTTTTATGATTGGCTTCTTTCACTTTTTTTCTTTTGTTTATTTTTTTGAGACGGAGTCTCAGTCTGTCGTCCAGGCTGGAGTGCAATGGCACGATCTCGGCTCACTGCAACCTCTGCCTCCCGGGTTCAAGCGATTCTCCCGCCTCAGCTCCCAAAGTGCTGGGATGACAGGCTCGAGCCGCAGCACCTGGCCAATTTTCTCATTTAAAAAAATGAAACTTAGCCGGGCGCGGTGGCTCACGCCTGTCATCCCAACAGTTTGGGAGGCCTAGGCGGGCGGATCACCTGAAGTCGGGAGTTCGAGACCAGCCTGGCTAACATGGTGAAATCCTGTTTCTACTAAAAATACAAAAAATTAGCCGGGCGTGTAGCTGGGCGTGGTGTCGCGCGCCTCTCATCCCAGCTACTCGGGAGGCTGAGGCAGGAGAATCGCTTGAACCCGGGTGGCGGAGATTGCGGTGACCTGAGATCGTGCCATTGCACTCCAGCCTGGGCGACAAGAGCGAAACTCCGTCTCAAAAAAAAAAAAAAAAATTAATGTAATCCCTGAAATGTATCCCAACTCAGGCGTCAACCCTATCAAGTAACACAGCCTAGAGCAATACAGAAAGGGCAGTTAAATTCACTTACCTGCATTGGAAGGCAGGTCAAGGTCGCTGGGTTCCAGGTATATCCTGGGTCATAGCAAAGAATATTAGTGATGATGAGCAAACTAAGATAGAATGACAGGGTTCTGCAGCTGCCCACGCCTGCGCAGTGAAGAGGACTCGCGGGGTAACCAGAGCAGCCCAGGCCCAGCCTTTTTGCAGGGTCTCCAGTTTCTCGCCCCCCCCGCTTCAGCACCCCCCTTCCCCTCCCCCTTCCCCCCCCCCGCCGCCCCACCGCCTCCGTGCGCCAGTCCCAGCCTCATGCGGCCGCCGGGCTATTGGGAGGTGGGTGGTCGCGGCCGCAGCGCCAAGTCGGGCTGGCGGGCTCAGTGCTCGCTGGGGGCAGGGCGGCGAACTGGAGGAAGAGGGTGGACGTTGGTGAGAACCGCAGTTTCAGCCACGCCAGTGCAGCGAAGGCCCCCGATCAAAAAGACAGATTTGTTACTAGATGATTCATCGGTGCCATTCTTTGGGTATCTACAGCTCATGATGAGAGAGGACGGCGTGATGAAGGCCCACAGCGCGGAGCCCAAGCGGGCCTCATAAGCCTCACCTGCAGTTTGGCTGAAACATAACCTCGCAGCTCTGAAGCTCCAGGCCCAGAGGCGCTCCCTCCACCTTTTCCTTGTCTCACTTGCCCAGCCCTGAGCAGGCGACCCCTAGCCCAACCTCAACCATCTGGGGCCACTTGGAACCTTGGCCAAGTTTCTGCAACAAACACTTGATTCCAAAAAAAAGGAGGGTGGCGGGGTGGGGGACTTGAAATTTCTCTAAAAGCCCAGGTGGCTTTGGGAGGTGTGGAAGGGGGAAATCCCCTCAACCAATACCCACTATTATCTACCCAGCCATCTAACACTTATTGTGCTAGTTATAAATTTATTGTCTGTCAGCTCCGAATTCATCCCTCAATACCTGCTTTTTTTTTTTTTTTTTTTTTTGAGACGGAGTCTCGCTCTGTCGCCCAGGCTGGAGTGCAGTGGCACGATCTCGATCTCGGCTCACTGCAAGCTCCGCCTCCCGGGTTCACGCCATTCTCCTGCTTCAGCCTCCAGACCAGCTGGGACTACAGGCGCCCGCCACCACGCCCTGCTAATTTCTTGTATTTTTAGTAGAGACGGGGTTTCACCATGTTAGCCAGGATGGTCTCGATCTCCTGACCTTGTGATCCGCCCGCCTTGGCCTCCCAAAGTGCTGAGATTACAGGCTTGAGCCACTGCGCCTGGCCAATACCTGCTTTTAAAAGGTTGGAATTCCTTTAAGCATTTCCTTTTTAGAGTACTAAGAACAATGCTTTCTTAGTAGATGGTGCTGGAAGGATACTGCAGGATGAAGGGGGATTCTCTTGCTGGTTCCAGTGCCTGCACCATAGGTTAGCAGTATAGATGAGAGAAAATTTGATGGTGACCTGCCCCAGCCACACCCTGGCCTGGTGGTCACTTTCCACAGGGATGCCACACTCTAAGCCTCCCACCCCTCTGGTGCCTCGACTCCATCTGCACATCTGCATGTCTGGTCACCAGCTGTGTGTTCCCTGCTTGCCCAGGGACTGCACACCAGCACTGACCCAGGCAAACTACCAGACTTCTCTGCTCTCCAGTAGACTGAAACTCTACATTCTCCAATAAGGTGTGCACGTCAGTTTTGAGGAGATGGCAGTGGCCTTCCTTCCAAGTTTGTCATTTCTTGGATAATCTCCCTCAGCTCTAGGAAACTGCATTTTGTCTTATACCTTTTTTTTTTTAAAGGAGTTTTGTTCTTATTGCCCAGGCTGGAGTGCAATGGTACGATCTTGGCTCACGGCAACCTCTGCCTCCCTGGGTCAAGCGATTCTCCTGCCTCAGCTGGGATTACAGGCGCCTGCCACCAAGCCCGGCTAATTTTTCTTTGTATTTTTAGGAGAGACGGGGTTTCAGCATGATGGCCAGACTGGTCTCGAACTCCTGACCTCAGGTGATCCACCCACCTCAGCCTCCCAAAGTGCTGGGATTACACGTGTGAGCCACCGCGCACGGCCTATAGCTTGATATTCTTTATATTATTTCCAAAAAAAAAAAAGTGTCATTTTTGTCTTCTGATAGGACCCAGACTGACACTTTAAATAAACATCACTTAGGGCCGGGTGTGGTGGCTCACGCCTGTAATCCCAGAACGTTGGGAGGCTGAGGCTGGCAGATCACGTGAGTCCAGTTCAAGACCAGCCTAGTCAACATGGCCAAACCCGATCTCTACACAAAAATTAGCTGGGTGTGGTGGCCTATGCCTGTAGTCTCAGCTACTTGGGAGACTAAGTCAAGAAAATCGCTTGAACCCGGGAGGCTGAGGATGCAGTGAGCCGAGACCACACCATTGCACTCCATCCTGGATAACAAGAATGAAGCTCTGTCTCAAAAAAAAAAAAAATGCATATAACAAGATGTGAAATTGGAGAGGCAAGGCTTTTAGGCAGATAGGGCAGTTGTGAAAATGAATCAAGGCAATTTAAACTGGGACCTAAGGTCACTAGATTTGTCAGTCATGGTGAAGGAGTTTGGATATTATTTTAAGTGGTAAGATGTAACTGGAAGGCTTTAAGCAGCAGAGTAACATTCAATTTTAAAAGATCACTCTGGGCCAGGTGCGGTGGCTCACACCTGTAATCCCAACACTTTGGGAAGGCGGAGGTGGGCGGATCACTTGAGGTCAGGAGTTCAAAACCAGCCTGGCCAACGTGGTGGAACCCCATCTCTACTAAAAATATAAAAATTAGCCGGGTGTGGTGGCGCATGCCTATAATACCAGCTACTTGGGAGGCTGAGTCGGGAGAATGGCTTGAACCCAGGAGGCAGAGGTTGTAGTGAGCTGAGATCACACCATTGCACTCCAGCCTGAGCAACAAGAGCAAAACTCTGTCTCCAAAAAAAAAAAAAAAAAAAGACTGGAGGAGGAAGTAAAAAGAACACAAGAGAAAAACAAACAAACAAAATAGCTAGTTCTCAGTGGGGAAAGAAAGCAAAATAATTTATCAAGTATGAAAAGCAACAAATGAAAGCTGTTTTCTTTTGAGACGGAGTTTCGCTCTTGTTGCCCAGGGTGGAGTACAATGGCGCGATCTCTGCTCACCGCAACCTCCGCCTCCCAGGTTTAAGCGATTTGCCTGCCTCAGCCTTCCCAAGTAGCTGGGATTACAGGAATGCGCCATCATGCCCAGCTAATTTTTGTATTTTTAGTAGAGACGGAGTTTCTCCATGTTGGTCACGCTGGTCTTGAACTTCCGACCTCAGGGGATCCACCCGCCTTGGCCTCCCAAAGTGCTGGGATTACAGGCGTGAGCCACCGCGCCTGGCCACGAAAGCTTTTTCATTTAATCTACATAATAAACACATATTGCTATTCTCTTATGTATGAGACTCTAAGAACACAGTCTCATGAGTATGAGGGTCTCATACAAGTCTCAAAGTCAACAGGCACTGAGTAGCCAAGTCAGGATTTAGAGCTCATTTTGTGGTTACAGGAAGGACAAAAAGTAAATAAGCCCATAATGTCGTGTACATTCAGAATTTTTATTTTAAAACAAAGAACCAGAGTAACAATAGAAAATCCATATGGAAATATTCACAATCTTCTCAGTGAGAAATGGGACCCTGCCTTACTGCCAACCTACTGTTTGAGGAGCCAGAAGTTGACATGAAGTTGCAAGGTCACCTTTTCAAGCTAAAGCACACTTGATAGCTATGTGCATTTTTTTTTTTTTGAGACGGAGTCTCGCCCTGTGGCCCAGGCTAGAGTGCAATGATGCGATCTCCGCTCACTGCAACCCCTGCGTCCCGGGTTCACATGATTCTCCCGCCTCAGCTTCCCAAGTAGCTGGGATTACAGGCGCCCGCCACCACGCCCGGCTAATTTTTGCATTTTTAGTAGAGACAGGGTTTCACGATGTTGGCCAGACTGGTCTCGAACCCCTGACCGCCCGCCTAGGCCTCCCAAAGTGCTGGGATTACAGGCGTGAGCCACCGCATCCGGCCTCAGCTACGTGCATTTTTATTCAAAGGCTCCAGGAGCAGAGGGAACAGTGAGAACTAAGAACCAAAATACTGTCACTGACAAGGGTTTGGCTAAAGGGTCTGAGATGTGTAAGCACCAAGAAGGGAAAGGGAGACTGAGCAACATATGAAAAAGGGGCTGTAGGAACAAACACAGAGAAAATAAGTCAACAATAACGTACTTCCACCCAGAGCAAAGTGACAGTGCACATACATTCATCCTCTCAAGTGTGGGCTACACTGCACATTGACTCATACTGTCTAAACCTGGTTTATTGGAAAGATTCAAGTCCCCTGAGGGCATTCGGCATAGGACCACAGTGACATGGTAACAGACATACGCAAGCGTGCCGTGAGCCTAAAGCAACAACACACTTTAGATAATAATCGCTCAGAAAAAAATCCTCTCCCAGAGCTGAGGTTACAAATTCCAAGTTTGCTATAAACATTCTTTGGGGAATTCCTTTAAAGGTATGAGTTAAAATACAACAGAAAATCAACACCTAAAATCTCCTAAAGAACAAAGTGGAAAAATAATGAATCTCTACCAAGAACCAATTATTTTAGGTTTCTTATTTGGATGGCTCTCCCACGAGATAGGTGGCGGGATTACTTCAAAAGTAATGAGACTACTACAAGAAGGAGTTATTTCATCCAGTGAGGGGAACAGGCTTTCTAGAAATCACTTTCTCTTCCCTGGACTCCATCCAAAATTAGAACCCATCAACCATCATTAACTACAATGCCCATATTAGTTAATAATCCTAGATTTCAAGTACTACTACATGTAAACTATTATCTTAAAGAAAAAAGCTCCAAAGGAAATCAGTAGCTTTATTATATAGGTATATGACTTTTACGAGAAGTTAAAGAGTTTCCATCTGAAGGACAGAAATTGTTAAGAGGTAACGTACAGACCTCAGGCACCACATCATTTACCCTCCAATAATGAACAACATTTCTCCCTAAATTCTTATTGCACCTTAACCTCTCCAGCATCAAATCTTCTACTCTATAACCTCTCTTTAAACACCTCCCTCTAATCTCAATTTCCTTCTGTTTTTATTATTTGGCAAAATTACGCTTAAAAAAATAAATATTTCCATCATGGCATATATATACCTATGTAACAAACCTGCACATTCGGCACATGTATCCTGAAACTTAAAGTTAAAAAAAAAAAATTATGTAATTAAACCAGAGGATAAAATAAATAAAACTCAAGTTAATTTGCCACGTAGAGCTGTATGGAAGTGAGGAAGGTGCTCTTACATAAACACCCTCCGGCTTCCACACTCATATGTATCTGCTTCCTGGTAAGTCTGAGGTTGGGGGAACTGCACCTTACTTTTCCTCTCCTATATCCCCTAGTGCGGCAATATCAGAACCCAAGGGAGGAAAAGCTGGCAAAGTTGTCATGTGCCAAGCGGCCAATCCCTCCTGAAATGAAGGTAGGTTCACTCGGTCTCTCCTAAGCAGAAGAGGATGTCCAGGAAATAAAATTTAAAAAGCCATTGAAGATCCAACAAACCGCAGCCTTGGGGTGCTCATGGAGTGCGTGGGATGAGAAAGGAATTAAGTAGCAGCATTCAGAAGCGTCCTGGGTTCATCCTGATGAGGTCTCTCCCTTGTTGAGGGAGAGGTGGCTTTCCCATGCCGGGAGGGAGGTGGAAGGAGGCACGACTTAGACATTGGTGGTGGTCTCCTTAGCAGGCTCGATGCTGTTCATCTCCATGACGCCGTCCTTTCCAGATCTATCTGCACCGTGTGCCTGCCCTTCAAAGGCCCGTGTGATATCCTCAAAAGTCCTGCCACGGGTCTCAGGGACTTTGAAGAAGGTAAAAGCCAAGAAGGTAATGAGGAAGCCGGTGAAGATAATAAAAACGTAGGCTCCTAAATAGTGCTAGAGAAAGGACAGAAAAAAGGAAGGTTGATATAAAAATCTGGTCATTGACAAAGTCAATTTCCTTCACATTCATATTTCCAATAGGCTTCAAGCTATAACCCTTCCATATTTAATGAAAACAGGTTTCTTCAGATTCGCTTATGATTCCATTGCTAACTTACTGTAGTTCTCTCTAGTTTTCTTTCTGTCATTCCATTTCATTACAGTTAGATGCTTCCAAATGTCTACTGAGTATTTTTGGACTTTTGAGTATTATTTTTAAAATCTGTGTTTCTGGGCCGAGTGCGGTGGCTCACGCCCATAATCCCAGCACTTTGGGAGGTCAAGGTGGGAGGATCACTGGAACCCAGCAGTTTGAGACTAACCTGGGCAACTCCATCTCTATTTATGAATTTTTTTTTTTTTGAGACGGAATCTCGCTCTGTCACCCAGGCTGGAGAGCAGAAGGTTGATCACAGCTCACCATGAACACCTCCTGGGTTTAAGTGATTCTCTTGCCTCAGTCTTCTGAGTAGCTAGGACTACAGGTGTGTGCTACCGCAATGGTGTGATCTCGCTCACTGGGATTACAGTCATGAGCCACGACACCCGGCCTAATTTTTGTATTTATTGTAGAAACAGGGTTTCACCATGATAGTCAGGTTGGTCCCCAACTCCTGACCTCAAGTTATCCACCCGCCTAGGCCTCTCAAAGTGCTGGAATTACAGGCTTGAGCCACTGTGTCTGGCCGCAAATTAAACTTTATGAATTATTTATTTCTGCAATTTTCCATTTAATATTTTTAGACTACAGGTAACTGAAACTGAAGAAGAGGAGGGACTGCTGTATTTTTTTATTTATTTAGGGATGGAGTCTTGCTTCCATCGAGCAGGCTAGAGTGCAGTAACGCGATCTCAGCTCGCTGCAACCTCCACCTCCCAGGTTTAAGCGATTCTCCTTCCTCGATCTCCCAAGTAGCTGGAATTACAGGCATGCACCACCATGCCCAGCTAATTTTTGAATTTCACCATGTTGGCCAGGCTGGTCTTGAACTCCTGACCTCAGGTGATCCACCCGCCTCAGCCTCCCACAGTGCTAGGATTACAGGCATGAGCCACCATGCCAGGCCCAGACTACTGTATTATTAAGGAGTATCTTCATGTCAGCTTACATAGGCTGGTTTTAAGATAAGGTGAGTTTACTTACAGCAGCGGAGGGGAAGAGCAATCCGACTAGGAAGTTGGAGGTCCAGTTGGAGCAGCCGGCCACTGCCATCGCAGCTGGGCGGGGGCCCTGGCTGAAGAGTTCGGCCACAATAAACCAGGGAATGGGGCCTGGTCCAATTTCAAAGAAGGCTACAAAGACCAAGATAGCCCCAATACAGACAAAGCTCATCCCATTATAGTTATCCTGTAAGAGCAAGGAACAGAGAAAATTAAATTTAAAGACAGTGTAACCTAGTATCTAGGTTCCCAGAAGCAATTAACGGCAAGCTCCTCCTGTCCCTGACGTACAATACAAAGAGTGGCTGTGGAGTCAAAAGGCTTGGATTTATTTTTATTTTTATTTTTTGAGACAGGGTCTTACTCTGTTGCCCATGCTGGAGGGCAGTGGCACTACAATAGCTCACTGCATCATCGATCTCCTGGGCATAAGCAATCCTCCCACCTCAGCCTCTCAAATCGCTTGGACTTGAAGCATGTGCCACCACACCTGCCTAATTAAAAAAAAATTTTTTTTTTGGCCAGGAGCTGTGGCTCACGCCAAGGCAGGTGGATTATCTGAGGTCAAGAGTTGGAGACCAGCCTGGCTAACATGGTGAAACACAGTCTCTACTAAGAAGTACAAAAATTAGCTGAGCGTGGTGGCACGTGCCTATAATCCCAGCTACCTGGGAGGCTGAGGCAGCAGAAACACTTAAGCCCAGGAGGCAGAGGTTGCAGTGAGCTGAGATCCTGCCACTGCTCTCCAGCCTGGTGACAGAGTGAAACCCTGTCTCAAAAAAAAAATTTTTTTTTGTTTTTTTGTAGAGAAAGTTTCTTGCCATGTTGCGTAGGCTGGTCTTGAACTTCTGGGCTCAAGCAATCCTCTAACCTTGGCCTTCCAAAGTGTTGTGATGACAGGCATGAACCACTGCGCCCAGCCAGGATTGGATTTTTTTTTTTTTTTTTGAGAGAGAGTTTCGCTCTTGTCGCTCAGGCTGGAGTGCAATGGCACCATCTCAACTTACCACAACCTCTGCCTCCTGGGTTCAAGCAATTCTCCTGCCTCAGCCTCCCAAGTAGCTGACATTAGAGGCATGCACCACCACTCCTGGCTAATTTTCTATTTTTAATAGAGACGGGGTTTCTCCATGTTGGTCAGGCTGGTCTTGAACTCTCGACATCAGGTGATCCGCCTGCCTCACCCTCCCAGTGTGCTGGGATTACAGGCGTGAGCCACCGCGCCCAGCTGAGGATTGAATTTTTCAATCCCATCTATATGATCTCATATATGTCACTTTGTACTGAGACCATGTCATCATCTATTAAGTGTGATTACCTTGATATTATTCTAAGAATTAAATTAGATAATTTATTTTATAAGCTATAATAATGTTCTATAAATGTAAGGATTCTAACAGTTTACCTCCAGTTCTCTGACGACCCATGTTTCTTAAACTCTGGGCATCCTGCTTCTCTCCTCTGACTTTATTGACAAACTGCAACCTTAACAACCCACCCCTTGTGTCACAGAAGTCAACTGTAACCTCTCTTCTTTCCCCCTCCCTTTTTTTTCACCCAAAGAGCACCTACCTTTAATAACAAAGAAACAGTCATGAGCGTGGAACAAAAAGCCATCCCTCCAAGGCCTATCATATGCAGAGTCCTTCTTCCTGCCCTTTCCACCAGAAATAGCTGGAAGAAGAATATGACATGAAACTTCAGTTTTCCTTTCCATGAAAACAGCATCTGAGCTACTTGAAATCTGCCTTACCAACAGCAGGACACTTGTTATGGATACCCCTCCTGTGATTTATGATTTTATATACATACATATTGTGTGCCATTCACAGGTCCTGGCTCAAAATCCCCATAGCCCTTGGTAGAGTCTTTTGTCATAATGTTGGGATGCTTCAGGCCTCAGGAGCAGGCCTCAGATAACAGAATTCTTCTCTGACTTTCTCCTGCCCTCCCACTTGGCAGGACGCTAATCTGACTGTGGGTCATAAAACCCTCATTTCAGAGAGGGTCCTGCCCCACACCCTAGAGGAAGAAACGCTACAGAGAGGCCAACAAATCATCTAAGCAGACAGGCCCAGCTGGGTTCAGATCATTCCCTTTTTGTCCAATCACAGGTCAGAACAGTTGTCCATGCTTCAATCATGGAGAACCAATTAAGTCTGCATAAAAGGCCCAAAAGGCAGGGTATGGGGAGCTTCCAGATATCTGAACCCGTGGAAGCTGACAGGAAGGTCAGCAACAACTCATCTATGTGCTAGGAGTGCACCCCAACCCCACAGAGACAGAAGCTCCCATGCTCAGGATCCCTCCAGACCTCGCCCCGTGAATCTCTTCATCTGGTTGTGTATTTCTGTGCTTTAAAATATCCTTTAAATCAAACTAGGAAACAATTTTCCTGAGTTTTGTGAGCCACTGTAGCAAATTAATCAAACCCAAAGAGGATGTCGTGGGAATCCTGATCTACAGCTGGTGAGTCAGAAGCACAGGTAAAACAACCTGGAGCTTGTGACTGGCATCAGGAGTGGGGGGCAGTCTTGGGAACTGGGCCACCAACCTGTGAGATCTGATGCTATCTCCAGGTAGACAGTGTCATAATTAAAAAATCGCAGGACACCTAGATGGTGTCCACTACGGAACTGATTGCACACCTCACGGGGAAAAATTCTCACATATTCTGGGGATCACAGATAACTTCTGTTGATTATTGTTGTTTTAGTGTAAAAACAGTGGAGTAACAGAGCTTGAGAGTTTTTCCAAGCACCTTTCCTCCAATTCCAAGTTCAAAGCATACTATATAGTCCCTTCTATACTCCCTCCTTTCCCATCCATCCCATATTTGCTTGAAGAGTGAAGACTACATCCAACATTAAATTTATCTCTTTTTCCCAAAGGAAAATTAAGCAACAAAAAGGTAACTAAATGATGGTAGGGTCATGCAATCCATCTTTGAACATCTGTAGCAAGGATTCTTTTCTCCCCTCAAAATTACCAAACCATCCAACTTACAGAAACTACAGTGAAGATAGTATTAACCACACCCGCGCCGATGGTGGCATAGATGGGCTCTTGAACACCTGCATCCTTGAAGATTCCTGTTGAGTAATAGAACACCTAGGAGAAAAGAAAACATGCAGCTTTGATGCAATTCTGCACACCAGTTACACAGAACCCTCAAAAATAAACTTAAAAGTCCCAGTGGGTAAGAAGTCCTTTTTCTAGGTTTTCGTTCAATACTAATATCCCTTCTGCAAATGAATTATCTTCTGTATCTTATCTCCTAGTCTGGATCTGTCACCCAGGCAGGAGTGCAGTGGCACAATCTCAGCTCACTGCTACCTCCACCTCCCAGATTCAAGCGATTCTCCTGCCTCAGCCTCCTGAGTAGCTGGACTACAGGTGCCTGCAACCACACGCAGCTAATTTTTGTAGTTTAAGTAGAGATGGGTTTTCACCTTGTTGGCCAGGCTGGTCTCGTACTCCTGACCTCAAGTGACCTGCTCGCCTTGGCCTCCCAAAGTGCTAGGATTACAGGCATGAGCCACCGCACCTGGCCCTCCTTTCTCTCTCTAAATGTTCTTAATTCTAGCTACTCATTTACATTGTTTCTTCTAAAAATGCTTATTCCCACTGTTCCATTTCCTCTTGCTTATGTCCACTTCACTAACTTACATAAAGGTGTAATTCCTACTAACTGGTTTCTTTTTTATAAGTTGAGACAGCAACTCACTGTTGCCCAGGCTGGTCCTAAACTCTTGGTCTCAAGTGATCCTCCTGCCTCTCAGCCTCCCAAGTTGCTGGGATTATAGGCATGTGCCATCAGGCCCAGCTAAATGCTTTTTTAATTGGCTCTTCCCCAAACTCTCAAAACATTGATAGGGACATCGATGTCTCAATTTGATAGTGAACTAATTGAATAACCTTATCCTGCTCATTGAATAAGCAGAGGTTGGGCTGTATTTCCTAGGCCTAGGCCCTTTTGAAGTGTTTTATGAAATAATACCAGCTACTAATGCAATTTAATATATATTAAATAAATTATTATGTTGTTTGCTAGGCACTGTGCTAAAATCTAAAGTTGCTATAACTACCATAGTTAAGAGATATTAAAATACTGGACTCAGACCTCAAGTTAACAAGGGAACATTATCTAGGTTACCGAGGTTCACTTCAGTTTATTTCACCCAGAGTATTTGCCTCCATAGCAATATTTATTAGTCTTTTTTATGAATATGGACCTCTACATTGGGATTTACCTTCTCACGAAACAACTCTTTAAATCCCTAGTACGTAAGATGTAAACTATGTATATTCATATTTTCTAAAATAAGATAATTGTGTTTTGAAACTGAGATTTGTAGAGTCATTATTGAAAAACCTGCTGCTCTAGGGCTAATTAACACTGTTAAGAAATCTCAACATATTATATGATGGCGTCAAGCTTGTGGGGAAATATATTAGGCTAGTGCAAAAGTAATTACTTGAGCAGTTTAAACAAGCAATAAATAGGTATGCCAATTCTTTTCCTTAACATAATGTCTACACGTCAAAAACCTAATGTACATGTACTCATCTCAATAAAATTTCTCATAGTAAAATGACTTTGCTATCTAGTGTCACCAAGCAAGGTAACCCCTACATCATCTCACCTAAATAGTTTACTCTGCTAGGTAAACATGATACAATGCAACCTCTTACCCATCTGCCCATAAGGGAAATTAGAAATCATCATTT
The DNA here is from genome assembly GCF_000001405.40 of Homo sapiens. Taxonomy (NCBI): domain Eukaryota; kingdom Metazoa; phylum Chordata; class Mammalia; order Primates; family Hominidae; genus Homo; species Homo sapiens. The sequence goes on from NC_000012.12 coordinate 7,927,569, forward strand.
GTGCAAAGTAGGTTGGAAAAGTGATTTCCAAGCCTGCTGTGCATCAGATTTATTTTTTTACAGACAACTTTCAGGTCTCTTACACAGAGATTCTCAAATTCAGCTGACTCAGGAATCCCAACCCCCATAATTCTGATGCAGCCAGCTTTGGGTGAGATTATACCTAGCGCAAAATCTACTCATTGACTAAATTGGGAGCCAGCTTAGTCCAACAATAATTAATGTACATGCCGGGCGAGGTGGGTCACACCTGTAAGGCCGGCACTTTAGGAGAGAGAGCTGAGGTGGGTGGATCACCTGAGGTCAGGAGTTTGAGACCAGCCTGGCCAACATGGTGATATCCCTCTATTCTCTACTAAAAATACGAAAAAATAAGCAAGGTATGGTGGTGGGCACCTGTAATCTGGGCTGTAATCCCACCTGTAATCTCGGGAGTCTGAGGCAGGAGAATCATTTGAACCCAGGAGATGGAGGTTGTGGTGAGCTGAGATTGCGCCACAGCACTCCAGCCTGGGTGACAGAACAAGACTTCACCTCAAAAAAAGGATGGGCCAGGCGCAGTGGCTCACGCCTATAATCCCAGCATTTAGGAAGGCCGTGGCAGGCGGATCATGAGGTCAAGAGATCGAGACCATCCTGGCCAACATGGTGAAACCTGTTCTCTACTAAAAATACAAAAATTAGCCAGGCATGGTGGCACACGCCTGTAGTCCCAGCTACTCGGGAGGCTGAGGCAGGAGAATCGCTTGAACCCAGGAGGTGGAGGTTGCAGTGAGCCGAGATCGTGCCACTGTACTCCAGCCTGGGCGATCGAGTGAGACTCTGTTTCAAAAAAAAAAAGAATGTACACACCATACTCTGAAATGGCAGGAGTCTGTCCCTCAGACTGCTCACGGATCACTTGTCATTTCTCACAGGTGATCTTTTACTGATCCTGTTTTGCAGGGCCTGGACTGTGGTGAGGCAGCTAGGGAGTTGCCTCAGGTGCATTCTTTCATTCTTTCTTTTTTCTTTTTTTAAACAGGCACAGAACTAACGCAAGGTACATTCTTTAAAGAGGTGCTCATTCTCAGGGCTACACTTGCACGTAGCTGCCTCACCTGCCTAGTCCCAGCTCTGCTGCTCTGGAAAGTCTCGGGAGCACATTTTTCTCCAGTAATACGTGTGGCCTACATTATCATTTCCAAATGAAGAAATTTGAGACTGGGATTCATCAAAATCACCTAGGAGGCTTTTTCTAACTACTGTGTATTTCCTCCCAAGTTTTTTTTTTAAAGACAGGGTCATACTATATTTCCCAGGCTTGACTCCTGGGCCTAAGTGATATTCCCACCTCAGCCTCCCGAGTAGTAGCTGGGACTACAGGCATGAGCAGCCACCACACTTGGCTCCTCATAGATTCTGACATAACAGCCTCTAACCCCTCATAAGAAGCACTGCCACTTCAAATACAAATATCCTGGTGTGCTAGGTAGGAGAAAAGTTCCAAGAACCAACTTACTATTTTGAGCATCAAAATGCTCAAAATAGTAAGTTTTGCAAAATGCTTTGTTACAAAATAATTTAATCCCATTGATCAAAGACTATCTGAAAACCCTTAGGGGATGAATCAGTATTTAAAAAGGTGGGACAAGGGTGCTCTTAATATCCATATTGACTAGAAGGCACAGGAATACTCTCTTCCTACAATCCACAGTCAAATGCAGGAAGCTGATATTTGCATGGAATACAAGGGCTACCTGCCAAATGCTAGCTTCCGTTGTGCCGCCCTCTTTAAACTATCATCTATCATGCCCTCTTTAAACTACCATGCTCGCTATACTAGTTGTAAAAACAGACTGGTAAAGTCAGTTCACTCTGAAGTTGCCAGTGTCCTTCCAGGGTCTTTTTTTTTTTTCCTTTTTTTAAATTTCAGAGACACAGTCTCACTCTGTCTCCCAGGCTGGAATGCAGTGGCATAATTATAGCTCACTGCAACCTGAAACTCCTGAGCTCAAGTGATCCTCTTACCTCAGCCTCCTGAGTAGCTGGGACTACAGAGGCACACCGCCACCATGCCCGGCATTTTAAGTGAAATACTTTAAGACACGTTTGACCCTAAAGTATCACACTCACAGCATTGATCCCAGAGAGCTGCTGAGAGAGCTGGAGCACAATGGAAATGATGATGGGCTGTCGGTAGCTGGACACTCTAAAGAGCTCTAGCACGGTGACTTGCTTTTCTTGTGACATCCTTGCACTCTCATCTTTCATCTCCTGGATGTCTTGGGATACATCCTGGGTGCCCCACAACCGCTGGAGGACTGGTGAAAAGAAGAAAGAGGAAAGGATAAAAGAGAATGTGCTGCCCCAAATTCATTCTTCCTGTAAGGCAGCCAGGAAAGGGCCGCACGAGGTGAGGTGATGGGTAGCATCCATTCCTTTTTTTTTTTTTGAGACAGAGTTTCACTTTTGTTGCCCAGGCTGGAGTGCAATGGCATGATCTCAGCTCCCTGCAACCTCCACTTCCCGGGTTCACACGATTCTCCTGCCTCAGCCTCCCAAGTAGCTGGGATTACAGGCATGCGCCCCCATGCCCGGCTAATTTTGTATTTTTAGTAGAGACAGGGTTTCTCCATGTTGTTTCAGGCAGGTCTTGAACTCCTGACCTCAGGTGACCCGCCTCGGCCTCTTATAATGCTGGATTACAGGCATGAGCCATCACACCCTGCCTGATAGCATCCATTCCTAAACCCGCCTTTTCACCTCATTCTTTAGGGGCTGAAAATTTTACTCAGGAGTAATCAGAACCCTCCTCACTTGGATTCTGAGAGGCAGGGAAAGAGTGTAACAGAAAGTAGGTCCAGTACAATCATCCCTAAAACAAACCACAACCATATAATTCATGTAGTAAGGTGTGAAGGATACTCACTCTGCTTAGCATTCTCCTCTTCTTTTCTGTTAATGAGCAAAAATCTGGGACTTTCAGGGCAAAATGGAAGGGCTGCACTTTGTAGGATAGCAGGAAGGATGGTAAAACCCAGTAGCAGCGGCCATAGCTCTTCAGACCCAAGGATGAATTCCAGACCAAAGATCTAGAAACCACACAAAGATAATGCTATAAACCCCATACTTCACAGGCCACAAGTTCATTAAAACACAAAAAGTTCAGAAAATCATACATTCTTTTACCATGTGAAAAAATAAACAAATTGTGTTTCTTTTCCTTTCTCTACTCAGCATGGTTTTTTTTTTTTTTTTTTTTTTGAGACGGAGTCTTGCTCTGTCACCCAGGCTGGAGATCAGTGGCACAATCTCGGCTCACTGCAAACTCTGCCTACCGGGTTCACGCCATTCTCCCGCCTCAGCCTCCGGAGTAGCTGGGACTACAGGTGCCCGCTACCACGCCCGACCAATTTTTTGTGTTTTTAGTAGAGATGGGGTTTCACCATGTTAGCCAGGCTGGTCTTCATCTGCTGACCTCGTGATCTGCCCACCTCGGCCTCCCAAAGTGCTGGGATTACAGGCGTGAGCCACAGCGCCCGGCCTCAGCCTGCTTCTTCAGCTACTATCTATTATCTAAAACTTCCATATGTAATTGAACATGTGCCAGATATTCTTCAGTGCTTTACCTATGTTAACTTTTTTAATGACCCATGAAACTAACACTCATTAAGTATGAGAAGTTCTAGAGTACCTGGGCCACCAGAATTCCAACAACGATGCCCAGCTGGTTGAGAGTGCCAAAGGCACCCCGCAGGGCAGTAGGCGAGATCTCTCCAATGTACATGGGCACAAAACCTGTGCAGAGTCCGCAGAAGAGGCCAATAACCAAGCGACCCAGGATCAGCATTTCAACCGACTTAGCTACTTTACACAGTCCCATAAAGCAGCCACCAGTGACAGCCAACAGGTTGACAATCAGCATTGAATTGCGCCTGTAAGGTTAATCAAAGACAAAGTAGAATTAGCAAAGTGAGAGGCTCCTAACTTCTCCTCTGTCCTCATTATTCTGTTCTTCTCCAGGCTCATATCATCCCTTTTTTTTTTAATCTAACTTTTGTTTTTCACTTTCTATTATCAGAACATTTCTAGTTGGGAACCAGGTGTGATGGTGCCCGCCTGTAGTCCCAGGCACTCAGGGAGCTGAGGTCGGAGGTCGAAGCTGTAGTGAGCTATGATTGGGCCATTACACTCCAGCCCGGGTGACAGAGCAAGACCCTCTTTCTTGGGGGGTAAAAAAACAAAAGAACAACATAATCAAGTAAAACAGGTTGCTTTACCGATTTTTAAATGTGAATTCCAATTGCATTTCTAGAATATCTAATTGGCATTTTTTTTTTTTTTTTTTGGAGACGGAGTCTTGGTCTGTCACCCAGGCTGGAGTGCAGTGGCAGGATCTCGGCTCACTGCAACCTGCGCCTCCCAGGCTCAAGAGATTCTCCTGCCTCAGCTTCCAAGCAGCTGGGATTGCAGGCGCATGCCACCACGCCCGGCTAATTTTTTGTATTTTTAGTAGGGACAGGGTTTCACCGTGTTAGCCAGGATGGTCTCGATCTCCTGACCTTGTTATCTGCCCGCCTCAGCCTCCCAAAGTGCTGGGATTACAGGCGTGAGCCACGGCACCGGCTTTTTTTTTTTTGAGACGGGGTTTTGCTCTTTCGCCCAGGCTGGTGTGAAGTGGCCAGATCTCAGCTTACTGCACCCTCTGCACCCCCACTGCAGGTTCAAGTGATTTTCCTGCCTCAGCCTCCGGAGTAGCTGGAATTATAGGTGCCTGTCACTACGCCCGGCTAATTTTTGTATTTTTGGTAGAGACAGGGTTTTGCCATGTTGGCCAGGCTGGTCTCGAACTCCTGACCTCAGCTGATCCACTTGCCTCGGTTTCCCAAAGTGCTAGGATTACAGGGGTGAGCCACCACACCGTGCCTAATTGGCAAATTAAAACAGTTCCTTCATTAGTCATAAATGAAAATATATTCTACCTTCTAAAACATATTGTTAAGCTTCTATAGAATAAGACTTTTTTTTTGTCATTATCCACATTTGCCATAGACAAAAATAATTCCTACCAATCCTGGGTAAAATAATAAAAACATTTATAATACAAGTAAACAACTTCGGACCTTGTAAATTAAGTATGTTTCTAGAAACCCCATAGTTGAGTTTACTAGGGAATAATTCTGAACTATCCCTAGCTGGACTGCAAAGGCCAATCACTCACAGTTCATCTCTTGCACAGCTGGGTGGGAGCTCTCCAGGGTAGTAGAGCTCCAAGCAAGGGCAGTCATATTCGGGGCCAGTTGGACTAGGTTTCCCTTGATTAGAATTCAAGGTGTTCTTATTCAAAGGCATCATCACCTCCCTGCCCTAACTCTCCACACTTGTCCTCAATGTGGCTGGTAGAGCCCACTTCCTTGCCCAGTTTCTAGTCAATACCTGCCAAAGCGGTTGACGAAGAGTCCGACGGAAAAGGAGCCGATCATACCCCCGACGGAAAATATGGCCACAGACAAGGACCAGAGAGACGTGAGCAGCACCTCAGAGGGTGGGGCATTTCCCTTGTCCGTCAAAGTTTTATTGATAAATTCCTTTATGATCTGCAAAATAAAAGGGTTGGTGGAAGAACAGACTGTTACAGTTGGATGAGAACAAAAGACAAACATTAGGGATCATTTCCTTCCTAGAGAATCAAGGGAATAAATAGACAGGAATGGAAGGGGCAGATAACGTATTGGAATTTATGTTAACTCTCGCTGGAATAGTAATTCTATTTGTCCTGAAAATCCCAGTAGGTGGCAGCACCGATGTTCACAGTCTACCCCAGCCCTCTGCTAAGGGAACCCAGCTTCTTTGTAACTAACCCCTAAGGGATAATACAGGATGTGCATCACTATGAGGTGAAAGAGTGGGAGGAAGAACAGCACCGCCCAGCGTTCCGGGAGTAAGTGAGCTTTGTGCTTCGATTAGATGACCCCACTAATTTTCCCCACCAATATTGTCTCCATCTTCAGTCTTGGACAGGATAGATACAAAGTTTGTCTTAAAATCCCCTAGTTTGGGGAGGGACCCTCACTAACTGTGTTGCTCAGGATGGTGTTTAACTCCTGGACTCAAGTGATCTTTAAGCCTCAGCCTCAGGAGTAGCTGGGACTCCAGGCAGATGCCACCATGCCTGGCCTTAAATTCTGAATTCCTGAAACCCTACTTAAAGGAATAACTTCCCTATTCTAAATTCTAATTATTGTGGCCTGGCACTCACCTTCTCAGGAGCATTGATGACCCCAGTGTTGTAGCCAAATTGGAAAGAGCCGATTGTAGCAACTGTGATGGCAAATATCAGAGCTGGGGTGACCTGGAGGGAGGGAAGACAGAGGAGAGAATAGTCCTTAAAACTTGTGATTGATGACTGTTTCTTATTAATTATGGAGCTGTATTAGGAGAATTTGAGTTATGAGTGGTATGAAAAGAACATCCAATGAGATTTAGGTAATTAATGGGGAAGACAAAGGAATAGATTATACTAAAGAACTTATCTGGAGATAAGAATGTGAAGTTAACTTGGTAAAAATGAAAGAAAATTGGGGAAGGAAGAAGTTAAGAGAAACTGGGTTGGTCAGTTTGGAAATATTTAAAAACTTGCATCAGGCAAATGTAGGCATAGAATTCCACTCACGAACTGGGAGGGCAGAGAAAAAGACAGTCTCGGGTAGGATTACTAAGAATTGACCATTCTGGAAACAAATACAGTGCAGTCTGATCTGTACCCCAGACTCCACGGAAGCCCACTGGTGGTGGTGGAGGGGGTGGTAGTTTGTGTCTTCACTGCTGGGTGGCTCTTTGAGTCTCTTATCTCTCAGGACCATGTAACCTACTGGATCTACTCACTGCATCCTGGCCCCATTTCAGTCTTCGTTTATTAAATACAGTTCTGCTATCCCTAACTCCCGCGCAGGGGAAGAAAGTACTTACTCTGAACCCAACATATAAGGGCGAACCCAACATATAAGAGACATTTCTTAGTGGGGAGAACCGGTCATCTTCACCTTGCCTGGAATAATTCAGCCGGGCGAGACATTTTCCATTTCTACCTTGGGGCAGCTCAATTTTTATACCTGAGGCCAACTTCTACGCCATTCCCCCCCACCCCACCACCCAAAATCCCTTCAACCTTTCATATCTTAAACTCCTTTCCTTTCAGGTCGGGCAGATTAGGCAGCAGGCTGGGAGCTTCAGCAGGAGAAGTGACCTTGCCTGCAGCCTCCCAGATGTCTCAGTCCCAGCTAAGCATCGGTACCCCGGAGGGCCCTGCCAGTGCAATGCTCTGTTAAATCTTTTTCCGTTTAGTAAAAATCTCTTCTGTCTCCTCTCATCATTCACTATCTTTGAGAGCCTTTTCTTCTTTAGTCTCATAATTTTCCATCCCTTTCTTATTTTCCTACATTTTCTTTCTTTCTGCTTTGTAGAGATGGGATCTCACTATATTGCCCAAGGCTAGTCTCAAACTCCAGGCCTCATGTGATCCTCCTGCCTTGGTTTCCCAAATGCTGGGGTTATAGGTGTGACCCACCACACCTGGCCCCTTATTTTTAGTTAAATTTATCTTGGTAAAAAATGCCTTTCTTGCTGCGCGCAGTGGCTCATGCCTGTAATCTCAGCACCTTGGGAGGCCGAGGCCGGCGGATCGCCTGAGGTCGGGAGTCGAGACCAGCCTGACCAACATAGAGAAACCCCGTCTCTACTAAAAATACAAAATTAGCCGGGCCCGGTGGTTCATGCCTGTAATCTCAGCTACTCAGGAGGCTGAGGCAGGAGAATCGCTTGAACCCGGGAGGCGGAGGCTGTGGTGAGCTGCGGTCGCTCCATTGCACTCCAGCCTGGGCAACAAGAGTAAAACTCAATCAGAAAAAAAAGAAAAGCCTTTCTCCCTGCAAATAATGCATATACAACACTCAATATTTTAGTATGTCCTGCACTCACGATTTTAACCCTAATAGGAAGGACAACTGGAATTCTTTCTCCTTAGCATCCACGAACCCCATATGTTATAGGACAAACAGATGGCCAGACCCTGGCCTGTGCCTCCAAACACAGACCTTTTCAAGGTCTAATGCTTCCAGAGAAGTCTTCACACTGGCTCTGAGACCCACACTTGTAATCCATACAACCAAGCAGCCCGATCCTCTAAACACTCAACCATCTCGTCCTCAGTGGCATATGGTTACCTAAAATAAACCTGAGAAGCAAACACAACTTCTCCGGGTGACTTTCCTATGATAAGGTGAACAGAACTGTATGACATTCAAAGAGAACTGATGAAGCGGCAGCAGTGCAGGCTAGAGACGAAATGAAAAGGCCTTAAGATAGCTTGGTGACTTAGGAGAAAATAGAACAAGGAGATTACCATTAATATTTGCCTTTCTGAGTGTATCCCAAACAAGCAAAAATAACCAGTAATTATATCATTCTTACCTTCTGTGTCCCCATCGCTGTAATCTAATTCAAGTCTTCAAGAAAGATCTAGGGGTGATTCCAGAAACAGCTTTTTCAGCCAACAAAACCTTCAAAATGTCCTTCTCAGCAGCAAGTTTTCTCCACGTCCTCAGGAAGGATCCAAAGTCTTACCATTACAGCATCTCTGGGTCTCGCTGGGATCATGACTATTTATAATCTCCGCAAAGGGTGGAGCCTGAAAGGGCGACAAGCCCCCAGCCCCACCCCACCCCACCCCACCCCCCTGAAGCAATCTTGTGATCTCTCGGAATTCTGTGTTATCAGAACTACCCCCGCCCCCGCCCCACAGACAATAACGCCCTCCCTCCCCCCTCTCTTAAAACCACATCCTTCCACTCTCTCCACCCTGGGTTTTTTTTTTTTTTTTTTTTTCAAAAGCTCATCCTTACTCCTTCCCTCTTCTAATAGCAGCTAGAGCCTCTTAGTTTCACAGACAAAATACTACCAGAAAAGCCTGGAGGGAGGGCAAATACACTATTTTATGCTCTCGCATCTGCTTGGGATTAAAACAATCTACAGAGAGATTAGAATAAATCTATCCATACAAAACGAAGTCAAGTGGGTGCTACTATCAGAGATTTAAGGTTGTTAGAAAGAGTGTTAGTAAGAATTCTTGATCCTATGAATTTATAGGCTGGGTCTACAATCTTTTTTTTTTCTTTTTTTTTTGAGACGGAGTACACAATCTTAAAGGGGAGGGAAAGACAGCCTGAGAGAAGAAAATCAGGGAAATAATTTTGCCAGTGTTCCTTTCTTCGCATAATCTCACCTGGAGGGAAGAAAATCTGAATTTCTAGGAGCCAGACCAACTATCAGGGCAGTAGGAATAAGAGGTTCAACTGTTTATGGAATACAATCCATATCCTTTTTTTTTTTTTTTTTTTTTTTTTGATATGGAGTCTCTCTCTGTCGCCCAGGCTGGAGTGCAGTGGTGCGATCTCGGCTCACTGCAACCTCCGCCTCCCGGGTTCAAGCAATTCTCCTGCCTCAGCCTCCCGAGTAGCTGGGACTATAGGCGCCCGCCACCACGCCCCGCTAATTTTTGTATTTTTAGTAAAGACGGGGTTTCACCATATTGGCCAGGCTGGTCTCAAACTCCTGACCTTGTGATCTGCCCGCCTTGGCCTCCCAAAGTGCTGGGATTACAAGTGTGAGCCACCGCGCCGAGCCCTATATTTAATAAGGCATTTGCCATATCACCCATTCTGAATTCTGCATCACTTTCTGCTAGTCTCAAGCTTATAGCATCTAGAAATGCAATAAATACCGAATTCAATTAAGCAGGTATTTGCCGAATACACGCTATGTATCAGGTACTCTCCAAGAAGCTGGTGATTCTTCAGTGAATAATAGAAAAAAAGGCCGGGCGCGGTGGCTCACGCCTGTAATCCCAGCACTTTGGGAGGCCGAGGTGGGCGGATCACGAGGTCAGGAGATCAAGACCATCCTGGCTAACACGGTGAAACCATTCTCTACTAAAAATACAAAAAAAAAAAAAAAAAAAAAAAAAATTAGCCGGGCATGGTGGCGGGCGCCTGCAGTCCCAGCTACTCGGGAGGCTGAGACAGGAGAATGGCGTGAACGCGGCAGGCGGAGCTTGCAGTGAGCCAAGACAGCGCCACTGCACTCCAGCCTGGGCGACAGAGCAAGAATCCGTCTCAAAAAAAAAAAAAAAAAAGAATAATAGGACAAAAGAGTTCTGACCCACAAGTCATTTATAGTGTTTCCCTTCTTCCCTTTTTATAAAGTATAAAAAGGGACTAGGGCAAGTAATTCTCACATAACTGGAAAAGATTATTAATATCCTATTAGTTATGGACTGTGAGTTTCTTGAAAGAAAAGTGTTACATAAGTATCTGATTACTAAGCTATACAAGAAAACTGAACAAGCTAAGCAGGAGAAGAAAATAGGAATGAGAACTGAGGGAGGGATAATCGGGGAGAGAGAAGAGTGGTTCCAGGTTGAGAGTAAACAAAGCAAAACAACTTGGTTTGTGTTTAAACAGCTGGGTAAGTGAGAGATAGTATCTAGGCTTTTTTGGAGGAGGAATATCAACTATCAAATTCCTAATGCCCATTCATTTGTAGCTTGCAACCCTTTCAGTACTGGAGGTGGCAGGGTGGGTGAAGGACGCTTGGTAAAGAGATAAACTTTTTCCCAGTGGTGAATTGGAGAAAGTGTATCTTCCTTTAGGGTTTTGGTTGAGGGCCTAGAATTCAAATTGATACTGCTGGACCCGAGAAAACTAGATTACTGTTGCTTCCTTTGCTTTAACGAGGATATTGTTAAAATCTGATTTGATGACAACTCCCCTCCCCCATCTCACCATTGCCTTCCAGGAAATGCTGAGCCAGAGGCCCCTTTAGTCACCACAGCAACTGAATTTAGTATCTAAAGGAAAAAGGATATCCCAAAGGGCAGTGCTGTCCAATAGAAATATAATATGAGCATGTCACATTATGGTTTCTAGTAGCCACACTAAAAATTTTAAAAGAAACAAGATAAATTTTTTTCATAATTATTTTATTTAACCCAATATATCCAAAACATTGTCATTTCAGCATGCATTCAATATAAAAATTAATAGTTTACTTTTTTGTACTAAGTCTTTGAAACATATTGTATATTTTAAATTTACAAATTAAAGGGATATGTAGCCCCACCAAAACAACAAAGTTGTGTTTATCAGGAAAATATTTTAAGTTGCATATCGAGCGTTGCATGCAGGCAAATTGCATACAGCCAAGCCTGGCCGCCTAGCCCAGTCGTACACCAGGGTGGTCTTGATCTCTTGATCTCTCTTTTTTTTTTTTTTTTTTAGACAGAGTCTTGCTCTGTTGCCCAGGCTGGAGTGCAGTGGCGCGATCTCGGCTTACTGCAAGCTCCACCTCCCGGGTTCACGCCATTCTCTTGCCTTAGCCTCCCGAGTAGCTGCGACTACAGGCGCTTGCCACCGTGCCCGGCTAATTTTTTGTATTTTTAGTAGAGACGGGGTTTCACCGTGGTCTCCATCTCCTGACCTCGTGATCATCCCGCCTTGGCATCCCAAAGTGCTGGGATTACAGGCGTGAGCCACCGCGCCCGGCGATCTCTTGATCTCGTGATCCCCCCACCTCAGCCTTCCAAAGTTCTGGGATTGGCTGGGCGCAGTGGCTCATGCCTGTAATCCCAGCACTTTGGGAGACTGAGGCGGGCAGATCACCTGAGGTCACGAGTTCGAGACCAGCCTGGCCAATGTGGTGAAACCCTGTCTCTATTAAAAATACAAAAATTAGCTGGGCGTGGAGGCGGGAGCCTGTAATCCCAGCTACTGGGGAGGCTGAGGCAGGAGAATCGTTTGAACCCAGGAGGCGGAGGTTGCCGTGGGCAATTGCACTCTAGCCTGGGTGACAAGAGGGAAACCCCATCTCCAAAAAAAAAAAAGTGCTGGGATTACAGGTGTGAGCCAGCTCGCCCGGCCCTGGCCATATATATTTTTAAAGGTTACAATTGGAATTCAGCCGAGTCTTGAGAATCTACAAATGTGTTGACCTGGGCACAGTGGCTCACATCTATAATCCCAGCATTTTGGGAGGTTGAGGTGGAAGGATCACTTGAACCTAGGTGTTTGAGACCAGCCTGGGCAACACAGTGAGACCCCTTCTCTACAAAAAAAAAAAAAAAAAAAAAAATTAGCTGGACGTGGTAATGGCAGGTGCCTATAGACCCAGCTACTTGGGAGGCTGAGGTGGGAGGATCACTTGAGCCCAGGAGGTAGAAGCTGCAGTGAGCTATGCAGTCTGGGCAACAGAGTGAGACCCTGCCTCAAAAAAGAAAAAAAAAAGTGTGTTGAGCATATTGAGACAAGTATTCCTTGAGCAAGTGGGACCTAGGAGGAACCTGATGCTCAAAAACCAGTTCTGCACTGGGCTGGCCCCCAAAGCAACAGGAATGTCCAAGCTTAGATAGTCCTTCACCCTGGCCGCTAGAGAAGAGTTGTAATGTGAATCTCAATCCTGGAATCTAAATCTGCAGAATGTAAATCTCAATCCTAGTTTCATGCAGCTTTGTGGGATGGGTGCTTGCTAGTATGATAACCAAGTGGAAAACAAACATAAAATCTAAAGTCAGGGAACACAAGGCTTTAAACGCATTGAGGTAAAGACAGGGAAAACTGTCTCTTTCATAAAACAATGTAAGTGGCATTTCAAGACACACTAAAAAGCTAGTAACTGGACCAGGCGCGGTGGCTCACACCTGTAATCCCAGCACTTTGGGAGGCCAAGGCGGGTGGATCATCTGAGGTCAGGAGTTCGAGACCAGCCTGGCCAACATGGTGAAACCCTGTCTCTACTAAAAATACTAAAAAATTAGCTGGGAGTGGTGGTGCGTGCCTGTAATCCAAGCTACTCAGGAGGCTGAGGCAGGAGAGTCACTTGAACCTGGGAAGCAGAGGTTGCAGTGAGCCGAGATTGCACCACTGCACTCCACCCTGGGCAACAAGAGCAAAAACTCCATCCAAAAAAAAAACAAAAACAAGACCAGGCGCAGTGGCTCATGCCTGTAATCCCAGCACTTTGGGAGGCCGAGGCGGGTGGATCACAAGGTCAGGAGATTGAGACCATCCTGGCTAACACGGTGAAACCCCGTCTCTACTAAAAATACAAAAAAATTAGCTGGGCGTGGTGGCGGGTGCCTGTAGTCCCAGCTATTCAGGAGGCTGAGGCAGGAGAATGGCGTGAACCTGGGAGGCGGAGCTTGCAGTGAGCTGAGATTGCGCCATTGCAATCCAGCCTGGGCGACACAGCAAGACTCCATCTCAAAAAAACAAAAAGAAAAACAAAAACAGAAACAAAAGAGCTAGTAACTGCTCTAAAACTTTGCTTGCATCTGTAATATTCCTCATAAAGAACAACTTTTGTTAAAGCAACTTTTTTATCTTCCTTTATTAGGTTAGTGTAGGCAGAGTTCACTTTGAATTTGAAAACACTGTAGAAAATAAGTCCTCAGGGTGAAGAAAGAAAGAATTTGAGAAATGTTGATTTTCCTGTCTATAGTGGGTTTAAACCATCCATCCGTCACTCCTGTTGGCCCTGAAGGGCCTAATCCCAGCTCCCAGGCCCTTACCACTTTCAGAAGGGTCTTCTCTCCTCCTCCCTCTCCCTTCTTCAAAAATGAATCAATTCCACATCAGTGCTAGATGAATTATCCTAAATCAAAATTTGAATCGTATCAATTTCCTACTCAAATACCTTCAATAATTATTGAATAAAGCCTAGACCAGTACTGTCCAATATAAATATAATGTGAACCACATATGTCACTTAAAATTTTTCTTCTGGGCATGGGGTCTCACACCTGTTGTAATCCCAGCATTTTGGGAGGCTGAGGCGGGCAGATCACTTGAGGTCAGAAGTTCAATACCAGCCTGGCCAACATTGCAAAAGCCCGTCTCTATGAAAGATACAAAAATTTAGCCAGGTGTGTGCTACGTGCCTGTAACCCCAGCTACTTGGGAAGCTGAGGCATGAGAATCACTTGAACCCAGGAGGCAGACGTTGCAGTGAGCCAAGACAGTGCCACTGCACTCCAGCCTGGGTGACAGAGTGAGACCCTGAGTCAAAAAAAAAAAAATTAAGTAGCCACATTAAGAAAATAAAAAGAAACACATTAATTTTAATATTATCCTTTGTATACCCTAATATACCCCCAAATTCTCATTTCAGCATTAAATTAATATATATAATTATCAATGAGATATATCTTGACTCTTCAGCATGATCCCAATTTAGGATGCCAGGCTTAGAATATACTTAAAATATACACCCAAGAAAAAAAAATTGGAAGTATACCTACCCTTTGCCCCAGCCAATCTAACTATTTGTCAGTTTTCAAACAGGTCCCATTCCCTGCCTCATAGTTTTTACTTTATCTTACTTTGCCTTAAAAAATAAATCCCCATCCGGGCGCGGTGGCTCACGCCTGTAATCCCAGCACTCTGGGAGGCCGAAGCGGGCGGGCGGATCACGAGGTCTGGAGATCGAGACCATCCTGGCTAACACGGTGAAACCCCGTCTCTACTTAAAATACAAAAAAATTAGCCAGGCGTGGTGGCGAGCGCCTATAGTCCCAGCTACTCGGGAAGCTGAGCCAGGAGAATGGCGTGGCGTGAACCCGGGAGGCGGAGCTTGCAGTGAGCGGAGATCGCGCCACTGCCCTCCAGCCTGGGCGACAGTGCTAGACTCCCTCTCAAAAAATAAATAAATAAATAAATAAATAAATAAATAAATAAATAAATCCCTTTCATTCCTGCTCGTACAAATCTTTCCCATCCTTTATGGGTCAATTCTAATGCAAGATCCTTCTGGCCAAAGGACATACATTTGAAGATTATGCGTATCTTTTTTTTTTTTTTTTTTTTTTTTGAGACAGTCTCACTCTATCGCCCAGGCTAAAGTGCAGTGGCGTGATCTCGGCTCACTGCAACCTCTGCCTTCTGGGATCAAGCGATTCTTCTGTCTCAGCCTCCCGACTAGCTGGGATTATAGGCATGTGGCACCACGCCCAGCCAATTTTTGTAGAGAGGGGGTTTTAACATGTTGGCCAGGTGGTCTCAAACTCCTGACCTCAGGTGATCCACCCACCTTGGCCTCCCAAAGTGCTAGGATTACAGGTGTGAGCCACCGTGCCCAGCCAAAGATCATGCATGTCTTATAATACTATATTTTATCTTGAATTTTAGGTATGTAGGTTGGAACTCCATGGGAGCATGATCTGGCTTGTTTTGAGCAGGCCTAGAATAGAATGGAAACCCACTACATGTTAGTTGAATCAATGAATGATTGTATGTAGAAGTTGTGGAAGTTGGAGGGTAGTGAAAAACCTGATGAAGACCTTCAAGTGTTTTTTTTTGTTTGTTTGTTTTTTTGAGACAGAGTCTCACTCTGTCGCCCAGGCTGGAGTGCAGTGGCACGATCTCGGCTCACTGCAACCTCCACCTCCCAGGTTCATGCCATTCTCCTGCCTCGGCCTCCCAAGTAGCTGGGATTACAGGTGCCCGCCAGCATGCCTGGCTGATTTTTTGTATTTTTTTAGTAGAGAAGGGGTTTCACCGTGTTAGCCAGGATGGTCTCAATCTCCTCACCTTGTGATCTGCCCGCCTCGGCCTCCCAAAGTGCTGGGATTACAGGCGTGAGCCACCGCGCGGGGCGACCTTCAAGTTTTAAATGAAACATCATCTCTTCCAGGAACTTCATCCCTCACAACCTGTTTCTATGTCTTTTAATTTTTTCTTTCTTTTTTTTTTTTTTTTTGAGATGGAGTTTTGCTCTTGTTGCCTAGGCTGGAGTGCAATGGCACACTCACTGCAACCTCCCCATCCCGGGTTCCAGTGATTCTCCTACCTCAGCCCCGCAAGTAGCTGGGATTACAGCCTCCCACCACCACACTCAGCTGATTTTTTTGTATTTTTAGTAGAGATGGGGTTTTGCCATGTTGGCCAGGCTCTCAAACTCCTGACCTCAGGTGATCTGCCCGCCTCGGCCTCCCAAAGTGTTGGGATTACAGGCGTGAGCCACCATGCCTGGCCAGCATCTTTTAATTTTCTTCTTCTTTTTAATTTAAGAGATAGCATCTAGCTATGTTACCCCAGGCTGGACTATAACTCCTGGGCTCAAGCGATCCTCCTGGTAGGTGGGACTACAGGCACACTCCATGCTCCTCAGAGTCTCACCTTAATTGTCTTCTTCATCACCCTAATTCACATGTGAATCCCTTAAGAGCAGGGATTTTGTGTCTTCTTTCTATTCACAGGCACTTCACATAGTCCTGGACATATGCATGAATGAACCGTTGACTGAATGACATGTCGGTCTAAAGAAAGAAACTGAGGCAAAATTAATATAGGTAGGGGGTGTATTTGGGCCAAGGTTGAGGACTGTATCCTAGAAATCACTAGGAAGTGCTCCAGAGAACAAAAGAGAACCTTGAGATTTTAAAGAAAAAAGGATTAATCAGGAGAAGGGTGAAAACAAAAGTTGTGTTTCAGGAATTCTCACAGGTTTACAGAAATAATATTGATCGGCCAGGCTCCATGGCTCACGCCTGTAATCCTAGCACTTTGGGAGGCCGAGGCAGGCAGATCACCTGAGGGCAAGCATTTAAGACCAGGCCAGGCGCGGTGATTCACACCTGTAATCCCAACACTTTGGGAGGCTGAGGTGGGTGGATCACCTGAGGTCAAGAGTTTAAGACCAGCCTGGCCAACATGGTGAAACTCTGTCTCTACTAAAAATACAAAAATTAGTTGGGCATGGTGGCACATGCCTGTAGTCCCAGCTACTCGGGAGGCTGAGGCAGGAGAATAGCTTGAAACCGGGAGGCAGAGGTTGCAGTGAGCCGAGAGCACGCCACTGCACTCCAGCCTGGCAACAGAGTGAGACTCTGTCTCAAAAAAAATAAATAACATTGATCAGTGATTGGTTATACCTAGTTGAACTATAGGATATGAGTTATGGTGTCCAATGTACTGTATCATTCAATTAATTTTTTTTTTCTTCTAGACGGGGTCTTTCTATGTCACCCCAATCTCAAGTGATCCTCCTACCTTAGTCTCCTGAGTAGCTGGGATTACAGGCACGCACCACCATGCCCATGTTAATTTATAGCTGTTGATGCTGACACTCAATCTAGAGTTCATATAGAAGGCCACATCAAAATAATGACTTGGCTCAAGCGGGGATGGGAAGTGACTGCAGTCTTATTTCAATGCCTCTCTGGACCTGGTAATTTAAAGGTGATTCAGATTCCTCAGATAAAAAAGTTTATTGTTGGCCAGGCACAGTGGCCTGCACTTTGGGAGGCCAAGGCGGGCGGATCACCTGAGATCAGGAGTTGGAGACCAGCCTGCCCAACATGGGGAAACCCCGTCCCTACTCAAAATACAAAAATAAGCTGGGCATGGTGACGCATGCCTGTAATTCCAGCTATTTGGGAGGCTGAAGCAGGGGAATCGCTGGAACCCAGGAGGCAGAGGTTGCAGTGAGCCAAATCGCGCCACTGCACTCCAGCCTGGGCAACAGAGCAAGACTCCCTCTCAAAAAAAAAAAAAAAAAAAAAAAAAAAAAGTTTACTGTATTTCTCAGAACAAATGAACAAACTAAAACTTATGAACACTTCAGTTCCCCCTAAAGCATTTGGTTTAGGAAGGTCACACAGTCATGCTTGCAGGCCACACAAACAGGGCACAGCTGACAGTGAAACCAAGGTTAGTAAGTACATTATTTTTATTTTTAAATTATAGAGACAGGGACTCACTATATAGACCATGCTGGTCTCAAACTTCTGGCCTCAAGCTATCCCCCTGTCTCAGCCTCCCAAATTGCTCAGATTATAGGTGTGAGTCACCACACTTGGCCAAGGAGTACATTAACCCATAACCAAGTATGTGAAGTTTACTTTTACTCTTTTTGTATGTTAGCCTTGAATACATAATATAGGACTTTTGGAAAACTCAAACAACAAACTCATGATGCTCATAATTGACACATTTACATCATTCCACACAGTCTGAAACTGGGACAAAATACTGCAACCAGGATTGCCTTGGAAAATCTGGGCATCTGGTCATTGTATTAATGTAGTATTCTCATCAACTCTCTGGGTAATTTTTAAACTTTTGAAATGTGTAAGTTCCTCACACATAGAAAGGCTTAATCATTGTTGAATTAATTGTAGAGGGTATAGAAACAATCTGGATCTTTCTTCCTTTTTATAATAAATTGCAATAGGACTTCAATTCTGCCAGCCATAGGTCCTTTTGTTTTACAGTAGCCATCTTTGTCACTCATAGGTATTAAAACATGGCTTGGGGAGGCCTAGGTGGGGGCATCGCTTGAGCCCAGGAGTTCAAGACCAGCCTGGGTGATGTAGTGAGAACTTGTCTCTACAAAAAATTTAAAAATTAGCTGAGCGTGGTGGTGTGTGCCTGTGGTCCTAGCTACTTGAGAGGCTGAGGTGGGAGACTTTTGAGCCCAGGAGGGCAAGGCTTGCAGTGAGCCGTGATCATGCCACTGCACTCCAGCCTGGGCGACAGAGCAAGGCCCTGTCTCAAAAAACAAAAACAAAAACAAAAAAACCCAAAAGAAACAAAAAACCCATGCCCTGAAATTGTTAAAGCAGATACCTATTTTAATGTTGAGCAGGCCGAGCCCGTTAGCTCACTCCTGTCATCTCAGCACTTTGGGAGGCCAAGGCCAGTGAATCACCTGAGGTCAGGAGTTCGAAACCAGGCTGATCAACATGGTGAAATCCCATCTCTACTAAAAATACAAAATTTGCTGGGCTTGGTGGCACATGCCCGTAATCCCAGCTACTTGGGAGGCTGAGGCAGGAGAATCACTTGCTTGAACCCAGGAGGCAGAGGTTGCAGTGAGCCGACATTGTGCCATTGCACTCCAGCCTGGGCAATAAGAGCGAAACTCCATCTCAAAAAAAAAAAAAAAAAAAAAAAAGAAGTTATCTCTTTAAATGAAATAACATCTTTAAATAAAATTTAAGAGGCTGAAATTTAAGCGACTAAAATTTAATATTCCTAGTCTCTAATACCAGGATTTGTAGTGAACTCTATTCCCAGAATAGGGCAGTAGTATTGAATTTGGGGGACATGGTTCAGTCCATAACACCATGTTACTGGAGATTCACTCCTTTGTATTCTTCCATCTGGAATATTCTTTCCAATCAGCTAACTCCTGATCATACTTCAATAACCAGCATTTCTTCTCATTTGTGAAACTTTCCCAGAGAAACCTAAGAAGATCTCATTTCCTTTGTGCCACCAACCATCTCAAACATACCCATAATTTAGTACTTATTGAATCCCATGGTGAATATTTGCTTACCTTTCTAAGCTGTGAGCACTCTAGGGGCAGAGACTTGATTTTACCTATCTCTGTATTCACAGTGCCTAATAAATAGGTGATCAAAATGTCAAATTAGGGGAATAAAACACGTCCAAAGTATATCTTTAGGACCGCTAATATCTAAATAAGCTACAACCTAATTAGATAACATAATTATAGAAGAGATTCATTAATAAAATTACTTTTATAAGTCTCAAAAATGTCCCTTAGATAAGTAAATCCTTCTAGGAATGTAGGTAGATGGGGCATGATAACCCAATTAAGATAATACTCTTTCTTCCTTTCCTTTCCTTTTTCCTTCCCTTCCCTTCCTTTCCCTCCCCTCCCCTCCCCTCCCCTCCCTCCCTCCCTCCCCTCCCTTCTCTTCCTTTCCTTTCCTTTTCTTTCTTTTTGAGATAGGGTCTAACTCTGTCTCCCAGGCTGGAGTGCAGTTGTGTGGTCTCAGCTCACTGCAACCTCTGCCTCCTGGGCCCAAGCAATCATCCCACCTCAGCCTCCTGAGTAGCTTGGGCCACAGGTGTGCGCCACCACACCCAGCTAATTTTTTGCAGAGACGCGGATTTACCATGTTGCCCAGGCTGGTCTGGAACTCCTGAGCTCAAGCCATCCACCCGCATCGGCCTCCCAAAGTGCTGGGATTACAGACAAGAGCCACTGAGCCTAGCCATTTTATTTCCCATGCATTGTTTTCGTCTTTTTATTTTATTTTATTTATTTATTTTTGAGTCACAGTCTCGCTCTGTTGTCCAGGCTGGAGTGATCTTAGCTCACTGCCACCTCTGCCTCCTGGTAAAGCAATTCTTGAGCCTCCACCTCTCCAGTAGTTGGGATTACAGGCCCATGCCACCAAGCCCGGCTAATTTTTGTATTTCTAGTAGAGACGGGTTTCACCACGTTGGCCATGCTGGTCTCAAACTCCTGACCTCAAGCTATCCACCCACCTCGGCCTTCCAAAGTCCTGGGATTACAGGTGTGAGCCACCACACCTGGCCTGCCTTGTTACTTCTAAGTAATTATTTTTATTTTTCTTTAAACAAGTACTTTTTATTTTTAGATGGAGTCTCGCTGCAGTGTCTCGATCTCGGGTCACTGCAACCTGCGCCTCCTGGGTTCAAGCAATTCTCCTGCCTCAGCCTCCCGAGTAGCTGGGACTAAAGGTGAACACCACCACACCCAGCTAATTTTTGTATTTTTAGTAGAGACCGGGTTTCACCATGTTGGCCAGGATGGTCTCAGTCTCTTGACCTCGTGATCTGCCCACCTTGGCCTTCCAAAGTGCTGGGATTATAGGCGTGAGACACCTTTCCCAGCACAAGTACTTTTTTTTTTTTTTTTGAGACTGAGCCTCGCTCACTTTGTTGCCCAGGCTGGAGTGCAGTGGCGCGATCTTGGCTCACTGCAAGCTCCGCCTCCTGGGTTCAAGCCATTCTCCTGCCTCAGCCTCCCGAATAGCTGGGACTACAGGCACCCACCACCACGCCCGGCTAATTTTTTGTATTTTTAGTAGAGATAGGGTTTCACCATGTTAGCCAGAATGGTCTCAATCTCCTGACCTCATCATCCACCCGCCTCAATCTCCCAAAGTGCTGGGATTACAGGCGTGAGCCACCGTGACTGGCCACAAGCACTTTTTCATATTTAGCAGAGATTAAAATGGTTCTACCATACTATAACATCACATATATTATACTTATTGTTAAGAATCAATAATGTCTGAATATGCTCTAATCAATATCTAGAAAGTAAGTCGATCATTATACTTGATAAAGGAAGACCTGAGAAAAAAAGGAAGAACCAGGTTACTAAGAGGCGGAAGTGAATGTTTATGTCACAATTACCATACAAAAAACCACTACCTTATACAACAGCTGCCCACAATTTAGCCCCCAAATCTCCCCAATCCCTATATGCCAAACTAATTCTGAAAGACTTGCAGTGCAAAGCAAAATCTTTGTGTTTATAGACTCTCTCCAGTGTTTTAATAACAGCTTTTTCCCCAGGATTGGAGAAACAAGTGACACTCCTTGCAGAGTATTTCAGTGCTTCCCTGAAATGACCATCTACTCTAAAGCAGAAGCTCTTTCTCTGACACCTCCCTTGCAGATCACAACTGCCTATTAACCTTGGGCAGGGCTGCACAAATATTCCCCTTACTCATTGTATATCCTCTTTAACACCCAGCAGAATGTAAAAGGTATGAGACAATCTGAGACTTGGCATTATTACTTTATCTACTTCCTCTTATTGTCAATACTAGAAAAAAATAGGTAGGAGAGAGAATTTTTACAGTTTGGTGTAGTTAACTAAGCAGAGGTTTGGACATCAGAACAGAAAAATGTGAAGCCCAGCTCTGGAGCATGAACTAGAGTTTGGATATTCAAACAAGTCACTTTCTTTTTTTTTTGTTTGTTTTTTGAGACAGAACCTTACTCCGTCGCCAGAGCTGAAATGCAATGTCACTATCTCGGCTCACTGCAACCTCCGCCTCCCGGATTCAAGCGATTCTCCTGCCTCAGCCTCCTGAGTAGCCAGGATTACAGGTGCCTGCCACCAAGCCCAGCTAATTTTTGTATTTTTAGTAGAGACAGGGTTTCACCATGTTGGTCAGGCTGGTCTAACTCTTGACCTAGTGATATTTTTCATCAACTATTTATTGAATACCTACTGTTTTCTAGATACACTACTAGGCACAGACAATATAGGTTTGCAGTGAGCCGAGACTGGCCATTGCACTCCAGCCTGGGCAACAGAGCGAGACTCTGTCTCAAAAAATAAAATAAAATAAAATACTCACCTCAAAGGCCAGGTATGGTGAATCCTAGCACTTTAGGAGGTTGAGGCGGGAGGATTGCTTGAGCCCAGGAGTTTGAGACCAGCCTAGGCAACACAGTGAGATCCCATCTGTGTAAAAAATAAATAAATCAAAAAAATGCATAATGACTGACTGAAGAAATGAATATTTGTTTGGGCTATAGAGTGTATGTGCCTTTTTTTCACTTACATTGTCTCATTTGATTTTTCCAATAATTTTGTGAGATGGGTATTCAAACCTCCAATTTAAATACTGAAATTGAGATTTAGAGAAAGAAAATGACTTGTTTGAGGCTGGGCGCGGTGGCTCATATCTGTAATCCCAGCACTTTGGGAGGCTGAGGCGGGCGGATCACCTGAGGTCAGGAATTTAAGACCAGCCTGGCTAACAAGGTGAAACCCCATCTCTACTAAAAATACAAAAATTAGCCGGGCATGGTGGTGTGTGCCTATAGTCCCGGCCATTCAGGAGGCTGAGGCAGGAGAATTGCTTGAACCCTGGAGGCAGAGGTTGCAGTGAGCCAAGATCTTGCCACTGCACTCCAGCCTGGGCAATAGAGTGAGACTCTGCCTCAAAAAGAAAAAAAAAATTGAGACAGAGTCACTTTGTCATTTAGGCTGGAGTGCAATGGCGCCATCATGACTCGCTGCATCCTAGAGCTCCTGGCTCAAGCGAGGTCGGGGCTGCAGTGAGGCATGATGCCATGAACTTCCTGCCTCAGTCTCCCAAGCAGCTGGGAATACATGTGCAGACCACCATGCCTGGCTAATTTTGTTGGTTTTTAGTAGAGACACAGTCTTCCCATGTAGCCCAGGCTCGTCTCAAATTCCTGAGCTCAAGTGATCCTCCTGCCTCGACCTCCCAAAGTAGTGAGATTACAAGGCATGAGCCACTGTGCCCAACATCTACATTTCAGTACGGAAGATATTTGTGATATTTTATTTTATGTGTCAACTTGGTTGGACTACAGTGCCCAGATATGTGGTCAAACCTCATTCCAGTGCCAGGCGAGGTGGCTCACGCCTGTAATCCCAGCACTTTGGCAGGCCGAGACGGGTGGATCACCTGAGGTCAGGAGTTCAAGACCAGCCTCAACATGGAGAAACCCCATCTCTACTAAAAATACAAAATTAGCCGGGCGTGGTGGCACATGCCTGTAATCCCAGCTACTCGGGAGGCTGAGGCAGGAGAATTGCTTGAACCCAGGAGGCGGAGGTTGCAGTGAGCCGAGATCGCGCCATTGCACTCCAGCCTGGGCAGCAAGAGCGAAACTCCATCTCAAAAATAAATAAATAAATAAATAAAATAAATAAAAAATTTAAAAAAACCCTCATTCTAAATGCTTTTGTGAGAGTGTTTGGGATGAGATTTATATTTCAATCAGCAGAGTTTGAGTAAAGAAGGTTATCTTCCATAATGTGGGTAGGCCTCATCCAATCAGTTGAAGACCTGATAGAACAGCAGACTGACTCCCTGAGCAAGAGAGAATTCTGCCAGCAGAGGGGCTTCAGACTTCAACTGCAGTATCAGCTCTTCCTGGGTCTCTATCCAGTCAGCCCTTCTTGCAGATTTCGGACTTGCCAGCCTCTATAATCATGTGAGCCAGGCCGGGTGCAGAGGCTCACACCTGTAATCCCAGCACTTTGGGAGGCCGAGGCAGGCGGATCACCTGAGGTTGGGAGTTCGAGACCAGACTGGCCAACATGGTGAAACCCCGTCTCTACTAAAAAATAAAAAAAATTAGCCAGGCATGGTGGTGCGCGCCTGTAGTCCCAACTACTCAGGAGGCTGAGGCAGGAAAATCGCTTGAACCTGGGAGGCAGAGGTTGCAGTGAGCCGAGATCATGCCACTGCACTCCAGCCTAGGGTACAGAGTGAGACTCATCTAGAAAAAAAAATGAAATAAATAAATAAATAAATAAATAAATAAATAAATAAATCTCTCTACACAGGCAATCATGCTTGCACATACACACACACACACACGTATGCACCCTATTGGTTCTAACCCTAACTCATACAGATTTTGGTACTAAAAAGTAGGGTGTTACTATAACAAATACCTAAAAATGTGGAAATGGCTGTGGAAGTGGGTAATGAGTAGCAGCTGAAGAATTTTGAGGTAAATACGAGAAAAAGCCTAGATTGCCTTAAAGGGATTCTTGCAGCCGGGTTCGGTGGCTCATGGCTGTAAGCCCAGCACTTTGGGAAGCCGAGGCGGGTGGATCACCTGAAGTCAGGAGTTCAAGACCAGCCTGACCAACATGGGAAAACCCTGTCTCTACTAAAAATACAAAATTAGCCAGGTGTGGTGGTGTGCAACTGTAATGCCAGCTACTCAGGAGGCTGAGGCAGGAGAATCGCCTGAACCTGGGAGGTGGAGGTTGCAGTGAGCTGAGATCTCGCCATTGCACTCCAGCCTGGGCAACAAGAATGAAACTCTGTCTCAAAACAACAACAACAACAACAAAAATGATTCTTGGTAAGAATATCAACATTAATCAACACTAAAAGTGATTCTGTTTCTCCATGGGACCCTCTGAAAAATAAATATACAAAATAAATAAATAAATAAAAAGGCGATTCTGTGAGTTCCCTGAGGGAAATGAGGAACATGTTATTGGAAACTGAAGAAAAGGCAATCTATGTTATAAAGTGGCAAAAAAAACTTGGCTGAACATTGTGCCAATGTTTTGTGGAATGAACTTGTTTGTCATGAAATGCATATTTAGCTGAGGTGATTTCTAAGGAAAATGCTGAGGATATAGCCTGCTTTCTCCTTGCTGCTTATAGTAATATGTGAGAAGAAGAGATAAACTGAATGAGAAATTGTAAGCAAAAAGGAACCATTATTTGGGAAATTCTTGGCCTATCTATATTGCAAAGTACTGAGAAAGCATGTTCTGGAGAGAATACTGTGAGTGTGGCTAGAAAATCATTTGATAGTTGGCCGGGTGCGGTGGCTCACGCTTGTAATCCAGCACTTTGGGAGGCCGAGGCGGGCGGATCACGAGGTCAGGAGATCAAGACCATCCTGGCTAACATGGTGAAACCCGTCTCTACTAAAAATACAAAAAATTAGCCAGGCGTGGTGGCGGGCGTCTGTAGTCCCAGTTACTCAGGAGGCTGAGGCAGAAGAATGGCGTGAACCCCGGAGGCAGAACTTGCAGTGAGCTGAGATCGCGCCACTGCACTCCAGCCTGGGCGACAGAGCAAGACTCGGTCTCAAAAAAAAAAAAAAAAAAAGAAAATCATTTGATAAAGAAATAATGGGCTGGGCGTGGTGGCTCGGGCTCGTTATCCCAGCACTTTGGGAGGCCAAAGTGGGTGGATTACCTGAGATCAAGAGTTCAAGACCAGCCTGGCCAACATGATGAAACCCTGTCTTTACTAAAAATACAAAAATTATCCGGGCGTGGTGGCACAAGCCTGCAATCCCAGCTACTTGGGAGGCTGAGGCAGAAGAATCGCATGAACTCAGGAGGCAGAGGTTGCAGAGAGCCGAGATCGCACCACTGCACTCCAGCCTGGGCAACACAGTGAGACTCTGTCTCAAAAAACAAAAAAAGAAAAATGGAATTTGCCTTGCTAGAATTTTGATTTGGAAGTCCAGGTACCCCTTTCTTCTTTCTTATTTCCCCCATTTCCCCCTTTTGCAAGGGGAATGTCTAGCCTATGCCTGTCCCACCATTATATTATGGAAGCACATAACTTGTCTGGTTTCCCAGGGTCAGATTAGAAAAACAAATTTGCCTCGGGATTAATCACACCTTGAGTCTCACCCATACCAAATGTAGATGATATTCAGATGAGATTTTGGATTTGGAACTGATGCTGGAATGGTTGAGACTTTAGGGCCTGCGGGGCGCGGTGGCTCACTCGCGCCTGTAATCCCAGCACTTTGGGAGGCCGAGGTGGGTGGATCACGAGGTCAGGAGATCGAGACCATCCTGGCTAACACGGTGAAACCCCGTCTCTACTAAAAATACAAAAAAAATTATCCGGGAGTGGTGGCGGGCGCCTGTAGTCCCAGCTACTCAGGAGGCTGAGACAGGAGAATGGCGTGAACCCAGGAGGCGGAGGTTGCAGTGAGCCGAGATTGCGCCACTGCACTCCAGCCTGGGCGACAGAGCGAAACTCCGTCTCAAAAAAAAAAAAAAAAAAAAAAAGATTTTAGGTGCTGCTGGGATAGAGATAAATGTATTTTGGATGTGAGGACATACATTTTGGGGGGCCAAAGGGCAAACTGTCATGGACTTAATTGCGTCCTAAAATTCCTATGTTGAAGCCCTAACCCCTAGTAACTTATAATGGAACTGTATTTGGAGATGGGGCCTTTAAGGAGGTAATTAAGGTTACATGAGGTCACTAGGGTGGGGCTCTAGTCCAATAGGACAGGTGTCCTTATGAGAAGAGGAAGAGGCATTAGGCCTGTGAATAGAGAAAAGGCCATGTGAAGACACTGAGAAGACAGCCATCTGCTACTGAAGGGAGAGGTCTCAGGAGAAACTAAGCCTGCTGGCACCTTGATCTTGGATGTCCAGCATCTAGAACTTTGAGAAAACAAATTCCTGTTGTTTAAGCCACCTGTTTGTGGTATTTTGTTATGGCAGCCTTAGCAGACAATAAATATATACTGTCAAGTAATAAGGGAGCATTTTGAAGAAGAAAATATCAAGGT
This sequence comes from Homo sapiens, assembly GCF_000001405.40. Classification (NCBI taxonomy): domain Eukaryota; kingdom Metazoa; phylum Chordata; class Mammalia; order Primates; family Hominidae; genus Homo; species Homo sapiens. The sequence goes on from NC_000012.12 coordinate 7,954,454, forward strand.
AAGGCGATAAAGGGTTGGGGCTGGGGAAGATTAAGATAGAGTGGTTAGGGTTCCTCTCTCAGTAGAGATGATACTTGCACAGAAACCTGAATCACACGAGAAAGTCAACCTTGGGAGTATCTCAAAACAGCATTTCAAACAGAAGGCATTTCAAACGCAGACACCAAAAGGAGGACTCGTGCTTGGCAGGGTGTCAAAAGGTGGATTTGGCAGGAGTGGAGTGAAGCGGGGGCAGAGTGGCAGGAGAAATGATGTTGAAGACGGCTAGGAGTCTGCTCATGCAGGACGCTGTAAGCAGTCATGAACGTTCTGGTTTATATTCCGAATGTGACAGACAGCCAGGAAGCTACGAAGCCATTTTAGTTTTTTGAGCAGAAGCATGACATCAGTTGATTCGTGTTTTTAAAAAAGTATGTGCTGTTGAATGGAGAAGATGCTGAAGGAGGGTGCTGTGGTTTAAATGTGTGTTCCCTCCAAAATTCATGCAGAAACTTAATCCTAATTGTGGTGATATTAAGAGGCTGGACCTTGGCAGGGCGCGGTGCTCACGCCTGTAATCCCAGCACGCTGGGAGGCCGAGGCGGGCGGATCACCTGAGGTTGGGAGTTTGCGACCAGCCTGACCAACATGGAGAAACTCCGACTCTACTAAAAATACAAAATTGGCTGGGCGTGGTGGCGCATGTCTGTAATCCGAGCTACTCGGGAGGCTGAGGCAGGAGAATCGTTTGAACCCGGGAGGCAGAGGTTGTGGTGAGCCGAGACCGCGCCATTGCACTCCAGCCTGGGCAACAAGAGTGAAACTCCGTCTCAAAAAAAAAAAAAAAAAGCCGGGCGCGGTGGCTCACGCCTGTAACCCCAGCACTTTGGGAGGCCGAGGCGGGTGGACCACAAGGTCAGGAGATCGAGACCATCCTGGCTAACACGGTGAAACCCCGTCTCTACTAAAAATATAAAAAATTAGCCGGGCGTGGTGGCGGGCGCCTGTAGTCCCAGCTACTCGGGAGGCTGAGGCAGGAGAATGGCGTGAAGCCGGGAGGCGGAGCTTGCAGTGAGCCGAGATTGCGCCACTGCACTCCAGCCTGGGTGACAGAACGAGACTCCGTCTCAAAAAAAAAAAAAAAAAAAAAAAAAAAGGCCGGACCTTTTGGGAAGTGACTGAGTCATGAGGAGTCTGTCTCCATGGATGGATTCATCCCCATATAAAAGGACTTCAGAGGACAGGCAGGGTGGCTAATGCCTGTAATCTTAACACTTTCAGAGGCCAAGGCGGGCGGATTGCTTGAGTGCAGAGGTCCTTATTTCCTCCTTTTGGACCAGCCTGTGTAACACGTGGGGACCCTGTCTCTACCAAAAAAAATACAAAAAATTAGCCGGGCATGGTGGTTTGCACCTGTAGTCCCAGCTACTCGGGTGGCTGAAGTGGGAGGATCACTTGATCCCAGGAGGTCAAGCCTGCAGTGAGCTGTGATCGCGCCACTGCACTCCAGCCTGGGCGACACGGTGAGAATCCATCTCAAAAAACAATAACAACAAAAATTACGCAGTCTATGTTACTTTGTTTTTGTTTTTTGAGACGGAGTTTTGCTCTTGTTGCCCAGGCTGGAGTACAGTGGCGCAATCTCGGCTCACCACAACCTCCGCCTCCCGGGTTCAAGTGATTTCTCCTGCCTCAGCCTCCTGAGTAGCTGGGATTACAGGTGCGCACCACCACGCCCAGTTAATTTTTTATTTTTTAAATTTTTTATTTTATTTCTTGAGACGGAGTCTCACTCTGTCGCCCAGGTTGGAGTGCAGTGGGGTGATCTCAGGTCACTGCAAGCTCCGCCTCCTGGGTTCACGCCATTCTCCTGCCTCAGCCTTCGGAGGAGCTGGGACTGCAGGCGCCCGCCACCACGCCCGGCTAATTTTTTGTATTTTTAATAGAGACGGGGTTTCACCATGTTAGCCAGGATGGTCTCGATCTCCTGACCTCGTGATCCGCCCACCTCGGCCTCCCAAAGTGCTGGGATTACAGGCATGAGCCACCGCGCCAGGCCAATTTTTTGTATTTTCAGTAGAGACGGGATTTCATGATGTCGGTCAGGCTGGTATCGAACTCCTGACCTCAGGTGATCCACCCGCTTCGGTGCAGGGATTACAGGCTTGAGCCACCGCGCCCTGCCAGTCTGTGTTACTTGGTTACAGCAGTATGAACAAAGACACAGGGTAAGAGTGGGAGCATAGAGACCAGTTAGGAGGCTACTGGTCCAGGTGAGAAATGACTTGGTAGTGGGTTGTTGTTGGATTTAAAATGTATTTTCAAGGTGCAACCTACTGGTGGTCTAGATGTTGGGCATAAGTGAAAAAACGGAGTCAAGAATGATCCTAAAGGTTTTGGCTGGAGCAACTGGAGAACTGGAGTTGCCATTTACCTCAGTCAGGAAAGCAGACAGAGACTTCAGGGTCAAATCAAGACTTTTATTTTAGATGCGCTAAGTCTGAGATGTTGTTAGGTTATGCACTAAAAATAGTGTTCCCTTTCTCTTTCATCCCAGATGCTGGGAATATACAGATAAAAAAGATGTTCAGGCCGGCACAGTGGCTCACACGTATAATCCTAGCAGTTTGGGAGGCCGAGGTGGGTGGATCACCTGAGGTCCGGATTTCCAGACTAGCCTGGTCAACATGGTGAAACCCCATTTCTAGTAATAATACAAAAAAAATTAGCTGGGTATGGTGGCCTACGCCTGTTATCTCAGCTACTCAGGAGGCTCAGGCAGGAGAATCTCTTGAACCTGGGAGGCTGAGATTTCAGTGAGCCGAGATCATGCCATTACACTCCAGCCTGGGCGACAAGAGCGAAACTCCGTCACACACAAAAAAGATGTTCCCTGCCTTTAAGGTCTCGTGGTGGTAAAGGGGATGGAGAGTGACATATAATCAAGCGTTCCGCCTTTGTTTTAATTAATAGGCTTTACTTGGGGTAGAACAGTTTAAGGTTTACAGAAAAATTAAGCAGAAAGTATACAGAGTTCCCATCTACTCCCTTAACCCCCTTACTAGTAACATTTGCATTAGTATGATACATCTGATATATATATATGTATATATATGTATATGTATATATATACATATATATGTATATATATATGTATATGTATATATACATATATATATGTATATGTATATGTATATATACATATATATGTATATGTATATATATATATGTATATATATATATATATATAGAGAGAGAGAGAGAGAGAGAGAGAGAGAGAGAGAGAGTTTTGCACTCTGTCTCCCAGGCCGGAATGCAGTGGCATGATCTCGGCTCACTGCAACCTCTGTTTCCCATGTTCAAGCGATTCTCCAGCCTCAGCCTCCTGAGTAGCTGGGATTACAGGCACCCGTCATCATGCCCGGCTAATTTTTGTATTTTTAGTAGAGATGGGGTTTTGCCATGTTGGCCAGGCTGGTCTCGAACTCCTAACCTCAGGTGGTCTGCCCGTCTTGGCCTCCCAAAGTGTTGGGATTACAGGCTTGAGCCACCGCGCCTCGCCACATCTGTTATATTAATAATTGAGGAGCTAATATTGATACATTATTATTACCTGAAGTCCATAGTTTATATTTGGGTTCATTCTTTGTGTTGTATATTCTATGGGTTTGATAAATGTATGATATCATACAGAACAGCTTTACTGCCCTAAAAATCCCATGTTCCACCTCCCTTCCTTACTCCTCCAACCCCTGGCAATCACTGATCTTTTTGCTGTTTTTGCATAGTTTTACCTTTTCCAGAATGTCATACAGTTGGAGTCATACATTATGTAGCCTTTCCAGATTGGCTTATTTCACTTAGTGATATTCATTGAAAGTTCCTCTATGTCTTTTCATTGCTCACTTCTTTTTATCACTGGATAATATTCCATTATTTGGATGCACCACAGTTTATCCCTTCACCTACTGAAGGACATCTTAGTAAGTTTTAGCAACTATGAATAAAACTGCTCTAAACATTCGTTTGCAGGTTTTCATGTAGATGCATGATTTCAACTCATTGGTGTAAGTACCAAGGAGGGTGATTGCAGGATCACAGACAAGACAAGGGTTTTAAAAGTCATCTTCACTTGATCTTAGCCAAAAGGCCGAGAAGCGGGAAAAGTGTTCTTCTATACAAGTGCCAATATATAAGCAACACAGATAATTGCTTGCATGAAGTGAAGACAGTTCTTTGAGTTCCTTAACTTTTCTCTAGCAGTGCTCTAAAGCTATAAATGTCCTTCTTTCTCTGTGTAGCTATTAGTGGGACACTATCACCAGGCTACCACCCCCCTCCCCCCACTCACAGGAAAACAGCTACATGATGACTGAAGTGCTTAGCTGACTCACATCTACGCTTTCAAAACCAGAAGCACATGGCAATCTATGGGCACTTTTTTTTTTTTTAATTTCTTTTGAGACAGAGTTTCGCTCTGTCACCCAGGCAATGGCGTGATCTCAGCTCACAGCAACCTCCACCTCCCGGATTCCAGTGATTCTCCTGGATTACAGATGCCCACCACCACGCCTGGCTAATTTTTGTATTTTTAGTAGAGACAGGGTTTTATCATGTTGGCCAGGCTGGTCTCAAACTCCTGACCTCAACCTCAAGTGATCAATCCAACCACCTCGGCCTCCCAAAGTGTTGGGATTACAGGCTCGAGCCACTGTGCCTGACCTATGGATACTTTTCAATACAGTGTTTCATAATTAAAGGTCTACATTCTTTTAACAGGGCTTCTCCCTAACTTTGGTAACCCTCCAGTGCAGCAGAGCCTAACTCCCTGGAAAAGATTCACCGAGTTCTCTAGGAGGAAAAAGACTACTGAAGCCCCAGGATGCTGTTTATCAAATGGGGTTCTAAAATGGGCTAGGAGGTGTGGTGCTTTATGCCTATAATTACCTTGCTTTAGGAGGCTGAGATGGGAGGATGGCTTGAGGTCAGGAGTTTGAGACCAGCCTGGGGAACATAGCAAGACTTCATCTCTACAAAAAAACTTTAAAAATGAGCCAGGTGTGGTGGTGCCATGCCTGTAGTTCCAGCTACACCGGAGGCTGAGTAGGCAGGATCCCTGAACCCAGGAGTTTGAGGCTGCAGTGAGCCACTACCCTCCAGCCTGGGGAGCAGAGTCAAACCCTGTTCCCTCTTTATCTGCCACCCCCACCCCCCCAAAAAAAGAAAGAAAAAATAACATAGACTAGGCAAATACCCCCGAAAGTGAATGCAAATGTATTTTAGTGTACTCTTGAGGGGCGGTGAGGTGCAAACTCTCTTATCACAGTCTCAAAAAGGAGTACAAGACTCAGAATACAGCCAGATTGGCCTCCGGGCATTGAATGTGGTAGGAAGTGGGGAGGAAGCCACTGCAGAGGAGCCTTAGTGTGGAAACAGCAGGTGTGGTCTGCTTGCAACAGAGGTTCTCCTCCCACTTTTAGGGACGGCTCCTGGTGGAATCACAAAGAGCAAGCTCCTTTCAAGCCTGAGGCCCCAATTCCTTTCAGGCAAGGGGAAGTTAAGAGAAAGGGCAGGTAACATTAGTGCCTGATTAAGGTACTTAAGCAAAATAGCACTACAATCCTCAGAACATGCCATAGTCTGAAGAGACAAAAACTCTTCACCCTCACTTGTATAAGGGGTCACTGTAATATTTTAGCATTTGCCTTTAGCAACTTGAAGAGGAAGAGATGTGAAGTAGCAGCGGCAAAGCTCTCTTAAGTGAAAAAGACTCGTGTATTTTCCTTTTCCATACATTTGACACCACAGGCATTTAACACATTTTTAACATTCAGTGGCTGTTACATACTATACAGTTTTCTAGCTATTATACTTGTAGTAATTCTATGACCTGATGCATATTCTACTATACATACTTCATTTACAAGTGCCACACAATCTTTCTGTGTAGTGAAAAATCAGCTTCCCGGCCGGGCGCGGTGGCTCACGCCTGTAATCCCAGCACTTTGGGAGGCCAAGGCGGGCGGATCACAAGGTCAGGAGATCGAGACCATCCTGGCTAACATGGTGAAACCCCGTCTCTACTAAAAACACAAAAAAATTAGCCGGGCATGGTGACGGGCTCCTGTAGTCCCAGCTACTCGGGAGGCTGAGGCAGGAGAATAGCATGAACCCGGGAGGCGGAGCTTGTAGTGAGCCGAGATTGCGCCATTGCACTCCAGCCTGGGCGACAGAGCGAGACTCTGTCTCAAAGAAAAAAAAAAACAAAAAAAACCCGTCTTCCCTAATTTATGCATTTTTCTTACAAATAACACAAGCTGTTGACCTCTTATTTTTAGCCTCCCAGCTGAATAGGGCAGTTACAGAAATATTTGGATGAGGCGGGCCCAGAAACCAAAGAATTTCTTCCTGTCTGTATCTACCCTGTAGGTTAGCCCCGCCTGCTGGCGTCTTGCTTTTGTAAAAGGCTGCGTAAGCAAGTGCAGACGTGAGTTGCAGATCATCTTGAATCTCCGGAGCGACAAGCTCCATCACTCAAAGCGGATCAAATACTCTGGTCCCTTCTTTGTTCTTCTGTTTCTCTTCTCCTCCTATGGAATTTATCCTCCTGTTGATGCCACCGAGCGATACGACAACATCTTTATCTCCCTCAGCGTCCTGTTTTCCTTCATCCTCTTTGGTTCTTGGTCTGTTTGGCATGGATGTGCACAATCTCATGGGAGTGCAAAATCTCGAGTACTTCTTGCATGATTCAATGCAAATTTATTGCAGCAATACTCTACCTGTTTTTAAAATGTGTGCAACAAGTGTTGACTTCAGTGGCCTGACCCTATAATCCTGTAACTGTTTAAGTGTTCGGACATGGGAAGTTGCTTTGATTACAACCACAATATTCAAAAACTAGATTCCATGTAGATTTATTTATTTTCTTTATTTATTTTTTGGAGACAGGGTCTTTCTCTGTTGCAAAAAGGAGCTGGCTGGAGTGCAGTGTCACGATCTCAGCTCACTGCAGCCTCGACCTGCTGGGCCCAAGTGATCCTCCTGCCTCAGCCTCCTGAGTAGCGGAGACTATAAGCACATGCCACCATGTCCAGCTAATGTTTGTATCATTTGTAGTGACAAGGCTTCACCATGTTGCCCAGGGTGGTCTCGAACTCCTGGGCTCAACTGATCCACCCTGGCCTCCCAACGTGCTAGGATTACAGGCGTGAGCGAACCCCAGGTAAATTTTAAAATCCAGCTTAATTCCAATTACATGTAAGTGGCTGCTTTAAGCTAATGGAAAATAAGCAAGTTTATAATTTTTAAAAAATGAAATTCAAAATTAAGAGATAACCCATGAAATCTTATACCCTGACAAGTGGCCCTTTAAAGGCTGTGGACCTTACCTTGATATTCTCTGGCCTTCTTCCCCTAGATACTATTAATAAACAGCAGCAGACTAACGTAGTGACAACAAGAGTGAATAAGAAAGACAAATGGCCTGAAAAATCCACAAGGGGATATAAGTCTGGGTTCGTTTATTTATACAGATCTACTATGTTGCCAAACCCAGTTTATATTCTGAGGATACTATGGTGTGGTAGGAGAACTCCATTTCCTGTTTGCATAGAATTTAAATTCTACTGGGATGAGGCTATGTATTCATTTTTACGTTTTATTTCTTTTTTGTTGTTGTTCTCGAGACAGAGCCTTGCTCTGTCGCTCAGGCTGGAGTGCAATGGTGCAATCTCAGCTCACTGCAACCTCCACCTCCTGGGTTCAAGGGATTCTCCTGCCTCAGCCTCCCGAGCAGCTGGGATTACAGGCGTGCACCACCACGCCCAGCTAATTTTGTATTTTTAGTAGAGATGGGGTTTCTCCATGTTGGTCAGGCTGGTCTCAAACTCCCGACCTCAGGTGATCCACCTGCCTCAGCCTCCCAAAGTGCTGGGATTATAGGTGTGAGCCACCGAGCCTCCGCCCCACCCCCACCACCATTCTTCTTAACGATCTAAATTTAGACTTTCCAAACATACTCGAAGTAGATGTGAGGAGCTTAATCAAATCATCACAGAAACATTCGTCTCTGTAGTGGTAGAAATAGGTACTTGATAAATCAAACTGTCAGTTTCTTCTGTTACCTCATTTATAATTCATAACAATATTTAAAATTTGCTATTGTCATCCTCATTTACACCAAGAAATCTCTAAGTAATTTGCTCAAGGACCCACAGTTTGGGGCAGAACTAGTTGTCCATACTATACTATAGTATACTACATTGTTGTAGATTAAGAGAAATATATCCAATGTATGTTAAGAAGAAAGAATCCGGGGCCGGGCGCGGTGGCTCACGCCTGTAATCCCACCACTTTGGGAGTTCGAGGTGGGCGGATCACGAGGTCAAGAGTCCGAGATCAGCCTGGCCAATATGGTGAAACGCCTTCTCTACTAAAAATACAAAAATTAGCCGGGTGTGGTGGTGCGCGCTTGTAGTCCCAGCTACTCAGGAGGCTGAGGCAGGAGAATCGCTTGAACCCGGGAGGCGGAGGTTGCAGTGAGCCGACGTCGCACCGCCACTGCACTGCAGACTGGACGACAAAGCGAGACTCCGCCTCAAAAAAAAGAAAAGAAAAAAGAATCCGGGATAGCCACTCTTTCTCCATCCACGTCTATCCTACCCTTTTACGCCTAGAAATGGAGCCTGTTCTTGCCCCTTCTTAGGCAGCTTGTCATAAACAGGAAGCATGTGTCCTGGGTGCAAGACATCTGGAGACTGACGATAAGTGGCTGTTCAAGGGTTGTAGGAAAAGGGAGACATTCTCCCCCGCGAGTTTAGTAAAGATTCTATTCTTAGGCTCTAGAGAGAAGGTGAAAGGAAGTTGAGGATGCCAGGCAGGGAGGCTGGATAAGGGAAGGAAAGCTCTTGCTACTTATCAGTGTTCTGTCTGCAAAGAAGAAACGTCAAAGGGAAAAAAGGGGGAGTCTCCTTCAGTAATAATGGCTTTGCAGAGCTGATTACCTTTCAGTTCAGTTAAACCAGGGGTCTGAAACTATGGCACTGGGTCCAAATCAAGCCCAACACCTGTCTATCACCACACATAAACTAAGAATGATTTTTGCATTTTTAAATGATTGAGGGTGGGGGGGAATCAAAATAATTATTTTGTGGCTTGTGAAAATGATATAAAATTCAAATTTCAGTGTCCACAAGTAAAGCTTTATTGAAATACATTCACGTTCATTCATTTATATATTGTCAAGGGCTGCTTTTGCACTACATATGGTCAGAGTGGGTAGTTATGACAGATTGAATGGCCCACAAGGCCTAAACTATTTGCTATCTGATCCCTTACAGTAAGTAAAGTTAGCCAACTTGTGATTTAGACAGTAGAGGAATCAAATGAAATAGCATCAAAAAGTTGTAGGATCATTGGGCCATTCTAACCCTAAGTCAGAGGAAGAAATGGAATGGGAAGTAGAGGGTGAACAGAAAGAACACAATACATCTGAGTGGGACGCACACATGTTGAGTAGTAAAAATCTCTGAGGACTTCTTGTTAGGGGATGCCAAAAAGTGGGCCTACCAAGAAGATATAAAAAGGCTGAGATTAGGGCGGGGTGCGGTGGCTCACACTTGTAATCCCAGCACTTGGAGAGGCTGAGGCGGGTGGATAACCTGAGATCAGGAGTTCGAGACCAGCCTGGCCAACATGGGGAAACCCCATCTCTACTAAAAATACAAAATTAGCCATGCATGATGGTGCGTGCCTATAATCCCAGCTATTCGGGAGGCTGAGGAAGGAGAATCACTTAGAACGCGGGAGGCAGAGGTTGCAGTGAGCCAAGATCATGCCATTGCACTCCAGCCTGGGCGACAGCTCGATACTCTGTCTCGGAAAAAAAAAAAAAAAAAAAGCTGAGATTAGGAAATAGAAATTTTTTCTCCAAATTTCTCTCATTCCATGATATAGGGAATGGGAGATAAACTTAGCAATGTTGAGAATGTCCTCTACTTAAGGGCACTAGTTCAATAAACTGTTCCCCAGGTTCACTGTGGGCTGATAAATTCACCTGGTTATTTTACTTATCTAGAAACATAGTACAGATATTAAAATACCTAAATCCCCAGTGGCCGCTTTGAACATAGTGCTACCCTCCATATTACTAGAAAGAGGAAAATTCAAGACTGGATTAGAGAAATGGCTAATGAAAGATGGGCTGACAGCTAATCTTAAATTCAACTCTCCCTTTTTTCCATAGCTTCATGGTCATTTTCTGTGATCCAAAAAGGTGGTGAAAAGACTGCATTTGGCCAGGCGTGAGGGCTAATGCCTGTAACCCCAGCACTTTGAGAGGATGAGGCGGGCGGATCACTTGAGGTCAGGACTTCGAGACCAGCCTGGCCAACATGGTGAAATCCCGTCTCTATTAAAATACAATATTAGCCGGGCATGGTGACGCATGCCTGTAATCCAAGCTACTCAGGAGGAAGCTAAGGCAGGAGAATTGCTTAAACCCAGGAGGCAGAGGTTGCAGTGAGCCGAGATCAGGCCACTGTACTCCAGCCTGGCAACAAGAGCGAAACTCCATCTGAAAAAAGAAAAAAAAAAACACAAAAATTACCACTATCATCACCCATCTACCTAATGAAGTGTGGGTGAAGAAAACAGATGTGGAGAACAGCGCAGGAATAATAACTTTAGTGGAATTAGTCCCTGAATAAACCATTATAAATAGAATACATTTAGCTGGGCGTGGTGGCACGCACCTGTAGTCCCAGCTACTCGGGAGGCTGAGGCAGGAGAATCGCTTGAATCCGGGAGGCGGAGCTTGCAGTGAGCTGAGATCGTGCCACTGCACTCCAGCCTGGGCAACAGAGTGAGACTCCAGCTCAAAAAATAAAATAAAATAAAATAAATAGAATACATTATTAAACATAAATTACTAACTTGTTTATCCTATACTGACTGTTATCATGGATAGATCCTGAGTCATATTTCTAAATACATTATGGGAGCCTGTAATAAAAAAGTCACATCCTACATGACGCTTTAAAGTCCTGTGTAGTTTTATAATATGATTGTTTTAGTTCATTTATTCACAAATTCAGATTTTAGTGTGGCACAATAGGTGTGTTTAAAGCAGAACGTGCTTGAACTTTGTAATGATTGTCCTTCTACAAGATGCTGGACGCTGTTCTAAAGACACATATGTCATATGGTAAACATGTCTAAACAAAGTCCTACAAAGTTTATTTATTTATTTTTAAAATAAATATGTCTTTTGTTTTGTTTTTTTGAGATAGGGTCTCACTTTGTCACCCAGGCTGGAGTGCAGTGGTGCAGTCACAGCTCATGCAGCCTCACCTCCTGGCCTCAGGTGATCCTCCTGCCTCAGCTCTCTATTACTCCATTTTCACACTGCTATAAAGAACTACCTGAGGCCGGCCGGGCACGGTGGCTCACACTTGTAATCCCAGCACTTTGGGAGGCCGAGGCGGGCGGATCACCTGAGGTCAGGAGTTCGAGACCAGCCTGGCCAAAATGGTGAAACCCCCGTCTCTACTTAAAATACAAAAATTAGCCGGGCATGGTGGCAGGCGCCTATAATCCCAGCTACTCGGGAGGCTGAGGCAGGAGAATTGCTTGAACCCGGGAGGCGGAGGTTGCAGTGAGCCGAGATCGCGCCATTGTACTCCAGCTTGGGGGACAAGAGTGAGACTTCGTCTGAAAAAACAACAACAGCAACAAAACAACAACAACAAAGAACTACGTGAGGCTGAGTGCAGTGGCTCATGCCTATGATCCCAGCAGTTTGGGAGGTCAAGGTGGGTGGATCACCTGAGGTCAGTTCAACACCAATCTGGCCAACATGGTGAATGAAACTCCATCTCTACTAAATATACAAAAATTAGCTGGGCGTGGTGGCGCATGCTTGTAATCCTAGCTACTTGGGAAGCTGAGGCAGGAGAATGGCTTGAATCTAGGAAGCCGAGGTTGCAGTAGCTGAGATCACACCATGGCACTCCAGCCTGGGCAACAGAGCAAGACTCTGTCTCAAAAAAAAAAAAATAATAACTACCTGTGACTGGGTAATTTATAAAGGAAAAAGCTTGGTAGGGTGTGGTGGCTCACGCCTATAATCCTAGCAATTCGGGAGGCCGAGTTGGGCTGATCACGAGGTCAGGAGTTCGAGACCAGCCTGGCTAACGTGGTGAAACCCCATCTCTACTGAAAATACAAAAATTAGCCGGGCGTGGTGGCAAGCATGTGTAATCACAGCTCCTCTGGAGGCTGAGGCAGGAGAATTGCTTAAACCCGGGGGCGGAGGTTGCAGTGAGCCGAGATCACGCCACTCCGCTCCAGCCTGGGCGACAGAGGGAGACTCTGGAAAAAAAAAAAAAAAGCTTTAATTGACTCACAGTTTCACATGGGTGGGGATGCCTCAGGAAACTTACAATCATGGTGAAATGGGAAGCAGGGCACGTCTTACATTGCAGCAGGAGAGGTGGCAGAGGGCAGGGGGGAGACCACCACACACCTTTCAACTATCAGATCTTTTTTTTTTTCTTTTCTTTTTTTTTTTGAGACGGAGTCTTGCTCTGTCGCCCAGGCTGGAGTGCAGTGGCGCGATCTCGGCTCAATGCAAGCTCTGCCTCCCGGGTTCACGCCATTCTCCTGCCTCAGCCTCCCGAGTAGCTGGGACCACAGGTGCCCGCCATCACGCCCGGCTAATTTTTTGTATTTTTAGTAGAGACGGGGTTTCACCGTGTTAGCCAGGATGGTCTCGATCTCCTGGCCTCATGATCCACCCGCCTCGGCCTCCCAAAGTGCTGGGATTACAGGCTTGAGCCACCGCGCCCAGCCGAACCATCAGATCTTGTTAGAACTCACTCATTATCACTAGAACAGCATGGAGGAAACTGTCCAAATGATCCAATCACTTCCCACCAGGACCCTCCCTTAACAGGTGGGGGTTACAATTTGGGATGATGTTTGTGTGGGGAAACGGAGCCAAACCATATCAGCCTCACAAGTAGCTGGGACCACAAGCCTATGCCACTTATGCTGCACTAATAATTTTTAACATTATTTGTAGAGATGAGGTCTTGATACATCGTCCAGGCTGGACTCGAGTTCTTGAGCTCAAGTGATCCTTCCATCTCAGCCTCCCAAAGTGCTGAGATTAGAGGCTTGAGCCACCAGGCCCAGCCTATTTAATGTTTTGTTTTTTTAAAATTTATTAGAAAAAAAATTTTTTTTTTGAGACAGAGTCTTGCTCTGTCACCCAGGCTAGAGTGCAATGGTGCGATCTCGGCTCACAGCAACTTCCACCTCCTGGATTCCAGTGATTCTCCTGCCTCAGCCTCCCGAGTAGCTGGGATTACAGATGCCCACCACCACGCCTGGCTAATTTTTGTATTTTTAGTAGAGACGGGGTTTCATCTTGTTGGCCAGGCTGGTCTCAAACTCCTGACCTCACAGGTGATCCACCCGCCTCGGCCTCCAAAGTACTGAAATTATAGGCGTGAGCCACTGCGCCCGGACTAATGTTTTAGTTTTTTAAAGATAGAGATTGGCGTCTCACTATATTGCCCAAGCTAGTCTCAAACTTGTAGGCTCAAGCAATCCTCCCACCTGGGCAAAGATTACAGGTGGGAACCACTGTTCCTGGCTGAAAGTTTATGTTAAGTGTCATGAAGGGGCACTACCAAGTGCATAAAAAATAAAATACAGGCTGGGAGCGGTGGTCCACACCTGTAATCCTACCGCTTTGGAAGGCTGAGGCAGGAGGATAGCTTGAGTCCATGAGTTCAAAACCAGCCAATCCTATCTCAAAACAAGCAAACAAAGCTGGGCATGGTGATGTGTGTCTGTAATTCTAGCTACTCTGAAGGCAGAGGCAGGAAGGATCCCTTGAGCCTAGATGTTAGAGGCCAGCCTGAGCAACCTAGCGCAACACTGATTCTACAAAAAATAAAATACAGGCTGGCCGCGGTGGCTCACGCCTGTAATCTCAGCACTTTCGGAGGCCAAGGCGGGCCGATCACCTGAGGTCGGGAATTCCAAAACAGCCTGACCAACATGGAGAAACCCCATCTCTACTAAAAACACAAAATTAGCCGCCAGGCACCGTGGCTCACGCTTGTAATCCCAGCACTTTGGGAGGCTGAGGCGGGTGGATTACGAGGTCAGAAGTTTGAGACCAGCCTGGCCAATATGGTGAAACCCCGTCTCCACTAAAAATACAAAAAAAAATTATCTGGGCGTGCTGGCACGCGCCTGTAGTCCCAGCTGCTTGGGAGGGTGAGGCAGGAGAATCGGTTGAACCCGGGAGGCGGAGGCTGCAGTGAGCCGAGATGGTGCCACTGCACTCCAGCCTGGGCAACAGAGCAAGATTCCGTCTCAAAAAAAAAAAAAAAAAAAAAAAAAATTAGCCAGGAGTGGTTGTGCATGCCTGCAATCCCAGCGACTCCGGAGTCTGAGGCAGGATAATCGATTGAACCCGGGAGGCGTAGGTTGCAGTAAACCTAGATCGCGCCACTGCACTCCAGCCTGGGCAATAAGAGCGAAACTCCGTCTCTAAAAAATAAAAATAAAATAAAATAAAATACAAATTTAGTCCCAAGACAGTTGTGCCCATAGTCCCAACTATTGTCCCAGGTATTCAGGAAGCTGGGACAATAGCTGGTATTCAGGAAGGTGGGAGGGTTGTTTCAACCCAGGAGTCTGAGGCTGCAGTGAAGCCGTGATCGCTCTGCTACACTCCAGTCTGGGCAACAGGGTGAGACCCTGTGTCAAAAGAAAAAAAACTACATAATACATAAATACAACGCCATGATATATAAATCACGTTGTTTTTTGTTTGTTTTGTTTTGCTTTTGAGACGGAGTCTCACTCTGTCTCCCAGGCTGGAGTGCAATGGTGCGATCTCGGCTCACTGCAACCTCCACCTCCTGGGTTTAAGCGATTCTCCTGCCTTAGACTCCCGAGTAGCTGGGACTACAGGTGCCTGCCACCACACCCAGCTAATTTTTGTATTTTTAGTAGAGACAGGGTTTCACCATGTTGACCAAGCTGGTCTTTGAACTCGTAATCTCAAGTGATCCGCCTGCCTTGGCCTCCCAAACTGCTGGGATTACAGGTGTGAGCCACCATGCCCAGCCAAATCACCTGTTTTTAAACCATAGAAAAAGGGGAAGATAAATGTCAAAGGAGGACTGTATTTACAACTCAACAGTAAGGAAAATAAAGTCCTTGATTTAGATTCCCCCCCTTTCCAGTTTTCCACTTCTTTCTCCTCTCAAGCACCTTTTCTGCCTGGCAAGAAGCATGCAAAACAAACTACCCATTTGCTTTTCTTCTTCTTCTTTTTTTTTTTTTTTTTTTTTTTTTTGGAGACATAGCCTCACTCTGTCACCTAACCTGAAATGCAGTGGCTCGGTTAACTGCAACCTCCACCTCCCACCTCCCAGGTTCAAGCTATTCTCCTGACTCAGCTTCCCCAGTAGCTGGGATTACAGGCGTGCGCCACCATGCTCGGCTAATTTTTGTATTTTTTAGTAGAGATGGGGTTTCGCCATTTGGACAGGCTGGTCTCGAACTCCTGACCTCAGGTGATCCACTAACCTCAGCCTCCCAAAGTGCTGGGATTACAGGCATGAGCCACCGCGCCCGAACTACAATTCTTGGACGTCTCCATTAATTCTTACTGCTCTTCCATCCCCAATCTTGTCTTTCTCGGTGTCTTGATTACTTGAAAATCATCCCTTCGTCTCTGTTTCTCGAGCAGTGCCCCTTCCGCAACAGTACGCGCTCTCCTTTTTTTTTTTTCTTTTTTTCTTTTGAGGCAGGGTCTCAGTCTGTTGCCCAGGCTGGAATGCAGTGGCGCGATCTCGGCTCACTGCAACCTCCGCCTCCCGGGTTCAAGCGATTCTCCCGCCTCAGCCTCCCGAGTAGCTGGCATTACAGACGCCCGCCACCAGGTCCGGCTAATTTTTTTGTATTTTTAGTAGAGACGGGGTTTCACCATGTTGGCCAGGCTGGATTTGAACTCCGGACCTCAAGTGATCCGATCTCTTCGGCCTCCCAAAGTGCTAGGATGACAGGCGTGAGACACCGCGGCCGGCCGCGCTCTCCCTTTCTTGCACTCGTCTTTATCTTCTAAGCCCTCCACATGCTTTTAAACTGTCAGTCTTTTCATTTTTATTTCTTCCTCTTGGACGCATTTACCCAAATTGGCCCGAGGGAGGCTGAGACAGCAGATACGAAAGAAAAATGTGTGTATGCGTGAGTCTTTGGGTGGCGAAGAAGGAGGAGGAGGAATGTAGCTCGGGGCTCGGCCCCCGTGCTGGGATTCCGAGGGCGGGGGACAGGATGCGCGCGCGGCGGGTAGCGTGCCACACGGCACGTCCCGGCCGCTGCAGGAAGGCGGGGCTCAGGTCCCGCCGACTCCCACATGCTGGGGGACACCGGGAGCGCCTCCCACTCCCAGCCCGCCGGAGAGCCTTGCAATTTTCAGGAATCGGCGTCTTCTCTGGAAAGCCGCCAAAGGTTTTAAGAGGGTTTCGCCTTAAGGGCAGATGTTTTGTGCTAGGCCAGTAATCCTCAAACGTCCCTTTTAGCCCCACTCAGCTGTGTGAGTTTCCATCCCCATCCCCTCCTCTCACCCGACCACGTTGCCTCTTTAGCTGCAGGTCCTTTTATTGCTCTTCTTTCCCACGTACACTCCACGTTTCACATTTCACGCTTCCACACAGCCTCCTATGTTTACAAACTCTCTCCCTTCATTATGCCCGAGCAGCACGCTGAGTCTTTTTTAAAGTCAATTTTATGTATAAAATGTACACAATACAATTCAAACCTTTTAGGTGTGCAGGTGGACGACTTTTCTCTCTCTCTCTCTCTCTCACACACACACACACACACCAGTGTTGCCACTACCCCAATCCGCACAGAAATTTTCATCATCTTAGAAAGCTCAGCATCCTGAATCTTGGGCAGTTAGCCTGTCATTTTTCAATCACGACTTACAGGTTTTCTCCCTCACGCATTCACTTTTTCATATGTTGGTGAAATATTTACGTAAGTACCACGTATGAACCAAACACTACGGAAACAGAAACAACCGGGAAACTAGAGCAACTCAATGTAAAAGGGAAGGCGCATACAATAAGACACATACTTTTGTTTCCCCTTCACCTATAGTATTTCTGCTAATCCTTCCCCTTCCCCTTTAAAAACAATTAAAAAAATTTTTTTGTGAGTATGTAGTAGGTGTATATATTTATGGGGTCCATGATGTTTTAATGCAAGCATGCAATGTAAAATAATCACCTCATGGAGAATGGGGTATCCATCTCCTCAAGCATTTATGCTTTGAGTTACCCCCTCATCTTTTTAGACCCTCAGACAACTTAGTCAGCTGACCAATCCTTCCTGAGAAATAAATGTTCTTTTTCACCCTTTTTTTATGTCTTCCTGAGGAAGGCTGACGGTGAATGAAGCGCATTAGACTGAGAATAGCTGCTGAGTAGAAAACCGGTGGGAAAACAGAGAATTTCCTGGAGGCATGGGAGGGGCACGCTGTAATGAGTGGGAATGTCACAGGCGCTGTTTCAAAAAGAGTGGATGAAAGCCTGAGAATGCGGCTGTAAAGGCTACTGGAAGGCTCCTCGGGCAGGGGACAGGATGTGAGCCCCTGGAATAGACTCATAAAAGAAAATGTTAGCACATACCATTGAATTCACTGAGACACATGAGAAAATATGGGAAAGTCGGAGAGTGGAAGAAAATGTAAAGACCCCCCTCCTCCCCAAAGAGTACGTTGTGTAGTGGGGTAGAGTGGAAAATCAATCCAAGAAAAGTAGCAAACGGACCCAAAGATGAAGAGGAAGAAAAGAAACAGCAACACGAAACGAAAAAAAAAGCCACCAGATTTGTTGCAACGTTGATGTAAACCTGGCCGTCTTCCTGAACCAGTGACCCAGGGTTTCCGCTTCCCTTTGCTGTCATCTTGCTCAAGTCTAGAAGCTGAAATATCATCATCAACTCGACATGAGGGGATAACCTCTAGATCCACTCATCAGATGCTCATCAGACGTTCCAATTACAAAACTGAACCTCTTCTTAGTGCTGGGGCGGTTAGAATGCAAACATTTCAAGAAAAAAAAAACATTGTTTTCTAGTGGTGATAGAATTGAGGGTGAGTTCTTCCTTCCTTTATTTTTGTCTTTTATTTTTTTCTACTTTACTGAAGGGCACATGCAATAAAGCAGATAAAAATGCACTAATCTGGAGTTTACAGTTGGGTGAATATTTATATCTGTATTCACAGGCATAAACATTAACCGGATCAAGATCTAGATTTTTTTTTTGCACCACCATGCCCAGCTAATTTTTTTTTTTTTTTTTGAGATGGGAGTCTTGCACTGTCGCCCAGGCTGGAGTGCATGGCGCCATTGGCTCACCATAACCTCCAACTCCCGAGTTAAAGTGATTGTCCTGCCTCAGCCTCCTGCGTAGCTGGGATTACAGGCACGCGCCACCATGCCCGGCTAATTTTGTATTTTTTAGCAGAGATGGGGTTTCTCCATGTTAGTCAGGCTGGTCTGGAACTCCTAACCTCAGGTGATCCACCCCCCCGCCCCCCGCTCCTTGGCCTCCAAAGTGCTGGGATTACAGACATGAGCCACCGAGCCTGGCAAAATCTAGATTCTTTAACATTTCTTGCTCCTCAAAAAGGCTCCTTGTGCCGGTTCAAGTCTACAGCCGCCCTTGCCAGAAGAAACCAAGATTTTTTTTTTTTATTTTTCGAGATGGAGTCTTGCTCTGTCCACCCAGGCCGGAGTGCACTGGTGTGATCTCAGCTCACTGCAACCTCCGCCTCCCGGGTTGAAGCCATTCTCCTGCCTCAGCCTCCCGAGCAGCTGGGATTACAGGTATAAGCCACCACTCCCAGCTAGAAATCACAATTTTCACTTCTGTCATCATCAATGAATTTTGTTGTTCGTGACCTTTAAATGGAACCATACAGTATGTACTCTTTTGTGCTCAGATGTTTTTTTCACTGAGCATAGTGTCTATGAGTACTATGTGGTGGTGTTGGTAGTTCATTCCTTCTTACTGCTGAGTAGTATTCCACCTTTGGCTATGCCAACATTTATTTATCTATTCTCCCACTGATGTACGCGTTATTGTTTCCAGTTTTGAGCTATTATAAACATTCCTGTCATTTGCTCAATGTATGAATTCTTTTCTCTTGGGTGTATAATTAGGAATGAGATTGCTGGGTTGCTTTTTTTTTTTTTTTGAGACGGAGTCCTGCTCTGTCACCCAGGCTGGAGTGCAGTGGTGGCCATCTCGGCTCACTGCAACCTTCACCTCCTGGGATCAAGCGATTCTCGTGCCTCAGCCTCCTAAGTAGCTGGGATTACAGGCATCTACCACCATGCCCGGCTAATGTTTTTGAATTTTTAGTAGAGACAGGGTTTCATGATGTTGGCCAGGCTGGTGCTGAACTCCCGACCTCAGATGATCCACACACCTTGGCCTCCCAAAGCGCTGGGATTACAGGCGTGAGCCACCGCACCCGGCCTGGGTTGTTATTTTTTGGCAGTAAATAGTAAATTCTAAACAGAAACAAGTGGGCTACATCTTTGTCTTAATATGCGTATGGTATTTTAATAAAAATCTTTTAAATACATTATTTAAGTTGATCTTCAAACTTTAGTGTGAAGTAAAGTAGATAATGTTATCGCCATTTTACAGGTATAAAAGCTGAAAGATAATTTAAATGGCCAATTTAAGGTCATAATATCTCGTTTTTTTTTTTTTGAGACGGAGTCTCGCTCTGTCATCCAGGCTGGAGTGCAGTGACACGATCTTGGCTCGCTGCAAGCTCCGCCTCCTGGGTTCATGCCATTCTCCTGCCTCAGCCTCCTGAGTAGCTGGGACTATAGGTGCCCGCCACCACGCCCGGCTAATTTTTTGTATTTTTAGTAGAGACGGGGTTTTAATGTATTAGTCAGTATGGTCTCGATCTCCTGACCTCGTGATCCGCCTGCGTCAGCCTCCCAAAGTGCTGGGATTACAGGCGTGAGCCACCGTGCCCGGCCAAGGTCATAATATTAATAAGTTGTGAATTAGGATTAGAAACTGCATTTCCTAATTCCTAGCCAAGTTCATTTATGCTTACATATTCCTTTGATTTCACTGGCCTCGTGAGTGAAGAGGTCACCCAGTCATCCCCTTTGCCCAGGACTATCTCAGTTTTAGCACTGAAAGGCTCTGGGCAAACCTGGAAGGTTGGTCATTTTACAAAACAAAGAAAGGGGTCAGATAGATATCACAACTTGCAAATGGCAGAGAAAAACAAAACCAACTTGATTTAGCTCATTCATGCTCCTCCATTCCCAAAGGAAACTTTTTTTTTTTTTTTTCAGACAGAGTCTTGCTCTGTCACCCAGGCTGGAGTGCTACAATGTGATCTCCGCTCATCGCAACCTCTGCCTCCTGGGTTCAAGCGATTCTCCTGCCTCAGCCTCCCGAGTAGCTGGGATTGCAGGCGCACGCCAACACTCCCAGCTAATTTTTTGTATTTTTAGTAGAGACGGGGTTTCACCATGTTGGCCAGGCA
This sequence comes from Homo sapiens, assembly GCF_000001405.40. Classification (NCBI taxonomy): domain Eukaryota; kingdom Metazoa; phylum Chordata; class Mammalia; order Primates; family Hominidae; genus Homo; species Homo sapiens. The sequence continues at coordinate 7,975,056 of NC_000012.12, forward strand.
GGTCTCGAACTCCTGACCTCATGATCCGCCCGCCGTGGCCTCTCAAAGTGGGTGGGATTACAGGCATGAGCCACCATGCCCAGCAGGAAAGTTATTTTTAATCAATGAACAATAAAATATCCACACATTTATGCACTATGTTTATCAACTGTATTGCTTGACTTGGAGATCATCTAGACTAGTGCTACTGAAATTGTGGTCCATGGACCAGCAGCATCAGCATCTCCTAGGATCCTGTTAGAAATGCAAACTCACCAGGCGCGGTGGCTCATGCCTGTAATCCCAGCACTTTGGGAAGCCGAGGCGGGCGGATCAGGAGGTCAGAAGTTCAAGACCAGCTTGGCCAACATGGTGAAACCCTATCTCTACTAAAAATACAAAAATTAGCTGGGCGTGGTAGCGCGCACCTGTGATCCCAGCTACTCAGGAGGCTGAGGCAGGAGAATCGCTTGAACCCGGGATGTGGAGGTTGCAGTGAACCAAAATTGCCCCATTGCGCTCCAGCCTAAGTGACGGAGCAAGACTCTGTCTCAAAAAAAAAAAAAAAAACAGATTTCTGAGCAGAATTTTTCCATTGCTGGCTGGGCACAGTGGCTCGCGCCTGTAATCCCAGCACTTTGGGAGGCCAAGGTGGGTGGATCACCTGAGGTCAGCAGTTCCAGACCAGCCTGGCCAATATGGTGAAATCTCATCTCTACAAAAGAAATACAAAAATTAGCCAAGCGTGGTGGTGTGTGCCTGTAATTCCAGGTACTCGGGGGGGTAGGCAGGACAACTGCATGAACCCAGGGGGCAGAGGTTGCAGTAACCAAGATCTAGCCACTGCACTCCAGCCTGGGTGACAGCGCAAGATTCCGTCTCAAAAAAAAATTTTTTTTCCATTGCTTCAACTCACTCAGTAACCTTTCCCTACATGGAACAAATCCCATTGTTGGTAAAAAAAAAAAAAAAAAAGGAAAAAAGAAAAGAATCATCCTTATGAAATCGCTTATCTAACATTGTGATCCTTAATGAGAGTGCATAATATCATTTCAAGTTGGTTTTTTTCTTTATTGTCTTTTCCTAAGGCCATTCCAAGTGTATTTCATGTACCACTCGAAGTATGGTGTCCAGAACTAATCTTAGTGAAAAAACTATAGTACATCAAAAGACCTTGTGGTTACAATGTGAATATTCATAAGTTTTAAAAGAAAATATACGTGTGGCTGGTCTGAGTACAGTGGCATTTACAACTAACTGATCACAACCAGTTATGAATTTCTTCATTACTTTTCCACTCACACTGCTTCACTTGACCAGCTTTAAAAAGAAAAAAAGAACTATACATGTTTAAGAATCATGAGATCTGGCTGGGCGCAGTGGCTCACGCCTGTAATCCCAGCACTTTGGGAGGCCGAGGCAGGTGGATGACCTGAGGTGAGGAGTTCGAGACCAGCCTGACCCACATGGAGAAACCCTGTCTCTACTAAAAATACAAAATAAGCCAGGCAAGGTGGTGCATGCTTGTAATCCCAGCTACTTGGGAGGCTGAGGCAGGAGAATTGCTTGAACCTGGGAGGCGGAGGTTGCGGTGAGCCGAGATCACACCATTGCACTCCAGCCTGGGCAACAAGAGCAAAACTCTGTCTCAAAAAAAAAAAAAAAAAAAAAAAGAATCATGAGATCTAAAAACAGAAAGAAAGAATAATCTGAATCACAGAGAAGGGGAAAATAGATGACAGGTTAATTTACAACAGAAAGGATTTGCTGAATGAGTTTTGCCAGCAGGGACTGGATTTGGGCTCCCAATTTGTGTTTTCTTAGGGTTTAGTGTAACTTGGCTGGTATCAGTCTTCATAGTTTCTCTGTACTCTGTTCTAGGACTCAATCCAAAAGGTCACCTTCCAACTCCAATCTGGCTTCTCTTAGCCCATCTATTCTAGCTCTCTCTTTTCCTTCCCCTCATTCTTCCCCAGAGAGAGGTTGCTATGGGAATGGCATCGTCATAGAAAGCCAGCTGGTAGAGAGAAGCAGTGACAGAAGCAGAAACAAAAGGGTGCAGAAAGAAAAATAAAAGACGAAGGTAAAAACAATAGGCACAGACATAGGTGAGAATTGAGACGGTCAAGGCCAGGCGCGGTGGCTCATGCCTGTAATCCCAGCACTTTGGGAGGCCAAGGCGGGTGGATCACGAGGTCAGGAGATCAAGACCATCCTGGCTAACACAGTGAAACCCCGTCTCTACTAAAAAAAAAAAATACAAAACATTAGCCAGGCGTGGTGGTGGGCACCTGTAGTCCCAGCTACTTGGGAGGCTGAGGCAGGAGAATGGCATGAACCCAGGAGGCAGAGCTTGCCACCATGCACAGCCGAGATCGTGCCACTGCACTCCAGCCTGGGCGTTAGAGCGAGACTCCGTCTCAAAAAAAAAAAAAAGAGAATTGAGACAGTCAAAAGAGGAACTACACAGGTGATAAAATGCCATCAACACATTTACTTCTAGAAATGGATGGAGGCATTGCCCACAGTTAGAGGAACACAGCAGAGGAACCAAGGCAACAGACACGAGCAAACCCAGGGACCTGAAATAGATGTAGAGACACAGGAGGAGAGAGACACGGTCAGATGACAAACCCAATTTGCAGGATTCTGCAGAAAGCAGCTGCAGACAGAATCTAGCTAAGCATAGAGACTGTTTCAAGGCAGCGTTTATTTATCCTCATCTGCCTCCCTGAGTCATTTCTATTTCCAAGGAATGAAGCAGTGGGAGGTTATAAAGGGGTTACCTTCACTTCCTTATTGTTTTCCACTTTGTTTTCTTGCCTGTCATCTTCTGACGTGCACAGAAAGGAACCTCCCTAGGACAACCAAAAGCCAAGAATATGTCCCTTAGACACAACTCTTTTTTTTTTTTTTAAGACAGTGTCTCGCTCTGTCACCCAGGTTGGAGTGCAGTGGCCCGATCTCGGCTCACTGCAAGCTCTGCCTCCCAGGTTCATGCCATTCTCCTTAATCAGCCTCCCAAGCAGCTGGGACCACAGGTGCCCACCACCACGCCCAGCTAATTTTTTGTATTTTTAATAGAGACAAGGCTTCATCGTGTTAGCCAGGATGGTCTCGATCTCCTGACCTCGTGATCCTCCTGCCTCGGCCTCCCAAAGTGCTGGGATTACAGGCGTGAGCCACCGTGCCTGGCCTAGACACAACTCTTATATCTTGACTGTTCTTCAATATTTGTATTTTTGTCTTTTTTTTTTTTACAACTCCCTTTCTTGTTCTTTTTCTTTTTCCATTTGCCCCAGGTAGCTACCAACTTAATGCTCCTTATGTCTATCCCGTTCCTTTTTCCAGTCTCTATTACCTAGTCGTCCTTGTCCCCACCCCTCCTAGCCAAAATTTTTGCTTCTTCCAATTCCATTCTTTAACCGAGTTCTTACCTGGGCCTCTCAATCTTTGGACAAGACAACATCTTGATAAAAACATCCAGAGCCCAGGCGTGGTGGCTCATGTCTGTAATCGCAGCACTTTGGGAAACCAAGGTGGGAGGATTGCTTGAGTCCAGAAGTTCAAGACCAGCCTGGGCAACATGGCAAAACTTCATCTCTACAAGTAATACAAATAATTAACCAGGCATGGGGCCACTTGGAAGGCTGACATGGGAGGATCAGTCAAGCCCTGGAGGTCGAGGTTGCAGTGAGCCGTGATCATGCCACTACACTCCAGCCTGGGCAAGAGAGCAAGACTGTTACATACATACACATAAATCAATCAAGAAATAAGAGCTTTCTTTTTCCTTCTTTTTATTTTTTTGAGATGGAGTTTTTGCTGTTCTCACCCAGGCTGGAGTGCAGTGATGCAATCTCGGCTCACTGCAACCTCCACCTCCCGGGTTCAAGTGATTCTCCTGCCTCAGCCTCCCGAGTAGCTGGGACTACAGGTGCCCGCCACCATGCCTGACTAGTTTTTGTATTTTTAGTAGAGATGGGGTTTCACTGTGTTAGCCAGGATGCTCTGGATCTCCTGATCTCGTGATCCACCCGCCTCAGCCTCCCAAAGTGCTGGGATCACAGGGGTGAGCCACTATGCCCGGCTGAAATAACAGCTTTCTAAATCCAGAAAGATTTGAATGAGATTTTTTTTAAAGGTGATGTTGAAAAAAATTAAAATGTATATGCATCTATATTGAGAAAGCCTTCAAAATGCACAACGCTGTGCTGTACTAGGCAGGAAACTCAAAGTCCCTACCCTCAAGTTATAATCTGGTGCTGGAAGGGACAAGATAAGAAAATGCTAAAAAAAAAAAAAAAAAAAAAGCCAAGAATCATGAGATTTTATTCATGTGGAAACACCCAGAAAGGCTTCTTGAAGCGGGTATTTGGAATAGATCTTGAAACATGGGTAGACTCAGAGATAAGAGATGAAGATTAGAGGGTTGGGCACAGTGGCTCACGCCTGTAATCCCAGCACTTTGGGAGGCTGAAGTGGGTGGATCATGAGGTCAGGAGATCGAGACCATGCTGGCTAACAGGGTGAAACCCCATCTCTACTAAAAATACAAAATAAATTAGCGGGGCGTTGTGGTGGGCGCCTGTAGTCCCAGCTACTCGGGAGACTGAGGCAGGAGAATGGGGTGAACACGGGAGGTGGAGCTTGCAGTGAGCCGAGATGGCGCCAGTGCATTCCAGCCGGGGCGACAGAGTGAGACTCTGTCTCAAAAAAAAAAAAAAAAAAAATCAGAAAAGAGCATTTCGGGTGGGCGTGGTGGCTCACGCCTTTAATCCCAGCACTTTGGGATGCCAAGGCAGGCAGATGACCTGAGGTCAGGGGTTCGAGACCAGCATGGCCAACATGGGGAAACATGTCTCTACTAAAAATACAAAAATTAGCCGGACGTGGAGGCACACACCTGTAATCCCAGCAACTGGGGAGGCTGAGGCAGGAGAATTGCTTGAACCCGGGAGGCGGAGGTTGCAGTGAGCTGAGATCACGCCATTGCACTCCAGCCTGGACAACAAGAGCTGAAACTCCATCTCAGGGGAAAAAAAAAAAAAAAAGAGCATTTCAGTAAAGTGGAATGGCCTGGTAGCGGGGCGTTGTGGTGGGCGCCTGTAGTCCCAGCTACTCGGGAGACTGAGGCAGGAGAATGGGGTGAACACGGGAGGTGGAGCTTGCAGTGAGCTTAGATGGCGCCAGTGCATTCCAGCCGGGGCGACAGAGTGAGACTCTGTCTCAAAAAAAAAAAAAAAAAAAATCAGAAAAGAGCATTTCGGGTGGGCGTGGTGGCTCACGCCTTTAATCCCAGCACTTTGGGATGCCAAGGCAGGCAGATGACCTGAGGTCAGGGGTTCGAGACCAGCATGGCCAACATGGGGAAACATGTCTCTACTAAAAATACAAAAATTAGCCGGACGTGGAGGCACACACCTGTAATCCCAGCAACTGGGGAGGCTGAGGCAGGAGAATTGCTTGAACCCGGGAGGCGGAGGTTGCAGTGAGCTGAGATCACGCCATTGCACTCCAGCCTGGACAACAAGAGCTGAAACTCCATCTCAGGGGAAAAAAAAAAAAAAAAAGAGCATTTCAGTAAAGTGGAATGGCCTGGGCACATGTCTGGTGGTGGGCAGTTTGTGGGAAGGCTGGGGAATGGTGCTTAGTCCAGTTTAGCTGAGGAGTAAGGCACTTACAGAAGTCTAGTAAAAGATAACGCTGGAAAAGCAAGTTCGGGGATGCTGCAGCAGTCTTCGAATACCACTGGTGCTAGCTCAAGTGTAAGCCCTCAGGTGAGGGATGAACTAAATTATTTATTATTTATTTTGTATTATTATTTTATTTATTTATTTATTTTGAGACAGAGTCTCACTCTGTCGCCCAGGCTGGAGTGCAGTGATGCGATCTCAGTTCACTGCAACTTCCGCCTCCTGGGTTCAAGTGATTCTCCTGCCTCAGTCTCCTGAGTAGCTGGGATTACAGGCACCCGCCACCATGCACAGCTAATTTTTGTATTATTAGTAGAGATGGGGTTTCACCATGTTGGCCATGGCTGATCTCGAACTCCTGACCTCGTTATCAGCCTGCCTTGGCCTCCCAAAGTGCTGGGATTACAGGCGTGATCCACCACTCCCGGCCTTAGTTTTTGTATTTTTGGTAGAAACGGGGTTTCACCATGTTGGTCAGGCTGATCTCGAACTCCTGACATCAGGTGATCATCCACCTCAGCCTCCCAAGTGCTGGGATACAGGTATGAGCCACCGCACCAAGCATTCTGTGCTTTTTTAAATCTCGTCTTTCTATTGCTTTCCTCGACCCCAACCCTGAATCCCAACTTGATTGCTTCAGAGGCTTTCTTGATAGAAATGCATTTGGTACAACGGCGGAAAGCGTTTTCTGCAAGCAGTCTTCTCTCACCTCTGTTTTTAGAACAAAGACAAGGTTGGAAGTTAGAAAACCTGGGTATCAGCAAAGACTATGGTACAGACTGTGCTACAGACTTCGCAAAAACTTAAGTCATTAAACCTGTGTCTCAGTTCTCTAATTCCAGAAGGTGGACTTATGGCTGAAGAAGAAGAATGCTAGCTATTTTATTCTGTGCAATCTCAAGAGTTCTACAAAGGTACTGCCCAAACAAATACTTCCTGATCCATGCATGTGAAGTAGTCATTACCCGAGAAGAAAGGTGAAAAATTATGTAACTGTTCTTTTTTTTTTTTGAGATGGAGTTATGTTCCTGTTGCCCAGGTTAGAGTGCAATGGCACAATATTGGCTCACTGCAACCTCCGTCTCCCGGATTCAAGGGATTCTCCTGCTTCAGCCTCTGGAGTAGCTGGGATTACAGGCACCCACCACCAGGCCCAGCTACCTTTTTGTATTTTTAGTAGAGATGGGGTTTCACCATGTTGGCCATGCTGGTCTTGAACTCCTGACCTCAGGTGATCCACCCACCTCGGCTTCCCAAAGTGCTGGGATTACAGGCATGAGCCACCATGTCTGGCCAAATTATATAACATTTTAACTACTAATCAGATATTCACTTATCAGTCCTCTTTCAAATATATACTTAAAACTTCCAAGTTTTTGGAGCCTTTCCTTGGTTCATGTTTGGGTCTGGAACATATAGACATAGTCAATATATAATTGAATAAATGACTGGCTGACTGAATAAACCTCTAGCTCTAAATATAAAAGCATTGAGATCAGGAAACATCACTGTTCTCTATCTTAAAAATAATAAAAACGTAATAAGGAAAAAAGCATTAGGAAAAGGTTTTTTTTTGCCACTAGATTCTAAGTGGTAACATAGAATTTGAAGAATCAGAAGCATGTGAAAAGAGTGACTTAGTTGTATCTGGGTGTGGCTGAGAAAGAATTTTTCTCCCCTTTCATCTTTTAATCTCCATCAGACATTGCTCCTCTCAGGTAGCCTGAGAATGAAGCTATTTACTTCTGTCTCATTAGTTCTTCTTTGATCCTGACAGCTGCAGTCAATACAAAAGAAATGCCACAGCCCCAGGAAAAGATTCCAATGTCCCCACGTGGAGGACGTGCAGAGACAGCATCATTCTTTGTCTCCCACATTCTTATCTACCTGGTGACAGGACAGTGACTTCTGCCCCCTTCTCTCTCACTAATAAGTAGCTAGTCAACATGATTAGTATAGCCTCATTCCAAAATAGCTACATGTCTCACTAGGGGTCCTAAAAGATAAGAACAGAGCTTCTAGTTTAAATTGTATTGTATTTACTTAGTTTTTAGAGATGACAGAAGAAAAGTGGGATTACTTACCTCCTCAAGAAAAACCTTACAACTGTAACAAATGAATAAACATGGGGAAGAGAAACAAAAGGCCAAAAAGGCAATGGGATATGGTAAGAATATAATTTTTCTTTAAATAACAGTATATGAACATTGTGTCCAAATTTAATCATCGGGCACTGTTAATATTGAAAAAATTATGGAGATTGAGAATGATGACAGAAAAATGTAAACTTTTCCATTTTAAAAAAGTGGAAAAGAAACAGTGCTTCATTATTTTCCTACTAAAGTCTAGAAAGATTATTAACAGATGATTTGTATGCAAGAAGAGAGCAGTGATAGGCCGGGCACGGTGGCTCACACCTCTAATCCCAGCAATTTGGGAGGCCGAGGCGGGCGGATCACCTGAGGAACGGAGTTCAAGACCAGCCTGACCAATATGGAGAAACCCCATCTCTACTAAAAATACGAAATTACCTGGGCGTGGTGGCACATGCCTGTAATCCCAGCTATTTGGGAGGCTTGCTTGAACCTGGGAGGCAGAGGTTGCGGTGAGCCGAGATGGTGCCATTGCACTCCGGCCTGGGTAACAAGAGCAAAACTCTGTCTCAAAAAAAAAAAAAAAAAAAGAGAGAGAGAGCAGTGATTAGTTGGAAGCAGAATTATTTCATTAAGTTTAAAACTTTTCTAACTTTTTCCCATAAAGTTAATAAAATCAGAGAAATACCATAGTCCTAAATATGGATATTACTGACATTTGGAGCCAGACAATTCTTTGTTACAGAGGCTTGTCCCATGCATTACAGAATGGTTAGCAGAATCCCTGGCCCCTCCCCACTAGAAGCTTGTAATCCCTTTCCTGTAATCATGACAACAAAAATATCTCCAGGTATTGCCAAATGTCCACTGGGAGCAAATCACCACTGTTTGAGAACCACTGCCTTAGACAGACACCACGCACCTTGATTTCAGCAAGACATCTCAGAAAATCTCCAATGAGATCCTGTGCAAAAGGCTGAAATACCTCACCTATCTGACACTCAACTGTTTGGGAAACTCATTTATTTTGAATATACGCAGGAGGAAACAAGGAAAGAAAACAGGATTTCTCGCTAGAATTCAAAGCATAACTCATAGGAAGGCTTTGGTTCCTCTCAGGAAGCACTTTCTCTCTCCTTTTTTTTTTGAGACGGAGTGTTTTTTGACAAGGAGCTCTTGTCTCCCAGGCTGGAGTACAATGGCACAATCTTGGCTTACTGCATCCGCTGCCTCTGGGGTTCAAGCGATTCTCCTGCCTCAGCCTCCCTAGAAGCTGGGATTACAGGTGGTTGCCACCACGCCCAGCTAATTTTTGTATTTTTAGTAGAGACAGGGTTTCACCATGTTGGCCAGTCTATTCTCCAACTCCTGATCTCAGGTGATCTCCCTGCCTCGGCCTCCCAAAGTGCTAGGATTACAGTCGTAAGCCACTGCGCCCCGCCTCTCCTTTTAAATTATTACAAAATCTCCCAAACATACAAAGCAAAATGTTAATATCTGATAGCTTAAATTGGTTATTTAATTTCCAAATCCAACAACGGATAAGAAGAAAGTAAGAAGAGACATTGTGGCCAGGCGTGGCGTGGTGGCTAACGCCCATAATTCCAGCACATTGGGAGGCCGAGGCAGGTGGATCACCTGAGGTCAGGAGTTCAAGACCAGCCTGGCCAACACGGTGAAACCCTGTCTCTACTAAAAATACAAAAATTAGCTGGGCATGGTGGCATATGCCTGTAATCCCAGAGACTTGGGAGGTTGAGACAGGAGAATCGCTTGAACCCAGGAGGCAGAGGTTGCAGTGAGCCAGGATTGTGCCATTGCACTCCAGCCTGGGCAACAAGAGCAAAACTCCATTAAAAAAAAAAAAAAAAGAGAAGAAGAGACATTGTATGCCACAGGTAGGAACTCTGACACAATCATGAAAATAAGAAAGAAAATAGCGCCGGGCAAGGTTGCTCATGCCTGTAATCCCAGCACTTCGGGAGGCCAAGGTCGGCGGAGCACTGGAGGTCAGAAGTTTGAGACCAGCCTGGCCAACATGGTGAAATCCTGTCTCTGTTAAAAATACAAAAATTAGCCGGGCAAGGTGGTGTGTCTCCAAAAAATAAAATAAAAAAAAAGAAAACACAAATTATAAAAGTCAACCATATTTCTGAAGGAATGGCAAATCCGAGGGATGATACTCCTACATTTTGTGTATTATTTGGGTCATGTTAGTCCTTGGCATCCTACCTGAAAAGGCATATGACCAGCCAGGATGATGACATGTCTGGAAACAGGTCCTGAAGGACAGCTGGAGAAACTAAGATTGTTTGTTTAGATTAGAAAATATAAGATGTAGCCTGGGTGCGGTGGCTCACGCCTGTAATCTCAGCACTTTGGGAGGCTGAGGCGGGCAGATCACCTGAGGTTGGGAGTTTGAGACCAGCCTGACCAGCATGGAGAAACCCATCTCTACTAAAAATACAAAATTAGCCGAGTGTGGTGGTGCATGCCTGTAATCCCAGCTACTCGGGAGGCTGAGGCAGGAGAATCACTTGAACCCGAGAGGCAGAGGTTGTGGTAAACCAAGATCGCACCACTGTACTCCAGCCTAGGCAAAAAGTGTGAAACTCCGTCTCTAAAAAAATAAATAAATAAAATAAAAGATGCTGGGAGAAAATGTGATAACTCTCTTCCAATATTCGATGTGCTTAGAAAAATATGTACTTTTCAGGAACCCCGAATGGAAATGGACATCAAATTTATATAACATTTATAGTCACCTTAGTGTAATGGCAAGAACTTTCTGATAACTAGAGCTATCGAAAATATAATGGGCTGCCTTGTAAGTTAGTTAAGTTTTTCACTGATGGCTTTCCCCCTGACTTCCAGAGTCATATATCACTTGATCTTGGCCAAAAGGCTGAGAAGTGATCAGAGTCATATATATATATAGCCTGTCTTATTTGTACCTGGGTGGTCAAAAAGCATCTCAAATTAATCATAGCCAAAGGAGAAGTCCTGTTTATTTTTCACACTCTCAAATCTTTTCCTTCTCTAGTCTTTTACATCTCAGTAAATGTTATCACTATTCACTCAATTCCAAAAGCTAGGAGTTATTTAGGATTTTTCTCTTTCCCACTCCTTCCATATCCAGTCCATCAACAAAAACTGTTATCTTGGCCAGGTGTGGTGGCTCATGCCTGTAATCCTAGCACTTTGGGAGGCCGACGCGGGTGTATCACCTGAGGTCAGGAATTTGAGACCAGCCTGGCCAACATGGTGAAAGCCCGTCTCTATTAAAAAAAAAAAAAATTAGCTGGGCGTTGGTGGTGGGCATCTGTAATCCCAGTTACTTGGGAGGCAAAGGAGGCTAAGGCAGGAGAATTGTTTGAACCCAGGAGGCAGAGGTTGCAGTGAGCTGAGATTGCGTCACTGCACTCCAGCTTGGTCAACAGAGCAAGACTTCGTCTCAAAAAAAAAAAAAAAATAGTGTAGAATAAATCAATGGTGTTGTCATACAATAAAATACTCTGTAGCCATTAAAAAGAATGAAATATCACAATATATATTGATTTGAAAACATCAAGCCAGGTGTGGTGGCTCATGCCTGTAATCCCAGCACTTTGGGAGGCCGAGGCAGGCAGATCACCTGAGGTCAGGAGTTCCAGACCAGCCTGACCAACATGGTGAAACCCTATCTCTACTAATAATACAAAATTAGCTGGGCGTGGTGGCGCGTGCCTGTAATCCCAGCTACTTGGGAAGCTGAGGAAGGAGAATCGCTTGAATCCAGCAGGCGGAGGTTGCAGTGAGTCGAGATGGAGCCATTGTACTCCAGCCTGGGCAACAAGAGCAAAACTCTGTCTCAAAAAACAAACAAACGAAAAAACAATGTCATGTTTTATTGTGGCTATTTTGAGAACGGGCTGTGCACAGTGGCTCACACCTGTAATCCCAGAACTTTGGGAGGCTGAGGCAGGAGGGTCACCTGAGGCCAGGAGTTCAAGAACAGCCTGGGCAACAAAGCAAAATCTCATCTTGGGCGTGGTGGAACCAGATCTACTAGGGAGGCTACTAGGGAGGATTGCTTGAGCTTTTGAGTTTGAGGTTGCAGTAAGCCATGATTGCACCACTGTACTCCACCCTAGGCAACAGAGAAAGATCCTATCTCAAATCAAAACAAAAGCAAAGGGCGGGTGTGGTGGCTCATGCCTGTAATTCCAGCACTTTGGGAGGCCGAGGCGGGTGGATCACAAGGTCAGGAGATCAAGACCATCCTGCCTAACACGGTGAAACCCCGTCTCTACTAAAAATACAAAAAATTAGCTGGGCGTGGTGGTGGGGGCCTGTGGTCCCAGCTACGCAGGAGGCTAAGGCAGGAGAATGGCGTGAACCCGGGAGGCGGAGCTTGCAGTGAGCCAAGATCGCACCACTGCACTCCAGCCTGGGCGGCAGAGCGAGACTCCCTCTCAAAAAAAAAAAAAAAAAAAAGCAAAACCAAAAAAACCTTTTGAGTATGTGTATATATTAGCACACATATTATGTACACACATTGTAAATGAATATAGACACATTCTACTTGAGTACATGTATAATTTTACAAAAATGGCATCATATAACACATGTATCATGTCAGCATTTTGATATTTTTCTCACCCAACAATATATCATGGAAATTACTTACATCAATACATTCAGATATGCTTCACAATGGTATGTAATGTGTCTGGGAACCCCATAATTTACTGTCCTTTTAGGTTGCTTTGCTATTACAAATATTGCTGCAATAAACATACTTGTCAATTTATCCTTGTGAATTCCTTTTTGTTTATTTATTTATTAATTAATTAAGAGATGGAGTCTCACTCTGTAACCCAGGATGGAGTACAGTGGTGCAATCTCGGCTCACTGCAACCTCCACCTCCCAGGTTCAAGTGATTCTCCTGCCTTAGCCTCCTGAGTAGCTGGGATTACACGTGTGCGTCACCATGCTTAGATAATGTTTATTTTTTAGTAGAGGCAGGGTCTCACTATGTTGCCCAGGCTAGTCTCAAACTTTCAGGCTCAAGTGATCCTCCTGTGTCAGCCTCCCAAAACACTGTAATTATAGGTGTGAGCCAGTGTGCCCAGCCTCCATTTCTTTGTGAATTTCTGAGGGTATTTTGTAGAAAAAACTTGTAGATATGGAATTGCTAGTTCAAAGTTACATGTATTTTAAATTTCAAAAAGAATTGCTAAATTGCCCTCTCTTGAATAACTAATTTTTATTCCTGCTATTATAATTATATAAAGAGTACCTTTTTGTTAGAGCCCCGCCAAAACTGATATCCATCTCTTTTTAATTGTGCAAGCTCATAGGTGAAACAGAATATCATTTCTGTGCTGATGGTTAGCAAAGTATATTCACACACATTCATGTTTTTACTGTAGTTGATAAGATTTGCGTGGTTTGCTTCCTCATACAAGATACCCACCATTACTTCAAAAAAGGCAGTGGCAAAAAGTATGTTTAGAATGATCTAATTTTTTTTTTTCTTTGAGACGGAGTCTCGCTTTGTCGCTGAGGCTGGAGTGCAGTCACGCGATCTCGGCTCACTGCAAGCTCCACCTCCCGGGTTCACACCATTCTCCTGCCTCAGCCTCCCGAGTGGCTGGGACTACAGGCGCCCGCCACCACGCCCAGCTAATTTTTTTAGTAGAGATGGGGTTTCGCCGTGTTAGCCAGGATGGTCTCGATCTCCTGACCTTGTGATTCACCACCCTCGGCCTCCCAAAGTGCTGGGATTACAGGCGTGAGCCACCACGCCCGGCCAATTCTTTTTTTTTTTTGAGACAGGGTCTTGCTGTTACCCAGGCTGGAGTGCAGTTGCACGATCTCAGCTCACTGCAGCCTCAACTTCTGGAGCTCAAGTGATTCCCCCATCTCAGCCTCCCCAGTAGCTAGGACTACAGATGCTCACCATCATGGCTGGTCTTGAAGTGTGTAATTTTTATAGAGACAGGGTTTCACTTTATTGCCCAGACTGGTCCCGAACTCTTGAGATCAAGTGATTCACCCGCCCCTGCCTTCCAAAGTGCTGGGATTATAGGCATGAGCCACTGTGCCTGGCCTCAATTCTTTTTTTTTTCCTGAGACAGAGTCTTGCTCTATCATGCAGGCTGGAGTGCAATGGCAGGATCTCAGCTCACTGCAACCTCCACCTCCCAGTTCCAGCAATTTTAGTGCCTCAGCCTCTCAAGTAGCTGGGACTACAGATGCACACCACCATGCCCGGCTAATTTTTGTATATTTTGTTGAGATGGGGTTTTGCCATGTTGGTCAGGCTGCTCTCAAACTCCTGACATCAGGGGATCTGCCCACCTTGGCCTCCCAAAGTGCTGAGATTACAGGTGTGAGCTACCACACCTCTTCCCTTAATTCTTATAAATAAATGAATTATACAGAAACACATACACCGGGTGCAGTGGCTCATGCCTGTAATCACAACACTTTGGGAGGCCGAGGCAGGTGGATCACCTGAGGTCAAGAGTTGGAGATTAGCCTAACATGGAGAAACCCTGACTCTACTAAAAATATAAAAAATTAGCTGGGCATCGTGGCGCATGCCTGTAATCCCAGCTACTCCGGAGGATGAGGCAGGAGAATCGCTTGAACCCAGGAGGCAGAGGTTGCGGTGAGCCAAGATCACTCCATTGCACTCCAGCCTGGGCAATAGGAGCGAAACTGTCTCAAAACAAACAAACAAATGAACAAAAGACAGAAACACATACACACATGCACATGTGCTGCACAGGAAAAAAAAATGGAGCATTATACCAAACTATTAATAGTGGTTAACTCTAATGAGTAGTATTATAGTAACCTTTCACTTATCTGATTTTTCTTTGAAATAATAAAAATTTAAAAATAAGCATGCTTTGTTTTATAGCAAAAAATAACACTCAGTGGAAAATACATTTAAACACAGACTGGATTATATCATTGTAGTGCTCAAAACTCTTCAATGGCTTTCTGCCAATAGAATAAAATTCATATTCATTATTGTAGCACTCAGGGCTTTACACAATTTATCTTAATTTCCATTTACTTACTCCTATCTAATCTGGTCACACCAGACTACCTCTGCATTCTTTTTCTTGTAATTTTCTCTGCTTGAAATATGTTATTTACCCTTTCTGTCTGTTGACACACCCTTCAAGGTCCAGCTTAAATGTTCCTCTGCTCTTGTTCTTTCCAACTCTGAGAAATAACCATGCTTTCCTGAGTGTTTACCGTTCATTAGAGAGGAAGCATAGGAAACTTATAAGACTCATAACTTCCTGTGGGGACACTGCATATGACTGTGCAGATTGCATCTGACTGCGTGCACATTGGGGTTTATGGAACTGGTGCCGCCCAGGGTCAGGCGGTGCACAACTTCTGGTCTTGAAGCGGGGACGTGGGGACAGACACATAACTCAGGCAAGAGGTAGTAGGGGTGTGAAAGTGTCTAGGCAGTCTTCCTCTTTAAGTAGTAGTCACTCTAACAAAGTAAGATGGAGAGAGATAAGATTAAGTAGTGTGATAGGTTGAGGGTACAGTGTGAGCATGGGCTTGAAGTATGGTGTGTTTGTGATTTCAGCATGACTGCAGTGGGGAGTGCCAAGGGGTGAGAAGAGGCCAGAAGGAGAGCAGGGATAATATCACAAATATCCAAGCATGCCAGGTACGACAGGTCAAGGAGTTTGGAATTTTTTTTTTTTTTTTAAGACAGAGTCTTGCTCTGTCTGGAATGCAGTGGCACAATCTCAGCTCACTGCAACCTCTGCCTCCCAGGTTCAAGCGATTCTCCTGCCTCAGCCTCCCAAGCAGCTGGGATTACAGGCGCCTGCCATCATGCCCAGCTAATTTTTGTATTTTTAGTAGAGACGGGGTTTCACCATATTGGCCAGGCTGGTCTCGAACTCCTGACCTCAGGTGATCCGACGCCTTGGCCTCCCAAAGTGTTGTGATTACAGGCCTGAGCCACCGCACCCAGCCTGGACTTTCTTCTGAGTACCCCAGAGAGCTGGTAGGTTACGTGCAGTAGTAACATGATTGAATTTGGATTTTAAAGAGATTACTGACTACACTGTAGAAACTAGTAAGGAGGCTGTTATACAAAGAGATGACGAGTACTGAAACTGAAGTACTGGCAGTGGCTCAGAATCTCAGGTACATCTAATGCAAAAGTACATCTAATGCAAACTTCAGCTTTCCAGTACACTTCCTTGAGAGGCACATCTCATGATTTCTTGTTTGATTTCATTTTTACTCAACACAGATGGGAAAAATAGGACATAGGCACAGTTATGATAAAAAAAAAAAAAAAGAAAGAGCTATGACAAAGCAAGAAAAGTAACACAGAATCTGACCTTGGAGTTTTCATTCAATAAACATTTAATGATCAATTACCATATATTGGGCCCTCCTGGCACTGTTCTCTGTATACTCATGGAGAGATACCACATTCTTATGTCTTAAAGCCATTGCTGCGTTTCTAGATACGTGCTATCTGCTTGTACGGAAGAGGCTTTCTGAAGTCTGGTTGCCCTCGTTGTAGGAGAACATCTTCTAACAAATATTTGAGCCAGTCTAAGTTTCTTTCTTCACAACAGAGGCAAGGGTACATATTCACTACAAGATCAAGTGCTGACAACTTGGCATTTGCTCCTTCTTCTTTAGCATTTTTGACCTTGAATCCTACTGGTCTTGGAATAACTATGAATAACTTTATGTCCATCCCCTGCAAGAAGCCTGTCTCGCCTTTCCCTCTCTCTGCCATGTTGGAATGAACTATTGTTACCCAGACCTTTCACAGTTTTCACCAAGGGGATTTCCCCATGTCTGGGGCATGTTTATATTCATTTCTAATTGATCCATATCACTCTCCCTCTCCTGTTTGGCTTCTATTGCAGCCACTTTGGAGCCACAGATAAGATTTAAAGCCTAAGAAAAACAGAAGAGGTGTCTGGGAGGGAGCATAGGCAAGACAAGGGGAAAACTGAAGCAAGTTGACAACCCCCAGGCAGTAGGTACAGGAATCCCTGTCTACAAAGTCCTCTATTGCCTAGAGACACCAGTTCATACTTAAGTTTCAGAGTTAGTTTCTGGGAACACTAAGAACTATGATCTGCAAGGTTTTTCTAGTTCTATATCTAGTTCTAAAATTTTACAATTCCCATTGTAAGATATCACCAACATATCTATTCACAAGGTTCATTTGTAAAGAGACCTAAGCAACTCTTTTTTTCGTAAACAATTCTTAATTAAAATTAGGATTGAGGATTTGAGACTCGTAGATACATTTGGGAATAGTAGAAGTTAAACTTCTGGGATTTATCCTATAGTTCCTTCAGGAGATTCCTATAAAAGCTATCGGGGCTGGGTGCGGTGGCTCACGCCTGTAATCTCAGCACTTTGGGAGGCCGAGGTGGGCAGATCACGAGGTCAAGAGATTGAGACCATCCTGGCCAACATGGTGAAACCCTGTCTCTACTAAAATAAAATACAAAAATTAGCTGGGTGTGGTGGCACGTGCCTGCAGTCCCAGCTACTCGGGAGGCCGAGGCAGGAGAATGCCTTGAATCTGGGAGGCGGAGGTTGCAGTGAGTCAAGATCACACCACTGAACTTCAGCGTGGGCAACAGAGTGAAACTCCGTCTCAAAAAAACAAAAACAAAAACAAAAACAAAAACAAAAACAAAAAAAACCTATCTAAAACATTGGTTCCTTTTGGTTTCTCTGACAATCTGAACATCATTAGCAAGACAAAATAATATTAGCTAGAAAATTAAAGTTGTGCGATATGTTTTGAAGGAAAGTAATTTCTTAAGATGATGGATAAAAGAAATAGGTAGGGTTGCCAGATTTAGCACAAACAAACAAACAGGATATCCAGTTAAATTTGAATTTCAGATCAAAGATGAATACTTTTTAAAGCATAAATATGTCCCATATAATGTTTGAGACATAGCTATACTAAAAAGCAAACAAACAAAACACTATTTTATCCAACAATCTTAAACAGGTTGCTAAAGTTCTGTTCCACCCAATAGGCTGTTAGGAGGATTAAATTAGATAAAGTGCGGCCGGGCGAGGTGGCTCACCCCTGTAATCCCAGCACTTTGGGAGACTGAGGCGGGCGGATCACGAGGTCAGGAGATCGAGATTATCCTGGCTAACACGGTGAAACCCCATCTCTACTAAAAACACAAAAATTAGCCGGGCATTGTGGTGGGCGCCTGTAGTCCCACCACAGGTGGTGGGCTGAGGCAGAATGGTGTGAACCCGGGAGGCGAAGCTTGCAGTGAGCCGAGATCGCGCCACTGCACTCCAGCCTGGGCGACAGAGTGAGACTCCGTGTTAAAAAAAAAAAAAAAAAGAAAAACTATCTCTAATGCATCTTAAACTTTTACCAGGGTGCAAGAAGAACAATTTAAGAGTGCACGGCTGCTGAGGAAGAGCACTGTGACAGCATCGATGGAAATTATTAAATGGAGCAGAACCTTATACTCTGGAACTTTGCTTAGGGTTTGCTTACCAACTGATGCTGCTAAAATTTTAGCAGTCATTAAGAGTCACTTCAAAGGCTTCTTAATACAGATTTTCTGATCCCATTCTGCTGAGATTCTGACTCAGCAAATCTGGCGTGGAGCTGAGAATTTGCATGTCTAACAGCCTCCCTGAAGATGCTGATGTCAGTCATCCATAGATAACCACCACACTTGAAGTAGTACTGGATTTATTTGTTTTGGAATGGTGCGGTGGCCCACGCCTGTAATCCCAGCACTTTGGGAGGCCGAGGCAGGCTGATCATCTGAGGTCAGGAGTTTGAGACCAGCCTGGCCAACATGTCGAGACCCCATCTATACTAAAAATACAAAAAGTAGCCTGGCGTGGTGGCAGCTACTTGGGAGGCTGAGGCAGGAGAATCCCTTGAACCCAGAAGGCGGAAGGTGCGGTGAACTGAGATTGCGCCACTGCACTCCAGCCTGGGCAACAAGAGTGAAACTCTGTCTCAAAAAAAAAAAATTAAGAAGATAATTGTTATAGGGACATATATTAATATTTTTATTTGAGATAAAAAAAGAAGTCAGGCTTCCAAAGCCAAAAGATTTGGCTCACAGGTTTGCCTACAAACAGTAGCTTTGTCATTTAGTTTATATTTCTATAAACTGAATGATCTTTGTCTGTATGCCAAGGTTTTTGTTTGTTTGTTTTTTAACTTAAAATCTACAAAGCTTTTGTGTATGGTTTGTACAGCTTTGGGGACAAGTGAAGGGCTGAAACTTCGTTGTGCAGTTTTGTGGGATATGTAGAGGCTGAAATACAGCCTGCAATCCACTGGCCAGGCTCTCCTCCTCATCCAGAGGAAGGAGCACATTTTTCTTTACACAGGGGTACCATTCCTAGAAAACCTGCTTTTTCCCAGAAGGGCACCTTTGCCTAATTTGCAGAAAGGCACTGGAAAAGCTAGCAATGGCCCTGAAAGCATGTATACCAAATACCGGACAGCAGAAATTAATCCCTGGAAGCTACTTAAACACAAAAAAAATTTTCTTAGATGTCACTTAAAAACATGTGGAAGGAATCGCTTGAACTCGGAAGGCAGAGGTTGCAGTGAGCTGCGATCGCGCCAGTGCACTCCAGCTTGGGCGACAGAGCGAGATTTCGTCCCACCACCCCAAAAAAAACAAACAGTGTAGAGGAAATACATAGTTTTTTTTTTTTTTTAATTATTACCTGAGTAAACAAACCAAA
Source organism: Homo sapiens (assembly GCF_000001405.40). Lineage (NCBI taxonomy): Eukaryota > Metazoa > Chordata > Mammalia > Primates > Hominidae > Homo > Homo sapiens. The sequence continues at coordinate 7,994,591 of NC_000012.12, forward strand.
AGAAGAAGAAGAAGGCCATTGCTCCAAACTCTCTTTCAATGTTGCTCTAGTGCCTATTCCTCACCTTGCACTGCCAATCTGCACATCTCCCCTCTCTGGTTCTTCTTTTTGGCTGCTGCTTTCTTTAAACAACTAATATTTATGAAAATAGTTGACAAGTAAGTGCAGTGGTGAGCAGTCTCAATTCCTGACTCAATACTGATGGAAGCAATCTGTTTAACAACCTCAGAAAGACTGTGTGAGTCATTTGTGGATTCTCATCTGGAAATGATCCTAAATCCTAGAATCTTCACCACAAGGCTGTTTTTCTTGCAGTGATTCTTGGAGTCTTGACATTCAAACTGGTTCTTCAAGCTGGGATTCTTTCCCTTCGGGTCTCTGATCCAATCAGCGCACACCTTCTCCAAGGATTTCCCGCTGTGGCTGGTTGGGGTAATCCTCATTCAGTGAATTGTCACCTCTGGTTCCAAGAGTGTATTTCCGGAGTTTTGTAAAGTCTAGGGCGGCGTGCCTATTCCAACTAGTTCCTCAAGGAATGGCCAAGAGGACATGGCTGTCCCTCCTAGAGCCCTCTGCTACTTTTCAGGCCTCATTATACTCTCGCAATTTCCTTTCCTTTTATCTTCTCCCTGATCTTCTCCCTAAATGTTCCCAAATTTATCCTCTTCTCTGAGGGCTTTGCTTCTTCAGGCCTAACTAAATACACAATCCACAAGCCACTGATCTCACCTCAGCTGCACCTATGCTAATTCTCACTTCCAGTTTTTCTCCAAGGCCAGTACTGGGAGGGATGGCGCAAAGATATACACTGCCACCTGGTGGCCAACTGCTAACCAGCTCTGGTAATACCAAGGATGTTACTAGCACCATAGCAACGGGCTCTGGAGGCGGATTTGCAAAAGCACCAGGCGTGGGCAGAACAGTGTCACTTCCTTCTTTGGTAGTAGCATCTCTCTGCCTGGAATTATCTTTCCAAATCTATTTCTCACAAAATTCTTTTCATCTTTCAAAGTCCATATAAATGCCACTTTTACCATGATCCCCTTCCTGATCCTTCAAGTTAGCGGATCTCACTTCTCTGAAAGTACTACAGGGTAGGTTCAGCATTTCGCTTGTAACTCTTACGATGCTGCTCTTTGCCTACTTCAAACTGTTGCTCATCCCCTAAAAACTCAGCTCCTTTTCAGTGCATGCCATCAGGATATTGTAATAATCTGCTGATCTCCTGGGTCACTTCCCCCACATTCTCTGAAAATTTAGAAGCCTGATTCATTCTCTTAGTTTACACCATTCCTACTGTCATCAGTCCTGGCTATTCCATGATGCATGGAGACAATTCATCGAATAGGCTGGCCGTCAGTTTCTTGTCCACTCATTTCCAATCATCTTGTTTTCCAGTCCACCTCAGTCATTTATTCCCATGGTTAATACCCTAGCCCTGGTTATTTATAATAAATGGGCTCGGCTGGGTGCGGTGGCTCACACCTGTAATCCCAGCACTTTGGGAGGCTGAGGTGGGTGGATCACGAGGTCAGGAGTTCAAGACCAGCCTGGCCGGGATGGTGAAACCCCATCTCCACTAAAAATACAAAAATTAGCCGGGTGTGGTGGCAGGTGCCTGTAATCCCAGCTACTCAGGAGGCTGAGGCATAGAATTGCTTGAACCTGGGAGGTGGAGGTTGCAGTGAGCTGAGATCACACCAGTGCACTCCAGCCTGGGCAACAGAGCAAGAGTTCGTCTCAAAAAAAAAAAAAAAAAAAAAGGCTGCTTGTAAAACCTGTATTATTTTGCATCTCACACTGACCATCACTTCCTCTCTAACCATTTCTTGATAGAAGCAGGATCTCTACACTATTAACCCTCTCAACTTTTCACTGCCCATCACTCTTCTATTTTTACTTTCCACATCACCCGACTTAAATTCTTTGATTCATCACCCTAAACGCTTCCTTGCATAAATGAGCAACTCCTGGGCACTCCCTTCCCCCGTCACATTCTCTGGTAAGAACGCAACTTTTGGCCAGGTGCGGTGGCTCACACATGAAGTCCCAGCACTTTGGGAGGCCAAGGCAGGCAGATCGCTTGAGGCCAGGAGATCAAGACTATCCTCGTCAACATGGTAAAACCTCGCCTCTACTAAAAAAAGAAAAAAAAAATGGCATGAAAATTGCTTGAACACAGGAGGCGGAGGTTGCAGTGTGTCGAGATCACGCCACTGGACTCCAGCCTGGGCGACAGAGCGAGACTCTATCTCAAGGTGTGCTACATTTGAAAAGAACTGTTTGAGTTCTCTAATTTATATAAACAGCCATCTGGAGAAGAGGTATGGGAACGGATATTAAGGGTATAGGATAATGGTGGAAGCAACATAGAGTTGGATCAGGCTGAATTTATTGATTTGGGCCCACTAAGTAGGGACTCTGCTTTTAATGTTGCAGCTCGGAAAGTTACAAAACCTTCTAATGTTTATTTGCTTGGTTAGCTGAAATATGGATTACAAGATGGCCCACTGTGAGCGAGCTGGAAATGCCTGATCTCCCTTGGTTTAATGTAGAGGCAGGGATCCAAAGGCTTAGGGAGATTGGGATGGTGGAGTGGGTTAGTCACTTTAGACCTACTCATCCCGGCTGGGAAGGTCCAGAAGATATACCCTCGACCAATGCCGTGTGAAATAGATTTGTGAGGGCAGTACCTGCATCTTTGAGGAGCCCTGTAATTGCTCTTCTCTGTATGTCAGAATTTTTTTTTTTTTTTTTTTTTTTTTTTTTTGGAGACAGTCTCACTCTGTCGCTCAGGCTAAGAGTACAGTGGTGCAATCTCGGCTCACTACAACCACAGCCTCCCAGGTTCAAGTGATTCTCCTGCTTCAGTCTCCTGAGTAGCTGGGATTACAGCCACCCCCCACCCCCCAGCACTATGCCCAGCTAATTTTTTTTTTTTTTTTTGTATTTTTAGTAGAGACAGGGTTTCACCATGTTGGCCAGGCTGGTCTCGAACTCCTGACCCCATGATTCACCCGCCTCAGCCTCCCAAAGTGCTGGGATTACAGGCATGAGCCCCCACGCCCGGCCTGTATGTCAGATCTAACAGTGGGAACCGCAGTCACTCAACTACACAAATTAAATACAATGGGAATAATTGGATGCCAAGGTGGCAGGAGCCAAGTGGTGGCACTCAACCATCAAAGACAAGGTAGGTGTAGCTACCATAATGAACAGCAGAGGCAAAGTGGCAATCAGAATAGTCTGACTCTTGTAGAGCTCTGGCATTGGCTAATCACAGTGTTCCTATAAGTGAAATTGATAGGAAGCCTACTGCATTGTTACTTAATTTATACAAGCAGAAAACTTCTAGATTTAGTGGACAAAAAATGAATTTGAATTATAAAATCAGAGAATCACCGCCACTCAATTGATTTCCAGACCTGAGCCAGTTTACAGACCCAGAACCCCTTGAACAAAGGGGAGACCGGGTCTCCTTGAGGAAGGACCCCATTACATTACTGATCATTTATGTAATGAATCTTTCTCCCATCCTTCCCCAAGGAGACCTCTGTCCTTTTTTTTTTTTTTTTTTTTCTGAGATGGAGTCTCACTCTGTCACCCAGGCTGGAGTGCAGTGGTGTGATCTCGGCTCACTGCAACCTCCGCCTCCTGAGTTCAAGCGATTCTCCTGCCTCAGCCTCCTGAGTAGCTGGGATTACAGGCATGTGCCACCACGCCCGGCTAATTTTTGTATTTTTAGTAGAGATGGGGTTTCACCATGTTGGTCAGGCTGGTCTTGAACTCTTGACCTTGTGATCCATCTGCCTCGGCCTCCCAAAGTGTTGAGATTACAGGTGTGAGCCACCGTGTCTGGCCAACCTCCATCCTTTTACCAGGGTAATTGTGCATTGGGGAAAGGGAAATGATCAGACATTTTGAAGACTACTGGACACTGGCTCTGAGCTGATGTTGATTCCAGGGGACCCAAAACATCATTGTGGTCCTCCAATTAAAGGAGGGGCTTATGGAGATAAGGTAATTAATGGAGTTTTAGCTCAGGTCTGACTTACAGTGAGTCCAGTGGGTCCCCGGACTCATCCTGTGGTCATTTCCTCAGTGCCAGAATGCATAATTGGCATAGACATACTTAGCAGCTGGCAGAACCCCCACAGTGGCTCCCTGACTGGTAGGGTGAGGGCTATTATGGTGGGAAAGGCCAAATGGAAGCCAACAGAGCTGCCTCTACCTAGAAAAATGTAAATCAAAAACAATATCTCATCCCTGGAGGGACTGTGGAGATTGGTGCTATCATCAAGGACTCGAAAGACACAGAGGTGGTGATTCTCAGCACATCCCCATTCAACTCTCCCATTTGGCCTCTGCAGAAGACAGGTGGATCTTGGAGAATGACAGTAGATTATCGTACGCTTAGCCAAGTGGTGACTCCAATTGCAGCTGCTGTACCAGATGTGGTTTCATTGCTTGAGCAAATTAACACATCTCCTGGTACCTGGTATGCAACCATTGACTTGGCAAATGCCTTTTCCTCCATTCCTGTCCATAAGGCCCACCAGAAGCAATTAGCCTTCAGCTGTCAAGGCCATTAATATACTTTTACTGTCTTACCTCAGGGGTATATCAACTCTCTGGCTTTGTGTCATAATCTTATTTGGGGAGATCTTTTTTTTTTTTTTTTTTTTTTTTTTTTTTTTTTTTGAGACGGAGTCTCCCTGTGTTGCCCAGGCTGGAGTGCAATGGCGCGATCTCGGCTCACTGCAACCTCCGCCTCCCGGGTTCACGCCATTCTCCTGCCTCAGCCTCCCGAGTAGCTGGGACTACAGGCGTCTGCCACCTCGCCCGGCTAATTTTTTGTATATTTAGTAGAGACGGGGTTTCACCGTGTTAGCCAGAATGGTCTCGATCTCCTGACCTCGTGATCCGCCCACCTCGGCCTCCCAAAGTGCTGGGATTACAGGCGTGAGCCACCGCGCCCGACCTCATTTGGGGAGATCTTGATCACTTTTTGCTTCCACCAGCTATCACACTGTTCCATTACACTGATGACATTATGCCGATTGAATCCAGTGAACAAAAAGTAGCAAACACTCTGGACTTATTGGTGAGACATTTGTGTGCCAGAGGATGGGAAATAAATCCGACTAAAATTCAGGGAACTTCTACCTCAGTAAAATTTCCAGGGGTCCAGTGGTGTGGGGCCTATTGAGATATTCCTTTTTTTTAGAGATGGAGTCTTGCTCTGTCGCCCAGGCTGGAGTGCAATGACACGATCTCGGCTCACTGCAACCTCCGCCTCCCAGGTTCCAGCGATCCTCCTGCCCCAGCCTCCCAAGTAGCTGGGATTACAGGCTACAGGCTACACCATGCCCAGCTAAATTTTTTTTTTTTTTTTTTTTTGAGACGGAGTTTCACTCTTGTTGCCCAGGCTGGAGTGCAATGGTACAATCTCGGCTCACTGCAACCTCTGCCTCCTTGGGTTCAAGCGATTCTCCTGCCTCTGCTTCCTGAGTAGTTGGGATTACAGGAATGTGCCACCATGCTCAGTTAATTTTGCATTTTTAGTAGAGATGGGATTTCTCCACGTCGGTCAGGCTGGTCTCAAACTTCCAACCTCAGGTGTTCCACCCGCCTCAGCCTCCCAAAGTGCTCTGATTACAGGCATGAGCTACAGTGCCTGGCCCCTTATGCCTGGCTGATTTTTGTATTTTTTAGAAGAGACAGGGTTTTGCCATAGTTGGCCAGGCTGGTCTCGAACTCCTGACCTCGTGATCCGCCCGCCTCGGCCTCCCAAAGTGCTGGGATTACAGGGGTGAGCCATGGTGCCTAGCCTAATTTTTGTGTATTAGTAGAGACAGGGTTTCACCATGTTGGCCAGGCTGGTCTCGAACTCCTGACATCAAGTGATCCGCCTGCCTCGGCCTCCAAAAGTGCTGGGATTACAGGCATGAGTCACTGCACCTGGCTGAGATACCCCTTCTAAGGTAAAGGATAAGTTGCTGTATTTCGCCACTCCTATGACCAAGAAAGAGGCACAATGCCTACTGGGCCTATTTGGATTTTGGAGGCAACACATTCCTCATTTGGGTGTGTTAGTTTGGTCCATTTATTGAGTGACCCGAAAGGCTGCCAGTTTTGAGTGGGGTCCAGAACAGAAGGCTCTGCAACAGGTCCAGGCTGCTTCTGCCACTTGGGCCATATGACCCAGCAGATCCAATGATGCTTCAGGTATCAGTGGCAGAGAGGGATGCTCTCTGGAGCCTTTGGCAGACTCCCATAGGTGAATCACAGCAGAGACCTTTAGGATTTTAAAGCAAGGCCCTGCCATCTTCTGCAGATAACTACTCTCCTTTTGAGAGACAGCTCCTGGTCTGTTACTGAGCTTTGGCGGAAACTGAACGTTTGACTATGGGTCATCAAGTCACCATGGGACCTGAACTGCCTGTCATGAACTGGTTGCTTTCTGACTCATCTAGCCATAAAGTGGGTCATGCACAGTAGCATTCCATCATCAAATGGAAGTGGTATATATGTGATCGGGCTTCAGCAGGTCCTGAAGGCACAAGTAAGTTACATGAGGAAGTGGCTCAAATGCCCATGGTCTCCACTCCTGCCACCCTGCCTTCTCTCCCTGAGCCTGCACCGATGGCCTCATGGGGAGTTCCCTATGATCAGTCGACAAAGGAAGAGAAGACTAGGGTCTGGCTTACAGATGATTCTACACGATATGCAGGCACCACCCGAAAGTGGACAGCAGCAGCACTACAGCCCCTTTCTAGGACATCCTTGAAATACAGTGGACATCTTCCCAGTGAGCAGAACTTCGAGCAGTGCACCTGGCTCTGTATTTTGCATGGAAGGAGAAATGGCCAGATATGCGATTATATACTGACTCATGGGCTGTAGCCAATGGTATGGCTGGATAGTCAGGGACTTGGAAGAAGCATGATTGGAAAATTGGTGACAAAGAAATTTGAGGAAGACATGCAGATGGACCTCTCTGAGTGGTCAAAAACTGTGAAGATATTTGTATACCATGTGAGTGCTCACCAATGTGTTACTTCAGTGGATAGCATGACTCAGTGGATAGAATGACTCGTTCTGTGGACGCCACTCAGCCTCTTTCCCCAGCCACCTCTGTCATCACCCAATGGGCCCATGAACAAAGTGGCCATGGTGGCAGGGATGGAGATTACGCATGGGCTCAGCAACATGGACTTCCACTCACCAAGGCTGAGCTGGCTACGGCCACTGCTGAGTGCCCACTTTGCCAGCAACAGAGACCAACACTGAGCCCTTGATATGGCACCATTCCTTGGGGTAATCAGCCAGCTACCTGGTGGCAGATTGATTATATTAGACCTGTTCCATCATGGAAAAGGCAGAGGTTTGTCCTTACTGGAATAGACACTCTAGATATGAGTTTGCCTATTCTGCACGCAATGCTTCTGCCAAGACTACCAACCGTGGACTCACAGAATGCCTTATCCACCGTCATGATATTCCACACAGCACTGCCTCTGACCGAGACACTCGCTTTATGGCTAAAGAAGTGAGGCAGGGCAGGCGCCTGTAATCCCAGCACCTTGGGAGTCCAAGGTGGGCGGATCACCTGAGGCCAGGAGTTCGAGACCAGCCTGGTCCAACATGGTGAAACCCCGTCTCTACTAAAAATACAAAAATTAGCTGGGCACGGTGGCAGGCGCCTGTAGTCCCACCTACTTGGGAGGCTGAGGCAGGAGAATCACTTGAACCCGGGAGCTGGAGGTTGCAGTGAGCCGAGATTATGCCACTGCACTCCAGCCTGGGTGACAGAGTGAAACTCCATCTCAAAAAAAAAAAAAAAAAAAATAGCAGGGTGAGGTGGCCGGCACCTGTAATCCCAGCTACTCAGGAGGCTGAGGCAGGAGAATTGCTTGAATCCGGGAGGCAGAGGTTGCAGTGAGCTGAGATAGCGCCATTGCACTCCAGCCTGGGCAACAGAGCAAGACTCCATCTCAAAAAAAAAAAAAAGAAAAAAAAAAAGAAAAACTGTGGCAGTGGGCTCATGCTCATGGAATTCACTGGTCTTACGGTGCTCCCCATCATCCTGAAGCAGCTGGATTGATAGGACTGTGGAATGGTCTTTTGAAGTCAGAATTACAATGCCAACTAAGTGACAATACTTTGCAGGGCTGGGGCAAAGTTCCCCAGAAGGTCATGTATGCTCTGAATCAGCGTCCGATATATGGTACTGTTTCTCCCATAGCCAGGATTCACAGGTCCAGCAATCAAGGTGTGGAAGTGGAAGTGGAAGTGGCACCACTCACCATCGCCCCTAGTGATCCACTAGCAAAATTTTTGCTTCCTGTCCCCGCAACATTATGCTCTGCTGGCTTAGAGGTCTTAGTTCCAGAGGGAGGAACGCTGCTGCCAGGAGACACAAGAACGATTCCGTTAAACTGGAAGATTGCCACCTGGACACTTTGGACTCCTTCCTTTAAGTCACCAGGCTAAGAAGGGAGTTACAGTGTTGGCTGGGATGATTCACCTGGACTATCAAGATGAAATTAGTCTACTACTCCACCACAATGGAGGTAAGGAAGAGTATGCATGGAACACGGGAGATCTATTAGGGCGTCTCTTAGTATTATCATGCCCTGTGATTAAGGTCAATGGGAAACTACAACAGCCCAATCCAGCGAGGACTACAGATGACCCAGACCCTTCAGGAATGAAGGCTTGGGTCAGTCCACCAGGAAAAAAAACGACGACCTGCTGAGGTGCTTGCTGAAATCACAGGGAATACAGAATGGGTAGTAGAGGAAGGTAGTCAGCTGGGTGCGGTGGCTCACGCCTGTAATCCCAGCACTTTGGGAGGCCAAGGCGGGTGGATCGCAAGGTCAGGAGTTTGAGACCAGCCTGGCCAACATGGTGAAACCCCATGTCTACTAAAAATACAAAAATTAGCCAGGTGTGGTGGTGGGCACCTGTAATCCTGCTACTCGGGAGGCTGAGGCAGGATAATTGCTTGAACCCAGGAGGCAGAAGTTGCAGTGAGCCGAGATCGCACCACTGCACTCCAGCCTGGGTGACAGAGCAAGACTCTGTCTCGGGGCGGGGAAAAAAAAAAAAGAAGGTAGCCATTAATACCAGCTACAATCACGTGACCAGCTGCAGAAACGAAGACTGTAATTGTCATGAGTATTTCCTCCTTTTTTGTTAAAAACATGTTTGTGCATGTATACACTTGTACTAAGAAAATACCTTTATTGAGGCCGGGTGTGGTGGCTCACACCTGTAATGCCAGCACTTTGGGAGGCCGAGTCAGACAGATCACCTGAGGTCGGGAGTTCAAGAACAGCCTGACCAACATGGAGAAACCCCATCTCTACTAAAAATACAAAATTAGCTGGGCGTGGTGGCGCATGCCTGTAATCCCAGCTACTTGGGAGGCTGAGGCAGGAGAGTAGCTTGAACCCAGGAGGTGGAGCTTGCGGTGAGCCAAGATCATGCCATTGCACTCCAGCCTGGGCAACAAGCGCGAAACTGTCTCAAAAAAAAAAAAAAAAAGAAAGTATCTTCATTTTATTTCCTTTTCCTTTATCATGTGACATAAGATTTACTGACTTCATATCCGCATTTAAGTATTGTTAACTTTATATAATAGTATTTGGGCTGGGAATTGGTGCATTTCTGGTTGTATGGAGGATAGTTGTATTATGTTAGCCATAATTATGATCTCATTATTGTCTTTTTTTTTTTTTTGAGATGGAGTCTCACTCTGTCGCCCAGACTGGAGTGCAGTGGCGCGATCTCGGCTCACTGCAAGCTCCGCATCCCAGGTTCATGCCATTCTCCTGCCTCAGCCTCTTGAGTAGCTGGGACTACAGGCGCCTGCCACCATACCCAGCTAATTTTTTGTAGTTTTAGAGATGGGGTTTCACCGTGTTGGCCAGGATGGTCTTGATCTCCTGACCTCATGATCCACCTGCCTCGGCCTCCCAAATGCTGGGATTACAGGCGTGAGCCACCGCGCCCGGCCCATTATTGTCCTTAGTTGAAGATTATGTATGATCTCAGGAGATGTGTATGAGTTCAAGTTGACAAGGGGTGGACTTGTGATGGTTAATACTTAGTGTCAACTTGATTGGATTGAAGGATGCAATATTGATCCTGGGTGTGTCTGTGAGGCTGTTGCCAAAGGAGACTAACATTTGAGTCAGTGGACCGGGGAAGGCAGACTCTCCCTTAATTGGGCGGGCACCATCTAATCAGTCACCAACGAATATAAAAGCAAGTCAGAAAAACGTGAAAAGGAGAGACTGGCGTAGACTCTCAGGCTACATCTTTCTCCCATGCTGGATGCTTCCTGCCCTTGAATATCGGACTCCAAGTTCTTCAGTTTTCAGACTTGGACTGACTCTCCTTGCTCCTCAGCTTGCAGACAGCCTATTGTGGGACTCTGTTATCGTGTAAGTTAATACTTAATAAACTCTATCTATCTATCTATCTATTTATCTATCTATCTATCTATCTATCTATCTATCTATCTATCTATCTATCAATCAATCATCTATCTATCCTATTAGTTCTCTCCCTTTAAGAGAACCCTGACTAATACACATATGCCTTTCCCTCTATCTGAAACACTCTTTTTCCAGATCTCCTCATGGCCGGCTCTTTATGTCATTCTGGTTTCTGCTCAAGTTTACTGTAAAGAGGGCTTCCCTGACCACACTACAGGCACTTCTCGCTTTATTGTGCTTTGCTTTATTTAGTTTGCCCCTATTGCGTGTTTTTACAAAATTGGTTTGTGACAATCCTATGACAAGCAAGTCTCTTGGCCTCATTTTTCCAACAGCATGAGCTCACTTTGGATCTTTGTGCCACATTCCGGTAATTCATGCAAAATTTCAAACTTTTTCATTATTATTGTATCTGTTATCATGATCTGTGATCAGTGATTTTTGATATTACTATTGTCATTGTTTTGGCATGAACCACAGCCACATAAGACAATGAATTTAATCAATATATATTGTATGTGTTCTGACTGCTCCACCAACTGGCCATTCCCCCCGTTTCTCTCTCCTCTCTTTTCTCAGGCATCCCTAATTCCCTGAGACTATAATATTGAAATTAGGCCAGTTAATAACCCTACAATGGCATCTAAGTATTCAAAGTGAAAGAAGAGTCAAACAGCATTCGTTTTAAATAAAAAGCCAAAAATGATAAGGCTTAGTGATAAAGGCATGTCAAAAGCCAAGATAAGCCAAAAGCAAGGCCTGTTGCACCAAACAGTTAGCCAAGCTGTAAATGCAAAGGAAAAGTTCTTGAAGAAAATTAAAAGTGCTACTCCAGTGAACAAACAAATGATAAGGAAGTGAAACAGATGTATTGCTGATATGGAGAAAGTTTTAGTGGTCTGGATAAATCACTAAACATTCTCTTGGCTGGGCGCGGTGGCTCACACCTGTAATTCCAGCACTTTGGGAGGCTGAGGGAGGTGGATCACGTGAAATCAGGAGTTTGAGACCAGCCTGGCTAACATGGTGAAACCCGGTCTCTACTAAAAATACAAAAATTAGCTAGGCGTGGTGGCTCACGCCTGTAACCCCAGCTACTCGGGAGGCTGAGGCAGGAGAATCACTTGAACCCAGAAGGCAGAGGTTGCAGTGAGCTGAGATCACACCATTGTACTGCAGCCTGGGTGACAAGCGCAAAACTCTGTCTCAAAACAAAACCCAAAGAAAAACAAAAAAAGCCAGGCACGGTGGCTCACTCCTGTAATCTCAGCACTTTGGGAGGCTGAGGAGGGTGGATCACCTGAGGTCGGGAGTTTGAGACCAGCCTGACCAACATGGAGAAGTCCCATCTCTACTAAAAATACAAAATTAGCCGGACGTGGTGGTGCATTCCTGTAATCCCAGCTACTTGGGAGCCTGAGGCAGGAGAATCACTTGCACCCAGGAGGCGGAGGTTGCGGTGAGCCAAGATCATGCCATTGCACTCCAGCCTGGGCAACAAGAGTGAAACTCTGTCTCGAAAAAAAAAACAAAACAAACTAACAACAAAAAACATTCTCTTAAGCCAAAGCCTAATCCAGAGGAGGGCCCTAACTGTCTTTAAATTTTTTTTTTTTTTTTTTTTGAGATGGAGCCTTGCTCTGTTGCCCAAGCTGGAGTGCAGTGGCGCAATCTCGGCTCACTGCAACCTCCGCCTCCTGGGTTCAAGCGATTCTCCTGCCTCAGCCTCCCAAGTAGCTGGGCTTACAGGTGCCTGTCATGCCTAGCTAATTTTTGTATTTTTCAGTAGACATAGGGTTTCGACATGTTGGCCAGGCTGGTCTCAAACTCCTGACCTCAGGTGATCCACCTGCCTCAGCCTCCCAAAGTGCTGGGATTACAGGCGTGAGCCACTGTGCCCAGCCAATTTTCTTTAATTTTATGGAGGTTGAGAGAGGTGAGGAAGCTGCAGAAGAAAAGTTAGAAGGTACCAGAATTTGGTTCGTGAAATTTAAGAAGCTGTCTTTATAACCTAAAAGTGCAAGGTGAAGCAGCACCTGCTGATATAGAAGCTGCAACAAATTATCCAGAAGATCTAGCTAAGATAATTAACAAAAGTGGCAACACTTAACGACAGATTTTCAGTGTAGATGAAACAGCCTTATATTGGAAGAAGATGCCATCTAGGACTTTTATAGCCAGGAAGGAGAAGTCAATATCTGATTTCACAGCTTCAAATGATAGGCTGACTCTCTTTTTAGGGGCATTAGCTTCATTATGTAAATCTGCTCGGCTTATGCCCTATAAATGGAACAACAAAGCCTGGATGACAGCATATCTGTTTATAGCATGGTTTACTGAATTGTTTTTTTTTTTTTTTTAATTTTTAACTTATTGGCTGGGCATGGTGGCTTACACCTGTAATCCCAGCACTTTGGGAGGCTGAGGTGGGAAGACTGCTTGAGCCCAGGAGTTCGATACCAGCCTGAGCAACATAGTGAGACTCCACCAATTAAAAAAATTAATTTTTATGGGTGTATAGTAGGTGTATACATTTATGGGGCACATGAGATATTTTAATACAAGTATACAATGTGTAATAATCACATCAGGATAAATGAGGTATCTATCACTTCAAGCATTTATGATTTCTTTGTGTCACAAACTTTCCAATTATACTTTTTATTTTTAAGTGTACAATAAACTGTTTACTGTAGTCACCCTGTTGTGCCATCAAATACTACATCTTATTCACCCTATTTAAATATATATATACACATTTGAGACACAGTCTTGTTTTGTCACCCAGGCTGAAGTGCAGTGATGTGATCTTGGCTCACTGCAACCTCCGGCTCACAAGTTTAAGCAATTCTCATGCCTCAGCCTCCTGAGTAGCTGAGACTACAGGTGTGCACCACCACGCCCGGCTAATTTTTTGTATTTTTAGTAGAGACGGGGTTTTGCCAAGTTGGCCAGGCTTAACTATATTTTTGTACCCATGAGCCATACCCACTCCTCCCGCCTCCACTACTGATCTCAGCCTCTAGTAATCATCATTATATACTCTATCTCCATAAGTTCAATTGTTTTAATGTTTAGTTCCCACAAATGAGTAAGAACATGTAAAGTTTGTCTTTCTGTGCCTGGCTTATTTCACTTAACATGATGGCCTCTAGTTTCATCCACGTTGTTGCCAATGACAGGTTCTCATTCTTTTTTATGGTTGAATAGTACTCCATTGTGTGTGTGCATATATACACACACACACACACACACACACATATATACACACACACACACACACACAGAGCACATTTTCTTTACCCATTCATCTGTTAATGGACACTTAGGTTGATTCCAAATCTTGACTGTTGTGAATGGTGCTGCAATAAACATTTGTATGTCTTCTTTGAGAAATGTCTATTTAGATATTTTGCCATTTTTAAGTTGGAATTTACTGAATATTTAGATTTACTGCTCAGAGAAAAAGATTCCTTTCAACATATTACTGCTTACTGGCAACACACCTAGTCATCCAAGAGCTTTGATGGAGACATACAAGAAGACTGATGTTGTTTTCATACCTGTTAATATTGCATTCAGGTGGCAGCCCACAGATCAAGGAGTAATTCTGACTTTCAAGTTTTATTATTTAAGAGATATATTTCATATGGCTTATAACCACCATAGATAGTGACTTCTTGGATGGATATGGGCAAAATAAATTGAAAATCTTCTGGAGAGGATTCACCATTCTAGATGCCATTAAGAACATTTGTGGCCAGGCATGGTGGCTCATTCCTGTAATCCCAATGCTTTGGGAGGCAGAGGCAGTCATATTGCTTGCTTGAGTCTAAGCTGGGCTTGAGTCCGAGAGTTTGAGACCAGCCTGGGCAACGTGGTGAAACCCTGTATCTACTAAAAATAGAAAAAATTAGGTCGGGGGAGAGGTGGGACACAGTGGCAGGTGCCTGTAGTCCCAGCTACATGGGAGGCTGAGGTGGGAGGATCACCTCAGCCTGGGAAGTTGAGGTTGCAGTAAGTATGGTTTACTGATTTTTTTTTTTCTAATGCTTAACTTATTGGCTGGGCATGGTGTGATCATACCACTGCACTCCAGCCTGCGTGATGGGAGTGAAACTCTGCCTCAAAAATAAATAAATAAAAAAAGAATTTCCTACCACCAAATTTTTAAAAAAAGAACATTCATAATTCATGGGAGGAGCTCAAAATATCAACATTAACAGGAGTTTGGAAGAAGTTGATTCCAACCCTCATGGATGACTTTGATGGGTTCAAGACTTGAGTGGAGGAAGTAACTGCAGAAGTAACTGCAGAAATAGCAAGAGAACTAGAATTAGAAGTGGAGCCTGAAGATAAGGCTGAATTGTTGCAATCTCATGAGAAAACTTGAATGGATGAGGAGTTGCTTCTTATGGATAAGCAAAGAAAGTGGTTCTTAACATGGAATCTACTCCTAGTAAACAGCCTGTGAATATTGTTGAAATGGCAACAAAGGATTTCAAATATTACATAAATTTAGTTAATAAAGCAGTAACAGGGTGTGAGAGAACTGACTCCAATTATGAAAGAAGTTCTACTGTGGGGAAAATGCTATCAAACAGCATCACATGATTCAGAGAACTCTTTCGCGAAAATAAGAGTTAATAGATGCAGCAATTCTTCTTCTTCTTCTTATTATTATTTTGAGATGGAGTCTTGCTCAGTCACCCAGTCTGGAGTGCAGTGGCGCGATCTCAGCTCACTGCAAGCTCTGCCTCCCGGGTTCACGCCATTCTCTTGCCTTAGCCTCCCGAGTAGCTGGGACTACAGGCACCTGCCACCATGCCTGGCTAATTTTTTTTTTTTTTTTGTATTTTTAGTAGACACGGGGTTTCACCATGTTAGCCAGCATGGTCTTGATCTCCTGACCTCGTGATCCACCCCGCTCGGCCTCCCAAAGTGCTAGGATTACAGGTGTGAGCCACCGCGCCTGGCTATTATTGTCTTATTTAAAGAAATTGCTACCACCACCCCCAGCCTTCGGCGACCACGACCCTGATCAGTCAGCAGCCATCAACGTTGAGGCAAGACCCTCCACCAGCAAAAAGATTGTGACACGCTCAAGGCTCAGGTGATTGTTAGCATTTTTTTTTAGCAAGAAAGTATTTTTAACTTTTATTTATTTATTTATTTATTTATTTATTTATTTATTTATTTTTGAGATGGAGTCTCGCTCTGTAGGCCAGGCTGGAGTGCGATGGCGTGATCTTGGCTCACTGCAAGCTCCGCCTCCCGGGTTCATGCCATTCTCCTGCCTCAGCCTCCCGAGTAGCTGGGACTACAGGCGCCCGCCACCACACACAGCTAATTTTTTGTATTTTTAGTTGAGACGGGGTTTCACTGTGTTAGCCAGGATGGTCTCATTCTCCTGACCTCGTGATCTGCCTGCCTCGGCCTCCCAAAGTGCTGAGATTACAGGCATGAGCCACTGTGCCCGGCCTATTTATTTATTTTTTTGAGACAGAGTTTTGCTCGTCACCCAGGCTGGAGTGCAATGGTGCAATCTCGGCTCACTGCAACCTCCGCCTCCCACGTTCAAGCGATTCTCCTGCCTCAGCCTCACAAGCAGCTGTGATTACAGGCATGCGCCACCACGCCTGGCTAATTTTTTTGTATTTTAGTAGAGACGGGGTTTCACCATGTTGGTCAGGCTGGTCTCGAACTTCTGACCTCAGGTGATCCGCCCGCCTCTGCCTCCCAAAGTGCTGGGATTACAGGTGTCAGCCACCGCGCCTGGCTGTATTTTTATATTTTTTCGAGATAGAGTCTTGTTCGGTCGCCCAGGCTGGAGTGTAGTGGTGTGACGTCAGCTCACTGCAACCTCCTCCTCCTCCTGGATTCAAGCGATTCTCCGGCCTCAGCCTCCTGAGTAGCTGGGATTACAGGCTCCCGCCACCACGCCCAGATAATTTTTTTGTATTTTTTGTAAAGACGGGGTTTCACCATGTCAGCCAGGCTGGTTTTGAACTCCTGACCTCAAGTGATTCACGCACCTTGGCCTCCCAAAGTGCTAGGATTACAGGCGTGAGCCCCCACGCCCGGCCGCAAGAAAGTATTTTTAAATTAAGGTATATACATTTTTTTTAGACACAATGCTATTGTACCCTTAACAGACTACAGTATAGTGTAAACATAACTTTTACGTGCACTGGGAAGCCAAAATATTTCTATGATTCACTTTATTGAATACTAGCTTTATCACAGTTGTCTGGAAACAAACCTGCACTATCTCTGAGGTGTGCCTGTATTTAGAATAATCAGTATCCTTCCTCTCTAACCATTCCACCATTTTTTATCCCCTTATCTTGCTTTATTTTTCTTCTTAGAATTTATCATTTCCTTCTCTATCAGGGCAGTCCCAGGCACCAACAGTGCCTGTAGTATAATAGCTACTTGAGAAATATTTGAATGAATGAGTCATAAAGAACTACTATATCTTCCCAGAAAATTAACCTGTAAATTGCTTTGTTAGAGAAAAAAATACTTGAATAAGCCGGGCGTGCTGGCTCACGCCTGTAATCTCAGCACTTTGGGAGGCCGAGGCGGGCGAATCACCTGAGGTCAGGAGTTCGAGACTAGCCTGGACAATATGGTGAAATCCCGTCTCTACTAAAAATACAAAAATTAGTGGGGCGTGGTGGCGGGTGCTTGTAGTCCCAGCTACTCAGGAGGCTGAGGCAGGAGAATTGCTTGAACCTGGGAGGCAGAGCTTGCAGTGAGCAGAGATCGTGCCACTGCACTCCAGCCTGGGCAACAGAGCGAGACTCTGTCTCAAAAAAAAAAAAAAAAAAAAAAAGAAAAAGTACTTGAATAAAAGAATAGTATGTCTGGCTGGGGCGCGGTGGCTCATGCCTGTAATCCCAGTGATTTGGGAGAACAAGGAGGGTGGATCACCTGAGGTCAGGACTTTGAGACCAGCCTGGCCAACATGGCGAAACCCCGTCTCTACTAAAAATACAAAAATTAGCAGGGCTGTGGTGGCACATGCCAGTAATCCCAGCTACTCTGGAGGCTGAGGCGGGAGAATTGCTTGTGCTCAGGAGGTGGAGGTTGCCATGAGCTGAGATTGTGCATTGCACTCCAGCCTAAGTGACAAGAGTGAAATTCCAACTCAAAAAATAAATAAATAAATAAACAAATAAATAAATTAGCTGGGTGTCGTGGCGTGCACTTGTAGTCCCAGCTACTCGGGAGGCTGAGGCAAGAGAATCGCTTGAACCCCGGAGGTGGAGGTTGCAGTGAGCTGAGATTGCACCACTGCACTCCAGCCTGGGCGACAGAGTGAGACTCCATCTCAGAACAAAACACACAAACAAAAAAAACAAGTAACTTCAGGTCTTAAGTAGTAAGATCTAATTGTTAAATAAGTACGGGAGGCACAGCCAGGCTCTGCAGTAGGGGGAGTTGGGTGGGGAGCTGGGATTGGGGGTGGGGGGCACAGCAGCTTCCTTCTTGGTTGGTACAGGAATAAACACCCAAAAAAGGGGATCGTTCTCTGACTAATTTCTGTGTCTCATATCTTGTTTTATTTATTTTCTTTATTATTATATTTTTTCCTTTTTGTGGAGAATGGGGTCTTGCTATATTGCCCAGGCAGGTCTCGAACTCCTGGGCTCAAGCTATCCTCCTGCCTCTGCTTCCCTAAGAGCTGGGATTACAGTCATGAGCCACCGCGCCTCATATCTTGCTTTTACAGTGCTTCCTCTAAAGTCCTTCCAAAACAGTCTTAACAATTGTCATGTAAACCTATCATCTTTAAAATGTGTTGACTCCTTAGGAAGAGGAACTGCTACCCTTCACTAAGTATGCTCTGCTTCTCTAAGTATGTCTATTAAAATGTTCAGGAAAAAATCTGAGAGTCTGAGATGCAAGGCATTTAAGATGCCAGTGAGTTCCCAGAAAGCAAGCTTAGTGAGTATTCCCAGAGGTGATCACATGTCGCAAATCCTTCACTTTAGGCATTATGTAATTTAACCACTAGATGCTGTCTATCCTACCTTCCAACCCATTCCAAAGGCTCATATGTTGCTTAATACCTTTTGTGAGTCTTTTCAGAGTATGCAAGTATAGGACGGGCGTGGTGGCTCACACCTGTAATTCCAGCACTTTTGGAGGTCAAGGCAGGCAGATCACCTGAGGTTAGGAGTTCGAGACCAGCCAGGCCAACATGGTGAAATCCTGCCTCTACTAAAGACACAAAAATTACCTGGGCATGGTGGTGCATGACTGTAATCCAAGCTACTTGGGAGGCCAGGGCAGGAGAATCGCTTGAACCCAGGAGGTGCAAGTTGCAGTGAGCTGAGATTGCGCCATTGCACTCCAGCCTGGGCAACAAGAAACTCAGTCTCAAAATAAATAAAATAAAATAAAATAAAATAAAGTAAAATATAAAAGAATAGAAAAAATAATTTAAAAAAGAGTATGCAAGTACAATGACAGTTACACTCTATAGTCTGCTCTATAAGAATAGTTATTATGGCCAGGTGCGGTGGCTGACGCCTATAATCTCAGCACTTTGGGAGGCCAAGGAGGGTGGATCACCTGAGGTCAGGAGTTCCAGACCAGCCTGGCCAACATGGCGAAACCCCGTCTCTACTAAACATACAAAAATTGGCCGGGCGCAGTAGCTCACGCCTGTAATCTCAGCACTTTGGGAGGCCGAGGTGGGAGGATCACGAGGTCAGGAGATTGAGACCATCCTGGCTAACATGGTGAAGCCCCATCTCTACTAAAAATACACACACACACACACACACAAAAATTAGCCAACGTGGTGGCATGCACCTGTAGTCCCAGCCACTTGGGAGGCTGAGGCAGGAGAATCGCCTGAACTTGGGAGGCAGAGGTTGCAGTGAGCCAAGATCACGCCACTGCATTCCAGCCTGGGCGACAGGAGCAAGACTCTGTCTCAAAAAAAAAAAAAAAAAAAAGAATAGCTATTATTGTGTATATTCATATATTACGCTATGTTACTCTTCACACCTATATAGCCATGGTTCTTTTCAAGGAAATTCGCTCAAAACAAGTTGTGTATAATTTTTACTGAGGCCTGTTTGCAATTACAATGCTGATCATAAATATTTTATCATTCTTATTGTTCTTGATAATATTAAAGCACAAAAGGCCACAAATGGCAAATAGTAATTACTTATGAATAAAAATAATTTGGGAATATACCAAGTCTAGTGGCTGCAATAGTCTCTCCCACCACCACTTACGTATATTACACATTATCAAGACAAGAAAAGTTTAGGAAGATGATAGGTACTGTGATTATCAACATAACCCTGACAAACCAATTTGATATCTGACATCAGTTTTAATACTCACATTCTGTCTGTTGTCCATCTCTCTGCTATCCTAGGAATTGACTCCCTCTCCAATTTCTCTTCAAGGTACTGTGTCCTGTAAGTTGTAATTGGCTAGTTATTCATTCACTGCATCTACTTAAGCTCCTTGAGGGAAAAGGCTGTGATTTAGACCTCTGGCCAATGGGCACTCTAACAAATCCTTGTGGAATAAAGTGAAACTTCATATAATTCTAATGATGTTTTAGAATGACTCAATTCTGGGATCTCCAACAAAGCTCATTCCACTCACTCATTCAGTAGCTTGTGAGAAGCATTTTATCAAATAAGGGTTCTGGGGAGAGACAGCTGAAGGTAAGGTAAAAACGTCTCTCCTGTATTTTGAGTCGTTTCTGTCACCAACTAGCAGTTTCCCGATCTGCGAAATGAGCAGGGATTGGATTAGGTGATCTTGCTGTCATAAAATTCTGTGATTTAATGTGGTTTACCTTGCCATATAAAATGTAAAACACCCTCACTTGCGGACGACGACCTGCCTCGTCGCGCACACGCCCTGCAGCCGCCCCGCAGAAATGCTTCTTCCGTTACCCACAGTCTTTCCCCAGATGAGACTGCTGTCCAGGGTACTGGCCCCTCATCTCACTCGGGCTTATGCCAAAGATGTAAAATTTGGCGCAGATGCCCGAGCCTTAATGCTTCAAGGTGTAGACCTTTTAGCCGATGCTGTAGCTGTTACGATGGGGCCAAAGGGAAGAACAGTGATTATTGAGCAGAGCTGGGGAAGTCCCCAAGTAACAAAAGATGGTGTGACTGTTGCAAAGTCAACTGACTTAAAGGATAGATACAAATTAGAGCTAAACTTGTTCAAGATATTGCTAATAACACAAATGAAGAGGCTGGAAATGGCACCACCTCTGCTACCGTACTGGCACGCTCTATTGCCAAGGAGGGCTTCAAGAAGATTAGCAAAGGTGCTAATCCAGTGGAAATCAGGAAAGGTGTGATGTTGGCTGTTGATGCTGTAATTGCTGAACTTAGAAAGCAGTCTAAATTTGTGACCACCCCTGAAGAAATTGCACAGGTTGCTACAACTTCTGCAAACGGAGACAAAGAAATTGGCAATATCATCTCCAATGCAATGAAAAAGGTTGGAAGAAAGGGTGTCATCACAGTAAAGGATGGAAAAACACTGAATGATGAATTAGAAATTATTGAAAGTGGCTGGGCGAGGTGCCTCATGCCTGTAATCCCAGCACTTTGGAAGGCCGAGGCGGGGGAATCGCCTGAGGTCAGGAGTTTGAGACCAGCCTGACCAACATGGTGAAACCCTTTCTCTACTAAAAATACAAAATTAGCTGGGCGTGGTGGTGTGTGCCTGTAATCCCAGCTACTTGGGAGGCTGAGGCAGGAGAATCGCTTGAACCCAGGAGGCGGAGGTTGCAGTGAGCCGAGATGCAACATTGCACTCCAGCCTGGGCAACAAAAGTAAAACTCCATCTCAAAAAGAAGAAAAAAAGAAATTATTGAAGGCATGAAGTTTGATCGAGGCTATATTTCTTCATACTTTATTAATACACCAAAAGGTCAGAAATGTGAATTCCAGGATGCTTATGTTCTGTTGAGTGAAAAGAAAATTTCTAGTGTCTAGTCCATTGTACCTGCTCTTGAAATTGTCAATGCTCACCGTAAGCCTTTGGTCATAATCGCTGAAGACGTTGATGGAGAAGCTCTAAGTACATTCATCTTGAATAGGCTAAATGTGGGTCTTCAGGTTGTGGCAGTCAAGGCTCTTTTGGTGACAATAGAACCAGCTGAAGAACCAGGTGAAAGATATGGCTATTGCTACTGGTGGTGCACTGTTTGGAGAAGAGAGGTTGACCTTAAATCTTGAAAACGTTCAGCCTCATGACTTAGGAAAAGTTGGAGAGGTCAGTGTGACCAAAGATGATGCCATGCTCTTTTTTTTTTTTTTTTTTTGAGACGGAGTTTCGCTCTTGTTGCCCAGGCTGGAGTGAAATGGTGCGTTCTCAGCTCACCGCAACCTCCGCCTGCAGGGTTCAAGTGATTCTCCTGACTCAGCCTCCCCAGTAGCTGGGATTACAGGCATATGCCACTACGCCCAGCTAATTTTGTATTTTTTTTAATAGAGACGAGGTTTCTCCATGTTGGTCAGGCTGGTCTCGAACCCCCGACCTCAGGTGATCTGCCCGCCTCAGCCTCCCAAAGTGCTGGGATTACAGGTGTAAGCCACGGCGCCTGGCCTTTTTTTTTTTTTTTTTTAACTTTAAACAAATTTTTATTACACAAAGGTCATCACATAATTGGATATTTCTCTACTTTGTACACAATTATTCTTGCTCTCCACAGAAAGGCTGCTTAACTTCTCATCTGGTGGTGGCAAGCACTAAATCCTGATTTTAACAGAATAGTAGTAAAAATGCTTCAGTGATTTCAGTTGAAAACAGTACATTGGTACATGGCTCTTGTACTCAGTATCAGGAATGTACAAATGTCTTTTTATTAAAAAATACAAAATAAATTATCTGTAGGCACGGACAAGGACAGCAGTAAACCACTGTATATTTTGCCAACTGAAACCAGTAACTGATGGTTGTAGTGATTTCTTAAACATCAGCCAGCCTTTTCTTCATTTTCTCCAACTGTCTTCTCTGAAGTTATTGGTGAGGAACACTGCCTTGGGCTTCCTGTCACAGTTCATGAATAAAGGTAAAGCACTATTCTAGGAGTTAGAACATGCCACCTCCCATACTACCTCCCATTCCACCCACTGCACCCATTCCAGGGTCCTTCTCTTCTTTAAGAATTTCTGTGACTACAACTTCTGCTGTAGTTAACAGAGAAGCCACACCAACAGCATCCAATAAGCAGTTCTCACAAACTTTATTGGGTCAATAATTCCGTTTTCCACCATATTCACAAAATCTCCAACATAGCATCATAACCAACTTCTGAGGAAATTTGCATAATTTTCTCAGCTATCAAAGATACTTCAACACCTGCATTCTTAGCCATGGTCATTGCTGGAATTTTGAGTGTTCTTTTAATAATTTCTATATCAATTTTTTGATCTTCATTAGTTGGAGTCCATGAGTCCAAGGCTGGAATGCACCAAAGCAGGACACAACCCCCTTCCAAAACAATGCCTTCTTCAACAGCAAAGCTTGTAGCATTAAGGGCATCTGTAACTCTGTCTTTCTTTTCATTCACTTCAACATCACTTGTCACACCAACCTTCAGCACAGCTACTCCATCTGAAAGTTTCGCCAGCTGTTCATTCAGTTTTTGCTTTTCATATTCACTAGTTGTGACATCTAACTGCTCAATGACTTCTCAAATACGTTTTTCAATTTGAGCCTTATTACCTTTTCCTTTTAAGAGCATGGCATCGGCTGGGCGCGGTGGACTTGTCAGAAGTTTTCAGGAGTTTTGCTCTTGTTGCCCAGGCTGGAGTGCAATGGCGTGATCTCGGCTCACCGCAACCTCTGCCTCCCGGGTTCAAGCGATTCTCCCGCCTCAGCTTCCGGAGTAGCTGGGATTACAGGTGCACGCCACCACGCCCGGCTAAAATTTTTGTATTTTTAGTAGAGATGGGGTTTCTCCATGTTGGTCAGGCTGTTCTCGAACTCCTGACCCTGTGATCCGCCCATCTCGGCCTCCCAAAGTGCTGGGATTACAGGTGAGCCACTGCGCCCGGCTCAGATTAACTCTTCTTAAAAAAATCAATGAAGGGCCGGGCCCCGTGGCTCATGCCTGTAATCCCGGCACTTTGGAAGGCCAAGGCAGGTGGATCATGAGGTCAGCAGTTCAAGACCAGCCTGGCCAAGATGGTGAAACACCGTCTGTACTAAAAATACAAAAATTAGCCAGGCGTGGTGGCGGGCGCCTGTAATCCCAGCCACTCGGGAGGCGAGGCCGAGGCAGAGAATTCCTTGAACGCGGGAGGCGGAGGTTGCAGTGGGCGGAGATCGCACCACTGCGCTCCAGCCTGGGTGACAGAGCGAGACTACGTCTCAGAAAAAACAAACAAACAAACAAATAAAAAACAATGGAAATTCTAAATTTAGACTGTGTATTAAACTGGGACAAAACTAATAATAGTATTTTACCAAGGGCATTTGGCCTTACTCCCATTCTCTCAGACTTAAGACATAAATCACTGAATGAATCCAGCACTGAATAAATGAATGATCCATAATTTCCTAAGACAATTCCAATTTTTATCTTGCACAAATCTGGCCCCAGGCCGCCGCCGCCGCGCCCGGCAGTGACAGCGACCGCGCCGCTGCGCTCCCGCCGGCCCCGCCCGCAGCCGCTGGGACCCACTAACTGCCTCGAAAAGCCTAGGATTCGACTTTGAATGGTCCGTTAATGTGGTCGCAAAACGTGACTCGGTTCATCGGGCGCTCCCTGTAAGCAAGACAAGCACCCACCTGCGGTCAGAGCAGGGGTCCGGCTCGCGGTCGGGGTTGTCCAGGCCCTCCCGGCTTCTCACCTGCGCACCACACGGTCCAGCCCTGGCGGCTGCAGGGGATCCCTCCGAGCGCCCCCTCAGGCGTCTTCCTGCGACCGGGGAGAGGGAACCCTTTACGGGGAAACAGTTTTGGGGCCCACCACCCTTGGCGCCGCCGTTAGGAGGGTGTGAACATTTCTGCTTTAAGAGATACCCGAGCCCCTCACCGCCTGCGGCAGGGAGGTGGTGCCCCGGCTATCGCCGCGGGCTGGCCGGCTGGGCTGGGAAGAAGGCTCAGGGTGAGATCAGGCAAAGAGTTCTTTCGGACTCACGAGCTCTTTTTGGATGAAAAGCCCCGCAGTTCTCTCCACCTCCTGGAAAAGACTCTATAGAGTTTTGGGGTTAGGAGTAATAAATATCATCCCCTGCTGCCCCGTTGGTGCCATCCAGGGTAAGGCCCCTGCAGACAGCACGAAGGTGTTTTGGAGAGATTGTTCTCCCCCGACCCAAGGGTAAGGCTTACCTTGGAATTACCTGGAGCCTCACTATGACAGCGTGGCCTTCAGTAAAGGGTTGATAAGTCAGTAGCAAACAAGGGCTATTGAAAAGGTCTATACTGCACTTCTCAAATGAAGATATTCCAGTCAATAATGAACACGTCAAAAGCACGCAACTGAATTGGTCATCAGAGAACTTCAAATTAAAACTACATGAGATACCAGTTCTTGCCCACTAGAATGGCTAAAACAAAGGTGGGGCGGGGTGGGGGGGGCGGGTGTGGAGAAAAAAGGAAGTGAATGCCCAACCTGAGGAATGTGGAACATTCAGAACTCTCACACATTTGTTAATGGGGTATAAATTCATAAATTGTTTGGCAATATTTATTAGAACATATGCCTACCCCATGATCCAACAATTCCACTCCTAGGTATACACTCAACAGAAATGCATACATATGTTCACCAGAAAGTAGGTGCTAAAATGTTCATCTCTGCAGTATTCATAACAGCTCCAAACTGGAAATAATCCAAATGTCCATTAACAGGAGAAAGGAGAAATATGTTGTGGTATATTGATACAATGGACTGTTTATTATGTAGCAATGAGTGAAGATGCAATTGTAGTCCCAGCTACCTGGAAGGCTGAGGTAGGAGTAACGCTTGAGCCCCAGAAATTGAGGCTATGGTGAACTATGATCATGCCACTCACTCCAGCCCAGGCAACAGAGTGAGACCCTGTCTTTATAAAATAAAATAGGCTGAGTTCGGTGGCACATGCCTCTAATCCCAGCACTTTGTGGGGCAGAGGTGGGCAGATCACAAAGTCAGGAGTTCAAGACCAGCCTGGCCAACATGGTGAAACCCTGTCTCTAATAAAATAATAAGGATTAGCCAGGTGTGGTGGTGGGCACCCGTAATTCCAGTTACTTGGGAAGCTGAGGCATGAGAATCGCTTGAACCAGGAGGCAGAGGTTGCAGTGAGCTGAGATTGCGCCATTGCACTCCAGCCTGGGCGGCAGAGCGAGACTCCGTCTCAAAAAATAATAATAATAAAGTAAAATAATAAAATAGTGAGTATACTACAGCCACATGTAACCATGTGAATAAATCTCACAAAGTTGAAAGAAACCAGTTGCAAAAGAGAACATATTGAATTATTTAATTTATAGAAAGGTCAAAAACAGGCACAACCAACCTATGGTGTCATAAATCTAGATTGTGATCACCTTTTGGGAGGTTGTGATGGAAGGGATGCAAGGGCTTATGGGATGTGTTGTGTGACTCAGTTTGGATGCTTGTTCACTTTGTAAAAACAATCATTCAATTGAACATTTTTTGGCATGTGGTTTACTTAGTTTTTTGATTAAGAAAAAAGGCCTGAAGTGTTAATTTGTGCAAGTTTCCCCTCAATTCAATTCAACATACATTCATTTTATAATCACTATAGGAGGTAGGCACTATGGAGACTGGAAAGATGTCTCTGCCTTCTAGGAGAAGGTGGCACAAACACAAAAGCCATCAACTGGGAATAGTCTTTGATCCTATGCTAATTATTAGAGAAGCCCAAAAATTATCTTGGGAAAAAAGGTATGCATCTGGCATAATTTCTTCTTCTTTTTTTTTTTTTTTGAGACGGAGTCTTGCTCTGTCGCCCAGGGTGGAGTGCAGTGGTGCGATCTCAGCTCACTGCAACCTCTCCCTCCCGGATTCAAGCGATTCTTCTGCTTCAGCCTCCCGAGTAGCTGGGATTACAGACGTGCACCACCATGCCCAGCTAATTTTTGTATTTTTTAGTAGAGACAGGGTTTCACCATGTTTGCCAGGCTGGTCTTGAACTCCTGACCTCGTGATCCGTCCGCTTCAGCCTCCCAAAGTGCTGGGATTACAGGTGTAAACCACCGTGCCTGGCCCATAATTTCTTTGTTTGTTTGTTTGTTTGTTTGGGAAGGAGTCTCGCTCTGTCACCCAGGCTGGAGTACAATGGCGTGGTCTCGGCTCACTGCAATCTCCACCTCCCGGGTTCAAGCGATTCTCCAGCCTCAGCCTCACGAGTAGCTGGGATTACAGGCACTGCCATCACGCCCGGTTTATTTTTGTATTTTTGGTAAAGACGAGGTTTCACCATCTTGATCAGGCTGGACTTGAACTCCTGACCTCAGGTGATCCACCCACCTTGGCCTCCCAAAGTGCTGGGATTACAGGCATGAGCCACTGCGCCTGGCCCCTTCCCTCTTAAATATTAATATTTACTTGTAGTACTAATTTTAATTAGTTATAAATGAAGGCCCAGTGGTCAAGTGACTTGTTCAGAATTGTTCAGTAAGTCCGAAGCAGGCTGGACAAGAAGCTAAGCTTTCTCCTTACTATGGCAGAGATCTCACATTACCTCAGTGGCTTCAGAGCCCTGTCATACTGGCCAAAGTGTTCACTCAGAAAGGACAGGACAAAGTAGTACTTTTCTTGATGTTAAATGTATTTAGTTATTAAATTCTGAGACTGAAACTTTCCTTTTTTAATTTTAAATTTTTTGGGGGGGCAGTATTGCTCTGTCGCCCAGGCTGGAGTGCAGTGGTGTGAACTTCTGGGCTGAAGCGATCCTCCTACCCAAGTTGGCCAAGTAGCCGGAACGACAGGCATCACCACCACACCTAGCTAATTTTTTTGTTAAATTGTATTTTTTTGTAAAGACAAGTCTCGCCATGTTTCGTAGGCTGGTCTCGAATTGCTGAGCTCAAGCAATCCTCACCCTCCCAAAGTGCTGGGATTATGGGCATGAGCCACTGCACCCAGCCCTGAGACTATAACCTTCCTGTCTTTCTGGTGGAAGGTTTTAATTAATATTAAAATGTTGATTCTTTTATAAAATGATGGGCATAGTAGACTTTAGTTGGTAATTAATGTCTTTACCTGAAAATATAAAAAGTTCTGTGCTCTCTCATATTTCCCCACTGGTTTATAAAATGAAAAAGTTTAGAACAGACTTTTGCTTCATTCTTATGCTGCTTCTGGTTCAACATCCTTTTGTTTCATTCTACATTTTATTTGTTACTAAGAAAATCTGTGGGGTTTTTTTTTCTTTTTTTCTTTTTTTTTGAGCCAAGGCCTTGCTCTGTTGCCCAGGCTGGAGTGCAGTAGTGATCCTTCCACCTCAGCCTCCTGTGTAGCTGGGACCACACCACTGTAAGCCACCTGGCCCGGCTTATTTATTTATTGACATAGGGTCCACTTTGTCACCCAGGGTGGAGTGCAGTGGAACATACACAGCTCCACTGCAGCCTCGACCTCCCAGGCTCAAGCAATCCTCCCACTTCAGTCTTCTGAGTAGCTAGGACTACAGACATGAGCCACCACGCCCTGGAGGGAAATCTTTTAAATGTAGATCCATATATTCTTGTAGTGGATATAGGTGACCCATGTTCTATTTCCTTTATATACCTTCCTCTGCAGAGACTGGAAAACCAAAAACTATACTTTCCAGATTTTTTCGCAACTAGGATTCTAGTTGTAAATTGTGGATCTATCAATAATTTGCACACATAAGAAACTTGAAAAGTGGAAGCCAGGCTGGGGTCAGCTGCTGGCCGCTTTGGCTGTTGCTGCTGGTCAGCAGAGTCATGGGAATGCTGGGTTTTTCTGCAGCAGTGTTCCAATGTCTATTCACTAGTTCCACGGCTGTTTTTTTTTGTTTGTTTTTGTTTTTGAGAAGGAGTCTCGCTTTGTCACCCAGGCTGGAGTGTGGAGTGCAGTGACACGATCTCAGCTCACTGTAACCTCTGCCTCCCAGGTTCAAGCGATTCTCCTGCCTCAGCCTCCCAAGTAGCTGGGATTACAGGTGCCCGCCACCACACCCGGCTAATTTTTGTATTTTTAGTGGAGATGGGGTTTTACCATGTTGGCCAGGCTGGTCTCGAACTCCTGACCTCAGGTGATCCACCTGCCTCGGCCTCCCAAAGTGCTGGGATTACAGGTGTGAGCCACTGTGCCCGGCGTTTCATGGCTGTTGAAAGGTGCTGAGGCTGTGTTAGCAACAGTAGCTGCCCAATTCCTTGATCACAACTAGGGCAGTAAGTTCTCCTTTTTTTCTTTATTTTTAATTTTTTTTCTTTCCATACTCATGTCAGTACAGGGGCATGTGTTCCTGAACTCAACAGCTGCAGCAATACAGTCTTGATTTCTCATCTTTCTAAAGCTTTCCTGGTGGGTGAATTTAGCAGCCTCATTCTTGGAGCCATTTCTGATATACAGCAGAAACCCCCTTTCTCCAGTACTTCCAACGATTTTGTAAGCACATTAAGCCCCAGTATTAAAGCCTTTCCTACTTAAGTGGTTTCTAGTTACTGCAGCCAGCCCTGACAGATCTAATACCTGATTGAGCAGTAGCCCACTGCCCTTTTCTTCTTTTTCTTCTTTCCATAAATGCCAAAGGCAATGCAACCCAGTGCTTTCATCCCTGGTCTTTTGAGGCCTGGTGTTTGTTTCTTGGGCTTCCAGGGATGAAAGAAACTCATGATTACTATTGTTTAAGAAGGGCAGGCAGCCAGGCTTCAGGAGGAATCATGAATTGAGGATTTTTCTAAGGCCTCAGGTTCTATGTAACTCAGTATGTCATGTTCTTACCAATCAAGGTACCACCCCTTTACAAATTGGAGGGCTTAGATCTATGGTTAGGACAATACCAGTTCTTTCCTTCTTCAGACTTGGTGTTGGGCTCTAGGTTCCCCTTGCTAAAAAAAATTTCTGCTTTTGCTTATTGCCCATCATCAGGGGGAAAGTGACAGTGCTGTAAGTGTATGAATTATTAGCCTAAAAATAATTTTTTGTATGTTTTTCATGATTTATTTAATATCACTAGGAACAAAGGGCACTTTTCCCTCAAACACAATTCTTGAAAATATTAACATCTCCCCTCTCTTTTGGCATAGGTAATATACACTTTATTATGCCAGAATTATTTACAGCCCAGTAATAATTTTTCCATGGCATTTTTGTTATTGCAAATATAGCTGCCTCCTGCTCCTTTCCTTGTTCCTAAACTATCGCCACAATGATACTAAAGAGCCAGTATTGTATATACTCTTTTGTAAACCACCTGACCTAGAAGACCCTAGAGAATCGTAAGATAGGATCTCTTTTGATAAGCAGAAAATACCGTTGCAGAATCTTGACCAATAGCCCCCGCAGAGTCTTGTGGTAGGGATAGTTATAATATGAAAGGGAAATTCTTGTCCTCAAGTTTAGAGCAGTTTTTAGACAATGTTAAAGCATCGCTGAGCTCTAAGTATAAGAAAAACTCTGGACTAGGCTGGGTGCAGGGGTTCATGCCTGTTATCCCAGCACTTTGGGAGGCCGAGGAGGGTGGATCACGAGGTCAAGAGATCGAGACTATCCTGGCCAACATGGTGAACACCCGCCTCTACTAAAGATACAAAAAAATTAGTTGGGTGTGGTGGCATACCTGTAGTCCCAGCTACTTGGGAGGCTGAGGCAGGAGAATCGCTTGAAGCCAGGAGGCAGAGGTTGCAGTGAGCCAAGATCACGCCACTGCACTCCAGACAGAGCAAGACTCTGTCTTAAAAAAAAAAGGAAAGAAAAACTCCGGACTAGAAAAAAAGTGTACATCATGCTAAGGAAGCAAATGATTCCATAACTAACATAGTATAGATGATACCTCTCAAGCTCTCAAATAATTTCTTCCTAGTCTCTTGCCTCAGATTGTAGGATAAACACTTTATGTTCCATTCACTGAATGTAGAGGACATCTTTTCACTAATCCCACCTATCTTTTCAATTTTTCCAGGAAGGTAGGTTGAGGGGAAATCTGCTTTCAAATTTTAAAGGCCTCAAGGTGTTAGGAGGAAAACAGCATTTTCTCATGGAAGTAGCATCTCAGGTAGGTTTGTGAAGTAGCATCTCAGGTAGGTTTGTGAAGCAGATCTACTTCAAGTCTCGCATTTTTAGGATTTTTCCAGCATTATTTTTTTATTTATGAGACGGAGTCTCGCTGTGTTGCCCAGGCTGGAATGCAGTGGCAACATCTCGGCTCACCGCAACCTCGCCTCCCTAGTTTAAGCGATTTCCGGCTAATTTTTGCATTTTTTAGCAGAGACTGGGTTTCACCATGTTGGACAGGCTGGTCTCGAAATCCTGACCTCAGGTGATCCGCCCGCCTTGGCCTCTCAAAGTGCTAGGATTACAGGCGTGAGCCACCGTGCCCAGCAGTGTACTTTATAAAAGTCTTCTCCCTCTGGTTTGGTTCACATCATCAGTTGACTACCTACTATGTATCCGACACTGCCGGGCACCAGAGATAAGATGTAGTTCTCAGCAAGGCGCGGTGGCTCACGCCTGTAATCCCAACATTTTGGAAGGCTGCGGTGGGCGGATCATTTGAGGTCAGAAGTTCGAGACCAGCCTGGCCAACATGGTGAAACCCCGTCTCTACTAAAAATACAAAAAACATTAGCTGGGCGTGGTGGCGGGCGCCTGTAGTCCCAGCTACTCGGGAGTCTGAGGCAGGAGAATCGTTTGAATCCCGGAGAGTGCAGTGAGCCGAAATCACGCTTCAGCCTGGGTGATGGACCGAGACCCTGTCTAAAGAAAAAAAATGAATAAAAAAAATAAAAAAAGATGTAGTTCTCTAACGAGGAAGGCTTCTGTATGTGATTAATGCCCTTCATTCAGAGAAATCTTTACAGTTCTTTTCACCTGCATCTACTCTCTCCAACTATTATACGAATGGTTTCTAACCCAACTGCTTGAATACTGTGATCCAGGGTCAGTCTTCAGCTTTCTAATATTAGAGAAACTTAGTTTTCCCTGTCCTTGTCTAAAGGCAGGGTGAAACCCTTTTCCTTTCCTCCGTGTCATTCATTCTCTTATGTAACGTAAACAAATGGGAAGTCTGGGACCAAAGGCTCATAAGAATTTAATTATCATGCAGATTCCAGAAAGCCAGTGTACACGCAGACTTCGGAGGCAGTAAACAGGAAACCATCGATCCCGTGCAGGAAATGACCTTGTTTGAAGGCAACGAAGGTGTCGCGGATTTCCCTCGTTTTCCTTCAGTTCCTTTCTAAACTCATTTCCGTGTTTCAATCAGTTTGGTCCTTCTCTACATTAACAGAGTCCCCCCGGCCCAGAGAGAATGGCAAACAGACCCTTCCCTTTAGTGGACATTTTTATGTCTTGTTTTACATCACTGCAAATCTCAGCCAATCAGTAGTTGGGGTAGGAGGTACCAAAATAATCCTCACTTCCTCCCCCAAATACCACCCCTCGCGTGCGTCATCCTGTGATAGATTACCAACGCAGCCAATCAACAAGCGATCTTGGGCCGGGCCTACCCGAACCCCAGCCAATTAAGAGGAAGATGAAGAATTGGGGCGGAGGATGGAAAACTTGCCACCTCTTTTGGAAATGATTTGAAGAGGTGCGTCCGGAACGAGGGAAACTTACGACTTTTGCTAACGATCGCGGCGTGCTGTGTATCTCCTGTGCCAGTTCTGTCTCCCCAAGACCCCACCCCAAGATGGGCCCCATGGCCCACGTACCCGGCCCCCAGTTTCAGTAGGACGTGTCCTTATCCCTGAGGTCCTCCAGAAAGGAACCCAACCCCAATGGCCCGTGCTTCACACGCTCCTCCCCGCGCCGGTGGAGTAGGGGGCAGGAGAGACCTGCTGCCTCTGGCGCCAACCTTTCCATTCAGTGCGTCTTTCCTGCCTAGCCCACGTTCCCGGGCCGGAGCTGACACGGGGGTGGGAGGAGCCGAGTGCTTGCTCGTCTTGGGCAGAGGCGAAAGCTTCTTAAGGTGGAACAGGAATGTTGGGCTGCTGGGCCTCTACCGCTGGGATGTGCCGGCCCCTGCTTCCCAACCTCGCCTCCCAGTTTTTCATCTCTTGTTCCCTGGCTCCAGTCTAATTTTTAGGGGAGTGGAAATCAAACAGGCTGGGAAGAGGATAGAAAAATAACGTAGAAAAGCTGGGCGCGGTGGCTCACGCCTGTAATCCCAGCACTTTGGGAGGCCAAGACGGGCGGATCACGAGGTCAGGAGATCGAGACCACCCTGGCTAACACGGTGAAAACCCGTCTCTACTAAAAATACAAAAAATTAGCCGGGCGTGGTGGCAGGCGCCTGTAGTCCCAGCTACTCGGGAGGCTGAGGCAGGAGAATGGCGTGAACCCGGGAGGCGGAGCTTGCAGTGAGTCGAGATCGTGCCACCGCACTCCAGCCTGGGCGACAAGAGCGAAAACTCCGTCTCAAAAAAAAAAAAAAAAAAAAAAGGAAAGTTAACGTAGAAAACTGTAAATAATAAACAGTTATGTAAAGGAAATACAAACTATACAGATAACTTCACCTTTATGATTTAATATCTTGCGTTCTATTCCCCCCATTACTTTTTATTTTTTCAATTCCCATAGAGTCAATGGTGACCCCATTATCTTTTAAAGTAGCAGTTAGAATTTTTCTGATGGTGCAAATGTAAGCTCATATTTTGTCTGATAAATATTACTAAATGAATCGTTTCTATGTTGGTTTAGTTTCTCTCTAATAGACCTGACTAGAGTCATTAAAAGAGGTCAGAACTCTGTGTCTAGTGGCGGCAGGCTACCCCCTACTCCGTTGATCACAGGTCCCCAGGAATCTGGAAGAGTGGAGATGCGGTCTTGGCTGTGGTTCAGTTGTCTCATTTGTAAATGGGAATAACATTTCCCCACCTCGTAGGTTTAGTGTCAATCCTAAAAGACCTAGTGTAAATGAAAACATTGTAATCTGAAAGGTGTAAACAGACATTAGGTAGTATTACACATACAAAGCATATAATAATAGTAAACATAGTCCTAGCTATGTTCCAGCATTTTTAAACAGTACTTTAAATTTAATTTTTATTTTTTGAGATGGAGTCTCCGATCTGTCGCCCAGGCTGGAGTGCAGTAGCGCGATCTTGGCTTACTGCAACCTCTGCCTCCCAGGCTCAAGCGATTCTTCTTCCTCAGCCACCCGAGTAGCTGGAGCTACAGGTGCGTGCCGCCACACCCGACTAATTTTTGCATTTTTAGTGAAGACAGGGGTATCACCATATTGGCCAGGCTAGTCTCGAACTCCTGACCTCGTGATCCGCCCGCCTCAGACTCCCAGTGTTGGGATTACAGGTGTGAACCACCACGCTCGGCTAAACAGTACTTTTTAAAAAATTGTTTATCTTGTAATAATTCAAACACACACAAAAGTAGAGAAAATAAGATTTTTTTTTTTTTGAGACAGTCTCATTCTGTCACTCAGGCTGGAGTGCAATGGCACGATCTCAGCTCACTGCAACCTCCGCCTCCCGGGTTCAAGCAATTCTCCTGCCTCAGCCTCCCGAGTAGCTGGGATTGCAGGCACCTGCTATCATGCCCAACTAATTTTCATATTTTTGTAGAGACGGGGTTTCTCCATGTTGGTCAGGGTGGTCTTGAACTCCTGACCTCAGGTGATCCACCTGCCTTGGCCTCCCAAAGTGCTGGGATTACAGGCATGAGCCACCACGTCTGGCCCAGAGAATAGCATTTTAAAAAAACTGTTGTAAAAAGCAACATTCGTTCAATCTTTCATCTATCATCTGTACTCCTCTCCCCCATTACTTGATTATTTTGAAGCAAATTTCAGGCATTTCATGTCTAAATACTTTAGTATTCATAAATATTCATAAAATGGTAATTCCATTAGCACCTAAAGTATACAATAATTGTTTGATATCGCCCTCAGTATTGGAATTTTACCAGTTGTCTCATAATATTTTTTCCAGTTGCTTTGTTTTAATCAGGATCCCTCAAAAGGTCTACATATTGTATTTGATGGACATGTCTCTTGGTCCACATATATTGCATTTGGTTGATAAGCCTCTCAGTCTCTAGGTCCTTCCTCCTTCAGGCATTTAACTAAATATATTACATGTATAAAGGCACATAATCCCTTCACAACATTATGAAATAGGTACTATTATTATCCCCATTTTACTGATGAGGAAACTGAGTCACAAAGCAGTTAAATGACTTACCTAAATTCTCACAATTATTAGGACTCACAGTTGAGAACCACTATTTTTGTTTCACGTAATACACAGTCTCTAATAAGTGCTTCCAAAACGTGCGTTGTAGCATATTAGTCTCCAATTTTATAAAGAATAGTTTTGCTCAAGGTAAATTAACACTCATGAATAATTATATAACATGTTTTATTACAAAGAAGAGTGGATCCTTACATTTTAATTTCTGTATGTTTCAGTGACTTAAAAAATCCTTCTCCGTATTACCCGCCTTAATAGAAAGTAAAGTGAGAATGAATGTAAGTGCTTCCCCCCAATCTTAGGGCAAAACCATACCAAACCAGCCTTGTCAGTTTCTTTTAATTTTAAAAATTACATAAGCAAATCTACACAAACACTAATTATAGATACATTAAAAAATGAAGTAAATTAAAATAATCCATAAACTCACATCTTTGGTGTGTATCCATCTTCTATGTGTCTATTGGTATGCACACAAATATATGCATGAACATATATATATTTTAAAAAGCAACTATATGATTGCATTATACAAATTTTAAAATATTATTTTCTCACTCAAATAAGTCAGATATATAAAACAATGGTTCTTTAAAATAATGTATGCCTACTGCAAAATATCTAAATGATAAAGAACATTATAAAAATAAAACAACTCCACTCACTCTACCTTTCAGAGATAAATACAATTATTCTTGCAAATGCTAAATAGTACTCTGTTGTACAGATGTGCCATAATATATTTAAAATTACCCTATTTTGGATATTTAGGTCTTTTCTAATTTTCCAGTTACAAAAAATACTGCAGCAAATGTCTTGTAAAAACCAAATAATTTCTTGAGCTTTTTATTTTTCCAAATTGCCAGGAAGATTCTAATCCTTCCCTCATGTTTCCATTTTTAGTACAACTGCCTGTCACTCAAGCCCTCCAATTTCCATACACAGGAAATGTCAAAAACGGTTGAAACATAACAAAACATCTAATACATAGCAAGAAAGATTTGCCGCCAAATTATCTGCGTGTGGGAGAATTATTTAATGCCTCAAAGAGAGGAAAAATACATCTTTAAACCTGAATATAGGAAGTGTGAGCAGGAAGAACAGGCTTGTTTTGGTTTACTGCCTTTAATTTTGAGGATGACTTTAAATTCTGATCGCTCCGGACAATGGTATAGAAGTCAAGAGCTGGGCATCGGAGTCATTTGGATTTAAGTCCTGACTCTGCTACTTACTAATTAAGCGAACTCACACATAGTATCTGTAAGTCACAATTTTCTCATCTGTAAAAGAAGTATAATAATAGTGTCTTAGGGAATCGCTAGAATCATCAATGTGACAACACATGCAGAATGCTCAGTGCAATGCCTGGCATATTGTAAATATAATTATTCATATAATATATACATACAACTTAAGTATGCAGTCTTTTGGGGGCAATTCAAATATTTTGCAAGCAATATTTTTGTATTCGTATTATCTTTTTTTTTTTTTTTTTTTGAGACGGTGTCTCACTGTCTCCCAGGCTGGAGTGCAGCGGCACGATCTGGGCTTACTGCAACCTCCGTCTCCCAGTTTCAAGTGATTCTCCTGCCTCAGCCTCCCAGGTAGCTGGGATTACAGGCACGCACTACCACGCCTGGCTAATTCTTTTTTTTTTTTTTTTTTTTTAGACGGAACCTGGCT
The DNA here is from genome assembly GCF_000001405.40 of Homo sapiens. NCBI lineage: Eukaryota > Metazoa > Chordata > Mammalia > Primates > Hominidae > Homo > Homo sapiens. Next base: position 8,031,149 of record NC_000012.12, read on the forward strand.
CTGTCGCCCAGGCTGGAGTGGAGTGGCGCGGTCTCGGCTCACTGCAACCACCGCTTTCCGGGTTCAAGCGATTCTCCTGCCTTAGCCGGCACTACAGGCGTCCGCCACCGCGCCGGGCTAATTTTTGTATTTTTAGTAGAGACAGGGGTTTCACCACGTTGGCCAGGCTGGTCTCCAATTCCTGACTTCAAGTGATCCCCCCGCCTCGGCCTCCCAAAGCTTTGGGATTACGGGCGTGAGCCACTGCGCCTGGCCTCCTATTATCTTATGTGCTATAAAGTAGAGAGTAGGCCGGGCCGTGTTTCCTGCCTGTAATCCCAGCACTTTGGAGGCATAAAAAGGGAGAATAGTTTAAACCCAGGAATTAAAGACCAGCCTCGGCAGCATACTGAGACCCTGCCTCTATTTAAAAAGAAGAAAAAGATAAAGAAAGAAAGGAAAGAAAGTAGGGTAGTTTGATAAAAGTTTAAAAAGCCTGAGTATGGGCCGGGCGCGGTGGCTCACACCTGTAATCCCAGCACTTTGGGAGGCCGAGGAAGGTGGATCACGAGGTCAGGAGTTCGAGACCAGCCTGGCCAACTTGGTGAAACCCCATCTCTACTAAAAATACAAAAATTAGCCGGGCGTGGTGGCGCGCGCCTGTAATCCCAGCTGCTCCGGAGGCTGAGGCATCCCAGCTGCTGGGGAGGCTGAGACAGAAGAATCGCTTGAACCCGGGAGGCGTAGGTTGCAGTGGGCCCAGATCGTGCCATTGCACTCCAGCCTGGGCAATAAGTGAAACAACACCTCAAAAAAAAAAAAAAAAAAAAAAAAAAAGCCAGAGTATGAAATATATGAGAATTTGCAGCAGAATAATATGACTTCAGGATGTGACAGCTGTAAAGGGTAAGCAGGCCAAGTATCAAGGTCCCTTCTTCGCTGAGCAAGATTGCGGAGAACAAGGGCCATGCACAAGTTTAGGAAGCTGAAACAAGGAACAGGACCCAGATCTTCTGATGTTTATTTCACCGTTACACGCTCATTTATCATGTATCCACTCATTCAAGGAGCATTTACTGAATTCCAGGATGATATAAGGGTAACATATAAACTTCACCCCAATCTTCACCTCAATGCTCATGATCCTTTATAAATTATCTCGAGGGAAAGAGAAGCCCATCAAAGACAGTCCTGAGAAAGCTGGGGCTGTTCATCTGTATACGGAGTTTAACAGAATGAAACGCCGGAGTTGGGGTGTCAGCTGGAATTGACGGTATACGGTGCGCACTAGGGACTCTCCCGACGGGGAGCAGTGAGTTGTCATCCCGGGTAGACGGCGAACTCCCGGAGCCACGCGGCCGCAGGTGGGCGAGGGCGGCGAGATCCCTCGCCGGCGTGAGAGCGGCCGTGGCTCTCCAGGCGGAGCGCACACCGGGTAGCGAGGCTCGCGGCTCGGCGCTGCCCGCGGCTCGGCGTCTCCCGGCTCCTCCTTAACCCGCGCCGGGAGGCGGTGGCGGCAGCGGCCGGCGGGCGGGGGAGGGGGAGGGGCGCGGAGCGCGGCGCGGAGGCCGGGGAGGAGCCGGGGCCTGCAGCGGAGCCGAGCCGAGCCCGAGCCCGCGCCGAGCCCTGACACTGTCTGCCCGCCTTCTGGCTCCCCGGGAGCCCAGACTGGTCGGAGCCCGAGCGGTGGCAGCGCGGGGAGCCCCACGCGCCGAAGGGAGCGGACCCGACAGGACGGCCCTAGAGGAGGTGCTGCCGCCACAGTAGCAGGGACCGGAGTCTCGAGCCGCGGCCTCCCGGACCGTGCTGCCCAGGCCAGCTCAGGGACAGCCGGGAGTACGAAAGCCCCACCCTCTGGGGCACCCCGGGAGCGGAGGCGGGAGCGGGGACGCGAGCAACCTCTCCCCCTGTTGGAGAGAAAAGACCCTTACCACTCGGGTGAGGGAAAGAAGAGACCCCTGGAGGGGACGCCTCTCTCCTGCCTAGAGGCGAGGAAGACCCCTGTACTGGCCGGGGAGGAGACCCCCAGAAGTGGAAAGAAGGGAGCTTTCCGTAGGGAAGCAGAGTGAGACCACCCTAGCGCGCCCCCGCCCCTCCAAACACACACTCTCAACAGTTCAGGACTTTGGAGGCAAAGAGAGACGGGGCTGTGCCTGTGGAGTAGGCACCCTCGGCCCACCACTATTCACAGGAGACAGGAGTCCTTACGTTCAGAAGCCACTCCAGGGAAAGAAGAGGAATCGGCTTTCAGCCTTCTGGAGAGGGGAAGACCTCCCCCTCAACTTCCTCGTGCCTAGACAGTGGAACGGGGTGGAGCCCCTCCGCTCCTATCTCCAGCAGACAGAAAGAGCCCTCCACCTCAGAAAGATCCAGTTTGGGGGGGAGGGGAACTCCCCCAAGGGGGAGGAGACAACTCCTGGTTGGGAGAGGCTCCTCCCCTCCTCCCCCGGGTAACAAGCAGGGTGTGGGGGGTGTGCCACCTTCCCCAAGTAGGACCTCCTTCTCCTCCCCCTCCCCCTCCTCCAACCTTGACTCCTCATCCTCAGGGGACCCAGTTCCCCTCACCAACTTGGGAGGCTCAGCCTCGTCCAGGAAGAGCCACTGAGGATGAGAGCCGTCACCTGCCTCTGAAGAGGGGAATCCCTCCAACCCCAAACTCCAGTACCAGGTGGTTCCCTCCCTTTGCCGGAGGAACCTTGGAGACAGGTTAGTGCTTTCTTTCATCTTCTCTCTGTCATTGTCTGGCACTAGTGGGTGTAGGGGGTTGAGCTGGTGGATCGTGGGTTTCACTGCCGGGGAAGACAGAGTGATGACTCAGAAAATCCAATGGGAAATGTGATCCAAGGGAGCTCCTGGATTTGAACCCACATCTTGCTGCAGAAGCTCTGAGAAATGGGTTTCTTAGTGTTTGGGGACTAAAGGGATGGGATTCATTTTAGGTCCCTTAGGGAAGTGGATGTTTTCATGCTGAGGAAAAGGGTTATCGGAAAACAGCTGCATTTTGAGAACATGCATACTGTGTAGCAGTGATTTACACAACCCAACCAGTGGTAAGATTCCCATACCACCCTTCACCCTTGGGCCTTTTCCCCTGGAGAGTGGGCTGTCATGAAAATCACGGTGGCATCTGGGGTCCTGGCCTTGCCCAGGGCATGCCGAGGTCAGCTTAGTGTTCACCAGAGGTGTTCCCTCCAGCTTACTGCAATTATAGCTCCCTTGACAAGAAAAGCAATCTGTTCCTGCTCATCCTATCTCAGATACCAAGAGGCCTCCTCTCCTGACATTTCCATTCCTAGCTGGATGTATGCCTCTGCCCATAAAATCCAAAGGGAAAATGGGAATCCCACATGTTCTGAGGCGAGAAGAAAGTGTGCAGGGGAATGCCAACTCCCGGGTTAAAGTGCTTCCTTGATGCTGGCCCTGAACCACTGCCCCAGTCCCCTTCTCGACTCCTGTTTTTTGCTCACAATTCTTCAGGAAAAATTAGATCCTGGATACGAAGGGAGGAGGGCTGCTGCTCCGCTTCTGTCCAGACTTCCAGTTAAACAAGTTGACCACTGGAGAGATTTCACTTCTGAGGAGTATATAAAGTTTCCTTCCAGAAAAGTACCTAATAGTCTCATCCTCTCCCTTCCTGTTTCTTGTTCAGTTCTGAGTCCCTCGAACCTTGTGTTAAAGTTTTCCTTCATAAGCTAGGGAATTATCAAAGTCCAGAATCTTCAGAAAAGGCAGGAAAAGGGTACCAGGAAATCCTCCCCTGAAGCCTAGGCTGTTTTTAGGAGAGGTCACTAGCTGGTTGTCTGCTTTCCTGCCTCACCATTAGCAGATACCTTATCTTCTGTCTCACAGCAAGGACAAGTTGTGAAGGAGGCTTCATCTGACTTGGCCTTTCATATTTCCTCCTCTCTCTGGGGCATGGGTGAGGTCTACCTAAATTCCTGAGTACAGTCATTTGTCCTGGAAGCTACTGGTGGTATATGAGATAGGGCACAGGTTTGTGTGGCTGTGCTATAGGACAACATGCATATACTTCTTAATTCATGTGAATGTGGCTCTCTGTTTCAAGTGGGTATGTGTGTGGAGACAGGTACTTATGTGCTTTTCAGACTATACTCCAGTTACCTAGAATTGTATGTTTCTGGTGGGCCTCTAGAAGCAGGTGCCTCTGTACAAGGACATGGATAGGTGGTGGTAAGGATGGCCACCTGAGGGGAAAGGCTTGGCCTCCCCCCAGTCAATGGGAGCCCTCGTGACGGTCTACAGGACAGTCCTTTAAGCAGCAGGGCAACCCAGTCTCAGGCTGGGATCATTTCTTCTAGGACTAATAAGAGAGCTTCATTGCTGATACCTCTGGTCTCAGAAGGATGAGGATCCTTGACTCCTAACTCCAGAACTCCTTCCCCTACCTTTTACAAAAGAGGCCTCGCTGGTTAACAGCAGCCTGTTTCTTATAAAGTACTTCACCAGATGCTGGCGTGCACCTGCCTGAATGGCTCAGGGTGAACTATATCACAACATCTCCAAGTACACCACCGCCACGCAGTTTAACTGGCCCTGCTTGGACTGAGTTCCCTAACCCTGCTTGCTTCTCTGGAATCAGTTAGAAGTAGGTGGCTACTGAGTGGGATTAACTGTGGTTTAGAGAGTGTGCTTTCCCAGACCATGTCTTATGACTACACCTAGTTCCCCCGGGAAGATAAGAGATGATAGTTCCTCATTCCTTCATCCTTAGAGTCTTCCTGATCCTAGCATTAGCCAGTACTGGGTGATATTATCTCTAAAGGAAAAGTTTGAGATTCTGACATCCTGAAAACCATTGCAGATGCAGTGCAGGCTTTGTAATGCAAACCACTGCAGGCTTGCTGCTTCCACTTCTACCTCTATAGTCTGTCAGTTTGCTAATTTTTAATTTCTAGTATTCTCTTTTTTCCCCATTTAAAAACAACAGCTACATTTATTTAGCACTTACTAAGTGCTCTAAAAATATTAACTCAAGGTAATCCTTACAACAATCAAAATAGTGGAGCTGGGATTGAAACTCAGGCAGCCTAACTCCTCATGTGCTACACCTAGCCACTGCCCTCTTTGTTCTAGCATTCTGTATGGGGCAGGAAGTCATCACACCTTATTACCTGACATTGGCATTAGAACAATTAGTGGCCTTTCAGATAAAATGGGAAGAAAACTGAGCCTGTTATTGTGGATCTTACATGTTTCATCCAGGATCGGTCTTTCACTCCGAGAATGTCTATGTGTCTGTTTTTCTCTGCCTTTCTCCCAGTTCTGTAGTCTTCATTAGACGTCGTGTGGATGTGATGGACCCTGCCCTTTGGCTGCCTTTCCCAGCTTCTATGGGTATTTCCTTTCAGTCTTCCAGCACACAGAGAAGAATGTGGCCTGACTCAGGTTCTGCCCAAGCCCCGTGGCACAGGGCCCTGGAGAGAGAGGTCTGGGTAACTAGGTTGGTTGGACTGAGAAATGGAAGTACCTCTTGTTTGCCTTTCTAATAATAGCCCTGAACATTAGCCTCGTGCCATTATTTTGGGGAGCGTGGAATGTGTGGCAGCCACCAGCTCATTAAGTTTCATTCACTTCCCTCCAGGGACGATGCTTTGGCAGGGTTTATGGGTTCATCTCTTTTATGGAAGGGGGAAACTGAGGCATCAAGACTTCACTGGGGGCCAGGCATGGTGTTTCACACCTGTAATCCCAGCACTTTGGGAGACCGAGATGGGTAGATCACCTGAGGTCAGGAGTTCAAGACCAGCCAGGCCAACATGGTGAAACCCCACCTCTACTAAAAATACAAAAAATAGCCGGGTGTGGTGGCGTGTGCCTATAATCCCAGCTACTCGGGAGGCTGAGAAAGGAAAATCGCTTGAACCTAGGAGATGGAGGTTGCAGTGAGCCGAGATCGCGCCACTGTACTCTATCCTGGGCCACAGAGCAAGGCTTCGTCTCCAAAAAGACAAAACAAAACAAAACAAAAACAAAAAACACTTCATCAGAGAGGCACGGATGGTTAGGGACAGTCCAGCAGGATTTGGAATAGAACCAAGGAACCTCAGTCTCTGAGGCTCTACATGCTGGGCTGCCCTTCACAAATGGGGAAGTGAAGAGGGTGAGGAAGTGGGATGGGTCAAAGGAGAACGGTGCGGAAAGATCAAAAGAATCAGATGCTACAAGCTGCTTGTAGCTGGTGAGATTTGAATATATTTTGAGTGCTGGGGGCTGTATCTGGAGGGCTGACTGGAAGGGGGCTGGAGAAAGGTTAAATTTAACCTCAGTGTCCTAACCTGGTGCTAGGGTAAGGGTAGGGAAGGGCGTAGAACAACTTGCAAAAGGCTGAGAGTGCTTCCCTTTCAGGAACTCACTGTGATTGGCATGTGCCAAATGGGTTCTTCTGTAAGCCCTCTAAACACTTTAAATCCACTCTCATGCCCCTGTCCAATGCTGGGAAAGTTGTTTCAAATGAACATCAACTGAAGGCCTCCGTGCTCTTAAGATGAAATTTCCTAGGGATCTTTAGAAGGAGATAAATAGGGAATAGGGCAGAAGTACTTTAGGGACCTCCCCATCTGGGGAGGACCCAGGAGGACCCTGGTCATTGGAAACCTGCTCATTGGCATGCCACTCTTCAGCTCAGATGACCCAGCTACAGGACTGTGATCCTGCTACAAGTATACAAGTATATATGTGATCTGCTATAGCCCAGGGACTGGGGTGTTTTGACTTAGTAGTATTGGAAGGTGTGAGGTTCCTGGAATGATTAAGTGTTCCTATTAGTTTCCAAGTTTCCATGGTTAGGGCAAGGTGGCAGTGGGATGAAGAGGATAGTGGGAGAGAAGCTAAGGATAAAGGGGAAACCCTTCATGACGCTATTTATAAACATGCCAGCCCCCCTCGCTCCGCCCCTTTTCTCCTGTCAAACAATTCTTGGGTTAGAGTTGCGTCTCTTGCTGCCCCCGCCCCTGAGGCACTAAGGTGTTTCCTTCAGCCTTGTGGAGTGAGTGTGTTGCTGGTTAGGAGCTGGGTACTTGTGCACACATGCAGATTGCCATCTGCGTGGGTGGGACCTTGGGGAGAGGGGAGTAAGTCAGAATGCTGACCCCTAGGAGAAAGGCTTAAGGGTCAAGGGCAGAAGAATCACTACCTAGGATAGAAGAGGGAGCTGAGACCCTGAAGGATGTGTTGGAGTCAGGAGAGAGGGGGACATGGTCCTATCTGCTGTTGAGCTTTGGCCTGCAAAGTGTGTGGATCTGTTGTATTTTATGGATACGCTTGTGCATATATCTGGCTGTGGATTTAGAGATCACTTACATCATACGTTTCTGTTCAGGATTCTGAACTTTGAGGCAATCTAGTCCTGGCTCCTCAGGAGAAGTGCCCTGGTGGGACTGAGGAAGACAATGTTAGCTGGCATCTGGCGGCTGTGCAGGCACAAACCTGCTAGGCAGCAAGTGCTTAGGGGGTTGCTGGCATCAGCTCTAGGGGAGTGCCAAATGGCTACCTAGGGGTTCCTGCCAGCCTTTCTAGACCCTGCAATACAGATATCACCCATCGTTCTTCACCTTCCCTCGCAAGATGTCACTAGCTATACCTCTCTGCTGGCAAGAGTGCCCAGGCAGTGTGGGTGGCAGCAGGGCGTGCAAGCATCAGGCGTAGGCGGTCTGGCAGCTCCAGGAGTTTGCATGGAGGTGCAGCGAGCGTGCCTGCCTGGCTGGGAAGGAAGGAGGGAGGAGGAGGGCGGAGAAGGGGAGCCAGCTCCGAGCTCCAGAGTGGCTATTTTTAGCCAGGCTATCTGATTGTTACCGGTAGGCACACAGCTGGGTGTCTCCCTGGCTCGGTGAAGCCCAGCAGGCTGAGAGGTGGGAGGTCCTTGTGGATGACTTCTTCCTGGTGTTGGTGTCTGTGGGCGGGAGCGTGCAAGGGGTAGCTTAAAAAGTGTGAGGGCAGCTGTGTACTTCAGGATGTGTTGCTTCTGTGTGTGACTTTGTCCTCTGGTGGTAATGTATGCTGTATATGTAATCGTGATCTCTGTGTATGTGCTTCACTGTTTATGAGTCTGTCTGCTGGTTGTCATGTATACTTTATGCCTGGGATATATCTAATATGCCTCAGGTGCACATGTGTGTGGGATAAAAAGGGCAAGTGCTCGTAATGCATCTAGTAGGAAACATCTTTAGACGTGTTGGTGTGTGCTTCATCCGTGTATGTTTGTATTTAGGTAGACTTTTGCTTTATATGTACGTTCGTGCCGTCTATCTGTGCATGTTGTATGAAAATATAACAGGTGTCACATGATTGCAGAATGGACTTTTAATTTTACCTGCTATCTAAGTGGGGTTTTTCTTTTTTCAAACCCATTCCTACATAGTTTAAAAATACTATGTTGTAGGGCTATGAGTAAGGTGAATTGAGGAAATAGCTCCATTTGGTGTGAAGTTTGGTCTCTTTTAGTCTTACATGGAGAGGCCCCTTGGCCCTGCTCCACAATAAGATGTAGGGTAACTAGCAGTCCATCATCTGGTAGATAGATCTGCTTGGGGATTCTGGGAACACCTGGTGGAAGGCCATGCCATGGGTGTCTTATGGGAATGAGAGTAGGAAGAAACTCTACTTCCCTCAAACAAAAGGATTTGAGTATTACTTGCCCCCAGTATTTTCGTCTCCTCTTTGTCTTCTCTGCAGAACCCAGAAGTACCATGGCTTCTGACCTAGAGAGTAGCCTCACCTCCATAGACTGGCTCCCCCAGCTGACCCTCCGAGCTACCATTGAGAAGCTTGGAAGTGCCTCCCAGGCTGGGCCTCCCGGGAGCAGCCGCAAGTGTTCACCAGGGTCACCCACAGATCCTAATGCCACCCTGAGCAAAGACGAGGCAGCAGTGCACCAGGACGGCAAGCCACGATACAGCTATGCCACTCTCATCACCTATGCCATCAACTCCTCTCCAGCCAAGAAGATGACCCTCAGCGAGATTTACCGCTGGATCTGTGATAACTTCCCCTATTACAAGAATGCTGGCATTGGTTGGAAGGTGGGAATGCTTCTATAATCTTGGCTTAGGTTTAGGCTTCAACAGCCTTTTTAGAGAAAAAGGTTTTGTTTCTTCTTGTAACCTGTTCAGTTTACTCTGGTTTGTCTCAGAGATGTGAAAACTTAAAATCTCATATGTTCTGCCCTCTACTTTTTTTTCAGAGTTGAACAACTTTTATAAGGTATATTAGGGAAACTCCAAGCCATTAAGTATAGTGATGGGGATGGCAGGACGCTGTTGCTCATCACACCCTCTTATCTTCTTTTTTTTTTTTGAGACAGAGTCTCGTACTGTCGCCTGGGCTGGGGTGCAATGGCATGATCTCGGCTCACTGCAACTTCCACCTCCCAGGTTCAAGCGATTTTCCTGCCTCAGCTTCCTGAGTAGTTGGGATTACAGGTGCCCGCCACCGTGCCCGGCTGATTTTTTGTATTTTTAGTAGAGATAGGGTTTCGCTATGTTGGCCAGGCTGGTCTCGAACTCCAGATCTCATTATCCACCCGCCTCAGCCTCCCAAAGTGCTGAGATTACAGGCATGAGCCACTGCACCCGGCCCACATCCTCTTGTCTTCTGATCCCTCAAAGAGGATATTCACTCATTTCACAAATGTTTATTGCCATTCTACGATGTTCCAGTCACTGTGCAAGGCATGGCATCACTCCTTCCTACCTAGAGGTAGGAGTCTAATCTAGAGCATCAGATTTCCATAGCTCCATTGCACAGTCATCATCTTTTGAAAAGCTGCATTCCAAGAAAAATCATAATATAATTAGGTTCTTTACAAACAGCTGGCTACCAAGCAAGTAATGAGAAGTTAAGTTGTTTGGCTGGAGATGAAGAAAGAAGGGGCTCCTCTCCTAAGCAAAGCAAGAAGGCTGATAGGCTCAATTTTTTGGAGCAGTAGCTCATTTGTCAATTGTTGAGTAGGAATAGGAACTTTATATGTAGTTCTCTCACTCTATAAATCCCCAGTTGACATACAAACCATGTAGTGAGTTGGAGACTATTGAAAGCACTCAGCTTTCTTTTCTTTTCTTTTTTTTTTTGTGGGGGTGGGGGACAGGGTCTCACTGTCCCCAGACTGGAGTTTAGTGGCGTGATATCAGCTCACCATAACCTCCGCCTCCTGGGTTCAAGCAATCCTCCTGCCTCAGCCTCCCGAGTAGCTGGGATTACAGGCGCCTGCCACTGCAACCAGCTAATTTTTTTTGTATTTTTAATAGAGACGGGGTTTCACCATGTTGGCTGGGCTGGTCTTGAACTCCTGACCTCAAATGATCCACCTCCTGCCTCAGCCTCCCAAAGTGCAGGGATTACAGGTGTGAGCCACCGTACCCAGCCTCTCTTTTTTTTTTTTTTAATTTTAAGACAGGGTCTTGCTCTGTCACCCAGGCTGGATTGTAGTGGTACAATCACAGCTTACTGCAGCTTGAACCTGGGCTCAAGCAATCCTTCCACCTAAGCCTCCTGAGTAGCTGGGACTACAGGCATACACCACCATGCACAGGAACTTTTTTTTATTTTGTAGAAATGAGGTCTCACTGTGTTGCCCAAGCTGGCCTCAGGCTTCTAGACTCAAGTGATCTTCCCATCTCGGCCTCCCAAGATGCTGGAATTACAGGCATGAGCCATTGTGCCTGGCCCATTGAGCTTTCCCTTTGTAAATATGTCCCTGCTAGCTACCATAATCCCCAATCCCACCCAACACACACATTTTTTTTTTTTTTTGAGACGGAGTTTCGCTCTTGTTCACTAGGCTGGAGTGCAGTGGCATGATCTGGGCTCACTGCCACCACTGCCTCCTGGGTTCAAGCGATTCTCCTGTCTCAGCCTCCTGAGTAGCTAGGATTGCAGACATGTGCTACCACGCCTGGCTAATTTTTGTATTTTTAGTAGAGACGGGGTTTCACCATGTCGGCTAGGCTGGTCTCGAACTCCTGACCTCAGGTGATCAGCCCACCTCAGCCTCCCAAAGTGTTGGAATTATAGGCGTGAGCCACCACGCCTGACCCCAACACACTTATACAATATTTCTTTCCTCCAAATGTGAACATTCTATGGGCTATTGAGAAAATGAAGGTGATCTGTGTTTTTGTTTCACTCAATTTATATAAAAAGTTTTAAAACATTGTTCTTTTGCTATCAGTAGGGTAGATTGAGGAACTGGGCAGATGTGATTGTGAGGCATTTATATACTTGTTACTCGGCTGGAAAGATTGAAAAACTATATAATCAGTTTTTTCAGAAGCATTAGTAATCAAATTTATAGCCATTCCCTCCCATCAGTTTAATCTCTGCATTTTTCTTATCTCATTGCTATTGCTATTTGATGCATAATTCCCTCCATCGGTGTAGTTAAGAGGTACTGAGCTTACCCTGATACTTCAACTGCATGGTGTATTATGTTTTTTTGTGTGTCCCTCTGTGTTCTATTGGAAAATGTTCTGCTCTGCATAATGCTCAGGCCTAACTTGCTTCTCTGCCTCTCCAGAATTCAATACGGCACAACCTTTCTCTCAACAAGTGTTTCCGGAAGGTGCCCAGACCTCGGGATGACCCTGGGAAGGTAAGATACTACTGTAAGCATTGAAAGGAGGAGTAGGAAGGAGAGTGAAGTAGTTGACAGTCCAGAGTCCTGTGGCTGTTTTAATTACCCAGAAGAGGAAATCATGCTAATTAGAGAAGCATCTTTATTTTTTTCTCAGAGGAAGCTTGGTTGTCAAGCTTATGGGCCCCCAGTAGAATGGGTGACTGAGAAAGACTGTGAGGCCAGGCGTGGTGGCTTATGCCTGTAATCCCAACACTTTAGGTGGCCGAGGCGGGCGGATCAACTGAGGTCAGGAGTTCAAGATCAGCCTAGTCAACATGGTGAAACCCCATCTGTACTAAAAATACAAAAAATTAGCCAGGCGTGGTGGTACATGCCTGTAATCCCAGCTACTCAGGAGGCTGAGGCAGGAGAATTGCTTGAACCTGGGAGGCAGAGGTTGCAGTGAGCTGAGATTGTGCCATTGCACTCCAGCCTGGGCAACAAGAGTGAAACTCCATCTCAAAAAAAAAAAAAAAAAAAAAGACTGTGAAATCTTTTTTTTAAAAAAATAGAAATACTTAGTGTAAAGTTGACTTTCATGCTCCCCCTTTTTTGTGTGGCACTCTTTTTTCCTAGATGTAAAAGGTAGACTTAATAACCTTTGTACAAACATCTCTATACAAAAGTCCCTGGTGTTTCCCCCGTAAAAGAGAAGGGATGGATCATTCTCTCCATTTGACAGATGTGGATGCTAAAGTCCAAGCAAGTTTTGCCTCAGGTCAGAAGGGAAGGGAGAGGCTGTGTCTGGACATTTCCAGCTCTTTGAGCTAGATGCCATTGTTCTGCCCCTCCAAAACAATCGAGGCCTGTGTTTGGACCACAGGATTACCTCTGGCATACTCAGTGAGTTTCTAGGACAAATTTGCTCTTCATTAATACCCAGAACCCTGGGAGGTTCTGAATGTAACAATTTTGTTTTCTGTGGGAATGGGATCTCCTTCCAGGGTTCCTATTGGACAATTGACACCTGCCCTGACATTTCCCGAAAGAGAAGACACCCTCCAGATGATGATGTAAGTTCCCAGCTCATGAGGAGATGCCATATCTGAGCCAGCTGCTCCTTCCACCTCCTCTTATGGACGTTCAGTCCTTTCAGAGGCAAAGGTGGAAGGAATACCAGCAGAGGGGAAACCATGGGTCTTGGGAGGATATTGCGCCTCTGCTTATAGATTTCTTTTTTTTCACAACCCTCAGCTGTCCCAAGACTCACCAGAACAGGAGGCAAGCAAGAGCCCACGGGGAGGCGTTGCAGGGAGTGGAGAAGCCTCACTGCCTCCTGAGGGGAATCCGCAGATGTCACTTCAGAGCCCCACATCTATAGCCAGCTACAGCCAGGTAGGAAGCAGATATGGCAGGGGTCATGGGATGGGTGGTGAATAGATTCAGATGTCTCCCTGTTTATTCAGAATTATGTATTGAGTATCTGTGATATATGAGGCAGATAAATTGAGAAGGAAGGGGAAGGCAAAAGAGGGAAATAGAGAGAGAGAGAAATAGAAAGGCATAGCAGAACTTTGAGAAACATCAGGAAAAAAAAGCTGGGCACAGTGGCTCATGCCTGTAATGTCAGCACTTTGGGAGGTCGAGGCAGGCGGATCACGTGAGTCCACGAGCTTGAGACCCGCCTATCCAACATGCCAAAACCCCATCTCTACAAAAATACAAAATTAGCTGGGCGTGGTGGCATGTGCCTATAGTTCCTGCTACTTGGGAGGCTGAGGCATGAGAATCACTTGAACCGGGGAGGTGGAGCCTGGGCGACAGAGCGAGACCCTGCCTCAGAAACAAACAAACAAACAAAAAAGAAGAAATGGAGACTGATGAGAGAAAGAGGGTAGATTCAAGATAAGAACTAATGAGGAAAGAAGGAGAAAATGATGCTGGGTCATTGAAGAGCTAGGCGAGGATGAAGAGGACAGACAGGAGAGCCTGGTGACCATTGAAGGGTTTTATTGGTCCCTCAGCTGGGACACTGATCAGGAATTTCTTACCTGTTTTTGCAGGGCACAGGATCTGTGGATGGTGGAGCAGTGGCAGCAGGGGCTTCAGGCCGAGAAAGTGCTGAGGGTCCCCCTCCCCTCTATAACACCAACCATGACTTTAAATTCTCCTACTCAGAGATCAACTTTCAGGATCTAAGCTGGTCCTTCCGCAACCTCTATAAGTCCATGCTGGAGAAGTCCTCTTCCTCCTCTCAGCACGGTGAGTCTGGAGTTGGGATGGGTGCAGGGAGACTTTTTTATCTTGTTGAACAAGTGGGGTGACATTTTCTTTTTTCCCTTAGTTTTTTATTTTTATTTTTTGTGAGACAGGGTCTCACTCTTTCGTCCAAGCTGGAGTGCAGTGGCACGATCTGAGCTCACTGCAACCTCCGCCTCACGGGTTCAAGCAATTCTGTCATCTCAACTTCTCGAGTATCTGGGAGTACAGGCACGTGCTACCACGCTTGGCTAATTTTTGTATTTTTTTTTTTTTTTTTGAGATGGAGTCTCGCTCTTGTCGCCCAGGCTGGAGTGCAGTGGCGCAATCTCGGCTCACTGCAACCTCCGCCTCCCGGGTTCAAGCAATTCTCCTTCCTCAGCCTCCCGAGTAGCTCAGACTACAGGCGCATGCCACACCCAGCTAATTTTTGTACTTTTAGTAGAGACAGGGTTTCACCATGTTGGCCAGGCTGGTCTCGAACTCCTGACCTCAGGTGATCTGCCTGCCTTGGCCACCCAAAGTGTTGGAATTACAGGCATGAGTCACTGTGCCTGGCTTAAGTTTTGTATTTTTAGTAGAGACAGGGTTTCACCACGTTGGCTGGGCTGGTCTCGAACTCCTGGCCTCAAGTGATCCACCCACCTTGGCCTTCCAAAGTGCTGGGATTACAGGCGTGAGCCACCGTGCCCGGCCATATTTCTTTCTTTATTTTTTTGAGGCACAGTTTCGCTCTTTGTTGCTCAGGCTAGAGAGCAGTGTCGCGATCTCGGCTCACTGCAACCTTCGCCTCCCAGGTTCAAGCAATTCTTCTGTCTCAGCCTCCCAATTAGCTGGGATTACAGGCTCCCGCCACCACGCCTGGCTAATTTTTATATTTCTTAGTAGAGACGGAGTTTCACCACGTTGGCCAGGCTGGTCTTGAACTCCTGACCTCAGGTGATCCACTTACCTCAGCCTCCCAAAGTGCTGGGATTACAGGCGTGAGCCACTGTGCCTGACCCATATTTCTTATTTTTAACACAAAGAGAGGTATCACTACTCAGAGGAAATATTTCATGAACTAAAACTGTTTGGAGTCAAGTGAGCTCATCTGTCCTTGTGCAAATACAGCTGTTTCAGGAGGCAAGCTAGGCTAATAGCTTCAGAAAGTGAATTGGAGGATTGCCCCTTCCAGGACTAAGGGCAGTGATTTTAGGGCTGCAAGTGAGTCATTTGGAGGACGACCACGAGGGGGCAGCAGCAGTACCCTCTCCTGAAGAATCCCTGCGTTTCATTGTGAGAACAGTTTCTTTTTAGTGTATTTACATTTATGTTACTTTTATTGTGAAAAATTGCAAACAGATGCAAAAGTGTGGAGAAAAATATAATAAACCCCTGTGTTCCATCCCCCAACTTTAAGTTATCAGTATTTTATTAGGCTTGTTTTGTTTACCACTGAGCCTTCTAAAAATTGGAGTAATTTAATGGAATTCACATATACCATGTCATTCCACTCATAAATACAACTTCGATATACACCTCTAAATGATGACTTTCTTCTAGTTATCTACCATGACATTATCATTCCTAACATAATTGATAATACATCCTTAATATCAGCTAGTATCTTGTCCGTGCACATTTTCCTAATTATCATATGAGAATGACTTAAAGTTTTTACTGGGAGGCCCCTTGAGAGAACATCTGGTTCGGCCCTCTGCAATATCTGTGTGTTCGTTTTTTAAATAACTTAGAGACAGTGGTGAAGTTGATTTCAGGTGAGGCATTAGACCTTCTCATTCTGTGCAGTAGCCCTATGTTGGCAGCAGGGGCTGAATGGAATGATAAAAACTGGTTAGGAGTCACTTTTTGGAAAACTTATATTCATTTTCATGAATTTCTTCTTGTATATCACAGGGGATCAATTCCTAGAGTAGTGTCCAAGACTGTAGCATTTGCTCAAAAAATGAATCCGACTCAGGTGGTTGGTTGATTGGAGGAGGGAACATGAGAAACTGTCAGAAATAAAGTAAAAAATTAGATTGGGTGAGGACAGCCTAGAGTTCACTCAAGTTTTATTGTGACCGAAAGCCCCTAGTCTCAGACTTTTGTTCTTCCCAGCCTGTCTGCTTGAGAAATAACTCCATCCTGTCTCTGCTCCTTACCCAAGCTACATTTGTTTATAGAGGGTACAGGAATGACTTGGCAGTAGCAGAGTGTAGAGAAAATAAGGGGCCGGTCGTGGTGTCTCATGCCTGTAATCCCAGCACTTTGGAAGGCCAAAGTGGGCGGATCACCTGAAGTCAGGAGCTCGAGACCAGCCTCAACATGGAGAAACCCCGTCTCTACTAAAAATACAAAATTAGCCAGGCGTGGTGGTACACACCTGTAGTCTCAGCTACTCGGGAGGCTGAGGCAGGAGAATTGCTTGAACCTGGGAGGCGGAGGTTGCGGTGAGCCGAGATCGCACCATTGCACTCCAGCCTGGGCAACAAGAGCGAAACTCTGTCTCAAAAAACAAAAAACGGAAGGAAGAGGAGATAGTAGACAACTGATGGCTTTGTTTTGTTTCTGATTTACTTTTTTTTTTTTCCCTAAACACTAGATGACCAGGGATGGTTTCCTTTTTAAAGTTCACCTGCTGGGAAACTGTGATTTCAGGCCTTCAGCCAAATCCCTAAAAAGTAGCATTAAATGCTACACACTGACCTTTTTAGTAAGATTTCAGTGGTCTCCACACTGTCAGGGCCCTCCTCTAACCTAAGTGCCTTCCTGTCTCTTGTACCTGCCAGGAGGGCCACAGGGATCTTTGCTGCCCTAGAATGTTCTTACCCTTTTAACTCCACAGTTTTAGTCTGAGGCTTCCCATCTCAACCCAGGGAAAATCCCATTTTGTGAAAAATGCATTGCTTAAGTCACTTGCCTGCTTCCTCCCCACCTGCAGGCTTTTCTTCTCTCCTGGGGGACATCCCACCCTCGAACAACTACTACATGTATCAGCAGCAGCAGCCACCGCCACCTCAACAGCAGCAGCAGCAGCAGCAGCCGCCACAGCCACCTCCCCAGCAGTCCCAGCCACAGCAGCAGCAGGCACCTGCCCAGGGCCCCTCAGCTGTAGGGGGTGCTCCTCCACTGCACACCCCAAGCACAGATGGTTGTACCCCACCAGGGGGAAAGCAAGCTGGGGCGGAAGGCTATGGGCCTCCCCCTGTAATGGCCATGCATCCACCCCCGCTGCAGCATGGAGGCTACCACCCTCATCAGCACCATCCCCACTCCCACCCTGCCCAGCAGCCACCACCTCCACAGCCACAGGCACAAGGCCAGGCTCCCATCAACAACACTGGCTTTGGTGAGTAAGGAGGGTGCACAGTGATCTAGAGGAGGGTGGGGTGATGTCCTTGTCCTAACACCGGCATGGAGGTGCAGTTAGTTAGGAAGTTAATGATGGGTCTTTTAGGCTTCGCTCCTTCATGTGAGCTAATCTGAACAAAGTTACTACTTAGAGCTCTGTCTTATAGAATTCCTGGATCAATTGAGATTGTTTTACATATTCTCCTGACTATGAGCCTGGCTGTACTTAAAGCGTAGCTAGCTTTTCCAGTCCTAAACTCCCAGGGAGGGAGAGTCCAAAACTTGGAAATGCAACTGCTAATCTGTATAGATGCAAGAATCTTGCATGTAGTCAGCCTGGTATCAGTTGACTGCTGTCTTACACTTCACTCTATCTTATTATCCACTTTCCCCTCCTCTTTACAGCCTTTCCTTCTGACTGGTGCTCTAATATTGACTCTTTAAAGGAAAGCTTCAAGATGGTGAATCGGCTCAATTGGTCCAGCATTGAGCAGTCACAATTCTCAGGTTAGTGATCAAAGGACGAAGGAAGAGAGGGATACACTGTAAGGGAAAACCCAGTAGAAACTGGAACCGGAAGGGGGTGGTTAAATGAAGTTGCAGAAATGAGGATTTCATTGTTTTTCTTTCTTTTTACACAAGATGGATCATATTTACATTATTTTCAAATTAACTCAAATTAATCTTGTCTTAACTGAAAATGTGGCAGTGAATAATCCTAGTCCATTCTGTCTTTGGGAGGGAGAAGGCCCTCAGGAATTTAGAGACCGTGGACCACGATTTTGTAGTTTTGTCACCACTCACTGACAGTGTGACCTTGGCTGAGTCACTCAGTCACATTGAAAGTTTATCTTACTCATCAGTAAGATGGCAATTATAAGAATTTGGTAAGGGATCAAATAGAATGAGAGTTTGAAAATGCAGAGCTCTGAAAGATATAAATTGTTATTGTTAGTGCCCGTTATCAGTGGGGGTGATTGATGGTGTGTTTGGAACAGTGAGATAGGGCGGGGTCTGATAGGGGCTTCCTACCTCTGCAAGGTTTGCATTGCTTGCTTCCCTCTTTGTAGAACTGATGGAGAGTCTACGACAGGCAGAGCAGAAGAACTGGACCCTCGACCAGCATCACATTGCCAATCTGTGTGACTCCCTCAACCACTTCCTTACTCAGACTGGTCACGTGCCCCCTCAAGGGGGTACCCACCGCCCACCAGCCCCTGCCCGTATTGCTGACTCCTGTGCCCTCACCAGTGGCAAACAGGAGTCAGCCATGAGCCAAGGTACTGCACCAAGCCAGTTGCCATGGAGGTGGAGACTATGTTGAAAAGGAAGCATAGGAGAAAGGCAAAAGAGAACTGAGAGAAAGGATTTTATGGGGCAGTGACCCAAATTGAGCAGTGGAACTAGTTTATCAGTTGACTGAATATCTGTTGAATCAGTGAAGTCCTAAACTGAAAAATGCAAAAGAAATAGACTGTATGATTCCTTTTTAGACCTCAGTTTGGGAGATCAGAATTGTTTAAGAAAAGGGAGGAGATTTGTTAGAGAAAGGCTGTATTTTAAATTTGCGTCTCAGTAATCCCTACCGCCTGGGTGATACCGGATGAAATGGTGGTTCTATGCTTATGTGATGTTCAAACTAGTGAAATGAGAGAGATGTCATGATTATGTTCCTGTTTCTTGCTTTTTGTTTTTGAGATGGGGTCTCGCTCTGTCGCCCAGGCTCTGGAGTGCAGTGGTGTGATCACGGCTCACTGCAACCTTGACCCCTGGAGCTCAGGTGATCCTCCCACTTTAGCCTCCTGAGTAGCTGGGACTACAGGTGTGTACCACCATGCCCAGCTAATTTTTTTTTTGTATTTTGTGTATAGCTGGGGTTTCACCGTGTCGCCCAGGCTATCTTCAAACTCTTGGACTCAAGGGATCTACCCACCTCGGCTGCCCAAAGTGTTGGGATTACAGGCATGAGCCACCATACCTGGCCCTGTGTTTCTATATTTTTCTTCCTTATATCTTTCCTATTTCACAATTGTACTATCCATTTCTTTTTACCCTCAGTGGTGAGGACTGACAGCTTCTGCAGAAAGCCTTCATGCCTGCAGGAGCTACAGAACAGGGCAGGGAAGAGAGAAGGAGGATGGGAGCAAGGGTATATTTTTTTCTTCCCTGCTTTGTTGAGTACAGTGACCCGCCCCCCCCAACTCAAGTAACTCTTGTCTTGCTTTGGCAGTGAACTCTTATGGGCACCCACAAGCTCCCCACCTCTACCCTGGCCCATCACCAATGTACCCAATCCCCACCCAGGACTCAGCAGGATACAATCGCCCAGGTAAGAGCTAAGAAGCTTGTTTCAAAACCGTTGTACTCTGATGAGTTGCTTTGCTTTCCTTTGACTCTGAGCTGGCATTCTGTGCATTTTTGCCTGCATCTCGCTGGAGGGAATGAGCCTTTATAATTCCCAAGGCTGGAGGATGGGTTACCTGCTAAGAAGGTGTGTGTCGGGGAGACTAACGAAGACAGTGTCCCCTCCCCTCCCTTCCCCTCCCTTCCTTTCCCTTCCCCTTCCCTTCCCTTCCCCTTCCCTTCCCCTTCCCTTCCCCTTCCCTTCCCCTTCCCTTCCCTTTCCTTCCCCTTCCCTTCCCCTTCCCCTTCCCTTCCCCTTCCTTTCCTCTTCCCTTCCCCTCCCTTCCCTTCCCCTTCCCTTCCCTTTCCTTCCCCTTCCCTTTCCCTTCCCTTCCCTTTCCTTCCCCTTCCCCTTCCCTTGCCCTTCCTTTCCCCTTCCCTTCCATTCCCTTTCCCTTCCCTTCCCCTTCCCCTTCCCTTCCCTTCCCTTTCCCTTCCCCTTTTCTTTTCTTTTCAACAGAGTCTCGCTCTGTTGCCCAGGCTGGAGTACAGTGGTGCGATCTCAGCTCACTACAACCTCCACCTCCTGGGTTGAAATGATTCTCCTGCTTGAGCCTCTCAACTAGCTGGGACTACAGACCCACACCACCATGCCTGGCTAATTTTTGTATTTTTAGTAGAGACGGGGTTTTGCCATGTTGGCTAGGCTTGTCTTGAACTCCTGACCACAAGTGATCCACCTGCCTCTGCCTCCCAAAGTGCTGGGATTACAGGCGTGATCCACTGGCCCCGGCTAGATGTACTTTAAAATTAGCAACTGCAATAGTAAAAGGAAGTGAAAGCATACATATAAGCAAAAGATAGCTATGTGCAACATTTTTGTGTGGCTTTGGAATCTAGATGGAAGATGTGCTCAGGCAAATAAAATGAATTTGTTATCCACACATACTTGCTGTGTGCCCATGTCTGCTTTCCTGTCACCTGATCTCTAGAATCAGGGGTCTGGGACTGAAGTATCTCTGATAGTGGGGGTGGGGCAGGGAGACACTAAATTGCCACAGACAGAACAAAATGAACAGGTCCTTCACATTTAGACACATAGAAAAATCACTGTTATTCTGCCTAACCACACGTGTTTTCAATTTTGGGGGTGACATCTGACTCTCTCTATTCTTTGTCCATATAATATAAATACAGATTTCTATACTGCTATTTCATGTGATATTATCTTCTGTTTGTTTGTTTGAGTCAGAGTCTTTTTCTGTTGCCCAGGCTGGAGTGCAGTAGGCAATGGTGTGATCCTGGCTCACTGCAACCTCCGCCTCCCAGGTTCAAGTGATTCTCGAGCCTCAGCCTCCCGAGCAGCTGGGATCACAGGCGCCCGCCACTGTGCCTGGCTAATTTTTATTTTTTAGTAGAGACAGGGTTTCACCATGTTGGCCAGTCTGGTCTAGAACTCCTGACCTCAAGTGATCCACCCATCTCGGCCTCTCAAAGTGCTGGGATTATAGGCATGAGCCACCACGCCCAGCCATATGATATTATCTTCTGTATGTTATTTTATCATTATCATATGTTTTCAGAAGTACAATTTTTTTTTTTTTTTGAGACGGAGTCTCGCTCTATCGCCCAGGCTGGAGTGCAATGGCACGGTCTTAGCTCACTGCAAGACCTCCCGGGTTCATGCCATTCTCCTGCTTCAGCCTCCCGAGTAGCTGGGACTACAGGCACATGTGACCACACCCAGCTAATTTTTTGAGTTTTTAGTAGAGATGGGGTTTCTCCATGTTGGCCAGGCTGGTCTCGAATTCCTGACCTCGTGATCCGCCTGCCTTGGCCTCCCAAAGTGCTGGGATAACAAGTGTGAGCAACTGTGCCTGGCGTCAGAAGTATAATTGTTAATGGCAGCATAATATTTAATTGCTGTGGAATGTAATTTACTCTAGTTTATTTCCTGAGACCTCACTGAAATGGTGACCTGCAACCAAAATTAACTCCAGCTGATAAGGGCGATAGCCTCACAAGGCCTTCTTCGTGGTGTTATCTGGGGCTGAGCACTGTCCTTGTAAATTGAGGGAACAGCTTCCCATCCACTCTCCTTTTACTCTCTTTCTTTCTTTCTAACAGCACACCATATGGTCCCTCGGCCATCAGTGCCACCTCCTGGTGCCAATGAGGAGATCCCTGATGACTTCGACTGGGACTTGATCACTTAGTGCATCACAGAGTGTGGACATCAGCCCAGGGCCGCGTGGTGAAATCTGGCAGTGGGGAAAGAGCAACCCCAGCCCGTCCCTTCCCCCCGTCTGTATATAGACATATATCCTCTTTTTGTTCTTTCTCTGTCAGAGAAGCCACTGCAAGATGCTGCCGAAGATAACCCTCTCTTTCCTGCCTCATTCTTCTCTCTTCCTTCCTGTTTTTTCCTAGTTCTTTTATTATTATTCTTATATTATTATTATTATTATTGGTTATATACTGTCCATAGTCTCCTGTCCCTACATCATGGATCATGTCCACCTTTTGCTAATTTAAAATCATCAGGCTGGAAGATGAAGCCATGATAGCTACAGAGAAAGGTTTTAGACTCCAGTTTACCTTTCTCTTGGAGAAACTCAATGCTAATCCCACCTTTTGGCCCTAAATTGTTTTTTGTTCCCATCAGTTTCAGGCCAGGACTGGAGAGGCCACATTACCAAGTAGAAAGGGTCTGAAACATTACTTGGCAGCCAAGAATTTGGAGGTTTTAAAATGGTGCTAATTCTGTCCTCTGAGGTCTTCCTTGTCCCTTTATACCTTCAATCCTTACTTCTGCCAGTCTGTATTTCCTATCAAGGGTGAAAGTGATGATGGTGGTGCAGGAGGGTGACAATAAAATCCTAGTGGAATTGGAGACCATTGGAAGGGATGGAATATAAGTCAGTGTGAAACTGAGTATACACTGCCATGTTACATCAGTGTCCATTGGCTTGTTTTGAGCCTGTTCTCTAAGAAGATAGGATTGGTTTTAGCCCAAACTCTGCTTCTATGGTAGGGCATGAGGACAACTATTCAGCATGGTTTTAGCTTCTTGGAGATGATTCCAACTTAACTATTTTGGCTTTTTAAACATAATTTTCTCTGAAAATTAATTGTGGCTCTTATTTGCATTTACGAATGATCTTCCCATCCCTTTTTCCCATTCAGCAAATATTAGTTTGTCCTCCTTTAATTGTTTGCCCAAATCTTCCACCCATCTTTTTTCTTCCCTCATTTTCTGGGATTCTCAAGAAAGAAAAAGTAACCCATTATCACTCTGAGTTTCGTCGTGCCCTGAGACATGATGGGAATCTCATTCCCACCTCTCATAGCAGAGCCAAACCTTTAGTGTTGGTGGTAGGAGGATGGGGAGAGGAAAAAAGAGCTGGCAAAGAAATGGATAGGGAATATTTTAGTTCTTTAAATATATAGGCAGATGCTTCTCTTGGAATCCAGATCATCTGGCTGAAGCTTTTGCAAGTAGGCTTTGAGGGGTGAAGGAGATTGGTGGAGGAGAGTAAATAATCTAGAGGCAAGAGTTCAGTGAGGGCCAAGGGGGACCCCCAGAAAAAGGTATGGAGCTAACTCATCTCTTTTACAAGGGGTGGCCATGACTTACTGTTGCAAAGTACTCAGTGTATATTTAATGTTGATTGTTGAATTTTAGTTACGAGAGGGAAGAACAATTTTACTTCTGTCCTTATTTCACTTGCTGAAAAGCTGTGGGACAAAATGTATGGAATAGACAAGGCCACTTTCTTTGTGATTTCTGCTTTTCATGCATATTATTTTATTTACCCATAATTTCCAAGAGGTTTGGCGTTCCGCTCTCCTGCTTTTTTCTTTCATCCACCCCTTTCCTTTTTTTGGAAGGGGGTTATATATGAGAGTTCATTGAAGAAGTCCAGTGAGGCTGAAGTAAAGGGGCAAGATAGGGCAGTTAACTAAAGAGCACTTTATTTCTTTGAAGCCTTTCTAAGAAAGAAATGGGGGTGCGAGTGGCTTGAATCTCCCATGATGTTGGAGGGCACTTAGTGGGGTTGAAGTATGACATAATATTTCCCATTGGGGAAAGGAGAATTTCTCTTAGAGGGTGGCAAAATGCCTTTGCCCAGTGTCCCTATTTTAGGCATCTTTTCCTTCCTTATTCCTTCCAGTCAGGGTGTGTCCTATACAAAACTTCCCATCAGTTCTCCTCAATATTCCCCATTTGTAAATGATCACTTCTCTTTTCTAAACCCTTTTCCTGTTCAGATCCATACAGGATTTGCAAGGGTAGGATCATACATGCAAATGCCCCTTGTTCATCTGTGTCTTCTGCAAACTAGTCTCATGAAGAATTCTGGCGTGCAGCCAGGGTAGCTGAAGTTTGG
Source organism: Homo sapiens (assembly GCF_000001405.40). Classification (NCBI taxonomy): domain Eukaryota; kingdom Metazoa; phylum Chordata; class Mammalia; order Primates; family Hominidae; genus Homo; species Homo sapiens. The sequence continues at coordinate 8,055,026 of NC_000012.12, forward strand.
GTCTGGGACTGGAGATTGGCCATTAGGCCTCCTGAGATTCCAGCTCCCTTCCACCAAGCCCAGTCTTGCTACGTGGCACAGGGCAAACCTGACTCCCTTTGGGCCTCAGTTTCCCCTCCCCTTCATGAAATGAAAAGAATACTACTTTTTCTTGTTGGTCTAGCATTGCTGGACACAAAGTGTAGTCATTATTGTTGTATTGGGTGATGTGTGCAAAACTGCAGAAGCTCACTGCCTATAAGAGGAAATAAGAGAGAAAGTGGAGGAGAGGGACAAAAGGAGTAATTATTTGGTATAGATCCACCCATCCCAACCTTTCTCTCCTCAGTCCCTGCTCCTCATGTTTCTGGTTTGGTGAGTCCTTTGTGCCACCACCCATAATGCTTTGCATTGCTGCATCCTGGGAAGGGGGTATATGGTCTCACAAGTTGTTGTCATTGTTTTTTTGCATGCTTTCTTAATAAAAAAAAAAAAAGAATGTTTACAGTTTTATCTTACTGGTAGTGGTCTCAAGTTTCTTTTGGCCAGGGAAGGAAAAGAGAAACGTGAAAGAATTTAGTCTCAGTTCGTCTTTATTCCTCTTCCACCTTCCACCACTGGGTTGAATTAGTTGACCCTGACACGTTTTGTGACCTTGGTGGGAAAGAAGAATCAAAGGCACGTCCTTAACGTGCCTCTTTTCAAATGCTATCAAGTATGATGACATATTGCGGGAGAGTCAGTCACCCCTTGTAGGTTGGTATATGGAGTAGGCCCACCTTGCTTGCATTTTAGGATAGTTTAAAGATTTAAGATATTATACTTTGGGGCTGGGCGTGGTGGCTCATGCCTATAATCCCAGCAGTTTGGGAGGCCGAGGCAGGCAGATCACCTGAGGTCAGGAGTTCGAGCTCAGCCTGACCAACATGGTAAAACCCCGTCTCTACTAAAAACACAAAATTAGCCGGGCGTGGTGGTGCATGCCTGTTATCCCAGCTACTCTGGAGGCTGAGGCAGGAGAATCGTTTGAACCTGGAAGGCGGAGGTTATAGTAAGCCAAGACTGCACTGTTGCACTCCAGCCTGGGTGACAAGAACGAAACTCTCTCTCAAAAAGAAAAGATATTGGTTGGGCGCGGTGGGTCACACCTGTAATCCCAGCACTTTGGGAGGCCGAGGTGGGCAGATCACAAGGTCAGGAGTTCGAGACCAGCCTGGCCAACATGGTGAAACCTCATCTCTACTATAAATACAAAAATTAGCCGGGTGTGGTGGCAGGCGCCTGTAATCCCAGCTACTTGAGAGGCTGAGGCAGAAGAATTGCTTGAACCCGAGAGGTGGAGGTTGCAGTGAGCTGAGATCGTGCCAAGTGTGCCACTGTGCTCTAGCCTGGGCTACAGAGTGATACTTCATCTCAAAAAAAAAAAGAAAAGATATTATACTTTGGACAGGAGCTGTGTTCCCATCTGGGACTTCCTGGAGAAGATACAGTACAAAATAGTTACAGGTACTCACCAGGTTTTCATCAGAAATGAGGGAGCTCTAATTGTAGGAATTTCTTCAGAATACATTTCCAAAGCAAATGGAAAAGAAAAGGAGTCCAGAAATGCTGATTACTCGTTGTACATTAAATCTTTATAACTGCGTCAAGATTATTCACCTTGATATCCTATACACTAACCCCAGGAGTTTAGGTCTTATTCCCAGGGTCTTATGGGATGTGCTGGGGTTTCTGGAAGCCTGGCTAATTGCTATTATAGCAAGTCTATAGTCACTCACTAGGAGACTTATTTGCTGCATATTTAGAGATGTGATATATTCTGAATGTGAAACAAAAGGATTCATAAATCTCTGAGCCTCGCAAGGACCCATGAGAAAAAAAGCATTTATTCATATCAAATATATAAGCAAATTAATATATAAGCTGGAAAGGTAGCACTTCAAATCTTATGTCAGACATTCTTCACAACTGAAAGAATTCCTAGTGATTTGTAATTTTTCTGCATATACTTTATAAAAAATCTGTAGTCCAGACCCTCACCTCAGCCATTGAACAGATAGTGTCTTGCAGGTCTAAAACACATGTCATTTTCTGTTTTTAGACTACATCATTGTATTTGGTTTAGATGAGGCCACGTTGTGATACAAACAAGCCAGAAATTTCAGACGTTTGACACAAACATTTATATATACAGAAAAATGAGAAGGTGGTAGGGAGTTAGGTAATTTTGTTTTAAATGAAAAAGGGACAGAAGGAAAGCTATATAAATGGTTGGAGTGTATAGACAAAGTAGAAGAAAAATATGTGGTCATGAATGAATTAAAATATGGTTATTAATGAATGTTGGGATGCTGGATAAACAAATTAAAAATATGGGGTGCTTGGATAAACATCTTCATCTTTCAAAACAAGAAGTCGTTTTATCATGCCTCCAGAAAAGAGCAGCATAAGCACATGATTTAGAAACATCATGATAATTATCAAAGGAAACATCTAAAATTGTGCAAGGATTATCTCTGGGAAATGAGAGTGGGAGGAGGGAACTTTTGGGCACAGTGAGGTAGGAGACCTCATATTTCATTATATACCTTATTAAATTATTTTAAAACTATGTGCATGTATTACTTTGGCAAAGAAAAGGATTTAAAAAACCCAGAAGATATATTTGGTAATTTTGGCATGTAAGTTGCCTGTCGTCATGTTTTAAAATGTGATGGCAAGCCTGGTAGGGTACTCAGTTGCAGAGAGTAGAAGAATTGCTGCTCCATCCTCCACCCTCTTTCTCCTTCCACTTGAAATACTTTCTTAGAAAGTATTCATTTGGAGCAAGAGGAAGGGAGTAACTAGAATCTTACGAAATTAGAGGTTGTTTGAGGCACAAAGTCTGATGTGGAAGATTTGGAGGCTGGGGAGTAATAAGGAAATTAAGGAGCTTAGGAAGAGGAGTGGAAAATAGGTGCCCAACCGGTAGGCAGTTAGAAGAAACAGAACTCCCCAAACCACAGCTTTCATAACATTTCATGAGTCAGTTTTCACACAATAGATGCTTATTTAGTTGTAATAGTGGAAACTCTATGTAATAGTGGAAATTTCTATATCCTGTACCCAGGGGTGTTCCCAGGGACAGGCATCATTGCATAACCCTATGCTCCAGACTCAGTCTCATGGCTTCTTGTCTTCACAGGCATTTTCTTTTTGCACTTTCTTTTCGTTTAAAACCATCAACACCACACGACAACAAAGCATTAGGATATATGATCATCTTTCACTCACGTAGGAGAACAAGAAATGGTTTTAAATGGAATCTGGAAGACTTAGACAATGCTAAGGAAAAATTTAATGATGGAAATATCGACAAATATTCAACATCATTTAAAAACAAAGTAGCTTCTCTTATTTCACATAGCTTAGTTTGGGATAGAAATAGAACTAATGTTTACAATGATTCTTACATTTAGCATTAATCAGAAACGAGGGTTTGTTAAGTGCCCTTGCTGGGTCCCAACCCCCAGAGATTCCGATTCAGCAAGTCTGGGATGCGGCTTGAGAATTTGCATTTCTAACAAGTTTCTAGGTGATGCTGATGTCAATAGTCTGTGTACCGTTTGAGAACCGCTGGATTGATTCTTTGACAGTTTTTGAAGTCCGCTGCTCACCATATCACTTCATCCTCTTATAAACTTTCACTATGTGATTGCCTAAGAGCCCCTGCTTGTTGGCTGCTCCACATTTTCACACAGTTGTACTATTTCTTTCTGAAATGACATTGTTTGAGGGACAGTGGGTGGAACGTGTGAGCTCCTCACTGAAGGCTGCCTCCAGAATTCCCTGAATGGACTGCCTTGCTTTCTTCCTAAAATCTTTCCCCAAGAGGGCATAAAGGAAGGGATTAAAGCAACTATTGGCAGATGCTAGAGCAATGCATACATGATCCCAGGACATCAGAGTTTTCCCCAAGGGAGTTTCTGGGTCAGTAAGCAATGACAGGACTCCAAAAATGTGGTATGGAGTCCAGCAGACAAGAAAGACAGCCACCACCACCACGGCCACTCGAAAGGTTTTGCTCTGAGACTTGGCGAAGCGGCCCCTTTGCATTCGGAAGACAATGAAGCTGTAACAGGCTATCATGATAACAGAGGGCAGCAGGAAACCCACCACTAGCCTAGTGATCGTTATTGCCACGAGGGGTGTTGGCACTTGATCGTCATCTGTGAATTGGCCTAAATTGTAATAATCCTGGAAACCTTGTGGTAGCTCAGACTCGTAGAAGGAATTGCTAGAAGCGCTAGGGAACAGCTTTAAATGAGTAGAGAGAAAAGCATCAGAGTTATCCAGTGGGCTGGTTTCGTGATCTTCAATAGGAAACCCACTGGGGATTTTAGGTGAGACCACATCAGCAGGTTTAAATACATTAGAATACAGATTTTGACTTGTTAACCTAGCAGAACCCCTAGGGAGTGAATCTGCAGAAGGTCTTTGAAATGTTTGAGGTTGGAAGACAGTGGGGACTGTCCAAGGATGATCATTTGTTTGGAAAGAGGAAGGATCTAACCTATCATTCATTTCTCCAGGCGGCTGAACAATGTTTTCAAGAGACCTGTTTTCTAGTGGATCTCCATAAAAGTCTGGATAATCTAATGAGCTGGAGAGACCAAATTTGTAGCCACATCTATTATGGTTGTCTGTAGTGAAGATTTCCCGGTACACGAACACAGGAATGCACATCACAAAAGCCACCACCCAGATACATCCACAGATAGAGCAGGCCATCCCTACATTGCGATGATTCTGACACCAGATTGGCTTGAATACCACAAGACAGCGATCCAGGCTAATGGCAGTAAGCAGGAAGACACTGGCAAACATGTTGAGGACAATGATGGAGGGGATGAGCTTGCATAGGAACCTGCCGTAGGGCCACTGTCCCTGGAGAGCCAAGTGAGCCAGCGAGAAGGGCAAGGAGAGGCAGCAGAGGAGGTCCGCCAAGGTGAGGTGGAGGAACCAAATTGTGTTCACTGTCCGCTGCATCTTCAGGCCAGCCACCCACAGCACCAGCCCATTGCCTGGCAATCCCAGTAAAAAAGTAAGGCTGAGAATGACCATGGAGAGAATTACTGGGGGCTCATTCCATGGCTGTGAGAGTAGGTCAGTTGAATTGGTCTCAGCAGAGAAAGACGCCATTGCTAAACTTCTGCAAAAAGATGAAAAAAATGTTAAAACAAACAGTATCTTTTTGAAAATGCATACATATTCTTAGGATTCTAATCTTCCCACATAAAGATGTGGGATCATGAAACCAGAAGGTCCTCACGCTGTTTTAGTTTGCCTTCCTTCACCTCACACGGGACCACATAAAAGCATTCTCTGATAGACAATTATATTTATTTATTAATTTATTAATTATTTTTCAGACAGAGTCTTCCTCTGTCGCGCAGGCTGGAGTGCAGTGGATTGATTTCAGCTCACTGTAAGCTCCGCCTCCCGAGTTCAAGCGATTCTCCTGCCTCAGCCTCCAGAGTAGCTGGGATTACAGGCGTGCACCACCACGCCTGGCTAATTTTTGTATTTTTAGTAGAGACGGGGTTTTGCCATGTTGGCCAGGCTGGTCTTGAACTCCTGACCTCGGGTGATCTGCCTGCCTTGGCCTCCCAAAGTGCTGGGATTATAGGCATGAGCCACCATGCCCATCCTATGATAGACAATTTAAAATCTACTGTATTGATTTATGTGTGTATCAAAATCACAGCCTCATCTGGAAGTCCATATTAGTGTAAATTTCTCCTCTTTCTTGTACTTTCAATCTTGGTTTTTCCACTGGCTCCTTTCTTCACCCAGTGTGTTTAAAAATAAACAAATAAGCTAAATAAGTAAACACACAAAAATATCTGGACTGGAGGTCTCCAACCTGAGGTCACGAAAGGGTTTTAGGAAGTTCCATCACCACCTAAAATGATATGCAAAACTTCAACTTTACATATTCTCATTTCTCTGAGGGCAGAAGCTTCATCCACTCTCCCCACCAGATTTTCAGAGGACTCGCCGCCACAGAAAGAGGTACTCTAGACTCAGCGATGTCTTTTAGATACAACTCCATCTCCTTTTGCTTTCAAATTTTCCAAGAGTTGTTGGCCCTCTGCATTGACTTCCTCACTACCTATCATTTCTTTCTTATTTATTTGTGTTTTATGACCGTAACTTGGGAAAAGAGCTTTATTATTACAAAAGCAAAAAATATGCATGAAGAAAATTGGAAAATATAGACAAACAAAAAAGAAAATAAAAATATACTCACTAGTCAGTGATTATTATTTTAGCACCTGAATTTATATCCTCTTGACCTTTTTTTATGTGTGTGTGTGCATTTAGGTATACACATGCGTATCTTTAGACAGCAGGGGCTGTGATGGCTAGAAGCCTTCTAATATGTGGGACAGTGCTTCATTTATTTATTTATTATTATTATTATTATTATTTTTGAGACAGAATCTCCCTCCGTCATTCAGGCTGGAGTGCAGTGATACAATCTCGGCTCACTGCAGCCTCTGCCTCCCGGGTTCAAGCAATTATCGTGCCTCAGCCTCCTGAGTAGCTGGGACTGCAGTTGCCCACCAACGTACCAACTAATTTTTGTATTTTTAGCAGAGACAGGTTTTGCCATGTTGGCCAGGCTACTCTTGAACTGCTAGGCTCGAGTGATCCTCCCTCCTCTCCCTCCCAAAGTGCTGGGATTACAGGTGCGAGCCACCGCGCCTGGCCCTAACAAAAAAATTTTAATTGCCAAACACATGTATCATAACATTTACCATCTTCACCATTTTTAAGTACACAGTTCAGTAGTGTTTACCATATTCACGTTGTACAACCAATTTTCAGAACTTTTTCATCTTACAAAACTGAAAATGTGCTCAGGAAAGAATTCCCCATTTTCTCCTTTTCTCAGCCCCTGGCAATCACCATTGTACTTTCAATTTCTATGAATTCGACTACTTTAGATATCTGATCTAAGTGGAATCACACAGTATTTGTCTTTTTGTGTCTGGTGTATTTCACTTAGCATAATGTCTTCAAGCTTCCTCCGCGTTGTGGCATGGGTCAGAATTTTCTTTCTTTTTAAGGCTGAATAATATTCCATTGTAGGTCTATACTTCATTTTGTTTATCCAGTCATTCCACAGAGGACATCTGGATTGCTTTCACCTTTTGACTATTGTGAATTATGCATCAATGAACATGGGTGTAAATACATATTTTTTATACATTTTTTTCTTTTTTCAGTTAGCAGTCTCCACATTATACAATATGTACCATAAGGAATACCCGACCTTTATCTGTTTTGTTTCTGTTTGTAAAGATGGGGTCTTGCTATGTTGCTCAGGCTGGTCTCCAACTCCTGGGCTCTACTGATTCTTCCTCGGCCTCCCGAAGTGCTGAGATTACAGGCACGAACCACCATGCCCCCCCTTTTATATGATTATTTTTCAACTGTCCCTAAGACATCTTTTATAGCTGGCTTGTCCACGACAATATCTACTTCAGATCGCACTTTCTTCTTAAGTCTCTTAATTTAGCATAATTTCTCTTTTTCAAGGATACTGCTTTGTTTTGGGGCCTACGCCTACTGTTCTGAACACTAACTTCTTCTTTTTTTCTTTTTTCTTGAGATGGAGTTTCGCTCTTGTTGCCCACGCTGGAGTGCAGTGGCGCGATCTTGGCTCACTGCAACCTCCTCCTCCCGGGTTCAAGTGATTCTCCTGCCTCAGCCTCCCAGTAGCTGGGATTACAGGCATGCGCCACCATGCCCGGCTAATTTTTTTTTGTATTTTTAGTAGAGAACGGGGTTTCTCCATGTTGGCCAGGATGATGTTGATCTCCCGACCTCAGGCGATCCGCCCGCCTCGGCCTCCCAAAGTGTTGGGATTACAGGCGTGAGCCACCGCGCCCGGCCCTTTTTTTTTTTTTTTTTTTTTTTTTTGTGATGGAGTCTCGCTCTGTCTCCCAGGCTGGAGTGCAATGGTGCGATCTCGGCTCACTACAGCCTCCGCATCCCGGGTTTAAGCAATTCTTCTGCCTCAGCCTCCCGAGGAGCTGGGATTACAGGCGTGTACCACCACGCCCGGCTAATTTTTGTATTTTTAGTAGAGACGGGGTTTCACCATGTTAGCCAGGATGATCTTGATTTCCTGACCTGGTGATCCGCCCGCCTCGGCCTCCCAAAGTCCCGGGATTACAGATGTGAGCCACCAGGCCCGGCCGGCCACCAACTTCTTAATTCTTTGTAATGTATCTTCTGCTTCCATAATTCTGCTAAAATTACTTCTAAAAACCAAATCCAAACGTTTGTTTCTCAGTCACCTTCCACAATATGTGTCATTAGATACACTGACTTCTTAACACTCTCTTCTCTTGGCCTCTGTGATATTACCTTCCCCTAACTGTGAACATGCTCGTAAATGTACCCTGCTTTATAGCTTTCCTGAACAATTCACTATTCCAACTTAATGCCATTTTCCGTTCCATGGCTAATGCTGTTTACTTCTATCTGGAATTATGCCCTTCACCAAGTCTTCAGCTTCTTAATTTGTGTGTGTGCGCATGTTTGAACCTTTTTTTCATATTCTATATGCAATGACACATTTTATCTTGTACAATAATTATAATGGCTGTCTAATCTATTATTCTGGATTTAAACTTTATGATGGTAAAAAGGAGTCTTATTCATAAATGCTCATTTCACATAATTTAACATAATGCCTTATGAGACACCAAGGTTAAAGATTATGTGGAAAGGCTGGGCGCAGTGGCTCATGCCTGTAATCGCAGCACTTTGGGGGGCCGAGGGGAGAAGATCGCTTGGGGCTAGGAGTTCAAGACCAGCCTGGCTAACATGGCAAAATCCCATCTCTACCAAAAATACAAAAATTAGCTGGGTGTGGTAGCTCACACTTGTAATCCCAGCTACTTGGGAGGCTGAGGCACGAGAATCGCTTGAACTGGAGAGGTGGAGGTTGCAGTGAGCTGAGATTGCACCACTGCACTCCAGCCTGCATGACAAAGAGACTCTGTCTCAAAAGAAAAAAAAAGAAAAAAAAAATTACTTGAATAGATGGATGCCCATTTTGGGGGTTGACTTTTTTTTTCTTTTGCAATTACATCTAAAATTCTAATTTGTATCCATGTAATCCTTACCCAGGCCTCTTCCTTAATTCCCATGCTGTCCCTTTTAACTTTCTTTTTGTGAAATTCCTAATTTTTACTGGATAAAATAACATTTTACTTTTATAGAGGCTCAAAATATTTTTGTGACTTGAAAGTAGTTCTGCTGAGTCAGCCAAATATTGCCATAGGGCCTCATATGATTAGCAGAAGTTAAAATAGCAAGTCAACAAAATAATAAAAAAGAAGACATGGGCTGGGCACAGTGGCTCACACCTGTTATCCCAGCACTTTGGGAAGCCAAGGCAGGCAGATCACCTGAGGTCAGTTTGAGACCAGCCTATCCAACATGGAGAAACTCTGTCTCTACTAAAAATACAAAATTAGGTGGGCATGGTGGCACATGCCTGTAATCCCAGCTACTCAGGAGGCTGAGGCAGGAGAATCGCTTGAACCTGGGAGGCAGAGGTTGTGGTGAGCCGAGGTTGCGCCACTACACTCCAGCCTGGGCAACAAAAGCAAAACTCCATCTCAAAAAAAAAAAAAGAAGAAGAAATTATTCTCATTCCCCTTTCCATGGCCTTGTCTACTCAGATATTTAAATACTATCACGGTACCCCCCTAAAATATTGAGAGAAGAATAGAGTCATGGGATGCTAGGGCTGAAAGAAAACTTGGTAATCATCTCTCCTCTCCTCATTTTGTTGTTGTTGTTGTTGTTTGTTTGTTTGTTTGTTTGTAGAGATAGGGTCTTGCTATGTTGCCCAAGCTGCTCTCAAACTCCTGGACTCAAGCAATCCTCCCATGTTGGCCTCACAGTGTGCTGGGGTTACAGACATGAGCCACTGTGCCCAGCCTACGTTTTCTCTGCTTTTATTTCTCAAGTTTGACAGTGAAACTCAGCAAATTAGATTACAAGCATATAATCATTACTAGGGAGGTTCTTGGATTTCAGGTCCGAGGACTGTTAGGCAAATGCTGTTTTTACTACCAAAAAAAAAAAAAAATCACATTAAAAAAAAAAAGATATATGGTATTGCTAATAAAGGGGAAGCTGCCGAGAACTGCATGAACTGAAGTAGCAGGGACTGCAAACAGCAAAATTTTAATAAAAATAGAGTTATCTGTCATGAGCTATATGTTAAATATTGTTATTATCTGTTTTGAAATGAAAGTATGTAGGAGTCAGGGATTAAAAGTCCTTTAGAACAAGGCTGGGTGTGGTGGCTCACGCCTGTAATCCCAGCACTTTGGGAGGCAGAGGCGGGTAGATCACCTGAGGTCAGGAGTTTGAGACCAACCTGGCCAACATGGTGGAACCCTGTCTCTACTAAAAATACAAAAAAATTTAACTGGGTGTGGTAGCACGTGCCTGCAATCCCACCTACTCAGGAGGCTGAGGCAGGAGAATCGCTTGAACCTGGGAGGCGGAGGTTGCAGTGAGCTGAGATCATGCTACTGTACTCCAGCCTGGGCAACAGAGTGAGACTCTGTCTCAAAAAAAAAAAAAAAAAAAAAAAGTCCTGCAGAGCAAGATTACTTTTTACATTTCTTCAAGTTAATTTGGCTAAAAATACCATACCTTTATGTGTTTAAGATTAGTAGAGGATTAAAAAAAATTATTACTAAGTTGACCAGCCGTAATTTAAAGGTAATTAATATCCTGAAACTAAAATTCCACTGTGATAGAGAAAGAAAAGTGGACCCCAGAATCAAATTGTAGTAATAGGATAACAGAGTCAGTAGCAATAAGGAATGGGCAAAAGAATAAAAAAAAGAAAGAGGAAATGGAAAGGGAAAAAAAGTGCAATCAATTATTTGAAAAACAAATTAATGGGGACAGCTGGAATCAAAGTTCAGGGTGAAATACATAGCCAATTCAAAGAAAGGAAAGAAATGATGTAAAAATTCACTATTAATTCCACTATGAAAATATTAAAAGCAAAGACAAATGCAATGTGGAATATTTAGAAAAAGGAAGTTAGACATAGAGATAAGATAAAAGAATTCAAAGTCAGAGAAGGAATAGGGGAAATAGAAGATAGTGACACTCAAACTCATTACCTATAATGAGCAAAACAGGCTAAGCACAAGTCATCAGGTAGGTCTAGGTTTTCTTACCAAAAAACTGAGACAGTAGCTGAAGGCTTCAGCACCTGGATGTCTCCACGAGTCCTGTCTGGTCCCCACACTTAGCCACAGTGAAGTCATGAAGTATGGCAAGAAAATTTGCTGAGCTTTCTCTTCTTCTGTTCTCTCTCTGTTTCCGGCAATAAGTTAAGTCTTATGCTCTAGACCACTATCTGACCTCACAGGAAGAGTTTCAAAGTGAGTCATTTCTAAATGGCTTAGAAAGGCAAAGCAGGAAAACAGAAGTAGGAGTTTATAATCCTGAGACATTTTCTGCAGCACACAGAGAATGGTTAGAGAGAGGGTACCTCTGTACATAGGGTTCAACTTTATAGGTTTTGTTTAGAAATGAAAAAAAAAAGACTCTATGAGATGTGAGGGTTGGAGTGGGGAGTGGTTGGGGAGGAATGACCTGAATAAACTCATTTAATTAATCTCAAATAACATATCTGAAATGCTTGATATATGTGAAAAACGGTGCCATGTCAAAATCAGGATGAATTAAGCTATATTCTAATCTCCAGAGATTCACAATCGAGTGGGAATATGTACCCATACATATACACACAAAGCTGTAATACAAACTAGGCTATAATAATAGAAGTAACAATAGAAGTAAAATAATAGAACACTCTAGCCAGGGGTATATATAACCCAGGGCAATCTAGGAGAGTCTTAAGATAGAAATAAGATGTGGGCAAGTACTTAATTAAGTACCTGTAGGAATTCTAGAGACAGAAAAAGGTGAAAAGCTGCTTAGGCTATAAGTGGAGCCTAGTCAAAGGCAGGTAGGTGGTAGAGGGCAGGTAGGTGGGGAGGTAGGTGGGAGAGCTTAGTGGTCACTGGAGAACAGGCTGGAGTCTAGGTGCTGTTTCATCAGGAAGGAGTACAGAAGACTGAAGGTAATTCCTGCTTAATGAATACTATGCTGTAAATAATTCTTATATTATTCTTTTAGATATATGCATATACTCTTTTAGATATATGCATATAAAATAAAGTTTATTTGGGTCAAATGTATTTGAACACTGTTGTCTGTGATATAGGCTTCAGTCTATATTAATCAACTTGTCCAAACCATAATATCTGCTCCTCTGCTTGTTTGCAGTCAAGTCACCACGGAATATTTTTGAGGCAGAAAGATCAAAAGAAAAATGCCAAGAGTTGAGTAGTATTTATTAGTTTATTTCCATTGTCATCATCTAATTACAAAAATAGAACATACTTTGTTCTAGAAGAGATAAATTGAAATAATACAGAATTATAATGGGTAAAAAAAATGAAAGATTTTCTTTTCAATTCCACTGCTCGAAGTAACTATTTTTAATAGGTTAGTGTTCATTCTTCCTGATTTTTTTTTTTCTGAATATAGCACACATTTTGTTTGTTGGAGACAGGGCCTCAGTCTGTCGCCCAGGCTGGAGTGCAGTGCCACCATCTTGGCTCACTGCAACCTCTGCCTCCTAGGTTCAAGCAATTCTCCCACCTCATCCTCCTTAGTAGCTGGGACTACAGGCATGTGCCACCACAACCGGCTAATTTTTATATTTTTTCGGTAGAGATGGGGTTTTGCCATGTTGGGCAGGCTGGTCTTGAACTCCTGAGCTCAGGTGATCCACCTGCCTCAGCCTCCCAAAGTGCTGTGATTACCGGTGTGAGCCACCCCACCCGGCCTAACACACATTTTTCTAAAAGGTAGTTTTGAACATAAATGGGATGGTAATTTATGTGTGATTTTATGTCTTGCTTTTTTACTTAACAATATATCAAAACATACTTCCATGTTAGTACATATAATCCTATTGATTATTTTGGGTTTTCTTTCCTCCAATATTTGGAAATATTGAATAATATAGGTATCCAGAAAGCATATAAAATGTAGGATTATCATATATGTACATATATATCTAATTAAAATATATTTTATAAAAACAATTAATTCCCCATGGTAAAAATTAAATATGAGAAGATTAAAGTAAAAACCAAAATTTCCTAAACACCTAGCTATCCTCTTTCCACTTTCCAGATGTAGTCTCTCTCTTAAATACGCATATTCTACTACGCATATTGTTTTGTTCTATTTTTTCCACTTATCTTTTTATATCAGGACATCTTGGCCCAAATTACACTTTTTTTTTTTTTTTTCCTGAGACAGAGTTTTGCTCTTGTCACCCAGGTTGGAGTGCAATGGTGCGATCTCGGCTCACTGCAACTTCTGCCTCCTGGCTTCAATCGATTCTCCTGCCTCAGCCTCCCAAGTAGCTGGGATTACAGGTGCCCACAACCACACCTGGCTAATTTTTTGTATTTTTAGTAGAGACGGGGTTTCACCATGCTGGCCAGGCTGGTCTCGAACTCCTGCTCTCAGGTGATCTGCCCACCTCGGCCTCCCAAAGTCCTGGGATTACAGGCGTGAGCCACTGCGTGCGGTCCCAAATTATACTTTTTAAGTTGCTCCATATTATTCCACTTACTTAATTATTTTTCGTGGAATATTGTTTTTATCCAATTTTAAATGATTATAAACAAAACTCAATGAGCACTATAGTATTTACATGTATTTCTGTAGAATAGAGTTTTAGAATTGGAATTGCTAAGTCTAAGAGCACACACTTTTACATTTTGAAAGATACAGAATTTTCCACTAAAGAGACTTCACAAATTGTCACACTAAGTTCAGTACCATAAACATATACTCTGCTTCTGCTCCTGCTCCTGATACAGTGTGTTGCACTGCGGAAGATGGAGGAGGAATGAGAGATGTATATAACTGTAATACAGTAGGGGCTGTTAGGAGGGCACAATACACCCTGGGAATATGAAACCGTAAGAGACTAATTCTCATGGAAGCAAACCCACGATGATGCACTGAAGAGGTAGCATTGGGGCCATAAGGATGGGTAGAAATTTGTCAGGCAATAGTACTGTAAAATAATACCTTGTCTCTCTCTCTCCCCTACCATGAATTTCTTGTCTGTCTCCAGTGGCTGCTACCTTGCCTGGTATAACAGGTCTGTGGCACCAATAAGTGAATGAATGTTTGTTTGAAAAGGATGTTGACATCTGAATATAATTCAAATAATTAACTTGAGTCCTTAGAGTTGTTTCTGGCATGAATTCACTTTTACTAATTTCTCTCTCTCTAAAGATTACACAGCAATGTGGCTGGGTGTGGTGGCTCATGCCTGTAATCCCAGCACTTTGGGAGGCCAGGGCGGGCGGATCACCTGAGGTTAGGAGTTCGAGACCAGCCTGGCCAACGTGATGAAACCCTATCTCTACTAAAAATATAAAAATTTAGCTGGATGTTATACAGCAATTTAAACTGGTTCAAGAGCTCCCAGCTGTGTTCTTTGGATTTTTCAGGAAGAAAATTACTAAAAACTTGTTGTGAATAGTGCTCCTGTTTCTGGATGACCTCTCTCTCTTCTTAAAAAGTACTGGTTGTTTTGTGGTGTATTGTGGAAAGCTCTGAGGAAGTTATGTGATTCACTTCTGTTTTGTTCTATTCTGAATATCTAAATATAAATTTCTAAAAGCAGAGATCAGATGCTTTGGAAAAAAGAAAATTTGAATGTATGTTGCAAAGGCAGCCATATTAAAACCTTTTACCAGTCACTTGACTAATTCTACACTGTAATTGATGGAGATCTGTATTAAAGCTTGTTTGGCCAAAATAAAAATGTTAGAATCACAGATCTCTAGCTTGTTTTCTCTGAGAGAGTTAAATACATTATAAAGTTACTGTCCTTAAAGACTTCAACAAAAAATGATTAAATCCGTTATTAGATAATTTGTAGTAACCTATGCTCTAAATTAAATATAACTAAGTGCCAAAAACTGTGGATGACACAGACAAATGCAATGGCTGGTCAGCAAAGGGTAAGATTGATTGATGGTGGCTAGAATTAGCTGGAAAATTTTTATGGAAGAAAAGATTCATGAGGTGAATAGAGCACTAGACCAGGAATGTGGAGACATACATTTGACTTTCAGTTTTGTAATAACTACTCGACCTTGGGCTAGATACTTGACCTAGAAATTTGTTGTTGTTTTCTTAGGTGGAAAATTAAAGGTTGGATTAAATGGTCTTTCAGGTTTCTTTTACATCTAACAATCTATAATTCTCTCATTTGAGCAGGGAGATTGAAGCTGAGAGGGCATTTCAAGGGAAAAGCATGAGCACATATTAAGGGGGAGGTGAGCCCAACACAACTAAATGGCACAGGTACATGGCGTTGGTGGGAGTAAAAAGGGTATTCTAAGGACTAAGGGAGGGCAGGTAGAAAGCCTGGGTTTAAGTCTCAACTTTGCCACTTACTAATTGTGTTACTGAAAATAAGCTTCTCACACTGTATGTTCTCGTTTTCTTATCTGCAAAACAGGGACTGTGTCAGATATCATCTATCGATACTCAAGCCGCCCACACCCTTCCTTATTATCTATTAGAAACCTATGGACTATGTCTCCTCTACCTTCTCTCCAGCTGGGTTCTGAATAGGATCTTCCGGAAGGACATGTTCATGTGTCAATGGAAAGTAAGGAGAAAGGGGAACTATTGCTTTTAATTTCATAACTTGGTTGTGCACAGAGATTGCAAATCTATTTTAAAAGTAAAAGAGGCTGGGCGCGGTGGCTCATGCCTGTGTCCCAGCACTTTGGGAGGCCGAGGCGGGCGCATCATGAGGTCAGGAGATCGAGACCATCCTGGCTAACACAGTAAAACCCCGTCTCTACTAAAAATACATAAAGAAATTCGCCAGGCGTGGTGGTGGGCGCCTGTAGTCCCAGCTACTCTGGAGGCTAAGGCAGGAGAATGGCGTGAACCCGGCAGGCGGAGCTTGCAGTGAGCCGAGATCGCGCCACTGCACTCCAGCCTGGGTGACAGACCGATACTCCGTCTCAAAAAAATAAAAATAAAAAAATTTTAAAAAAAGTAAAAGAAAGCGGTCACTCACGCCTGTAACCCCAGCATTTTGGGAGGCCAAGGCAGGCAGATTGCCTGAGCCCAGGAGTTCAAGACCAGCCTGGGTAATATGGCAAAACCCCCCTCTACTAAAAATACAAAAAATCAGCTGGGCATGGTGGTGCACACCTGTAGACCCAGCTACTTGGGAGGCTGAGGCGGGAGGATGGCTTGAGCCTGGGAGGTTGAGGCTGTAGGGAGCTATGATAGTGCCACTGTACTCCAGCTCAGGCAACAAAGAACCTGTCTCAAAAAATAAATAAAAATAAAAATAAATAAAAGAACAAAGACTATGAAATAGAATAAACATTAAAATTGTTAAAGGAAAAGCAATATGGGAGAAAGGGATATCATTTAGCACCTGATTTCTGCAATGGAGGGGGCAGGTGTGGCAGCAGTGGCTGCTGGCTGCTGGAGGCTCCAGCAGGATTAATGGTTCCAGCAGCAAGCAGCAGCAGCAGCAGCAGGCCTGTGAGTTTAGATTCTTGTTAAGTGGCAGCAAGAACTCCCATCCTTAAAAGCAAGTGCATGCTTGCCTATTCTAGGTAATATCCTTTTCCATTTTTTCTCTTCCAATTGTAGGAAAGCATCCTCCTGCAGTAATTGATACACAGCTAATATCATCTTTTCACTTTTTATTCCTCTACTTCTTTTGACACTTCTGTAGCCAAGTCTTGTTTTTCTTTTTCTTTTCTTTTCTTTTTTTCTTTTGAGACAGGGTCTTGCTCTGTTGCCCAGGCTGGAGTGCAGTGGCTTGATTGTAGCTCACTGCAGCCTTGAACTCCTGGGCTCAAGTGATCCTCCTGCCTCAGCCTCCCGAGTGGCTGGGACTACAGGCATGCACCACCACATCCAGCTATTTTTAAATGTTGTTTTGCAGAGATGGGGTCTTACTATGTTGCTCAGACTGGTCTTGAACTCCTGGCCTCAACTCCCAAAATGCTATGATTACAGGCGTGAACCACGATGGCTGGCCCAAGTTCTTGTCTCATATATCCCTTTTGAAGTACCTACAATGGTTTTAGATTTCCTGGCTGGAAAATGACTAATTCAGGGAATATTCTCTACCTACTCTATAGTATTGTCAGGAGTAGATTAACAGACACACAAAGCTCTTAAAACAGTACCAGCATATACGGAACTTAACAAATATTAGCCATTATTATGTCAAAAAACTAATGTGAATTACAGTTGCTTATTAGATCAAAATTATTTTCCATCTTAGACAAGTGGCAAATAATTTACAAAATGTTCCCTTCCCAGTGTGAAATCATACCCTTTTTGTCAAGTCAAATTCTAACCTATGGCCCTCAAAGATGTAGATTAGATGTACTCTTTCCCCGCTAGAGTATAACTGCCTAATTATCCACATAGTTATGGTAAAGCCAAGTAGGAACACAAATTGAAGAACAAAGTTGCCCAGAAATTAAAAATAATTCAGTTAAAAAGTAAATAAAATAAAAAACTGTTAACTCTACCATAATAACAAGTATCTATGCCTGGATCTTGAAAGAAATCAGCCAAATTTGGCATGATAACTCAGACAAATCTTAGTGATTTAAAGAAAATCTAACAAACTTTGCTTATTCTATCGATTTATTGGTTTTTGACTTTCTATTATAGAGTGTATCTAGAATAGCCAGGTAGGAGAGGCTGAAGTGGAAGTAAACTGAATGTAGGTACATGTTTCATTAACACCCTTTGTGACTTTAGTTCTATAAAGGCAAAAGTGAACAAGGAGATAAGGGAGGAGACCACCCCTCATATTGTCTTATGCCCGATTTCTGCCTCCAAAGAAAGAAGAAGTAAAAACTAAAAGGCAGAAATGGAATCCACAAGCAGACAGCCTGGTGCCACACCCTGGGCCTGGTAGTTAAAGATCGACCACTGACCTAATTGGTTATGTTATTTATAGATTACAGACATTGTATAGAAAAGCACTGTGAAAATCCCTGTCCTGTTCTGTTCTGATCTAATGACAGTGCATGCAGCCCCTAGACACGTAACCCCTGCTTGCTCAATCGATCACGACCCTCTCAGGCGGACCCCCTTAGAGTTGTGAGCCCTTAAAAAGGACAGGAATTGCTCACTCAGGGAGCTCGGTTGTTGGAGACGTGAGTCTTGCTGAAGCTCCCAGCCGAATAAAGCCCTTCCTTCCCTTCTTTAACTCGGCGTCTGAGGGGTTTTGTCTGCGGCTTGTCCTGCTACAGAGACA
Source organism: Homo sapiens (assembly GCF_000001405.40). Lineage (NCBI taxonomy): Eukaryota > Metazoa > Chordata > Mammalia > Primates > Hominidae > Homo > Homo sapiens. Next base: position 8,073,468 of record NC_000012.12, read on the forward strand.
AGTCTTCTGTGTATGTCCAACTGATCTAATGAGAAGTCATAGAAGCTTTTTTTTTGGAGGGGAGACAGAATAGAGGACTACTGAGGGGTAGATGGCTCTCGTCAATGTAGGTCAAGATATATTTTTGATACAAAAATTAGCCGGGCATGGTGGTGCAAGCCTGTAGTTCCAGCTACTAGGGAGGCTGAGGCAGGAGGATTGTTTGAACTTGGGAGGCAGAGGTTGCACTGAGCTGAGATCGTGCCACCGCACTCCAGCCTGGATGACAGAGGAGACTCCGTCTCAAAAAAAAAAAAAAAAAACAACAAAGAAGAAAATGTGTTCTCCATTTCTTTTCTCCTTTGCTCTTTCTTCTCCATTTCATTCCCACTAAAATGCAGGCAAAAGAAGGTGAAGACACATAAACATTTCAGATAAAATGCTCCTTCTAAATCTCTTCAAATCATACTACACTGGGCAGATTTGTTAGCCATTAGGAGAAAAGGTGTTTTTTTTGTTTTTTTTTTTTTTGAGATGGAGTCTCGCTCTGTCGCCAGGCTGGAGTGCAGTGGCATGATCTTGGCTCACTGCAATCTCTGCCTCCCGGGTTCAAGCGATTCCCCTGCCTCAGCCTCCCGAGTAGCTGGGACTACAGGCATGCACCACCACACCTGGCTAATTTTTAGTATTCTTTTAGTAGAGACAGGGTTTCACCGTGTTGGCCAGGATGGCGTCGATCTTCTGACCCTGTGATCCACCTGCCTCGGCCTCCCAAAGTGCTGGGATTACAGGCGTGAGCCACCGTGCCTAGCGAGAAAAGGTTTCAAAGTGGCAATTATATTTTAGTTGTTATGTTCTGTTGTATATCTTCTGAAGTGCCAAAATATCAATTGTATCATTGTTTATATTTCCCTAAACAAACATAATACTTATTTCAAATGCTAGTTAGTATTAGTAATAACGTACACAGGATGGTTTATTAACTAGGCTCTGTGCTAAGCACTTCATTGGTTGTATGCCGTTTAACTCACGCAGCAACCCAATGATGAGATAGGTAACTCATTGTCAAACAGGACACTGACATGCAAAGTAGCTATTTACCTAAGTTCACACCACTATGTAAATGACAGAGCTAGAACCAAAGAGCTGGCCTCCAGAGCTTCTGCTGTTAGCTGGAATGTTTCCCTAAAAGTGAATACTCTCATTATTTTAGGCAGTCATATTTTATAAAGTCATGGGGAACACATCAAACGATCAATACTTTTTTTTTTTTTTGAGACTGAGTCTCGCTCTGCCTCTCAGGCTGGAGTGCAGTGGCGCAGTCTGGGCTCACTGCAATCTCCACCTCCCGAGTTCGAGCGATTTTCTTGCCTCAGCCTCCTGAGTAGCTGAGATTACAGGCGTCTGCCACCATGTACGACCGATCAATACATAATCTTGTTTTATGTGTGTTTCTGTTTAAAGATGGCTTATTTATTAATTAATTATTTTTAAGACGGAGTCCTCCTCTTGTCGCCCAGGTTGGAGTGCAGTGGCGCGATCTCGGCTTACGGGAAACTCCGCCTCCTGGGTTCAAGCGATTCTCCTGCCTCAGCCTCCCAAATAGCTGGGATTACAGGCGCCCGCCAGCACACCCAGCTAATTTTTGTATTTTTAGTAGAGACTCTGTTGGCCAGGCTGGTCTCAAACTCCTGACCTCAGGTGATCCACCCGCCTCGGCCTCTCAAAGTGCTGGGATTACAGGCGTGAGCCACCACGCTCGGCCAATGGCTTATTTCATATACTTTGCTGATTTATCAGCATTGACCTTTATAACGAAAGCTCTATAACTCATCCCTGAATGAAGTGTAGCTAACACGCATGTTTCCTCTGTAAGGTGTATCAAAGCCTTCTTATGTTTAGGAATACTAGACAGTATTTCAGCACTACGCTCGGTGGCCATTTTAAATGATAAAATCATTTAAAAACAACAAAAAACCAAAAATTCAAAAAAAGGGGCACTAAATAGACTGCGAAAAGGATACTTGTTTATAGTATGAAAGCTAAAACAAGAAGGCAGTATCACCTTGTTTGACAGCTGGATAAATTCTAGTAAGTACCTGATTTGCAAATATGTGATCCATAAATAACAAGTATCTACTGTAATCGCTGTAACTATTGTATATTCTGTCCCTTTTATAGATGAAGAGGTTGAGGACAGAAGGAAAACATTATTGACAGAGAATTGCATATTGGTTAACGACCTGGGTTTAGAGATAATTAGATATATGTCTACCACTTATGGCTGTGGACAAATTATTTAATCACAATGTATCAGTTTCTTCATCTGTAGAGTGGGCATGATCATAATAGTACCTATGTCATATGATTAGTGATATAATGCATATAAGCATGTAGAACAGGACTCAGTACTTGATAAATGTTAGTTATTACTATCATTTAACCATAGACATAGCAATGCTAGTAATACATACAAACATTTAACTATAAGTTATAGTCAGCTGTTGCTTTGGTACCAGGAATTTCGGGTTCTGTTCCTGACACTTAAATATTAGATGAGCAAGTCACTGACCTTTCTGTAACTCAGCATACTTTTTATGAAAATGGGAATAACATTACCTACTCTACGAGATTGTTGTGAGAAATAAATGAGATAGTATGCGTGAAAGCATTTTGTAATCTTAAAGATCTGATATCAATATTACGTAATATGATCGTCATTATTATTATACAGAATGTTTATTGTTAAAATCGGTATCTGAGAACTTAGTTGCTCACCATAATTTATTGTGTGTTATATCATATATTTGGAAGAATGCATATAATTAATAGATACATTCTGAATAATAAAATTACCATCCATGAGCTTACCATTCAGCATCAGAAATAGAATGCTACCATTTTCTCTCAAGCACCCTCTGCAAACTACCCTGATCTACCTCCTGCACCTCCTTACCAAGTAATCACAACTGGAAATTTTGTATTTATCATTTTCTGTTTTTTTGAGACAGAGTTTCGCTCTTGTGTGCAGGCTGGAGTGCAATGATATTTGTTAATGGTATTTGTGCAATGGCACGATATTTGTTAATGGTATTTGTGCAATATTTGTTAATGGTATTTGTGCAATGGCATGATCTTGGCTTACGGCAACCACTGCCTCCTGAGTTCAAGTGATTCTCCTGCCTCAGCCTCTGGAGTAACTGGGATTACAGGCACTTGCTACCACGCCCAGCCTGTATTTATCATTTCCTTACATTTCATAAAATGTTTACACAATCTTAGATTTGCCTTTTTTTGAAGATTGTATAAATGGGACAGTTTTATTTTTAAATTTATTTTCCCCGCTTAGTATTTTATTTTTGTCATCTATTCATGTTGATGCACACAGCAAGTAGTTCATTTGTGTTCACTATTTATACTATCCCATTGTTTGTTCTAATGATGGACATTTATTTCCAATGTCTTGCTATTATAAATAGTAAACAGCACTGCAGTGAAATTCTTGCGCATTTTTCCTACTGTATATTTGCAGGAGTTGCTCTACCTAAGTAGGGAATTCAGGGGTAATGAGGTATGAGCATATTCCATTTTACCAGATACTGCCGAAGTTCCCATTGCCCCACATCCTTACCGGCACTGGGTATTGACAGATATTTAAATTTTTGACAATCTGGGGTGTAAGAAATGTCCTCTAAGGCTCTTCAATGAATAAGCTCATCACTCTGGAAATCAGCTATTTCCTTAGTAAGTCATCTGCACTCTAGTAACCATAGCAGGTAGTAGAAATTCTTTCTGCTGGGTTTTCGTTTGATGGTGTAGTAGGGGGATGATGGAGTTGGGGGAAAAAGCAGATATCTTTAGTTTTCGGGCCTGGTCCTTCTCCTAATTACACCCAGCACCTGCCAGATGCCTCACATCCTCATTAAGCAGCGGAGAGTCACAAAGGGTGAGTCATTGCTGTAAATCTCCCTGGGGCCAAGTTTTATTCATGTTCTGAAGCTATTATATAGCTTGGACATGTAGGAGGAAAGGATATTTCCCTTAAATCATCAGGAAACAGAATTCTAACTTAAAGTGTCCCAAGTGAGACGTATCCTTTGCTTTTCAGGCTGTAGAACCTGATGTCTTTTCTTCATGAATAGTATTAATACTAAAGTAGCTTTGATCCTAAGTTCTGTAGTTATAGGACTCTCAATCTTTTTTATTTTTTTCTCTCTCTAGGTTTCTAGATTATTGTCATTTAAACTACAAATATTGATTGAACACCTACCATGTGCCAGGCACTGTTCTAGGTGTTGGGGATACAGCAGTAAATAAATCAAAGTTAGAATTCATTACCCCTCAGATTTGAAGATTGTCAAATTTACAAGCAAAGCCAGTTTAACCTGACACAGCAGCTACAGCACAACACTGCAGAGCAAGGAGTAGGTATGGCTAGATTTAGGTCAATGGCTGACTTTAACTGCTATTTGATTAAAATATGAGATCATGGTAAGACCAACACAGCGTTTTCAACTTTAAAAAATGTTCGTTTTTTGAATTGTTGAAATTGATGGAGGCCTTACCTATCTCACAGTGGAAAGAGTGTTAGTTTGTAAATCATGAGATATGAAGTTCTGATCCTGACTGCATCACCAACTATGTCTTTGGATGAGATCTGAACTGAAAGGTTACTAAGGTCCACTCTAGCTAAAAAAAATCCTGTAAACTATGATTCGAATCTCATTACAATTTTTATTACCACTGCATGTGTAGCAACTTCAGGATTTAGGAAAATTATACTTTAACAAATACCATTGATAGCAGTACCCTGAGCAATGATAAGTCAGAATTTAATCTGTGATAAATACCTTTTTGTGTGTGCGTAAAGAAGAGCTGGGAAATATGTTACTGGTAGGGCTAAGTTAAGAAAACCATAAGTTATTTTCATGTTTAAATGACATCTAAAAGTGACCAAGATTTGAGATGGGTAAGGCCTCCATGAATTTCAACAATGCATTTAAAAAAACAAGCTTTTGTTAAACTTGGTTAAATCATATACTTACAAAGCCACATACAAGAACACTAGCTTGACTTAGCACAGTCTACTCAGCCCAGAACCTGTGAGCTGTGTAGCTACTACCCCCCGGTGGTGGGCAAAGATAAGTTCGAGACAAGACATTTTTAATTTTTTTATTTTAGTTTATTTTTTTTTGATACGGAGTCTCATTCAGTAGCCCAGGCTGGAGTGCAGTGGCATGATCTTGACTCACTGCAACCTCCGTCTCCTGGGTTCAAGCAATTCTCCTGCCTTAGCCTCCCAAGTAGCTGGCATTACAGGCATGCACCACTATGACCAGCTAGTTTTTGTATTTTCAGTAGAGACAGGGTTTCAACATGTTAGCCAGGCTGGTCTTGAACTCCTGACCTCAAGTGATCTGCCTGCCTCAGCCTCCCAAGGTGCTGAGGTTACAGGCGTGAGCCACTGTGCCGGCCCAAGACATTTTTAATTATTTTGATTGGGAAAGAACAAATCATCCCTGTTAAGGCAGGCTGAAATGATCATTCATTTAGCAAATAAACATACAGAGTTCTTACTATAGTCTGAAAACTGTGCTAGATACTGGGAAAACACAAACCTGTTTCTTTCCCTTGGAAAACAGAGATGCCAACAAGCAGTTGAATGCAATGTGCTAAGAACTAAAACAGCTGTACAAATGTTGTGGGAGCATAGAGGAGGCAGTTACCAGTTCTATTTAGAGAAGTTGAGGAAAACTTCTGAGATAAATTGATATTTAGATTAGATCTAAAGGCATCTTACCAAGGAATGAACGGGAAGTGCATTTCAGTCTGGACAAATATGTTCAGCATGAATAAAAATGGCATGTATGGAAAATTATGGCAATGTGATCAGTTAAGCTAGAGAAGACATCGTGGGTGAGAGTGAGGAAGACTGTATTTTTTTCTGTTTCTGTTGAGATGAAGCAAGAGAAGGGAAATTTAAATTTATATAAAGAAAAAACATGGTTAAGTAAGGGTTTTTTTTTTTTTTTTTTTTTAGGTGAAAGGACTTGAATATACTTACATGGTGAGGGAAAGGGGTGAATGGAAAATGAGTTTTAAGATACAGGAAAGAAAGGAGATAACTGATTAACCAGGTCCCTGAGGAGATTGGTCCCTGAGGAGAATCCAGGGCACACACAAGTGGATAGGAGAAAGAATAGATGAAGATGCAGATAGGAGTATGAATAGGGTGTCATTAAGTTGAGAGAGTTCACACAAACTTTATTTTCTTAGGGAAGTAGTAAGATGTTTTACCTGTCAAGAAAGAAAAAGAGAAGACTTAGAGTTGAAGGCCTGAAAGGGCAGCAAAATTTGGAACAACCATTAAAGGGAATGAAAATAAAAACTAGCAATGGCAAATCTGGGTGTTAAGGGCAAAGCTGAGACTCAAACCCATAAACTTTTAGGGACACCAATCTTTATAATTGTGTGATTTGCTTTTGGAGAATGATGGAGGGAGATGGTTGGAATATATAAGACTGGAGTCTTTTGGGTTGGCTGTGATGGAAAGACAAAGAGGAAAGGAAACTTAAGGATGCTGGCAAGAGAACTGTTGAAACAAGGAGATGGGAGGAATAAAGAGAAGGCTAACAATGTGCAGAACATGAAGAAGAACAGGTGAGGTAGAAAAGAGAGGTAAAGATAGTTAGAATTTATGTCAAGAGATTGTATGGCTAGGAAGAGTTAACTATATGGGCTTTGAAATCTCTAAAAGATTTGGGAGAAGAGGAAGAGTATAAACTAGTAAGAAGGTGAACCAGAAGCCAGAATCCTCCAAAAATGATTGCCAGTGATAACACAGAACAGAGAAAAAAAAAGAGGTACAATGTGGTGTAGTCATATGACCTAGGCTTCAGATGAGATCATAGGGTCAGAAATAAGGAACAACAAGTAATAAACCACTTTTCTGTCTTTATTTTTCTTTTAACATGTATTCAGTGACAATAATAGCTATATAAATCTTAAACAACAGAGAAATATATGGAGGAGAAAATAAGTTTCTTTCCCCCACTTAGCCTTATATCCTTTGAAAGCCTTCTCAATGCATTTACATGCATGCATATATAATTTTGGGGTGTTTCGACAAAAGTTGATAATGCTGTATGTTTTTTGCAGTTGGCTTTAAAAAATCTTGGATCTCTTTCAATGGCTAACCCTTTAGTTCAAAACATCTCATAGTAATAGATATACCATTAACCATTTCCCATTGATAGATGGTCATTTTGTTTCCATTTTTTTCACTATTACAAACAATGCTGTAGTATTATTGTACATACTTTTTTGTGCATATAAGGATTTCTCTACAATATTTATTAGTGAAACTGCTAAATTGAAGATTACGTCCAATTAATATTTTGATAAATTCTGTTAATTTCCCTTTTAAAAATGCCGTGCCAATTTACATTCCTGCCAACAGTGTATGAGATTAGACTGTTCCTCACGTCCTCGCCAGGGATAAATGTGGTAATTCTTTTTGAAATTTAAGATATCACTTTCCAAGGTGGAGCAGACAAATTAGAGGCAGGTTTGCTTTTTTTTTTTTTCTCATTAAACTTTTTTAATGGGTCTCAAAATTCTGTGACAAATTTTTGGATGTTTCCATTAAAAAGTACTGATTTAAAAAACTAATAACTTAAAACTGCCACACGCAAAAAAGAAAACCAGTGGTCCACAAAACATTCTCCTTTCCTTCTGAAGAAGAAAACCAGTGGTCCACAAAACATTCTCCTTTCCTTCTGAAGGTTTTACGATGCATTGTTTTCATTAACCAGTCTTTTACTACTGAACTTAAATGGCCAGTTGAAACAAACAGTTCTGAGACCGTTCTTCCACCACTGATTAAGAGTGGGGTGGCAGGTATTAGGGATGATATTCATCTAGCCTTCTGAGCTTTCTGGGCAGACTTGGTGACCTTGCCAGCTCCAGCAGCGGTGAAGACTGCTGCTGTTGTAATGAGGCAGGCTTGAGTTTCTGTCTCAGTTTTGCCACTTGCTATCTGTACTGTCAGGGTGTTGTGGTTAAGTTTACCTTTGGGGCGCAGAAAAAGCATATTTATGGTGAGAGTTCGGTAGCATTTATCATTATAATAGAACTGGGAGCTAATATAGGCCATTAGATAGTTCATTATGCTTCCGATTTTATCAGGAATTGGGTTGATCCCACGTATAGTCTATTTAACAGGATCAAATTTTCCAAAAAGATAATCGGAATACACGCCGAAAGTGTGGCAAAACATTTTAACAGGTGTCGTCCTGAAAAATCGGAGATAAAGAGTGTAAGGCACTAAATCAAGTTGGGTGTTTTCAGCGTTTAGACTCTGGAGAGTTGAAATCCACGGTGTCTATGACCAGATCATACATCATTCTCTGCAGGTACCTCGTCTGGGACTACCGGCTGGAGGTTGCCTCTTTTCTGCCAGGAGACTACAGTTAGGAAGTGACTCCTGTAAGAAAATCCGTCACGATTCAATATGGTCCTCGTCCTCGTAGGACACTCCAGGCACCTGCCTAGAGTAAGATGGCGCTTTTCGTAAGCACCTCTCCAGGACAGAGATTTCCATAACGAGAGTCACGCACTTGCAGGCCATCTTTGCCATTATCCAAGACGGTGAGCCGTGCAGCCTCATCGTTTCCAGGTTTCAATATGGCTCCCCGCGTCACCGAAAAGGTTAATCTCAGAAACTAACTTGAACTCGCGCGGAAGTGACGCAACAGAAGTTGTCGCGCTTTGCATCTCCGCCTCCCGTGCTCCGCCTCCGGTCTTACGTTTCGCCCCCGGCAGCGCCGACAGCGGACCCAAGATGGCGACCGAGTTGGAGTACGAGTCTGTGCTGTGTGTGAAGCCAGACGTCAGCGTCTACCGGATTCCGCCCCGGGCCTCCAACCGCGGTTACAGGTACTAACCCCGAGGCGCTGCCGCACACGCGTACTCTGTCGCAGATGACAGCTTCCTTCTCAGCTAGCACGCTGTCCGTCCCTGCCACTACTACCTCTGTATTGTCACCTTGCTAGCCTCCCTACCTGGGTTGTCATCTCCCTGACCACCTGCTCCATCTCCACTCTGGACTGTCATCACCATATTTCTGCCGTTTTTTTTTTTGTTTTGTTTTTTATTAAATTACCACTCTGCGTTATTCCACTCTGCCTCTCCCGTAATCCCCTGGGGCACCCATCTGCTCCCCATCATGCACTTTCAGTCGTGCTTGCTCCATTGCCAGTCCCCTTTCATTCGCTCTTCCCTGCGTCCTTCAGCTTATCATCCTCATCCTTTCTCTCTCTCTCTCTCTCACACACACACACACACACACACACACACACACACACACACACCTTTCCAGTTCCCCATGCACATTTATGGGTAATCGTGTTGCTTGCCACTCTGGATTATCTGATTTATTTTTTGTACTGTTGTCAATTTCGTCACCAACTGTCATCATCCACCATTCGGTTTTTCCTTCAGCAGTTTTACCAGTGAGCAAAGGTTATGATCATAAGCTTTACAACGGTTGTTCATTCTGTTTCTTCTCATTGTATTTTCTTGATGATTATATAGTATTTTCTGTCTTCCTTCCCTACCTCCCTTCTTAACCTCTCCTACACCTTTTCCCTCCAAAGTTGAGGCAGCATTTTTCTCTGTTGGGCCTAACTACCTACCTTGTAATCCAATGACTGTGAGGTTCTGAGGATGCTATAGGACATTATGTAGTTGAAAGACAGTTCACTGGGCTTCATGTTAAACCATATGAGTGTGAGCCCTTTCCAAGCCTCAATTTTCTCATCTGTAAAATAGAAAAAAAAACCTGTTAGTGATGATACCTGCGCTCTTATAATGTGCTTAACAAGGGTTTTTGGGAGAGTAAAATTAAATCATATAATGGATGTGAAAGAATGTAGGAAATGCAATAAAGCAGTTACAAATACTATTTGTTTGTTCTTTTTTTTTTTTTTTTTTTTTTTTTTGAGATGTAGTCTCACTTTGTTGCCCAGGCCGGAGCGCAATGGCTCAATCTCAGCTCACTGCAACCTCCGCCTCCTGGGTTCAAGCGATTCTCCTGCTTCAGCTTCCTGAATAGTTGGGATTACACGCATGCACCACCACACCTGGCTAATTTTTGTATTTTGAGTAGAGATGGGGTTTCACCAAGTTGGCCAGGCTGGTCTTGAACTCCTGACCTTGTGATCTGCCCACCTTGGCCTCCCATAGTACTGGGATTACAGGCGTGACACCACGCCCAGCCGTCGTTTTTTTTTTTTTTTTTTTTTGTTAGAGAGGCAGGGTCTCGTTCTATCATCCAGGCTGGAGTGCAAGTGGTGCAATCACAGCTCACGGCAGCTGTGTACTCCTGGGCACAAGGGATCCTCCTACCTCAGCCTCCCAAGTTGCTAGGGCTACAGGCATTGCCTCACAATGCCTGGCTAATTTTTAAATTTTTTTGTGTAGACAGGATCTTGATATATTTCCCAGGCTGGTCTCGAACTCCTGGCCTTAAGTGATTCTCCTGCCACAGCCTCCCAAAGTGTTGAAATTACAGGTGTGGGCCACTGCACCTGGCCAAGATACTGTTCTTATTCTTCTCTCTGACCCACATCATCATTGTGATTTTTCCTCCTGGCATTTATCATTACCTTGGCTGAAAAGTTACCCTCTCCTTATGTCTGTTATTTTGCCCCTTACTGGCGTTTTATTCATCATGAATCAATATTTTTATGCTTGCTGACCTGTGCGCTGGGCCCTGTGGGTTGCACCTTTGGCAAAGAGGTAGCAGTTCTGTTTTTAATAAGCTTTTAGTTGGACCCCAAACTGACCCTAAGTAGAAATCAACATGCTTTTAGATGGTAGTTACAGGTACTATATGAGTCACTTAAACATCACCTTCTTTGGGAGGCCCTATGTGACCCTTCCATTCTGGTTTAGATATGCACCCTGTGTGCTTCCATAGCACCTTTTTCTTTTTCTTTTTTACTTTAAGTTCTGGGATACATGTGCAGAATGTGCAGGTTTGTTACATAGGTATGCATGTGCCATGGTGGTTTGCTGCACCTATCAACCTGTCATCCTCGCCCCTCCCCCGAGAGGCCCCAGTGTGTGTTGTTCCCCTCCCTGTGCCCATGCGTTCTCACTGTTCAACTCCCACTTGTGAGTGAGAACATGTGGTGTTTGGTTTTCTGTTCCTGCATAGCACTTTATTCTTATCTCTATTCCAGGGCTCTTCATTTTGTATTGTAATGGATTACAGTGGATTGTACAATGGATTGTTTAGTCTCCTTTTTTCTCCAGGCTAGACTGTGAACAACTTGAGATCTTTTTAACTTTATATTCCCAGGGTCTAGCACAGTATCTGGTACACTTTGGGCACCCTGTAAATGTTGACTGAAAGAAGAAATCAGTAGATTACACAGAGAAACCTAATCACATAAAGTGGCATTGATTGAACTGTTAAATAAGGTCAAATAGCTCATTACTTCCAACTTTAGGAGTTAAGACTCCTAAAGGATATGATACATATTGAAGTGGGATTATATTCTTTTTCTTGAAGTTTTTTTTTTTTTGAGATGGAGTCTGGCTGTGTTGCCCAGGCTGGAGTGCGCTGGCGCAATCTCAGCTCGCCACAACCTCCGCCTCCCCGGTTCAAGTGATTTTCCTGCCTCAGCCTCCCAAGTAGCTGGGACTACAGGCACGTGCCACTATGCCCAGCTAATTTTTGTATATTTAGTAGAGACGGGGTTTCACTGTGTTGGCCAGGCTGGTCTCAAACTCTTGACCTCGTGATCCGCCTGCCTTGGCCTCCCAAAGTGCTGGGATTACAGGCGTGAGCCACCGCACCCGGCCTACTTCAAGCTTTTTAAAACACCTCCCCTCTCACCCATCTTCTCTATCTTCACTTCTTAGTTTTCCACAACCTTTATACTTACATCAGTTAACTGCACTGAGCCATTAAAGCAGTTTCTTAATTTTCCTCTTTTTCCTGTTATCCTTCTGTGTTTTCCATGTCTACTGGCATTTTTTATCCTCCAAGAGGCACCTTATCATCAATCACTTTTTTAGTACAGCACATGAAGAGAGCGGAATTAAGTTTGAATAACGATATTTATTTGCTGGGTTACCTTTGGCAAATCACCACTTTTGAATGTTAGTTTCTTCATTTGTAAAAATGACTATAACAATACTTACCTTGTAGGATCCTCTCACTTAATCTTCTTTTTTTTTTTTTTTTTTTTTTTTTTTTTGTTGTTGAGACAGAGTCTCGCTCTGTCACCCAGGCTGGCGTACAATGGTGTGATCATGGCTCACTGCAATCTGTGCCTCCCAGATTCAACTGATTCTCGTGCCTCAGCCTCCTGAGTAGTTGAGATTACAGATGTGCACTGCCATGCTTGGCTAATTTTTTGTATTTTTAGTAGAGATGGGGTTTCACCATGTTGGCCAGGCTGGTCTTGAACTCCTGGCCTCAGGCAATCCACCCACCTCAACCTCCCAAAGTGCTGGGATTACAGGCATGAGCCACTGCGCCTGGCCCTTTCACTTAATTTTCACGAGAATGGGCATAATGCCTGGCACATAATAAATGCTTGATAAATGCTGGTTTTCTTTTTGTTTGCATAATCTTTCTTATTTACCAGAACCCACTTTATATTATAAGCAGGATTTATTCTCTAGGCTGACATTAAAGGACAAACTGGGCTTTTTAGAAAGCAGGAGGAATTTTTCCTTTGAGTGACTGGTAAGATTAGAGAGAATAATTGATTTTAATTCACCTAGTGTAAGCTGTTCGTTCCCAGACTTTCACTGACCAGACTTCTAGACTATGGGAAGGAAAATTTGGGTTGACAAGAAACTTATCAGGCTGAGTGCGGTGGCTCATATCTGTAATCCCAGGACTTTGGGAGGCCGAGGCGCACGGATCACTTAAGGTCAGGAGTTCCAGACCAGCCTGGCCAACATGGTGAAACCCCGTCTCTACAAAAATACAAAAAACTTAGCCAGCCGTGGTGGCGCACACCTGTAGTCCCAGCTACCTGGGAGGCTGAGGCAGTAGAATTGTTTGAACCCGGGAGGCGGAGGTTGCAATGAGCTGAGATCATGCCACTGCTCTCCAGCCTAGGCGACAGAGCAGGACTGCGTCTCAAAACAAACAAAAAGGAAACTTACAAATGCTTAGAAAACAATCTGGGTGCGGTGGCTCACTCCTGTAATCCCAGCACTTGGGGAGGCCAAGGCGGGCGGATTTCCTGAAGTCAGGAGTTTGAGACCAGCCTGGCCAACTTGGTGGAACCCCGTCTTTACTAAAAATACAAAAGAAATTAGCTGGGCATGGTGGCCTGTGCCTGTAATCTCAGCTACTCAGGAGGCTGAGGCAAGAGAATTGCTTGAACCCGAGGTTGCAGTTAGCCAAGATCGCGCCATTGCACTCCAGCCTGGGTGGAAGAGTGAGACTCTATTACACACACACACACACACACACACACACACACAAATAAATAAATGGTTAGAAAACAGTTTTCCAACCTATAAAACTATTTTTTTTTAAAAAAAAATTCTTCACTACCCTCTTCCCTTAGCTAAATCAATATTAACCTCTATAATGCGTTTCAGTGTAATGAAAGAATAATGGACTTTAAAGTTAGGCATTATTACTTACTGTGTTATCCTTTCCATCATTTAGAGAGAAAGAGAGGTATGACAGGCTTTTCATGCCTATTTCACATATCTACTATAAGGACATAATAAGATGTACATTTGGAATCTTACTGTGAATCATCATAGTGGTTTTTTATTTATATATATATAAAGTTTTATTACTAAGGTAAATGAAAATTTGTAAGGTAAGTTAAAAGTATTGTCAGAGGACAAGCAAAATCAAGAGTTCTTTAGATTAGGTCTTGGAGTAGGAAAGGAACTAAGGCTCAAGGCTGAGGGAATCTGCTGCCATGAATATCCATTTACTTACAGAATTTGTTAAGTATCGGACACTAGATACACAAGAGAAATAAGGAACTCATCCAAGAAAAACACATTTAATAGACTTGTTCCTAATTTTTTTTTTTTTTTTTTAGAGACAGGGTCTCACCCTGTTGCTCAGGCTGGAGTGCAGTGGGGCGATCATAGCTCACTGCAACCTCAAATTCTTAGGCTCAGGCAGTCCTCCTGCCTTGGCCTCCCAAAGTGCTGGTTATAGGCGTGAGCCACGGTGCCTGGCTGTTCCTAATATTTTTAATAGCCCATTTACATGAGCTCTTGGTGGCATGATTATAATAAGTAATAACTCATTAATATAATAGATGAGGAACTTTAGAGCTCTCTAATCTGGATCAGATTTAGGTACTTGAGGGTCTTTGAGGGCAGGGAATCAAGAGGGAAGAGAATGGGAAGGACTTATTTTACAGATCCTGTTCAAAACCTGTGCTAATTTTCACTTTCATTTTCCTCCTTTCAGCTTTTTACCTCTCATCTTGTTAAACTCATTCTTGTTCAAATATACCTTGTGGTTGCTTTTTTAGTCTTTAAGTATTAGTCTTTGGTTTCTTAGAAGATGAATTATTAATAACTTTTACTTTGCTAATCTGTTTTCCATACTCCTGGCAAAACAAATCACAAATACAATGTTTTGTAAAATTCATCATAAATAATCTTAGTTGTTGTTCAAGTTGATTATAACACGTTTTATAAATTTCTGATGTTTTCATGGCCGTTTGTATCTCCAGCCCAGATGTCTTTCTTGAACTCGTCTCATATATTTTACTGCCTACTCTACATCTCTTGAAAATCTACTAGACATCTCAAACTCAGCATATTTAAAACTGAATCCCTGATCCTTCTTCCTAGATGTGTTCCTTCTCATCTCAATAATTGGCAACTCTTTGCTCAGGCTAAACACCTTGGAGTTGTCCTTGGCTTCTATCCCCTATCTAATCCATTAGAAAATCCTGCTGCTTTTACCCTAAATATATCCTTCTCTTCTATCCCATATCTAATCCATTAGAAAATCCTGCTACTTTTACCCTAAATATATCCAGAATATAGCCACTTCTGCTACCATTGTGACTTTTCTAGATTACTGCAGTAGTCTCTTAGCTAATCCCCCTGCTTCAGTCCTCTTATCCCAACAGCTTTTCTCCAGACAGCAGATGTAGTAATCTTTTTAGAATATAAGGGAGATCATGTCACACCTCTGCTTAAAATTTGTAATAGCTCTTTTTTCACTCAGAGTGAAAGCTGAAGTTGTTACTATGACCCACAAGGCCCTGCGTGATCTGGCCGTCTGTTACCTCTCCCACCTTGTCTCTTCCTCTGTTCTAACCACAGTGCTTCCTTGTTGTCTCTCAAACATGCCAGGCATGCCCCCACCGTAGCACCTTTGGGCTAGCTGTTCCTTATGTCTAGAATGCTTTTCCCCCAGACATCTGTATGGATAACTCTCTTGCTTCACATTCTAGCTCACATTTCACCTTAATGAGACCTACCCCAACCACCCTCTTGAATGCTACAACTTGTTCATTCTCCCACTGTCTTCTTAATCTTCCTAATTTGCCTCTACATTTTCTTTTTACCTTAGAACTCACCACTTTCTAAGATACTAATTATGCTGTTTATTATGTTTCTTTTTTATTTTCTATCTTCTGTTAGGATGTAAGCCTCATGAGGGTTGGAATCTTTGTTTTGGTTGCTGTTGTATCCTAAGCATCTGGAACAGTGATGCATCTGTCCTAATAAGTACTGTATAAATATTGATTGAATTCAGTGAAAGATAGTATATTTACTGATTTGGGAGGGCTCCCATTACCTAGGATATTTAATGTAGTAGACTTTGTTGTTATCTGATTAGTAAAGCATGGTTATCTAGTATACCATCTATAGTTTGAAAATAGCATCGTTATGAGAAATTTTATTTATTTCTTTATTTGAGACCAAGTCTCGTTCTGTCGCCCAGGCTGGAGAGCGGTGGCGCAGTCTCGGCTCACTGCAGCCTCCACCTCCCAGGTTCAGTTGATTCTGCCTCAGCCTCCCAAGGGATTTCAGGCGCACGCCACCATAACCAGCTAATTTTTGTATTTTTAGAAGACGGGGTTTCACCGTGTTGGCCAGACTGGTCTCAAACTCCTGACCTCAAGTGATCCACCCACCTTGGCCTCCCAAAGTGCTGGGATTACAGGCTTGAGCCACCATGCTCGGCCAGAATTTTATTTTTTATTGCTTTTATTCGTGCTTTTCCATCTTTTTAATGATGCTTATTGGACTCCAAAGTCCTCAAGTAGTAGCATTGTCTTTTACTTGCTTTGGACTGTATGTAACATGAGGCATCTAAATAGATCATGAATTATTCTTGTTGATTAATAGGTAGAAAGAATAGGCAATCCAGGATAGGGAAATAGAAATACAGTCAAAGATTGTGGGTGGGCGTTAGTAAATTAAGGACATGTGCCTGAGGCTTCCTCTTTTCCTGTCCTAGGGCCTCTGACTGGAAATTAGACCAGCCTGATTGGACTGGTCGCCTCCGAATCACTTCAAAAGGGAAGACTGCCTATATCAAACTCGAGGATAAAGTTTCAGGTAATCTTTGCGGGTGACCCTCTAACATTAAGAATATTAATTTGGTGTGCTTTTATAAGTACCTTCAATTTGGGGACTGGAATGGAAATACTACTTGTTAATTGGGGTTCTGGATTTTGGCTTGCTTTACTCAAAAAAGTCTTTCTCTTATCTGTCAGGGGAGCTCTTTGCTCAGGCACCAGTAGAACAATATCCTGGTATTGCTGTGGAGACGGTGACAGATTCTAGCCGCTACTTTGTAATCCGGATCCAGGATGGTACTGGTAAGAGAACTGGGATTTTGAGTGGAACGAAGTTAGGAAAACAGGTGAATGCACAGCCATGAAAAGTGTTTCCGATTGCATTTATCTTTCTTTGGTTTACTTCATTTTTTCTTCCCTTTCTCTAAAGTTGCTCTAGTTGCTAAAGGAAAAGTATTAACATGTTATTTGTAATAGATAAGCACGAGTTCAAGATGTGGTAATTCATATGTAGACTTAAATAAATGAAAAACACATATCTAACAAATGAATTAACACATTTGGCACTTTAGGAGGCCGAGGTGGGTGGATCACCTGAGGTCAGGAGTTTGAGGCCAGCCTGACCAATATGATGAAACCCTGTCGCTACTGAAAATAAAAAATTAGCCAGGCGTGGTGGCAGGTGCCTGTAATCCCGGCTACTCGGGTGGCTGAGACAGGAGAATCACTTGAATTGGGGAAGTGGAGGTTGCCGAGATCACGCCATTGCACTCCAGCCTGGGCAACAAGAGCAAAACTCCATCTCAAAAAAAAAAAAAAGAATGAACACTTTTTGCCCGTTTATTGTTCGTGGTAGTTTTTGGTGGGACTATCTTGAATCATCTTACGTGTGGGGCAGTCATTCTTACTCTTTTCTCCATGGTCTATAACAGAGGTTGGCAAACAGACAAATAATAAATGTTTTAGGTTTTGCAGGTCAGGTGGCCTCTGTTGCAACTACTCAGTTTTGCTGTTGTAGTGTGAAATCACTGTAGAAAATATGTAAACACATTGATACCACTATGTTCCATGAAACTTCTTCTACAAAACCAGGCTATGGCAGGATAAAGCCCATGGGCTCTATGTAGTTTATCGACTCTTGGTCTATGAGAAGATATTTCACATTCAGACTTTGTCTAGTTAGGGTGACTGTTATATTTTCATTGGGCAAAATTTGCCATAGAGCAGCAGTCCTCAACCTTTTTGGCACCAGGGACCCGTTTTGTGGAAGACAGTTTTCCACAGACCGGCATTAGGGGATGGTTTCAGGATGATTCAAGTGCATCACATTTATTGTACACTTTATTTCTATTATTATTACATTGTAATGTATAATGAAATAATTATACAACTCACTATAATGTAGAATCAGCGGGAGCCTTGGGCTTGTTTTCCTGCAACTAGACGGGGGTGATGGGAGACAGTGACAGATCATCAGGCATCAGATTCTCATAGGGAGCTCATAACCTAGATCCCTCACATGTGCAGTTCACAGTAGGGTTCACACCCCTCTGAGAATCTAATGCTGCCACTGATCTGACAGGAGGCGGAGCTCAGGTGGTCATGCAAGTGACGGGGAGCGGCTGTAAATACAATGAAGCTTTGCTCTCTCGTGTGCAACTCACCTCCTGCTGCATGGCCTGGTTTCTAACAGGCCACAGACTGGTGCCGGGGGTTGGGGGCTCCTGCCATAGAGGATACTTCCTAGTCGAGTCTTCCTACGTTTTCCACAGGGCGCAGTGCTTTCATTGGCATTGGCTTCACAGATCGGGGAGATGCCTTCGACTTTAATGTCTCCTTGCAGGATCACTTCAAGTGAGTGAAGCTTGTCCTTAGTTACGAGGCTGAATGCTTATAGGAATGCTGCTTCTCACATGAATGGGCAGTATCTCTTTTCCTCCTGGTTTCTTTGTTTCTTAAACTATTTCATTGTGAATATAAATCTCCCCATTCACTTTTGTTTCCTTAGGTCATCTTTGTATCTATTCTGTTTCCTTTCCTTATAGCCTGCAATATATTTCAGATCCCTTGTGCAGTAGTTTGAAATGATGCTCTGTCGAATTTGCCCCGTCTTTTAGGTGGTAGAGGGAGGCCTATGGTAACAGCAGGGCTTTATGTGGGGAGTCGTGTGCCACTCTTGTTACCTTATGTAGCTGACATGTTTTGTGACTTTTGCAACATTTCTTTAGCCCACTTGATTTTGGTGCAGCTGTGGTTGACAGCACTGTGCACACTGTCAGCTTCCTACCTCAAGAGCAAGCATATCTCTCCTTTTCTGCCTTAGGACTCTCTGAAGTTATAGAAAGCTAAGAGCAAGCTTTAACTTGGAAAGACTAAGAAACTAACACCCCCTCAGGAGCAGCCCTCAACTGTGGGGAATGGGAATTGGTGGCTAAATACCATCCTTCTGGAAGGGGCAATTCTAATACGTATTCCGTGAGATTTCTCAGAGAGTCCCCAGTGGAATTGAACCCCAGTTGTTTTCTTTCTTGGCTTTTTTCCCTTCTGTTTCTCACTCTTTTTTATCTCTCACTGTGTTTTCTGGAATCTCATTTCATAAAAGTAAATACACCCAAATTTGTATGTCAGACTCTGCTTTCAGGAAATCTCAAACTAAGATAACTTGCTGTGTTCCCAAAGGTGGGTAAAGCAGGAATCTGAGATTTCCAAGGAATCTCAAGAAATGGATGCTCGTCCTAAGTTGGATCTGGGCTTCAAGGAAGGACAAACCATCAAGTTGTGTATCGGGGTGAGTATGGTTTTTAAAAATTTTGTTTTCCTGTGCTTCCATAAGCCTATGACATCTTTCTCTTGCTCTTCTTTTTTTCTTTTGTAGAACATTACAAACAAGAAAGGAGGTGCTTCTAAGCCCAGGACTGCAAGGGGTGGGGGTCTGAGCTTACTCCCACCCCCGCCAGGAGGCAAAGTCACTATTCCCCCACCATCCTCCTCAGTTGCCATCAGCAATCATGTCACCCCACCACCCATTCCGAAATCTAACCATGGAGGCAGTGATGCAGGTAAATCTAGTACTTCTAATTTTGAGAAATCCAATCTTATGTTTTAATTAAGCAACACCTGTTTGTCAAGGAGAGTTAATGTTTTTGCTATGAAATAGCTCATGGTACTGACAAGGTGATTCTGTCAGCTTCTAGCAAGGAATCAAAGCTTTTCTAGTGAACTAAGAGTCATAGTATCTCATAGGTTCTTTGGCAGAAAATATTTGCTTATTAAAATGACAATTTCCTTCATTTTTTTCTTGGTTAGATGCTTATAAGCTTTTGAGTCAGATGGACCAAGATTTTGGTCATGGCTCTGCTACTTTATATTTGAATGTGCTTGGTAAACATTACTTAAGTTTTTTGAGTTTCAATTGCCTTATCTACAAACTGGAGATGTAAAACCACCCCAGCGGGGACCTTGGCTCATGCCTGTAATCCCAGCACTTTGGGAGGCTGAGGTGGGTGGATTGCTTAAGCTTAGGAGTTTGAGATCAGCCTGGGCAACATGATGAAATCCCATCTCTACAAAAAAAATACAAACATTAGTTGGACGTGGTGGTGCACGCCTGTAGACCCAGCTATTTGGGAGGCTGAGGTGGGAGGATGGCTTGAGTCTGGGAGGCTGCAGTGAACCATGATTGTGCCACTGTACTCCAGTGTGGGTGACAGAGTGGGACCTTGTCTCATAAAAAAACAAAGAAACAAACAAAAATAAATAAATAAATAAATAGATAAAATAAAATAATTACCACCCCAAGGTCATGAGGGTTAAATGATTGACAGCACCTAGCATAGCACTTGGAACATAGTAGGCATTTAGTAAATGTTATTAAACTTTCCCATTTCTTCACAAGAGCAATTGGGAGAAAAGAAGATATCTAGGTTTGTCCATACACTTTCATTCTTTCTTTCTGTTTGGTGGGAGAAAGAATAAATATGGTTATATCTTCTCATTTGAAAAATGAGAGCATTGGAACTGAGAAAAGAATTTTTCTGAGATTAGAGAACTGTGTCTTAGAATCTGAGAATTTTAACTTAATGTATTGGACAGTGCAGATAATTTGTTGAATTGATTACTAAGGGTAAGCTTTCTCTTTCTGGAATTTTTGAGGTGAAAATATTATAGCCTGCTTCTTTTGGTAAGTGTTGCCAGAAGCCACTGGGGATAGTATCTAAGATTTTTTTTAAATTAAATTATTATTTTGAGATAATCGTAGATTAACATGCAGTTGTAAGAAATAATATGAAGAGATCCTGTTTACCCTTTTCCCAGTTTCCCTCAATTGGTAATATTTTGTGGAACTATTGTCAAGTATCACAAATGAAAAATTGATGTTGATACCACTTTCTCATCTTACTCAGCTTACACCATTTTACATGTTCTCATCTGTGTATATTTGTGTGGATCTGTATATTTAGTTCTATGCAGGATTTTTTGTTATTTTTTGAGATAGGGTCTCACACTGTTGCCCAGGCTAGAGTACAGTGGTGCAGTCATAGCTCACTGCAGCCTCAAACTCCTGGGCTCAAGAGATCCTTCTGCGTCAGCCTCCCAAACATCTGGGACTACAGGTGCACACTGCCACACCAAGCTAATTTTTTAATTTTTGTAGCAACAGAGTCTCACTACGTTGCCCAGGCTGGCCTTGAACTTCTGGACTTCAGTGATCCTCCTGCCTTGGCCCCCTAAAATGCTGGGATTACAGGTGTGAGCCACTGCATCTGGCCAGTTCTTTGCAGTTTTGTCATGTGTAGGTTCATGGATCCACCATCATTTCAGGTTATAGAACAGTTTAATCACTACAAAGATCCCCTGTGTCAACCTTACACAACCACACCCATCTCCCTCTCATCCTTTCTTCCCCCATTCCTAACGCTTGGCAATCACCAGTCTGTTCTCCATCTTTATAATTTTGTCACTTCAGGAATGTTCTATGAAAGGAATCATACAGCATGTAACCTTTGGGACAGGCTTTTCCCACTCAGCATAATTCCCTTGAGATTCATTCAAGTTGTGTGTCAATAGTCTGTTTCTTTTTATTGCTGAATAGTATTCCATGGTATGGATATACCAGTGTGTGTAACTATTGCCCATGGAATGACATCTAGGTTGTTTACAGTTTTTGACCATTATGAATAAAGCTGCCGTGGCATTTGTATACAGATTTTTGTGCAAACATAAATTCTCATCTCCAAGATTTTTTTTTTTTTTTTTTTTTTTTGAGACGGAGTCTCGCTCTGTCGCCCAGGCCGGACTGCGGACTGCAGTGGCGCAATCTCGGCTCACTGCAAGCTCCGCTTCCCGGGTTCACGCCATTCTCCTGCCTCAGCCTCCCGAGTAGCTGGGACTACAGGCGCCCGCCACCGCGCCCGGCTAATTTTTTGTATTTTTAGTAGAGACGGGGTTTCACCTTGTTAGCCAGGATGGTCTCGATCTCCTGACCTCATGATCCACCCGCCTCGGCCTCCCAAAGTGCTGGGATTACAGGCGTGAGCCACCGCGCCCGGCCCTTCCAAGATTTTGATTATGTTTTTCTTTTTTCTTTTCTTACCTTGTGTTTAGATATCCTTTTAGATTTGGATTCTCCTGCTCCTGTCACGACACCAGCACCAACTCCAGTTTCTGTAAGCAATGACTTGTGGGGAGACTTCAGCACTGCCTCCAGGTAATGGGCATAGTGAAACTAGCATACTCTCAATCAGGGTGTAGGAGATATGTACAGTCAATTGAAATCTTTGATCTGGAGAAGCAATGGATATGCAGGTCACATAGAGTCTTTTGGAAGAGTTCTAGTGAAGGAAATATAGTAGTGCTGGGAATGGGGGGACAAAAAAGCTGTAGGATGAGGTTTGAGTGGGATATTTCAGGCCTTTGTAAGTAGAATTGCCATGAAGTGTGGTTTTGGAAATTCTAGGCAGTGATTTCTTAGAAACTATTAAGTAAAGAATGGAGTTGTTATCCTAATATTATGTCTCTGGCTTTCTCTGTTCTCCTGTCTTGCAGCTCTGTTCCAAACCAGGCACCACAGCCATCCAACTGGGTCCAGTTCTGAATGGCATTGGCAGGACATTAAGGACAGACTTGAGGAATAAAAATGACCTTGAGGGCACCAATCTGTGAGGGAAGTTAGGAACCCATTTCCTCCCCAGAACCAGAATGACTGGACAATCTTTTTCATAGCTTCTCCATCACATTCAAGCTGGT
Organism: Homo sapiens; assembly: GCF_000001405.40. Taxonomy (NCBI): domain Eukaryota; kingdom Metazoa; phylum Chordata; class Mammalia; order Primates; family Hominidae; genus Homo; species Homo sapiens. The sequence continues at coordinate 8,096,243 of NC_000012.12, forward strand.
TTATGTCACTCCCCTGTGTTGTTACTTGTACAGCCAAGAAAGTATCTGTTATCTCCTGCGTAGTACCAAGGTAGGGGACTAGTGGATCTTATCATAGTTTTGGCTGACTATGCAGGGCTTAAAAGGCCAGCGTCTGTTTGAGGGGGAATGACCTCTAACATCTGTAAAATTTGTCTCATCTTTTAATTTCTTTAACTTATTTCAAAATCATCTCATGACCCTTGTGTGCCTCTTTGTGAAGCCCTATTTAGCAATTTCAGGGGAGTCAAAAACCTTGCAACTTCCTTCTCCACTAACCCAGGACTAAAAATGGACAGGCTGACCTCAGTGTTTACAAATTCAGAATTTTGATAGGGGTAGATATGGAGAAAGACCTATTTCCTGGGTCTCTGCTGTGTAGTCTCCTTCAGGCTTATTGTGCTCAGTGAACATCCAGTGCTGGGTGCAGCTCCATCACCCTCTTGTGTGTTTACATGTCTCTTTCTATGATAAGAGGGTTGTGTTGGTGGCACCTCCACTACTCTTTTCTGTTTGTTGAGTTTGAATTGTGTTAACATCTTTGATCAGTGGGTGTATCTGTAATGAAGGAGGTTCAAGAGGCTGTGCTTTCCAAGTGATAGTCTATAGGAGTGTTTAATTTCTTGCAGCTCCATCTGGTTGCTGCATTTGAAGCATGGCATTAATTTGTATTTGCCCTGTTCTTTGACCTAAAGTTGAAGGGTTTAGAGTTTTTAACCTGATCTGTAGAGCAGAGAGGTTGAAAGCACTTAACTCTTGTTTAGTATCCTCATTGCCTTGCTGCCTGGGTATCTGGCCCCTTTCCATAAACATTTCTTTTCAGTTCATGTAGTTCTTTAATAGAAAGCTGCTATTATGTATATTGTCATTTGTGAAGGAAGTTGGAGAGTCACAGCTTTACTGTGACAGGTTTTGCCCAAGGCTTTGATACCTGTCACCCAGGGTATCTTAAAAGCAAGTTGTTCTCCCACTACTTTCCTTTCCCTCTGCCCTGCCATTCCTATTACAATGCTGTGAAAAAAGTTCTGCTTCTTAGGTGAATGGGTACTTTCTATTTTGTTTCTAAACGAGCAATTTTGAGGATGAAATGGGAAGATATCATTGCTTCCTTTTTGCACCTATTGGGTATGTACACTCTGGCCGAAGGGAGTCCTTATGTTTAGTTTCAAAATATATTACTTTCCTGGATTCTCTTCTTCACTTTTTCTGACTTTGGGTCCATTTTCTTTTCATTGCCTCCTTTTCCAGGCAGCTCTATTCTTGCAGAGCCATAGCAGGACATGTTAAAATTCCAATAGAAAACACTAAAAGGAAAGTCTGTGGAATCACTAGTGACTAAATACTGGGAACCTATTTTCTCAATCTTCCTCCATGTTGTGTTCTTTGTATTCTTGAGATGATAATATATTATGTATTTGAATTCCTGAAAAATGGAAAATGTTTAAGATATATGTATATAAAGTGTATGCTGTATTGGTGCAATAATGGTAATTAAAAATATGAAAAAAGTGTCTCTTTTATCTTTTAATTTGCTTATTTGATTACCTTTTAAATTTAATTGACCAAATATAAGTGGACCAGTAGTTAATAAAGGATATTTATATCACTCTTTATTAAGAAATAAGGCTTTTAAGAAGTTGAGACTAGACCTCTGTGTTCATGGTTCTAAAATGACAGAGCACTCTGTGTAATCAATGAATATTCATTATTTATTTTCTGGTACAGTTAATTTAATTTGCTTCAAATTATCTTCATGATCTAGGCCACCTCTTATATCTTAACTGTAATCAGCAGAAATGAAAGGGATCAGTATAAGAGAAATAACTAAGGTCAGAACCACAGACTTTGGAAACCAGAAAAGGTCTTGGGAGTTCTTGTTCAGTGATTGCCACAGGAGATAAATTAGCTAGATGTGGTTGGTGGTTTACTCCTGTAATTCCAGCACTTTGAGAGGCTAAGGTGGGAAGATTGGTTGAAGCCAGTTCAAGACCAGCCTGGGCAGTATAGCGAGATCTTATCTCTACAAAAAATCTAAAAATTAGCTGGGCATGGCAGCATGTGCCTGTAGTCCTAGCTACTTGGGAGGCCGAGGTGGGAGGGTCACTTGAGCCTGGGAGGACGAGGCTGCAGTGAGTTGTGATTGTACCATGGTACTCTAGCCTGGATGATAAAATGAGACTCTCTCAAAAGAAAAAACAAAAAACATGAATCAAGGCTGGGCATGGTGGCTCATACCTATAATGCTAGCACTTTGGGAGGCTGAGGCGGGTGGATCACCAGAAGTCAGGAGTTCGAGACCAGCCTGGCCAACATGGTGAAACCCTGTCTCTACTACAAATACAAAAATTAGCTGGGCGTAGTGGTGGGTGCCTGTAATCCCAGCTACTCTGGAGGCTGAGGCAGGAGAATCACTTGAACCTGGGAGGCAGAGGTTGCAGTGGGCTAAGATTACACCACTGCACTCCAGCCTGGGTGACAGTGAGACTCCATCTCCAAAAAAAACAAACAAAACCCCCCCAAAACCATAAAACTATAGCTACAGTAATTTGTTAGTGGATACACAGTATGAAAATATGAAAATTGGTATCAAAAACAAAATGTGGCTGGGTGTGGTGGCTCACGCCTGTAATCCTAGCACTTTGGGAGGCTGAGGTGGGAGTATTGCTTGAGACCAGGAGTTCAAGACGAACCTGGCCAACATAGTAAGACCCTGTCTCAAACAAAACAAAAAATATATATGGGAGGGAAAGTTAAAGTGCAGAGTTTTTGTATGTGATTTAAATTATCAGCTTAAAATAAACTGTTAAAAAGTGTTATGTAAACCTCATGGTAACCACAAAGCAAAAACTATAGTAGATACACAAAAGATAAAGAGAACAATCAAAGGACTATAGAAAATCATCAAATAACAAAGGAATAGAGCAAGAGAGGAAGAAAGGAACAAAGGGCCCACAAAACAATCAAAAAACAATTTGAAAAATGGCAGCAGTAAGTCCTTACCTATTAATGATTATTTTGAATGCAAAATGGATTACATTCTCCAATCAAAAGACAGAGTGGCTAAATGAATTAAAAAAACAAGACTCAACTGTATCCTGCCTACAAGAGCATCACTTCACCTTTAAGGACACATAGAGACTGAAAGTTAGGCATGGAGACAGATATTTAATGCAAATGGAAACCAAAAGAGGGCAGGGGTAGCTATATTACTATATAGTCCCTCCTTATCTGAGGTTTTGTTTTCTGTGCTTTCAGTTACCTGCAGTCAACTGTGCTTTGAAAATACTAACTGGAAAATTACAAAAATTATTCATAAGTTTAAAAGTGGCACACTGGGGGCCGGGCGCGGTGGCTCACCCCTGTAATCCCAGCACTTTGGGAGTCCGAGGCGGGTGGATCATGAGGTCAGGAGATCGAGACCATCCTGGCTAACATGGTGAAACCCCGTCTCTACTAAAAAATAGAAAAAATTAGCCGGGCGTGGTGGCGGGCACCTGTAGTCCCAGCTATTCGGAAGGCTGAGGCAGAATGGCGTGAAGCTGGGAGGCGGAGCTTGCAGTGAGCCGAGATCGCGCCACTGCACTCCAGCCTGGGCGACAGAGCGAGACTCCGTCTCAAAAAAAAAAAAAAAAAAAATAGTGGCACACAGTTGAGTAGTGTGATGAAATCTCACACCATATTCCTTTGCCCTGCCCTGGATGTGAATCATCCTTTTGTCCAATGTGTCCATTCTATATACATTACCTACCTATTTGACACTTGATAGTCCTCTCAGTTATCAGATTGTTGTGGTATTGCAATGCTTGTACAAATTCAGTTAACCCTTATTTTACTTAATAGTGGCCCCAAAGCACAAGAGTGGTGACTCTGGCATATTGTTATATTTATTCTATTTTATTATTACTTATTGTTAATCTCTTGCTGTGCCTAATTTATAAATTTAACTTTATCATAGGTGTATATATAGGAGAAAACATAATGTATATAGGGTTCAGTACCATCTGTGGTTTCAGGCATCCAAGGGGGATCTTGGAATGTATTCCCTCAGGATAAGGGGGGAATACTGTATGTATTTCAGACAAAATAGACTTTAAGTCAAAAGCTATAACAAGAGCAAGAGACACGGTCATTACATAAACGTTGAAGAGGTAAATTCTTTTTTTTTTTTCTTTGAGACAGAATCTCCCTCTTGCCCAGGCTGGAGTGCAGTGGTATGATCTCAGCTCACTGCAACCTCTGCCTCCTGGGTTCAAGTGATTCTCCTGCCTCAGCCTCCTGAAGCTGGGACTACAGGCATGTACCACCACGCCCGGCTGATTTTTGTATTTTTAGTAGAGATGGGTTTTCACCGTGTTGGCCAGGCTGGTCTTGAATTACAGACCTCAAGTGATCCACCCACCTCAGCCTCCCAAAGTGCTGGGATTACAGGTGTGAGCCATTGTGCCTGGCCCAAAGAGGTAAATTCATCAAGATGATTGGAGCATCAAAATATATAAAGCAAATAACAGATTTTTTTTAAAAGTGAAAGCAAGTTTATTAAGAAAGTAAAGGAACAAAAGAATGGCAGAACAGCCCTCTTAACAGACTTGAAGAGGGAAATAGACAGCAATAGAATACCCCACTTTCAACAATGGATAGATCAGACAGAAAATCAAAGAGGAAACATTGAACTTGAGCTGCTCTTCAGACAATATGGGCCTAAGAGACATATACACAACATTTATTCAACAGCAGCAGAATACATATGCTTCTCAAGTGCACGTGGAATGTTCTCCAGTATAAATATGTTTGGTCACAAAACAAGTCTTAACAAATTTAAGATTGAAATCATATTGAGTATCTTTTGACTATAATAGTCTGAAATTAGAAATCAATAACAGGATGAAAACCAGAACATTCACAAACATGTGGAAATTAAAAAGTTTCCTGAACAATCGATGGGTCAAAGAATCAAAAAAGAAAAAAATATCTTGAGACAAATTAAAGTGGAAACACAGCATATCAAAATTTATGGGATGCAGCAAAAGTAGTTCTAAAAGGGAAGTTTATACCTCCATTAAGAAAAAAGAAAGATCTCAAACAAGCTAATGTTACACCTACAGGAACTAGCCAAAGCCTAAAGTTAGCAGAAAGAAAGAAGTAACAGGCCAGGCACAGTGGCTCACGCCTGTAATCCCAGCACTTTGGGAAGCCGAGGCAGGTGGATCACGAGGTCAGGAGTTCGAGACGAGCCTGGCCAACATAGTGAAACCCTGTCTTTCCTAAAAATACAAAAATTAGCTGGGTGTGGTGGCACGCGCCTGTAGTCCCAGCTACTCGGGAGGCTGAGGCGGGAGAATTGCTTGAATCCAGGAGGCGGAGGTTGCACTGAGCCGAGACTGTGCCATTGCACTCCAGCCTGGGTGACAGAGTGAGACTCCATCTCAAAAAAAAAAAAAAAAAAAAGAGCAGAAATAAATGAAATTTATATGCCTTTTCTCCTACATTAAAAAGAAAGAACTAATACCAATCCTTCTCAAACTCTTCCAGAAAATTGAAGAGGAGGGAATAATTTCAAATTCATTTTACAGGGTCAGCATTACCCTGATACCAAAGCCAGATAAGGACACTACAAGAAAATTACATCCCAGTATCCCTGATAAACACAGATGCAAAATCCTCAACAAAATACTAGCCAACTGAATTTGGCTAGTATATTTAATAGAGCCTGTTAAAAGATTATACACCATGATCAAGTGGGACTTATCCCTTGGATGCAAGGATGGTTCAACACACACAAATCAAATGTGATAAACTGTCTTAACAGAATGAAGGACAAAGGCCATATCATCTCAATAGATGCAGAAAAAGCATTTAACTAAATTCAACATTCTTTTGTGATAAATACCCTACAATTTAGATATAGAAAGAACTTACTTCAACACAATAAAGGCCATATATCACAAGCCCAGAACTAACATTATTGTCCGTGGTGAAAAACTGAAAGCTTTTCCTCTAATTTAGGAAAAAGACAAGGATGCCCACTCACTACTTCTATTCAACATAGTGCTGGAAGACTTAGCCAGAGCAATCAGGCAAGAAAAAGAAATAAGAGGCATTCAAATCAGAAAGGAAGAAATAAAATTGTCTTTGTTTGCAGAAGACACTAAATGAAATAAGCCAGACGGATAAATAATGCATGATCTCACTTACAAGTGGAATCTAGAAAAAGTTAAACTCACAGAAACCCAGTAGAATCATGGTTACCCAGGCTAGGAGGTCAGGGAAGAAGGAAGATAATGGTCAAAGGGTACAAACCTTCAGCTATAAGATGAATAAGCACCGAGACCTGATGTACAGGATGGTAACTATAGTTAATAATAATGCATACCTGAAATTTGCTAAGAGAGTAGATCTCAAGTGTTCTCACCACACACACAAGTAACTACGTGAGGTAATGGATACGTTTATTAGCCTAATTGTAATCATTTCACAATGTATACATATATTAAAATATCACATTGTATATTCTAAATATATATAATTTTTATTTGTCAACCATACCTCAATAAAGCTGGAAAAAAGATATATATATGTATATGTAAAAAGTAACACATACTGCTTTCTTCAGAGATTCTGATATACCTCCCGCTTTTGCCTTCCTGTAGGAGGACTTAAGAGACTTCCTGAACTGCGTCTTTTCTTATCATTACTGAGATTTTGAGGCACTGCTATTGACAGAGGTATATCTTAGACCTTAAGTTTTTGTTTGGGAAAAAAAATGTGGACAATCAATTTTCTAGCTCAACTCCCCTTAATTATATTTGATACTACTTGTCTTGTTATAATGTGAGCCTGTATTACTCCTCACTTCCTCCATTCTGATAACCTCCTAGGCAGTCTGCTTGCCAATGGCTTTTTTAGTTCTAATTCAGCTTACATGTTAACCCCAAAGTAATGTTTGTGAAACAAAGCTCTGCTCATGTTTTTTACTCTCCTATTAATTGCCTTTAATAATTCTTCTTTGCTTATAAAGTCCAAAATATAATTTCATCTTCAACTCAGTTTTCCCATTGACTCACAATGTGCTTTAACAAACTTAAGAACTACTAGTTGTTTCTTTGTTTCTTTCTGTTGTTTTTTTTTTTTTTTTTTTTTTTTTTTTTAGACGGAGTCTCACTCTGTCGCCCAGGCTGGAGGGCAGTGGCATGATCTCGGCTCACTGCAAGCTTTGCCTCCCGGCTTCACACCGGCTTCTGCCTCAGCCTCCCGAGTAGCTGGGACTACAGGGGCACGCCACCACGCCTGGCTAATTTTTTGTATTTTTAGTAGAGACAGGGTTTCACCATGTTAGCCAGGATGGTCTTGATCTCCTGACCTCATGATCCCTCTGCCTTGGCGTCCCCAGTACTGGGATTACAGGCGTGAGCCACTGCACCCAGCCCCACTAGTTGTTTTTCATATGCCACAAGTATTGAGTGCTTGCTAAATTAAAATTTTTTCTGCCTAGAATACCTTCCCTTTTATACCTGCCTGTTGAGGTCCTTCCCATTGTGTAATGCTCGCCCAAATACTACTTCATGAAATGTTTACCTATCCTTCCAATCTGAAAGGTGATCTGTTTATTTGAGGGGGCAAGGGGTGGGGAGTGTTGCTGTTGAAATTCTCTTCCTCACTTGTTTTAAGCTCTTTGAATATAAAGACCATGTATGTCTTCATTTTTATGTACTTGCAGTACTTCCCATACACCTTTCTAGATAGTACATGCTCATGAAGTACTTGTGGAATTAACAGTGATTTCAGTGAGGAGGGACTAGAAGTTGGTAAGTTGAGTGTTTTCTGTATTTTACTCATTTTCATTTGGGTTGCTCCTGGCTACATGACTTAAGTATTCCTTATATGCTTTGCCATAGTGGCAGAAAATCTCATTTTTTTTTTTTTTTAGGTCAGTACATTTTAGAAAGGCCAGTCCATTACCTTAAATGTTTTCTAGATGAGATACACCAGTTGTGACAAATACTTGGTCTTACCTTGAATTGTAAGCCACCTCAGAATAAATTAAATTCCATTTTCCTTTTTTCATTCCAGTGCATTTTCCCCATTTTTCCTCTGTATTTAGGATGGCAAACAAGTACTTTATGCCTTGCAAATAAATTGGTTTCTGTGGTCATAATTACAAATCAAGCCATTTGGGTGCTTCTGTGCATACGAAAGCCTACGGCTGGCTTCTCCATGAATCCTAATACAGGACAGTTGATTCTCTTCAAGAAACAATCAAACCATCCCTGCCTTCTCCACCATATCTTTGATGTTTCCCTGCACCTTTTCTTTCTTTTTTTAAAAAACTTCTATTTTAGATTCAGAGGTATATATGCAGGTTTATTATATAGGTAAATTGCATGTCATGGGGGTTGGATATACAGATTATTTTGTCGCCTGGGTAATAAGCATAGTACTTGATAGGTAGTTTTTCAATCCTCTCCCTTCTCCCCCTCCCCACTCAGGGACCCAATGTCTGTTGTTCCCTTCTTTGTGTCCATATGTATGCAATGTTTAGATCTCATTCACACGTGAGAACATGTGGTATTTGGTTTCCTATTCCTGCATTAGTTCACTTAGGTTTATGGCCTCCAGCTCTATCTATGTTGCTGCCAAGGACATGTTCTTTTTCTTTTTTTATGGCTGCATAGTATTCCATAGTGTATATATACCACATTTTCTTTATCCAGTCTACCATTGATGGGCATTTAGGTTGATTCCACGACTTTGCTATTGTGAATAGTGCTTCAGTGAACATACGTATGCGGCATACATGTGTCTTTATGGTAGAATGATTTATATTCCTTTGGGTATATACCCAATAATGGGATTACTGGGTTGAATGGTAGTTCTAAGTTCTTTGAGAAATCACCACGCTACTTTCTACAATGGCTGAACTAATTTATGTTCCCACCAGCAGTGTATAAGTGTTCCCTTTTTCCTGCAGCCTCATCAACAGCTGTTATTTTGACTTTTTCATAATAGCCATTCTGACTGGTGTGAGATGGTATCTTATTGTGGTTTTGATTTGTGTTTCTCTAATGATTAGTGATGTTGAGCAATTTTTCTTTTCTTTTTTTTTTTTTTTAAGATGGAGTTTCGCTCTTGTCACCCAGGCTGGAGTGCAATGGCACGATCTCGGCTCACTGCAACCTCCACCTCCCAGGTTCAAGCAATTCTCCTGCCTCAGCCTCCCAAGTAGCTGGGACTACAGGTGTGTGCCACCACGGCTGGCTAAGTTTTTTGTATTTTTAGTAGAGACGGGGTTTCACCATCTTGGCCAGGCTGGTCTCAAACTCCCGACCTCATGATCCACCCGCCTCAGCCTCCCAAAGTACTGGGATTACAGGCATGAGCCACCGTGCCCGGCTGATGTTGAGCAATTTTTCATATGCTTGTTGGCCATGTGTCTTCTTTTGAAAAGTGCCTGTTCTTGTCCTTTGCCCACTTTTTAAAGGGTTGTTTGTTTTTTGCTTGTTAATTTGCTGTTTATAGATTCTGGATATCAGATCTTCGTCAGATGCATAGTTTACAAATATATTCTCCCATTCTGTTGGTTGTCTGTTTACTCTGTGAATAGTTTATTTTGCTGTCCAGAAGCTCTTTAGTTTAATTTGGTTTCATTTGTCAGTTTTTGTTTTTGTCATAATTGGTTTTGGCATATTCTTTATGAAATCTTTGCCCATTCCTATGTCCAGAATGATATTTCCTAGGTTATCTTTCAGGGTTTTTATAGTTTTATGTTTTATATTTAAGTCTTTAATCCCTCTTGAGTTGATTTTTGTATGCGGTATAAGGAAGGGGTCCAGTTTCAATCTTCTGCATATCGCTAGCTAGTTATCCCAGCACCATTTATTGAATAGGGAGTCCTTTCCTCATTGCTTGTTTTTGTCAACTTTGTCAAAGATAAGATGGTTGTAGGTGTGCAGCTTTATTTCTGGACTCTCTATTCTGTTACATTGGTCTATGTGTCTGTTTTTGTACCAGTACCATGCTGTTTTGGTTATTGTAGCCTTGTAGTATAGTTTGAAGTCAGGCGACACAATGCCTCCAGCTTTGTTCTTTTTGCTCAGGATTGCCCTGGCTATTTGAGCTCTTTTTTGGTTCCATATGAATTTTAGAATAGTTTTAAAAAAATTCTGTGAAGAATGTCATTGGTAGTTTGATAGGAATAGCATCAAATCTATAAATTGCTTTGGGCAGTATGGCCATTTTAACAATATTGATTCTTCTTATCCATGAGCATGGAATATTTTTCCATTTGCTTGTGTCATCTCTGATTTCTTTGAGCAGTGTTTTGTAATACTTGCTGTAGAGATCTTTTACCTCCCTGGTTAGCTGTATTCCGAGGTATTTTATTTTATGATTATTTTTTGTGGCATTTTGAATGGAATTACATTTTTGATTTGCCTCTCAGCTTGGACGTTGGATTTTTGTACACTGATTTTCTATCTTGAAACTTTACTGAAGTTGTTTATCAGATCTAGAAGCTTTTGGGCAGAGACTGTGGGTTTTCTAGGTATAGAATCATCTCATCTGCAAACAGATGATTTGATTTCCTCTGTTACTATTTGGATACCTTTTATTTCTTTCTCTCGCCTGATTGTCCTGCCTAGAACTTCCAGTACTATGTTGCATAGGAATGGTGAGAGTAGGTATCCGTGTCTTGTTCCAGTTCTCAAGGAGAATGCTTCCAGCTTTTGCCCATTCAGTATGATGTTGGCTGTGGGTCTGTCATAGATGGTTCTTATTATTTTGTGGTATATTCCTTCAATGCCTAGTGTGTTGAGGGTTTTTAACATGAAGAGATGTTGAATTTTATCAAAAGCCTTTTTTTGCATCTATTTAGATGATTGTGTGGCTTTTGTTTTTAGTTTTCTTTATGTGGTGAATTACATTCATGGATTTGTGTATGTTGAACCAACCTTGCATCCCAGAGATAAAGCCTGCTTGATAATGGTGGATTAACTTTTTGATGTGCTACTGGATTTGGTTTGCTTGTATTTTGTTGATGATTTTTGCATCTATGCTCATCAAGGATATTGACCTGGTTTCCTTTTTTATTCTGTCTCTGCCAGGTTTTGGAATCAGGATGATACTGGCTTCAGAGAATCAGTTAGCGATGAGTCCTTCCTCCTCAAATTTTTGGAACAGTTTCAGTAGGAATAGTTCAGCAGGAACCTCTTCTTTATACATCCAGTAGAATTTGGCTGTGAATCCACCTGGTCCTGGGCCTTTTCTGGTTGGTAGGCTTTTTATTACTGATTCAGTTTCAGAACTTGTTATTGATCTGTTCAGGGATTCAATTTCTTCCTGGGTCAATCTTGGGAGGTTGCATGTTTCCAAGAATTTGTCCATTTCTAGTTTTTCTAGGTTTTCTAGTTTGTGTGCATAGAGGTGTTCATAATAGTCTCTGAGGGTTTTTTGTATTTCTGTGGGGCCAATGGTAATGCCCTTTTTGTCATTCTGATTGTATTTATATCGATCTTCTGCTTTTTTTTTTTTTCCTTTATTAGTCTAGCTAGTGGTCTATTAATCTTTGTTGTTTTAAAAAACAAACTGTGGGATTTCTTGATCTTTTGTATGGCTTTTTGCTACTCAGTTTCTTCAGTTCAGCTCTGATTTTGGTTATTTCTTGATTTCTGTTAGCTTTGGGATTGGTTTGCTCTTGTTTCTCTAGTTCCTCTAGGAGTGGTGTTAGGTTGTTAATTTGAGATCTTTCTAACCTTTTGATGTGGGCATGTAGCACTATAAATTTCCCTCTTAACAACTGCTTTAGCTGTGTCCCAGAGATTCTGGTATATTGTATATTTCTCATTAGTTTCAAAGAATTTCTTGATTTCCACCTTAATTTTATTGTTTACCCAAAAGTCACTCAGGAGCAGGTTGTTTAATTTCCATGCAATTGTATGGTTTTGAGTGAAGAAAATCTCATTTTTGTGCTTCAGAGCCAGTCAATATGAGAGAACCAAGTAAGTAGTAATGAAGACAGATTTTACTTTGGTATATAGACTTTTTGGCCTGGGGATGGAACACCAGGTACCATGTAGTAGAGTTGCTGATACATTTGGTAGTTTACCGTCTCATTTTAATTATAAGTGGCTAAAATTGCATTGCACTTTGCTCATGTTTTAGTTTTTTTGTAGCCTTTTCAAAAACCATTTTTTAAATTGCCTCTGAATTGTACATGAAGGAAATACATATGTGACTATAGGACTAATGTTCAGGAGTTCTCCATCAATCACATATTCTCCATCAGTCACATATTCAAAGGAAGGAAAGAGGGAGAATTTTATTTACTTGTGGGTCCTTAGCCTGGGTTTATATAGATGGTTTTCACAGCATTTTTATGGTTTGACATTTATTTCAAAATTTTGCTAGAACTGTCATCTTCAGTTTCCTTTTCAAAGACCTACAATACAGGGTGGTATATTTTCAAAAAAGCTCTGGTATACTTAAATTGCCTGCATCTGAGCCAGTAGTGAAATAATTGTCCATTGTGACTTCATGTTCTGCCCCATCAATCTAAGGATAACATCATCCCCTCAATTAAACAAAATAATGCATTAAGACCCACTATGGATTTTTTGACTTGCTTTTCAACATTTTCTTTGTTCCTACTATTTGTATTCTGCCAACGTACCTATTATTGGAAAAAAAAGTCATTGAAGCACTTTGTGTCAGTGCTGCATCTGGCTGCATATTAGCATGCGACCACTAGAGGGCATGCTCCTCCTAGCAACTGAAATAGTTGTAGGAATTTGCTCAGACTCCTGGTGGCAGGGGAAGCATTTGTTTTTTATTTTTTATTTTCTTTTTCAACAATCTAAGATAGGACGAGAACAGGGGAAGCATTTAAAAAGAAAGAAATGAAGACTGGATGGGGGCATTTAGTCTGGTCTAAGCCTGTAACTGATCCAAAGTTTGTTGAGAATGTAGAAAAATAGCTGTTTGGGCAGGCAGAAAATGAAGTACCAAATGATCCCTTCTTCATACTTTAATACTTTAATAAATACTTGAATGGGGAATATACTTAATTTTAATGACACCCCCTCCTCCTAGCTCCACCCATAATAGAGGATTAATGGGCAGTAAAGAGTAGTGGTCAGGAACATGGATTTGGGAGAAGACAGACTACTTTGCTACAAAATTTGTCTCTGCCACTTACTGGCTTTTTGACCTTGGAAAAATTAGTTAAACTTTGTTTGCCTCAGTTTCCTCATATACGAAATTAAAATAGTACCTATGGAATATTGTGACTTTAAAACAAATTTTAAAATTAAATTGCTTAGCTGGCCATGGTGGCTCACTTCTGTAATGCCAGTGCTTTAGGAGCCTACGGTGGGAGAATCGCTTGAGCCCAGGATTTTGAGGTTACAGTGAGCTATGATGGTGCCACTGTACTCCAGCTTGGGGTGACAGAGTGAGACACTGTCTCTAAAAAATATATAAAGTAATTGAAGTCCCTAGAACAGGGCCTGGAATATGGTAAGTGCCGTTTAAATATTTGTTGCTGGTACTAGTACTGCTTCTAATTCTGGCTCTCCAGGTGTGTAATGGGATGGTGTAAGGGCGAAATGACAGGAGTTCTTTTTTTATTGTCTTAGAAGTGAGGTAGATGCCCCAAGATTGGGGCAGGAAGTAGGAAGAGTCATCTGATAGAGGAGAAACGGGGAGTAAGGGATGACAGGGAGACATGCTTCTGAAACATATTTCAGACTGATTCCATAGTAAGGATTTAAATTCTTATTCTGTCTTTGTAATCCTGCTCAACCCCTTTTATAGCTTTTATAGTATATACCTTTTCACATAAGTAAGAAACCCCAAACCAACTGTCTTCTTATCCTGTATTTTTTGAGCACCGATCATTTGCTAGGGGAAGTGCTTTATAAAGATTGTCTCACTCAATCTTCACACAAACCCCTGGGATTCTTACTTCTGGGATTTCTTAATTCTTACCCTCTGGGGTGAAATATGGTTATCCATATTTCACAGGCGAGGACACAGAGGCATAGAGAGGTTAAAAAAAACTTTACTAATTTGTACCTAAAGTGACAACATGCTAGTGTCAAAGATAATAATTAATGAATTGATTGTGGCCTACCTCTGTACCTTCATTTTATAAAAAGGAAACCTCCATATTTGTGTTAATATTCCAGCCAGACCGATCTAATTATATGCTGCACTATTTCATACTACAGTGCCTTTACGTCCTTTGGTCTTTCTGCCTCAAATACTTTTTTCCCAAGTTCCTGTTCATCCACTACAGAACCTTTCCTCATAAGCTCAAGCAGAAACCATCTCTTCTTTCTCTTTTGTGCCACCACTGCACAGTGTATAACGGGGTCTTGTGCTTCTCCCATTGTATTGAAATTATTTATTTACATGCTTCTCTATTAGACATCAGGTTTTTAAATTAGGAATCATGTCCCTTCCTTCCCCCATCCCCTAACTCCTAATACAGTGTTTGTCACATGATAAAGACATGATAAAGTATATGGAACAGTGTGAGTGCCCCCCTTGCTTGCCCTTTTCTCTCCTCAGTCCCTTCTGCAAAGTAAACCATTGTCAATAATTTTGTGTGCATCTTTCTAGACACTTTTTTTTTTTTTTGAGACGGAGTCTCGCTCTGTCGCCCAGGCTGGAGTGCAGTGGTGTGATCTCCGCTCACTACAAGCTCCGTCTCCCAGGTTCACACCATTCTCCTGCCTCAGCCTCCCGAGTAGCTGGGACTACAGGTGCCCACCACCATGCCTGGCTAATTTTTTGTATTTTTAGTATAGATGGGGTTTCACTGTGTTAGCCAGGATGGTCTCTATCTCCTGACCTTGTGATCCACTGCCTCAGCCTCCCAAAGGGCTGGGATTACAGGTGTGAGCCACCGCGCCTGGCCCAACATCTTTTTTTTTTTTTTTTTTTTGAGACAGACTCTGGCTCTGTTGCCCACACTGGAGTGCAGTGGCTGATCTCAGCTCACTGCAACCTCTGCCTCCCAGGTTCAAGCAATTCTCCTGCCTCAGCCTGCCAAATAGCTGGGATTACAGGCGTGCACCACCACCTCCGGCTAATTTTTGTATTTTTAGTGGACACAGGGTTTCACCATGTTGGCCAGGCTGGCCTTGAACTCCTGACCTCAGATGGTCCACCTGCCTCAGCCTCCCAAAGTGCTGGGATTACAGGTGTGAGCCACTGCACCTGGCCTTCTAGACATTTTTTAAAGCATTCTCTCTCTGTGTGTATCTGCCTATGCAAAGATCCTTTAATAAAATAAAAATTACATGTAAATTGTTTATATTATTTTTTAAAAAATTAATAATGTTCTGAAGTTCTTTCTTTGCCTATGCATTTGTATTTGCTTATGTTTAGTTTATGTTTAGAGCTATTCAGGTTCTCTAAAGTATGGATGTACCGTAATATATTTAACCACTGTCCTTGTTGATAGTAACATTTCTGACATTTTTGACACTAAATTTTACACTGAACATCTTTTACATATAATATATACTTAAATGAAAAATTTAAAGGATAGATTCCCCAGAAATGGACTTGGTGGGTGAAATGCGATTAATTAAAATTTAAAAAACTTCAACTTTTTTTTTTAGACTCAGGGGGTACATGTGCAGGTTTGTTATGTGAGTGTGTATATGTGTGTGTGTGTGTGTGTGTGTGTGTGTGTGTGTGTGTGTATTTTATTTATTTATTTTTTTTAGACAGAGCTTTGCTCTTGTTGCCCAGGCTGGAGTGCAATGGTGCAATCTCTGCTCACCTCAGTCTCCGCCTCCTGGGTTCAAGCAATTCTCCTGCCTCAGCCTCCTGAGTAGCTGGGATTACAGGCATGCACCACCATGCCCGTCTAATTTTGTATTTTTAGTAGCGATGGGGTTTCTCCATGTTGGTCAGGCTGGTCTCAAACTCTTGACCTCAGGTGATCCGCCCAGCTTGGCCTCCCAAAGTGCTGGGATTACAGGCATGAGCTACCGCACCTGGCCTACGTGGGTATATTGCGTGATGCTGAAGTTTGGGATATGACTGATCCCATCACTCAGGTAGTGAGCATAGTATCCAGTAATGTGTCAACCCTTGTCTCCCTTCCTCCCTCCCCCAACATTTAAAATTTTGATAGATTTATTTCTATATTATCTTCTGCCTAATTCATATACTTAATATAAATTCTGAGGCTGTTTGTTTCTCTATTTTGTCAACAGTTTATTTTTAAAATATTTAGTTAATATATTGGGTGAAAAATATATTCATTTCTCTTACTACAGTGAGATTGTGCTCTTTTCATATATTTATTTACTATCTTTTTTTTTCATGTGTTGTCATGTGTTTAAGTTTTAGTTGTGAGTTTGTCTTTAGTGTGTTTTCCTTATGGGCAATCCTGTTCTACCTCAGTTGTGGGAGTATTTCTTTGGAGTGGTTTTGCATTTGCCTTTTCTAAGTCCTCAGGGTTATTATCAGATTGAGACCTAATTTTAAGTTAAATTCCTGGCTCAGAGTCTCCTTTATATCCTAAGTCATATAAGTTTGTACTCCAAAATTACATATATCATAGATAATATAAGTTGGTACTCCAAACTTACATACACAGAGGCCTGGGATTTTCCCTTCCACTTTTTATCATGAATATTTTCAAAAGAAGTTGAATGAATAATACAGTTAATAACCATATATCCATTGTCCATTTTTTTTTATTTTATTATTATACTTTAAGTTTTAGGGTACATGTGCACAACGTGCAGGTTTGTTACATATGTATACATGTGACATGTTGGTGTGCTGCACCCATTAACTCGTCATTTACATTAGGTATATCTCCTAATGCTATCCCTCCCCCCTCCCCCCACCCCACAACAGTCCCCAGTGTGTGATGTTCCCCTTTCTGTGTCCATGTGTTATCATTGTTCAATTCCCACCTGTGAGTGAGAACATGCGGTGTTTGGTTTTTTGTCCTTGCGATAGTTTGCTGAGAATGATGGTTACCAGTTTCATCCATGTCCCTACAAAGGACATGAACTCATCATTTTTTATGGCTGCATAGTATTCCATGGTGTATATGTGCCACATTTTCTTAATCCAGTCTGTCGTTGTTGGTCCATTGTCCATATTTAACAATTGTTGACATTTTGACAAATTTGGCTTTCTGCTTAGGTGATTGGTTTTTGTTTTAGTGTTGAGTTGTACAGTCTTTAAATTCAGAAAACGTTCTAGGGAGAAATTAGCAATGTACTTGAAGTCTCCTTAAAGCTCTACCAAAAGCTCCAATGGCTTTTTTGTCCCTTAGCAGCAGCCATCTGCAGGTACAAAGACCAGATTCTCAGCCTCCTGCCCATGCTCAGAATTAGCAAACCTCAGAATAAAGCAGTTGTAGCAATCTGCTCACCTTTCAGATTTCTCTCTTCTTGGATCTTATTGTCGTCTCACCCCCTACCCAGGTTCTTATTGCCTAACAGGAATGAGAGACTAGAAGAGTTAAATGGGGAAGAGGGAAAGCTAATACAAGGGTGCATTATTAAGTTGGTTACTGCTTTGGGCAACTGAGACTCCATTCTTCTGGAGCTCTGAGGAGCTGTGTAGAATGCACCTTAAAATTGTGTCCCCAAGTGATAAAAGAGGGGACAATTTATCCACTAGCTTCCTTCCATCATTGGATCAGGGTTTCCTCATGGTGTGTTGGCACCTGCACAGTTTCAGGTTTGTTCTGTACAGGGGGCATTCGTACTTGTAATGTCAGAGGATCCCTGGGACGGAAAGCAAGAGATTCATGGTTGGCTGAGGCAAGGTGTTATCAGGTTGCACTTGCCCGAGGCTGGTTTCTGTAGCAAGAGCTGAAGTAAAAGGTGAAGATATGATACCTACAAAAGAGGAGTCCATACGGTGCTCAAATTGCCCTAAAATTGGCTAGTAGCCTTCAAGCTAATTTGTTGCTTTTTGACGTACTTGCATTAATGTTTGAGCAATTCCTTTATTTCTTTTTTTTTTCTGAGATGGAGTCTTGCTCTGTCGCCCAGGCTGGAGTGCAGTGGCGTGATCTCGGCTCACTGCAAGCTCTGCCTCCCGGGTTCACGCCATTCTCCTGCCTCAGCCTCCCGAGTAGCTGGGACCACAGGCGCCCGCCACCACGCCCGGCTAATTTTTTGTAGTTTTAGTAGAGACGGGGTTTCACCGTGTTAGCCAGGATGGTCTCAATCTCCTGACCTCGTGATCCACCCGCCTCAGCCTCCCAAAGTGCTGGGATTACAGGCGTGAGCCACCGCGCCCGGCCAATTCCTTTATTTCTGATGGAACAAAATATTGTAGACTCACCTTGTACTTTCCTACGAATTTTTCTTTTTTCACCCAAAGCCCAGGGAGAGGTATTACTGCTGAACTCTTTCTAGTTTACCTTTTGCTTAATTTACAGTTTTGCAAAAATTATGAATTATATGGAAGTCTCAATTCCAGCTCCCTGCTTAGTGCTTGTCCAAGGCTTTGTTTCCTCATTTTTTTGTGTATTTAAATCCAAACCCTTAGCCATTACTGCATCTAATGATTTTCTACTCCAGTTAGATGACTCTCAGCTCATGAAGGTTACCTCAAGTTGCATCTTTACCTGTTGTCCCATGTTGCTATATTCTGATTCACTGAGGACCCAATAGCATTTCTCAAGAATAGACCAATTACTCGCTGAGAGGGAATGATTTCCTCTGAACTATCCTACTGGCCTCCTTTGAATTCTCCTACCAATCTCCAGGTTGGTTTGCTTTAGGCTCCAATCTGCATGGATTTGCCAAAGAGGGTTCAAGCACCGCTAGTTTATTAGGGCTAAGTGCAGACTGTCTGTCTACCTGTGGCCTGGACCACCTGAACAGCCTTTTCAGTATGTCACCAAATCCTGGAAGCTTTTCGATTTTCTGGCAAATATGTTTGAACACCCAAATGTGAAATATATTGCCTTAAAAATCCAAAGAGGCCTATGAATCCTGCCTTTCAAAATGGCACATTATTTGATATTTTGGAGGGGATATTTAAGTGCCCCAGACATCAATCAGAATCAACTGAAGGGCTGGTTAAAACACCAATTTTTGGGCCCCATTCTCAAAATTATGGATTTAGTACATCTAAGGTGGAGCCTAAGAATATGCATTTCTAACAAGTTCCCAGGTGATGTTGTTGGTTTAGGACCACACTGAGAACCACTGCCTGATAGACCAGGACTTCAATGGCATGAGGCTTACCAAGGCATCTAGGGTACTGTATTGTCCTGCTTTCCTTGTAGCATCTGTAGGATATCATCAATGGAGTGAACCAGCAGGATATCTTGTAAAACGGTGAGATGTTTAAGTTTTCTGCAGGGTAAATGGTAGGCCAGATTGAAAGAGTTATATAGATCTGAAGAGTTATATAGGTCTGAAGATGATGAAGGTATATTGTTTCTGCCAGGAGAAAAGCAATTTGATGATGATTTTTTTGCTTATTTATTAACTGGAAGAAATAATATCCACCAGATAATATACATATATGTCATATATATATATTTAATTTTTTCTAGACAGAGTCTTGCCCTGTTGTCCAGGCTGGAGTGCAGTGACACGATCACAACTCACTGCAGCCTCAACCTCCTGGGCTCAAGTGATCCTCCCACCTCAGCCTCCTAAGAAGCTGGGACTATAGGTGTGTGCTACCATGCCTGGCTAATTTTTAATCTATATATATATTTTTTGAGACAGGGTCTCACTCTGTCACCCAGACCGGAGTGCAGGTGTGATCTCGGCTTACCACAACCTCTGCCTCCCAGGCTCAAGCGATTCTTCTGCCTCAGCCTCCCAAGTAGCTGGGATTACAGGTGTGCACCACTACTGCCTGGCTAATTTTTGTATTTTTAGTAGAGACAGGATTTCACCATGTTGGACAGGCTGGTCTTGAACTCCTGACCTCAAATGACCCACCTGTCTCGGCCTCCCAGAGTGCTAGGATTACAGGTGTGAGCCACCGCACCCGGTCTAATTTTTATTTTTTATTTTTGTAGAAGTGGGGTTTCACTATGTTGCCCAGGCTGGTCTCAAAGATCTGGACTCAAGCGATCCTTCTGCCTTGGCTTCCCAAAGTGTGAGGATTTCAGGCGTGAGTCATCGTACCTGGCCGTTAATAGGTATACATTAAGGGCCGAGTACTGTATTGACTTGCTCTAGACCTCGCATTTGGAAAGCAGCTAAAATTGGAGTCACCTCCTGATTAAATGTATGATCATCTACTCCCATTGTTTATGACCCATCTGTATTGGCAAGATGAGTGATTTAAATCAAGAATATAATAGGAATTGCTTATGCTTCAGTTTTGAATCCTTTGCTAGTGGTACTAATCTTTGTGATTTCATTATAGATGCTTTACTGCTTTTGATTTTATTTTGCTAGGAAGGGGAAGTTCAGGAGCTTCAATTTGGTTTTCCATCATAATGGACCTTACTTCACAGGTCAGGGAGACAGTGTGGGGATTCTGGACAACAGGAATTTGGGAAATAACCGGAGGGTGACTTCAGGCTCTCACTATACCTGCTGCTTTTGTGGGGATAGGAAACTTCTTGGACTTGGAGTGTTTGTGATGCTTTGGGCAATATATGGGTATCCTCCATATATTTCTTTATCAGTTCTTGAGATCACATTTTATCACAATCAAGCCTCTCGTTTTCACTTAGGAGACATAGCAAAGCTTGAATTCAACTGGATTTGCAATTTTTAACCATCGAGTCCAACTAAAACTTTGGCTTTTGGTCTCTTCAGCCTGCAGCTACAAGCAATAAAGAATTCTTTTAATATAGTTATAGAAATTCTAGTTTTCAGTTTTTTCCTTGGGTCAAGAATTTAGGATATATTGAGTTTGTTACTCTCTTCCTTTGGGTTATCCAGTGCCATAAGAAGCAACTATTCTACTCTACACTTCTTAAATTCTTTCCCTTGGGGTTGCTTGGGCTCTTCTTTTTTTTTTTGTTTTTGTTTTTTTTGAAGTGGAATCTCTCTGTTGCGCAGGCTGGAGTGCAGTGGCACGATCTCGGCTCACTGCAACCTCTGCCTCCTGGGTTCAAGTGATTCTCCTGCTTCAGCCTCTTGAGTAACTGGGATTACAGGTGCTCATCACCACACCTGGCTAATTTTTGTATTTTTAGTAGAGATGGGATTTCACCAAGTTAGCCATGCTGGTCTCAAATTCCTGACCTCAGGTGATCCACCTGCCTTGGCCTCCCAAGGTGCTGGGATTACAGGTGTGAGCCACCGCACCCAGCCTGCTTGGGCTCTTAAAGGCTTGTCTCCAATGGGAACTTTTTTTTTAGGTGACAATGTGTTTCAATTTGCCTATTTTGTCATTGCATGGCAAGGACTACCAAGTCCCATCTGTTAATACTAGTCGTGCTTTCTCTTTTCTCAGCTTCAACCAGATTGGATAATAAATCTCAAGTTTCCTCTATTTCACTTCTATAGCTTTCAAGTATTTATGGTACAATTTCTGAAAGCAAATGCCTGGATTTGCAGCTGTTGTAGAATATGAAGAGCTCTGTTTCATAAAGTGGGAATATTCTTCAAACATAAGGAGAATTAGATGCCAAAAAGAATGACAACCATTACTTGCGTAAACCAAAAAGTGACTGAGGCAGGTCTCAATTGATTTACAGGTTTATTTTGCCAAGGTTGAGGGCATGCCCAGGAACAAAACACAAATCACAGGAGCATCTGTGATTGGTGCTTTTTCCAAAGAAGGTTTTGAGGACCTCAGTATTTTAAGGGAAAAGAGCAAGCAGGAGGGGAAGGAGGAAAGGGGAAAAAAAAAGGCAAGGGAGAGTAGACAAGGAGGCAAGTGGTTACTTTCTTGTGAGGCTCTGGTTAGCACTCAATGAATCTACATTTTACATGTGAAAAGTGGGGGTAAAAGAAAAGTCATTTATGCATTCATCTGGGAGTAGACAGAGGGATGATTTCTGGTCTTGTTCTTGTCTTCTACCTGTGAAGATAAGCTAATAATTTACATTGTCAGGTTGAGATTCAACATACAATGGAATATTATTTGTCCATAAAAAAGAATGAATTACTGATTGCTGTGGTTTAAATGTGTCCCTCTCTGTATTAGTCTATTCTTGCACTGCTATAAAAAAAAAAAAAACCTGAGACTAGGTAATTCATAAAGAAAAAGAGCTTTAATTGGCTTACAGTTCTGCAGGCTATACAGGAAGCATAGCAGCTTCTGCTTTTTGAGGACACTTCAGGAAGCTTCCAATCATGGTGGAAGGCAAAGTGGGAGCAAGGCACTTCACACGACCAGAGCAGGAGGAAGAGAGAGAGGGGTGAGGTGCCACACACTTTTAAGCAACCAGATCTCACGAGAACTCACTATGGCGAGGACACTACCAAGGGGGAAATCTACCCCCATGATCCAGTCACCTCCTACCAGGCCCACCTCCAACACTGAGGATTATAATTTGATGTGAGATTTGGTGGGCACACAGATCCAAACCACATCATCATCCAAAACCCAGGTATTGCCAGTGTGATGATATTAAGAGGTGGGCCCTTTTAGAGGTGGTTAGGCCATGAGGGCTTTGTGGATGGAATTAAGGCTCCTATAAAAAAGGCATCATGCATTGCTGGTCTATCTCTTGCCCATCTGCCTTCTGCCATGTGAAGACATGGAGTTCCTCCCCTTAGAAGATACAATCATCACCAGATAACTGAATATGCTGGTGCCTTGATCTTGGGCTTCCCAACCTCCAGAACTGAGAAAATAAATTTCTCTTCTTTATAAATTACCCAGTCTCAGGTATTTTGTTGTTAACAACACTAATGGACTGAGAAACTGATATGAGCTATAACATGGATGAACCTCAAAAACACTAAGCTAATACCAGCTGAATTAGCTAGCCTTGCTGCAAAAATGGTCTTAGTCTCATCTTTGGTGAAAATAAGATAGATTTTTTATTTGTTTGCTTTTGTTTTCTGAGACAGAGCTTCGCTACTGTTGCCCAGGCTGGAGTGCAATGGTGCGATCTCAGTTCACTGCAACTTCTGCCTCCCAGGTTCAAGTGGTTCTCCTGCCTCAGCCTCCCTAGTGTCTGGGCTTATAGGCATGCACCACCACGCCTGGCTAATTTTGTATTTTTAGTAGTGATGGGGTTTCACCATGTTGGTCAGGCTGGTCTCGATCCCCTGACCTTAGGTGATCCACCCGCCTTGGCCTCCCAAAGTGCTGGGATTACAGGCATGAGCTACCATGCCTAGCCTGTGTCTTTTTATTATGAAAGAAATACATGCTTATAAAATATCAAACAGTAAAAAATCTTTAAAAATAAAAGTGCCCTATTTACTCCATCCTTACTTCTAAATACTGAGATTAATTTCACAGTGAACAGAATGGTCACTTGCCATCATATCAATATAAATAGTCTAACGAATATCTTGTTTTCATGAAATTAACAATACTGAGCTATTAAATTGACTTCTGATATCAACTACCTGGACTTAGGCCAAATTTCACAGGTTGAGGGCACGCCCTTCATAAGACTGCCATTACTTCAGATACCAGCCACAAGTTCAGGGGTTCCCAGGGGTGTCCTCACTCCTGATCAACTGACTACAAATTTGGGGTTTCCCATGATCCCTTCAGGTTTTATGATTTATTAGAATGACTCACTGAACTCAGGATAGTGCCATGCTTATGATTGCAGTTTTATTATAGCAAAAGGATACAAATCAGAACCAGCCAGAGGGAGAGATGCATGGGGTAAGGACTGAGAGGGTCCTAAATGGAAATTTCCATTGACCCCATTGATATATCACTTTCTTAGAACTTTAATGTGTGATAATACACAGAGTATTGCCAATCAGGGGAGCTTCAGTGCCCAGAGTTTTTACTGGGGTCCATTATGTAGGCATGATTGATTGAACCATTGGTCACAAGTTGAACTCAGTCTCTAGCTTCCCTTCCCCACCTGGGCTGATATAACATGGCTCAGGGCTTCAATGCGCCAATCACATGACTGGTCTTTCCGGCATGGCCAGCCCCACCCTGAATCACCTTCTTAGCATAAACTATCTTAGAGCCCATCATGAGAGACCTCATTAGCATGAGATATACGGGCCCACCATGAATAACAAAGACAATCCTATTATTTGGAAAATTCCAAGGATTTAAAGGCTACCTCCAGGAAGTGGGAACAAAATCCAGGCAAATTCTTTATTACCTAGGTTAACTGCAACATGATGCAATATTCAGAGAGTGAACGAACAAGTGAAGGCACACTGTCAGCCTCTCAGAGTTGTGGAACTTCCAGTCTTCCCTCATAATAGGTACCATACCACACATGACATGCAATCAATACTAGTAAAGCTTATCTTCCTTAAAACTTTAAATAAATGTAAATAGATGTTTTAGTGTTTTTTTCTCTGTGCCTTAGCAGATCCTCTTTTATACTGCCTAAGGTACTTGTGCCCCATTTTGGAGATCACTGCCCAAGAGATCTCTTGGATAAATAATTTAAAGGGATAAGGGGATAGATTCTATTATTGTTTCCAAATGTCTGTGTTCTCCTTTGTGAAAGGATTAAACTTTGATACCCTTGACATGTCTTTCTGTAGACAAAGTATATTTCCCTGTCTCACTTGCAGGTTTGTTCAGGTAACTTGCATTGGCCAACAGAATCAGAGCAAATACAACGTACACCTTATCTGAATAAAGGATGCTACTACATGGTTCAGCTTACAAGGAGCTATTCTGTGATCTCAGCTTCCAGAATGAGAAAACACTTGGAGAGGGGCCAAGCAGAGTTGCAGTCAACTCCAAGGTGGCCCTAAGCACAAGTGTAATGTAAGTGAGAAATACATGTTTGTTGTTGTAAGCCACTTGGATTTTGGGGTTGTTGGTGATACGGTGTAATCCAGTTATAATGTGACTTATTCCAGGGAGAGAGCTATAGTTTTAGGAATATGGTTTGCTTTCTAATTATGAGCTTAGATTGTAAAGACTCTGAGAATCAATGATTGTTATTTCAGGGAATATGTGTGCATGTATACCTGTCTACGTGCATGTGCTGGTTAGGCCCAATCATTAATTTGTGGAGAACTTAAAATTCCCTTATCCTTCCCTTATGCTTTGTCATTCCCCTTTCCCTTTTCTTACTAAATAATTTGATTCTAAATAAAGCAGTAGCAAGATAGGTGTCTATGGTGAGGTGGCTGGGAGAGCAGCAGTGGCCTGGCACAGGGGGAGAGCTTTAGCAGGGTGAGAAGGGTGACTATGCAGGGTATTGGCTTGACAGTGGTTCTGGAGCCCAAGCAGAGTGAGAAGAACATCCCTTAGGGGTGGGAAAGTGTCCTGGCATGGGGAACCAGAGCGAGGAGATGTCCACTCCTGGCAATGGCCCAGTGCAGGGTGTCAGAGGATAAGATTGAGGAGGGTGTCCATAGTAGGGGTAGCCTGATGTGAGAGGTCAGAGTCTGAGAGGTAAAGAAGGCATCTATGTGGTGGGATAGTCAGGTGCAGTGAGTTGGAGTGCAAGCAGGGTGAGGAGGGCATCCATGTATGAGGTTACCTTCTATAGGGAGTCAGAGTCGCAAATGGCTGAGCAGAGTACTCTAGGGCCAGCCTGGTATGTATGTCAGCATGTGGGAGAGGTGAGGAGGGCACCCATGCCTAGTGTTGGCCCAGTTGGGGTTGGGACTCAGCACTTAAGCAGGATGAGGAGAGAGAGCATCCTTGCAGAGGGTAGACCTGGTGTGGTTTCAGAGACCAAGCATGATAAGGAGGGTGTCCATGTGGTGGGGTAGCCCAGTGAGGGAACTCAGATCCTAAGTAGGGTAAGATGGACATTATTGCTGGGGGATGGAGGACCTGCATGGAGTGTCAGAGCCCAAGCAGGATGAAGAAAGCTTCTATGCAGAGGGAGGACTTGGTGTGGGTTTCAGAAACTTAGCAGGATAAGGAGGTGGTCCATGTGGTAGGATAGCCCGGTGAGGAAATCAGACCCCTCCAGGGTGAGGAGGGCTTCCACCCATAGGGTGACCTTGTGTGGAGCATTAGAACCTAAGGGGGTCTAAGTGGTGACTAGGGGACCAGCATCAGGAATCAGAGTGCAAGCAGAGTGAGGAGGGCTTTCCTGCAGAGGAATGGCCTAGCACAGGGAGTCAGAGCCTTGGCAGGGTGAGGGGGATGTTTGTTGGGGGATGTTCATGGGGGTGGGGAGTGGGCTGGCCCTTTGCCGGCACTCTCAGAGTGAGGAGGGAGGGCATCCGCGCAGGGGATGGTGGCTTGGACTGGGGAGTCAGAGCCCAACTAGGAAGAGAGGGACATCTTAGCAGGTGGGAGATTGACGACATCCAGGAGATTGATCAAATAAGGAATAAGTGAAAGACAATGAAAGCAGGTTTCTTAGTGTCACAGAAAGGAGTTAGGAATGTGGGAAGGGAGAAAACTAGAATGAAACTTGTGGTGTTAGATTGGAATTAGAGGAATTAGTGTGAACTCATGGTGTTCAATATATTTAGATATAGAAATAATATAGAAATATAGACGTGTGTGTTTGTGTGTGTGTGCATGCATGTATGCATGTGTGTTATGCAGGAGAAGGAATCAGCTGGGGGAGATTAAAAGGAGGATCATTTGCGGAGAGTTGAGGGCAGAGAATCCAGGTGTGAGCTGGGAGCATGTCTATGGAGAGATTCCACATGAAGGATTTAATATTTGGAGTGTTTTCTTCTAGGCCTTTGGAAAAAGTCATATTTAGTACTTTGTTTAAGTTTATCCCCTTCTATACTGTGATTCTATATAATTCTCCTAACTGTTAAAAAATAGTCATATATATTGGAGGTGATGTGGCGATTAAAAGGTTAGGGAAGCATGGAATAAAGGCTGGCCTTCCCTCTCCTCCAACATCCAGTAAAGGGAGCTGCTTTCTGGAGATTCTAGCAAGATGAATGCAGACTTTTGATAGAGTTAGTTACCAACAAGGAAACACAGAGAGCATGGAGGAACAGCTTCAGAAGACATGGGGTTTAAACTTTGCCATCCCCACCATGCTACAGGAAACTAATTCGTGAAGGTGGGGAGGCTGATATGTGAGTTTTGTGTCAATGATACTCTTAGAATGTGGTACTAACAAGTTGCCTGATCAGTCAAAATTGATGAGATGAATGCAACATAAGTCTATGTTCAGGATGTTTGGTCAAAAGTAATTACATTTGTGTGTGGAAGCACAGAAATTGTATTTTTTACTGGTGAAAAACGCAGTTCTCCAGAAAGACTCTAAGTGCTTGGTTCTTCTTTTATTTTTCTTCCTCTTTCCGCAACCCTTTGAGTTCCCACTTTTATTGCATTTGCTTGCATTTGTTTCAAGGCTGTGATTCTCACTATACTGGTCCTGAGGAAAGGGCTTCTGTGAACTGCGGTTTTTAGTTTTTATTGTGGTTCTTAGTTCTCATGAGACCCCTCTTGAGGATATGTGCCTATCTGGTGCCTCTGCTCTCCACTAGTTGAGTGAAAGGAAGGAGGTAATTTACCACCATGTTTGGTTCCTGTTTATAAGATGTTTTAAGAAAGATCTGAAACAGATTTTCTGAAGAAAGCAGAAGCTCTCTTCCCATTATGACTTCGGAAATCACTTATGCTGAAGTGAGGTTCAAAAATGAATTCAAGTCCTCAGGCATCAACACAGCCTCTTCTGCAGGTAAAGATCATTTTCTAGGGGTCAGAGTGAATGACGAGGTGAAGGATGAGGAGAGGGTTTATGAATAAGGCATAGGTGTTTTCAGTTGCTGGTTGTCTGATTGAGTATGTCTGGGAAACACAAGAGTCCCAGAAGATTGAGTGGCCTGCAGATACGCATTACGGGGTGTACATTTGTATTGTGGAGAAGAAAAGATTTTGTGCCACTCTCTTCAGCCTCCACTCTGCTTACTGAAACAGAGGTGAGAGAAATCCACTCCAGTTCTGAGCTAAGGCGAGTGCTCTGATGCCCCTGTGTTTTCTGAGGCTGAGTGGGGCTGGGGTTAAGAGATTGAGTACAGCTTCTGAAACCATCAATCCAGATGCAGGGGGTCCTGATGAATTTGTGAGATTTGTTTTTTGATCAGTTAGAGGGAAAGAGTTTGGGTGGACAGTGGTGAGGGTATATTTGTTGGTAATGGATGGAAATGTAACAAAAGGCCTTTGCAAATGAAAGACTAGAAAGTCTACAAAGAAAGTCTCTTAAATCTCCAGGAAACTTTTTCTGAAATCAGAGAACCTATTGCGTGTTGCATCTCTGAGACAGACTCTGTTACGTTTGGGAGTAGATGCAAGGTGATTTGGGTGTCATGTGTGATATCTCAAGTATAGAGCAAAAGAGAGAAAAGAATGTATATAGAGTACAAGAAACTATGGGGGAAGGGGTCAGGACTATAGTTACGCTTTCTAAAATACCTCTGTGAAGGTGTGGAGAGCACTTAGGGAAATTTTTTCTCCTTAAAAACTTTATATAATTTCTTTATTACACAAGTATTAATGTTCATTGTAGAAAAAATTAACCAGAGGTACACAGATATTTGAATTATAATTACTCTTATCATCTAGAGAAAATCATAATTTGCAATTTAGTGAATATCCTTCCACATACAAATACATATAATGTGCATATGTATTTTACTAAAAATGTAATCATATTATATAATACTGAATTTTTTTCCCCCATCATTTGACAAAATATCATAACTCGAAGAAAGTGATTCCTAACCATGAGATGGTAACTAAAAAGACTGACTTTATTCTAAACATGTGATGAGGAATGATTATAAAGATTTATTTGCTATAGCATTATTTAAAGTTGGAAACCATTATTTAAATATATGATGAAATACTATGCAACCATAATAAGGAGTGTTAAAGAAGAAAATATAATGGTATGAAAAATGTTCATGATATAGTGTAAAGGAAAATAATAGGTCAGAAATCAGTATTTATGGTATGTCAATCGTGGGAAAATTTGCATATGTGTATATATACATTCAAAAAATTGCTAGAAAGATATATACCAAAATATTATGGTATATTATAAGTTATATGGCATAACAGTTATCCTCAATTGTAGGAATTCGTACTTTTATGTATTTTTTAAAGTTTCTACAGTGAATATTATTATATCCTTTCTATTCCTATTCTCATGTGATTTCAAATGTCATACCGTTAGTAACTGTGTGTCATCCAAGAAAAGAGAGAGAAAGAGGAGGAGGAAGAAGAGGAAGTAAAGACCAAACTTATTACTGATAAAACTAATTTGGCTTCTTCTTCAGCTTCCAAGGAGAGGACTGCCCCTCACAAAAGTAATACCGGATTCCCCAAGCTGCTTTGTGCCTCACTGTTGATATTTTTCCTGCTATTGGCAATCTCATTCTTTATTGCTTTTGTCAGTAAGTATGCCAACTGAACCAATAAGCAATATCTGCTGTCCATGAACAGAGGGTATCCTTTAAAAACTGACTTTTGAAAATGAGCTTATCCAGAAATCTGAAATGAAATTTTCTCTGGGGAGACATAATTCATGGGAATCCACTGTGAATTTTGCTCTTTATTTGGATTTAGTTACTGTCCTGTAAAAATAATGGAATCCCTTCTCATTTAGAGAAACTGAAGCATAAATGTGGGTGTATGTATTTGTGTTGTAGAGTGAAATCTATGGGGCATCATCTCTATACTAGACACTATGTAAGTGAGGACAAATCTATGTTTCCTTGGTAGCATTTATCAGGCCAGTCTGATTTGAATGCACAGACATTTATGTTTTGGGATGAGCAGGTAGACAACAAGGAGATGGGAAGAAATATTTCAGGAAGAGTTCTCCACTGGCTTTTACTCTGATTATTCCTGCCCTGCTCAAGACTGTGTGGGATCTAAAAGTCAATTTTGCAAATTAGGTGGATTGCTGCGTATCTTTGGCTTTCAGCATTTGTTGAGTTTTATTCCCCCTGGTTCTGTCACCCAGGCTGGAGTGCATTGGTGCAATCTTGGCTCACTGCAACCTCCACCTCCCAGGTTCAAGCGATTCTCCCACCCCAGCCTCCCAAGTAGCTGGGATTACAGGTGTGCATCACTATGCTCAGCTAATTTTTTTTTTTTTTTTTTTTGTATTTTTAGTAGAGACAGGGTTTTCTCATGTTTCCTGGCCTTGTCCTGAACTCCTGGGCTCAAGCAGTCTGCCTACCTCAGCCTCCTAACGTGCTGGGATTACAGGCATGAGTCACTACGCCTGGCTCAAAATTTTTAAAAGGCATAAAAAGCAGTATACATTTAGGTAGATTCTTTATTAATTTCTTTGGTCATTTCATAAGTATTGTCCATCTACTGTATGTCAGGCACTGTGCCAGACAGAGAGTCAAGACAGAGCCACAGCCCCTGGTCTCAAGAAATTTAGAGAATGATAAAATGAACCAGTGGTTATAACATTGTATGGTAAGTGTTGTACAGTTAAGAAGTATAATAAGTGCAAGAGGCTGAGGTAGGCTTTCCGGAGGAGGTGACATCTAGAGCTGTGTGTACCAAGAATGACCTAGAGATATGAGAGAGCATGGAATTTGGGGAAACGTAAGTATGCATGACTGGAACATATGGTGCTAAGTAAAGAACTAAGAAATGAAGTTGTAGGTGGCAGAAAGAAACAGGACTCAGATCATGAAGACTGCTGTATATCATGATAAAGAGTTTGGATTTTTTCCCTCCTAAAGGTTATTTTATCAATTATCTTTTGCTGGTTAATAAGCCAATCTAAAACTTAGTGGATTAAAACAGCAACTATTTATTTAGCTCATAAATCTGTGTCTTGGCAATTGAGACTGGTGTCAGTTGGGAGATTTCCCCAGTCCTGGCTGAACTCACTCATGTATATGTGGTTGGGTACTGGCCACAGGCAACTTAGCTTCTGAGGAACAGGATGTTAGATGGAATGGCAGGAGAGATTTGGCCACGTTTCTCTTATCATTCATCAGGGTAGCCTGGGTTTGTTCACATGGCAACTGGCAGGCTTTTAAGACTGAGAGCGGAAGTAAGCAAGGCCTTTTGAAATCTCACCTTGGAACTAGCGCAGAGTTGCTCCTGCACATTCTATTGGCCAAAAGAAGTCTTACAGGCAGCCCAGATCCAGGCGGTGGAGAAATAGACCACATTTCTTGATTGAAGAAGCTGCAAAATCACATTGCAAAGCAGTGTAGATACAGGGTATGTTGAAAGTTGTGGCCATTTTTGCAATGTCACAGTCATAGAGAAAATTGAAGAATTTTAAGCAGGGAATTGATATAATTGGATTGGACTTATAGAAACATGATTTTTACAGAGGTGTGGAAAATGGATAAATGAGGACAAATTTGGAGGGAAAGAGAGGTTAGAAGGATAATTCATTAATTCAATTGAGAAATATTGTCAGACTGATCTATGGCTAGTGTTAGCGAAAAAAGAGAAGATGAAGTAATTTTGAATGATAAAGGAGGTAGAGGCTTGATGAATATTCAGTTCTGGGAAATAAGGGACCCAGAGAAGTAAAGTATGGCTCCAATATTCTGACTTTGTAAACTCAGAAATCATTAAGTTTTTCAAAGAGGTAGACAATATAGGATCAGTAGCAGGTTTGGGTTGGAAGATGGTGATTTAAGTTTTGGGCATGTTGAGTTTTATATGGCTGTGAGAACCTCAAATGGATGTGTCTACTGGGAGACACATTTGTCTGGATTTAGGGAGAGAGGTCTGAGCTTTGGAAGTCCTTCACATAGAGGTAGCAGGTGATGCCGTGGGAATATATGATATCACTCACGGAGATAACTTAGTATGAGAAAGACGGATAAGGATGGAACTCTGGGAAATGTTACATTTTAAAAGAGGTGGATGGAGGAAACGGAGCTCATCAAAGAGTGTAAGAAGCAGCAGCAAGAAAGGTAAGACAAAAACAACAAAGAGTAGTGTCCCAAGAGCTAAGGGGAAAGGCAACTGGGGTCAAGCCTTTAAGGAAGTCAAATAGGAAGAGGACTAAGTAACCCTAGGATATTACTGAGGATCCACTTTAGGGATGGTTTTAGTGAAATAGTGGAAGTAAAACCCAGACTATGATGGGTCAAGGAGCAAATGAAAGGTAGGGAGGAAAGACAAAAAGTTCAATTTCTTTTTTTTTTTTTTTTGAGATGGAGTCTTGCTCCGTCACCCAGGCTGGAGTGCAGTGGCGCAATCTCAGCTCACCGCAACCTCCGCCTCCCAGGTTCAAGCAATTCTCCTTCCTCAGCTTCCCGAGTAGCTGGGATTACAGGCACCTGCCGCTGCGCCCAGCTGATTTTTGTACTTTGAGTAGAGACGAGGTTTCACCATCTTGGCCAGGCTAGTCTCGAACTCCTGACCTGCCTCGACCTCCCAAAGTGCTGGGATTACAGGCGTGAGCCAATGTGCCCGGCCAAAAGTTCAGTTTCTAGAGGGAGAGGTGGGTTAGTTTTAAACTGGGAGAAACATGAGAGCGTTGGTGTGCTGAGGAGTAAGAGCCAGTTGGGATGGAGAGAGTAATGGAGAGAAGAGGAAGAAAATAATGCCCTCTTGATCCATGTGGGGTTCTTTTTAAAATTCTCCATTCTTCAAGGTAACCCAGAACTCCTCAGAATTAATTTGCCCCTCTCCCATCTGCTCCAAAGTCCCAGGGTGCGCACATCCTTAAATACAAGTGTTTATTGCCCTGCATCCCCCCACCCCCAAGAGTTAGCCTTTGCATGCATCTTATATTAAGTATTGAAGGAGAATGTGGAGTCCCTTTAGATCCATTATGATGGAACTGTTGTGTCCTCTTCCAACTACTGATCTTTCAGCTATTCCTAGAGATATCTATAGTTTCAGTATGGGAAATCTTTTCCCTCTACTCCAGTAATAGGGCATTTGTAAGTTTTATTTCAATAAAGAATGCAAGAAAGTAACGATAAAGAGCAAAGTCATAATGCTACCAGGAAAATAAATGGTCTTTATTCTCTTTTCCAGTTTTCTTTCAAAAATATTCTCAGCTTCTTGAAAAAAAGACTACAAAAGAGCTGGTTCATACAACATTGGAGTGTGTGAAAAAAAATATGCCCGTGGAAGGTAAAAATTAATGTGCCTAGAATTCAGTTGCTGAATGTACTATGTAAGGATCCCAAATCAATATTTCCAGTAAGATTCCCAGGTAGATCATACTGAAAAGTTGAGTCTCACAATAATTTAAGCTACAAATGTACAAATATCTAGGACATGCTGGGCATGGTGGCTCACACCTGTAATCCCAGCACTTTGGGAGGCTGAGGCGTGTGGATCACAAGGTCAACAGATCGAGACCATCCTAGCCAAAATGGTGAAACCCCGTCTCCACTAAAAGCACAAAAATTAGCTAGGCATGGTGGTACACACCTGTAATCCCAGCTACTCGGGAGGCTGAGGCAGGAGAGTCGCTTGAACCCGGGAGGCAGAGGTTGCAGTGAGCCGAGGTTGTGCCACTGCACTCCACCTGGCGACGGAGCAAGATTCCGCCTCAAAAAAACCCAAAAGACAAAAAAACAAATATATAGGACATAAAATTCTTTTGTTGTTGTTTTTTTGAGACAGGGTCTCACTTTGTTGCCCAGGCTAGAGTGCAGTAGTGCGAACATGGCTCACTACAGCCTCGACCTCCCGGGCTCAAGTGATCCTCCCATTTCTGCCTCCTGAGTAGCTGAGACTACAAGCACACGCCACTACACTCAGCTAATTTTTGTATTTTTTGTAGAGATGGAGTTTCACCATGTTGCCCAGGCTGATCTTGAACTCCTAAGCTTAAGTGATGTGGCTGTCTCAGCTTCTTGAAGGGCTGGGATTATAGGCGTGAGCCACGGTGCCTGGTCCTAAAATTCGTATATGTACTCATATATCTTTAATTTGTCTATGGAAAAAAATAGAAGCTTAATTGTGAAAAAGGTTACATTGCTTTTAGACTTCTTCGACCTTTGCTTCTTTCGGAACTTTCTATACACATTTGCTCTTTTTTTCACATATCAGTTAAAACCATGTGATGAAAATGTGATGATGATTTTTTTATGGATGTGAATTATTTAAATTATTTAAATTAATAGATTATTGTTATTATTATTATTATTTTTGAGATAGGATCTCACTCTGTTTTCCAGGCTGGAATTCAGTAGTGTGACCACAGCTCACAGTAGCCTTGATCTCCTGGGTTCCAAGTAATCCTCCACCTCAGCCTCCCAGTAGCTGGGATCAAAGGTGCCCACTACCACACTTGGCCAATTTTATTTTTATTTTTTGAATTTTTGTAGAGAGAAGGTCTTGCCATGTTGCCAGGCTGTTCTTGAATTCCTGGCTTCAAGCAATCCTCCCACCTCAGCCTCCCCGTGCTGGGATTACAGGAGTGAGCTACCATGCCCGGCCAATAGGTTATTTTTAAGAACAGTTTTATATTTACAGAAAAATTGAGCAGATAATGCAAAGAGATCTCATTTTTCCCTTGCTCTGCACACATGCTCTCCCCTATTGTTAACATCTTACATGAATATAGTATACTTCTTACAACTAATCAACTAATATTGGTATATTATTAATTAAAATTCACAATTTTCAGGTTTCCTTAGTGTTCACCTCATTTTCTTTTCTGTAATAGGATCCCCATCCAGAACACCACGTTACATTGAATTCTCATGTCTCTTTAGGCACGTCTTGGCTGTGGTAGTTTCTCAGATTTTCCTCATATTTGATGACCCTGACAGTTTTGAGCAATACTGGTCAGGTATATTATAGAATGTCCATCTATCAGAATTTGTCTGATGTTTTTCTAATAATTAGACTGGGATTATTGGTTTTTGGGAGGAAGATCACAGATGTAAAATGCTATTTTCATTACATCATATCAAGGGCATATATTATCAAAATGATTCTTGACTATTGATGTTGACCTTGATCACTTGGTTAAGGTAGTGTTTGTCAAGTTTCTCCACTGTGAAGTTACTCTTTCCCTCCCCACCCCTTTCCATACTACACTCTTTGGAAGGTTCAGTCCACACTTAAGGACTGGGGAGTTATGCTCTCCATTCATGAGGGTGGATTATGGTATCAGTCATGGTCAGCAGGCTGGAGACTCAGGAAGGAGTAAGAGTTGCAGTTTGAGTCCAAAGACCATCTGCTGCAGAACCTTGAAGAGCCAGTGCTGCAGATGAAGTGCAAAGGCAGTCCACTGAGTTTCCTCTTGCTCAGAGGAGGTCCCTCTTTTTGTTCCATTCAGATCTTCAATTGATTAGATGAAATCTACTTACATTATTGAGGGCAATCTGCTTTACTCAAAGTCCAGCAATTTAAATGTAAATCTCATCCAAAAGCATTTTCACAGAAACATCCAGAATGTTTGGCCAAATATCTGGGCACTGTGGCCTAGATAAGTTGACACATAAAATTAACCATCACAAGTATCTATATAATTTATTTGAAATTTTGTCCAGGTGATATTTGTCTCTTTTATTCCATTTATTTATTTATATAATCATTTAGTTATATCTGCATGTACTCATGGAGATATATATATCTATATATATATATATCTCTTCAACTTTTAAGTTCTGGGGTACATGTGCAGGATGTGCAGGTTTGTTTCATGGGTAAATGTGTGCTATGGTGGTTTGCTACATAGACCAACCCATCACCCAGGTATTAAGCCCAGCATCCATTAGCTGTTCTTCCTGATGCTCTCCCTCCCCGGCTTGCTCCCTCCACCACAGGCCCCAGTGTGTGTTGTTCCCCACTGTGTGTCCAACTCATGGATATTTATTTTAAATTTTGGTTTATAATCCAATACTGCTCTATTTTGTAGTTCCAGCTTTGGACATTGGGAACTTTTTCATTTGACTCCTGTGACCCTTTAACATATCACCACGTGTTTTTTCTTTTGTTTTGGTTTAGCACTTCCTCACTTTCTGGGACTGCAAAATGCTTGAGACTCACATTGTACATTTCATGTCCCTATCCTGGAATCAGATATTTCTTTGAGGAGCCCTAGTTCCTTTGATTGGAGAATAGTGTCCTATGAAATTTGATAATTTGTATTGTCATTTTCATTCAGTTCAATGTATTTTTAAAAATTTCCCTTTAGACATCTCCTTTGACTCGTGGATTATTTAAAAGTGTGTTGTTTAGTTTCAAGCGTATGGAGATTTTCCTGTGTTATTTCTTTTATTAATTTCTGGTTTCTTTTCACTGTGGTTGGAGAAAACGATATGATTTCAGCAATTTTAAATTAGTCGATGTTATTTAATGTCCCGAGATATGGTTTGTTTCAGCATATGTTCCAGAGGCACTGGAAAAGAATGGGTATTCTGTTGTTGGGTGGAGCGTTCTATAAATGTGGATTGGATCCTTGTAATTGATGATGTTTATAAGTTCTATGTTCTTGCTGATTTTCTGTGTAGTTCTGTCAATGGTTGAGAGAGAGGTGTTGATGTATCCACCTATAATTGTATATTTGTCAATTCCTCTTTCAATTGTATCAGTTTTGCTTTATACATTTTGCAGCTTTGTTTGGTGTATACACATTTGGGGTCACTTTACAAGGCTCTGTTTATTTTTTTTTCTGTCTAGTTTTTTTGTTTCTTTGTGGGTTTTTTTGTTTGTTTTTGTTTTTTTTTTGTTTTTGTTTTTCAGACGAAGTCTCGCTCTGTTGCCCAGGCTGGAGTGCAGTGGTGCGATCTCAGCTCACTGCAACCTCTGCCTCCTGGGTTCAAGCGATTCTCTTGCCTCAGCCTCCTGAGTAGCTGGGATTACAGGTGTGCGCCACCATGCCCTGCTAATTTTTGTATTTTTAGTAGATATGGGGTTTCACCATGTTGGTCAGGCTGGTCTCAAACTTCTCATCTCAGGTGATCCATCCACCTCGGCCTCCCAAAGTGCAGGGATTACAGGTGTGAGCCACCACGCCCAGCCTTTTTTTGGTATTTTTAGTAGAGACAGGGTTTCGCCATGTTGGCCAGGCTGGTCTAGAACTCCCGACCACAGGTGATCCGCCCGCCTCAGCCTCCTAAAGTGCTGGGTTTACAGGCGTGAGCCACTGTGCCCAGCCTTTTCTGTCTAGTTTGTTTCTGTTGCTCAGTTGACATTTTCTGTTGTTTTGTCTTCCAATTCACTAATCTCTCTATCCCCTTCATTCTGCTGAGTCCATCCACTGAGCTTTTTATTTTGGTTATTATATTATTCAATTATAAAATTTCCATTTTTTTTTTTTTTGTCTATCTACTGTGTTGAGGCTTCTTTATTTAAGAAAAAAGTGATACATGATGTGGGATTAAAATCAAGAACATCATTGAACTTCACCTTCCCTCCAACCAGTTGCCCCAAACTCCCCTGCCCCCACCCTTTGTGTTCCCAATTCCTTCCTTAGTGAATGAAGAACTTAATCCCAAAAGCCCTGGCACAAACTCCAGGTGCTCTTTCCCTAGCTCCTCCCCTCCCCCTGTCCCCCATTCCTAGAAGGGCAGGCACCTCAGTTTGAATGCATGGGAGAGCCCAGAGTGGTGACGGAGACAGGGGGAAAGGCTTCCCCCTCAGGGAAAGGGACCGAGGAGTACAGTGCAGTGAAGTGAGGGCTCCCATAGCCTGGGGTACCAAAATGGGGCCCTGGGGCCAGAGGAAAGGACACTGGTCCCCCTGAGAAAGGAGACCCAACAGCCTCAAAATCCTCTCGTTGTGCATAGCCACTGCTTGATCGCTTGCCCTTCTGGCGCCGGTTACAGAACCACACTCGGACCACATCCTTCTCCAGCCCAAGCTGCTGGGCGATGTGGCTGATCTGCTGCAGTGTGGGTTTCGGGCACCGCAGGAACAAATTCTCCAGGTTGCCTCTCACTTGGTTCTCGATACTGGTTCGCTTTCTCTTTCGGGCCTGCACGAGGGTTTCTGCTTTGCATATCTCCTGAAGATTTTCATTGTTGTCAGCTTCCTCCACCCACTTCTGCAGCAAGGGCCGCAGCTCACACATGTTCTTGAAGCTAAGCTGCAGAGCCTCAAAGCGGCAGATGGTCGTTTGGCTGAACACCTTCCCAAATAGAACCCCCAGGGTGAGCCACATCGGCCTGTGTATATCCCAGGGTGATCCTCTTCTGCTTCAGGAGCTTGGCAAATTGCTCGAGTTCTTTCTGCAGAGCTTTGATGTCCTGGGACTCCTCCGGGTTTTGCTCCAGCTTCTCCTTCTCCAGCTTCACGGCACCAGAGGGGACGGTGCAGGGCTCCGGGGAGGCCCCATCGGAGTTGCTCTCCACCCCGACTCCTGCTTCGCCCTCAGGCTGAGAGGTCTCCAAGCCGTCTTGGGGCACTAGCCCCACTCCAGTCTGAGGCCCACAGTACGCCATCCCCCCGCAGAACTCATACGGCGGGGGACATGGGGGAATCCCCCACTCCTCAGAGCCTGGCCCAAACCCCGGCCCGATTCCTGGCCCTCCAGGAGGGCCTTGGAAGCTTAGCCAGGTCCGAGGATCAACCCAGCCCGGCTCCGGCCCCCCTGGCCCATCACCTCCACCGCCTGGAGGGGGTGAGAAGGCGAAATCCGAAGCCAGGTGTCCCGCCATGGGGAAGGAAGGCGCCCCAAGCATGGTGAAATCTTGGTTTTTCTTTATATCTTCTAGTTCTTTGCTGAAACTTTCTAGTTTTTCATTTGTTTCAAGCATGTCT
Organism: Homo sapiens; assembly: GCF_000001405.40. NCBI lineage: Eukaryota > Metazoa > Chordata > Mammalia > Primates > Hominidae > Homo > Homo sapiens. Next base: position 8,134,955 of record NC_000012.12, read on the forward strand.
GTATCTTCTTGTTGAAGCGTTTTTGTTTTTTGTTTTTTTTTAATCATGGCTGCTTTTAAATCTTTGTCAGATAATTCTAACAATTTTATTATCTTTTTTTTTTTTTTTTTTTTTTGAGACAGGTTCTCGCTGTGTTGCCCAGGCTGGTCTTGAACTTCTGGGATCAAGCGATTCTTCTGCCTCAGCCTCCCAAAGTGCTGGGATTACAGATGTGAGCCACCGTGCCCGGCCCCATTTTTGTTGTCTTGATTGTAGGCATCTATTGATTATTATATTTTATTAAATTTGAAAACTTACTGGTTCTTAGCATAATGACTTATTTTCTATTGAACTCTGGATATTTTTGCATTATATTCTCAGAGTCTGGATCTTATTTAAACATGTTTTCGTAATAGCTGGGCTTTTCAGATGGCACTTCAGCAGGAGAAAAGGGGCCCTGCCTCATTACTGCCTGATTGAGGTAGACTTGGCTTCCTTGACACCTGAGGGGCAGGGGCTCCTGGTTGCATCTGAGTGTGGAGGGGAGTTCCAGCTTCCATGTGCTCTCTCTTGGCTCTTAATTTTAATAATACACACACTTTTAAGAGTGATTATTTATATTGCACGTATGTGCCCCTCTTCCCAATACAGAGACAGCCTGGAGCTGTTGCCCAAAGAATTGGAAGTCATTTAGTTCCAACTGCTACTTTATTTCTACTGAATCAGCATCTTGGCAAGACAGTGAGAAGGACTGTGCTAGAATGGAGGCTCACCTGCTGGTGATAAACACTCAAGAAGAGCAGGTACTTTCTAATAGATAATGGGGCTGTGAGCCCTGCCTGATCTTTGTATATCTCTCTTGGCTAAGAAGGAGGTTTTTGTTACTTTGGGATATTTGCGCTGTGGCAGAAGGCTTTCAATAAAATAGGTAGAAAGGGCTCCTAAGCCTTTATATTCCATACCTCCTTCCTGCTTCAGTAAAACTAACCTCCCCGGAAGAAATTGTGACATTAAAAATATATGAGGGTTGAATGGAAGGATGAAAATGTTTCAGTCTGAAATATCAATTTGTTATTTCAATATGTAAATGTTTTATACATGATTAACTACTTAACAAAGAAGAGGTATTAAGTTGAATAGAGAAAAGAAATAAAGTTAACTCATGATGAATCACAATCAACACTCAGGAATGAAAATAAAGAATCCCTGAAGTTATGAAAGGAAAATGACTGAATCTGCCAAAATTTTCTCATGTACAACTTTGAAGAATGTAATCCCTTAGTGAAGAAAAGAGGGGAAGTAAACCTGAGATGAGAATTCATTCTGATCATAGAAATTGCTTCCATACTGGCTGGGCATGCTAGCTCATGCCTGTAATCCCAGCACTTTGGGAGGCCAAGGCGGGCGGATCACTTGAGGCCGGGAGTTCAAGACCAGCTTGGCCAAAATGGTGAAACCCAGCCTCTACTAAAAATACAAAAATTAGCCAGGCATGGTGGCACACACCTGTAGTCCCAGCTACTGGGGAGGCTGAGGCATGAGAATCGCTTAAGCCTGGGAGGCAGAGGTGCAGTGAGCCAAGATTGCACCACTGCACTCCAGCCTGGGACAGAAAGTGAGACTCCATCTCAAAAAAAAAAAAAAAAAAAAATTCCTTCCGTATGTACTGAACATCATGCTTACAAGCGATGTCTTTGATTCTGCCCTGCTCAGCCAGAGATCCCCATTCCTACGTAGAGCTCTAATGCAGCTGTTGCTGGATCCTCTCCTTTTCTTCTTGTTTCTCTAAGGTATTAAGAATTCAGTTTAAGCTGAATACTGTAAAGGCTGTGACTCCTTCTTTTCCCCCCTCAGGATTTCATCTTCCAGAATCTGCAAGAAGAATCTGCTTATTTTGTGGGGCTCTCAGATCCAGAAGGTCAGCGACATTGGCAATGGGTTGATCAGACACCATACAATGAAAGTTCCACGTGAGTATAGAATGAGATAAAAGAATCTTGGGTCCTGGATCATGCAGAGAGCTTAGGGTATTCTAGCTATCAGCTATAAAAGTAAAATAGCTCACTCTTCTTTTAGCTCTTGGGTACTAGGTTAAATAATTTCATTATCTCATTTAATCTGCGCAAGAACCCTATGAGGCACACATTGTTATTTTTCCCACTGTAGATATGAGGAAATTGAGCTTGGAGAGTGTAGATAATTCAGCTAAGGTCACCCAGTGGTGTCAACAATTGTTCTCAAATCAGGTGGATCTTACTGTGCTTTTAACCCGTATATTTACCTGTCTCTACATAGTGAAAACCCATGTTGATTAAGATCATAACCAATTATTAAGATTTAATAATGCTTTTTTTTTCTTTTTTGAGACAGGGTCTTACTCTGTCAACCAGGCTGGAGTGCAGTGGTGCAATCATGGCTCACTGCAGCCTTGAATTCCTGGGCTCAACTGATCCTCCCACCCAAGTCTTCTGAGTTGCTAGGATGACAAGTATGTGCCACCACACCCAGTCAGGCTGAAGATGTAATGCTTCTTATGAAGCAAAAATGCTAAATTCTGATAATCTTATATCTCATATTTATGTAATTCTTTAATTGCATAAATTACATACTTTACATATATTACATAAATTACATAAAATACATACTTTACTGGATTACCACCTTCGATCTTCATATCCACTGTATGAAATAAATAGTGATATTACTCTAGTCCTTATTTTTTAGATAGAAAAACTGAGAATCAGGGAAGTTAAATTACTTGTCCAATAACAAGGATAAGTAGAAGATTCAAAAGATTTTACTAGTTCTCTAGACTTTAAAAACAGTGCATTAAAAAAAGGAAAAAACTCTATTGATAAGTGGGACCAGGGTAAAATCTTTTCATCATACAAGGACACCCTATAGGTTGATGGACCCATAGGAACAGGACATAAGGATGGACAAATAGAAGAGAACCTCTAGAAAATCTATGGTGAGGATATTCAAAGCAGTAAGGTAGAGAACATTGAGTGACATAGGCACAGTTTTCAAAGGAAATGCCGGAAATGCAGATGGAGGAGAAGCTGCATGATGAGTAGCAGAAAGGTGGATTTGGGCATATCTGACCCTATGTTCCATGAAATTCATCCCTCGCTCCTCACCCCTGTCTCTAACCCTTTTCAAAGCTCTGTTTGAAGAAATGCCCTCATCCTTTTTGTCGCTTTCAGATTCTGGCATCCACGTGAGCCCAGTGATCCCAATGAGCGCTGCGTTGTGCTAAATTTTCGTAAATCACCCAAAAGATGGGGCTGGAATGATGTTAATTGTCTTGGTCCTCAAAGGTCAGTTTGTGAGATGATGAAGATCCACTTATGAACTGAACATTCTCCATGAACAGGTGGTTGGATTGGTATCTGTCATTGTAGGGATAGATAATAAGCTCTTCTTATTCATGTGTAAGGGAGGTCCATAGAATTTAGGTGGTCTGTCAACTATTCTACTTATGAGAGAATTGGTCTGTACATTGACTGATTCACTTTTTCATAAAGTGAGCATTTATTGAGCATTTTTTCATGTGCCAGAGCCTGTACTGGAGGCCCCCATTGTGCACACATGGAGAGAACATGAGTCTCTCTTAATTTTTATCTGGTTGCTAAAGAATTATTTACCAATAAAATTATATGATGTGGTGTCTCCTCCTGTCTGGTTTTCTCTTCATCCCTACTATACTGATATATAATTGTATATATATACTGACATATATATATATTATATTTTATATATATATTATAATATATATATATACACTGACAAATAAAATTGTATATATTTAAGGTTTACACTGTGGTGATTTGACATACATATATATTGTAAAATGATTACCGTAATCAAGTTACTTAACCCACACCCATTATCTTACATAGTTAACAATCTTGTGTGTAGTGAGAACGTTTAAGATCTACTCCATTCTGTCCATTGGTATCAACAAACACAAAGCAAGATCTACTCCCCAAAAAATTTCAAGTGTGCAATGCATCATTATTAACTATAGTCACCATCCAGCACATTAGATCTCTAGAACTTCGTCATCTTAGAACTGAAAATTTGTACCCTTTGACCAACATTGCCTGATTTTCTCCACTGCCCTCCATTCCCTCACAACCATCATTTTACCCTCTGTTTCTATGGATTGACTTTTTAAGATTCTACATATAAGTAGAATTGTACAGTATTTGTCATTCTCTGTATGACTTATTATATTTCACTTAGTATAATGCCCTCCAGATTCATCCATGTTGTGCAAATGACAGGATTTCCTTTTTTTATGGCTGAATACTACTCCATTTTATATACATAGTACATTTTCTTTATCCTTTCATCCATTGGCCAATACTTAAGTTGTTTCCGTGTCTTCACTATTGTGAATAATGATCCAATAAGCATGGAAGTGCAGATATCTGTTCTAGATAATGATTTCATTTTCTTTTGGTATATACCCAGAAGTAGGATTGCTGGATCATATGATAGTTTTATTTATATTTATTTATTTATTTATTTAGAGATGGAGTCTCATTCTGTCGGCAGGCTGGAGTAAAATGGCATGATCTTGGCTCACTGCAACCTCTGCCTCCTGGGTTCAAGCGATTCTCCTGCCTCAGCCTCTCAAGTAGCTGGGATACAGGTGAACGCCACCATGCCCAGCCAATTTTTGTATTTTTAGTAGAGACGGGGTTTCAGCATGTTGGCCAGGATGGTCTCGATCTCTTGACCTCATGATCCACCTGCCTCTGTCTCCCAAAGTGCTGGGATTACAGGCGTGAGCCACCACGCCCCGCCAGATAGTTTTATTTTTAGTCTTTTGAGGAACTTCCATACTGTTTTCCATAATAGCTGTACTAATTTATATCCCCACCAACAGAGCACAAAGGTTCCTTTTATCTATATCCTTACCAATACTTGTCAGTTTTTGTCTTTTTAATAATAGCTCTTCTAACAGCTGTGTGGGTGGTATCTCATTGCAGTTTTGATTTGAATTTCCCTAATGATTAGTCATGTTGAACATATTTTCATGTACCTGTTGGCCATTTGTATGTTTTCTTTGGAAAAATGTCTATTCAGTTTCTTTGCCCATTTGTAAATTGAATTATTTGTTTTTTTTGTTGCTGTTGAGTTGTACAAATTTCTTACATCAAGCTTGTCCAACCTGTAGCCTGCAGGCCACATGTGGCCCAGGATGGCTTTGAATGCAGCCCAACACAAATTTGTAAACTTCCTTAAAATGTTATGAGATTTTTTAGCTCATTAGCTGTCGTTAATGTTAGTGTACTTTATGTGTGGCCCAAGACAATTCTTCCAATGTGGCCCAGAGAAGCTAAAGGATTGGACACCCCTGTCTTACATATTTTGGATATTAACCCCTTGTCAGATATATAGTTTGCAAATATTTTCTCCCATTCTGTAGGCTACTCTTTCATTTTTTGATTGTTTCCACTGCCGTGCAGAAGCTTTTTATTTTGATGCAATCCTATTTGTCTATTTCTGTTTTTCTTTCCCAGTTTTCTTTTTTTAAATGAAGTTGAATATTTTATTTCTTATTTTGCTTCAAAGCTGTTGCTTCACTGTATAAAAATAGCACCAGCAAATGTACTATCTTGGGAAATTAAGATAGTGTTGTTCTTCATCTGACACTGTATGTACATCCACCAACAAAAAGTTCTCTACTCCCAATTACTTCCAATGGAAAGATGATTAAGTATTTTGACCCAAATCCAGATATTGATGTAAGCAAGTTACAATATTATATTAGGTTTAAGACAACAATGTTATCCTTGAATTACATAATATTAATAACTAGGTTTACCATAGATAATTTCATGAATTCTGAATATTAGAGCCTAGTCTAAAAATCATAGGGTACTGTGAAAAAGAAGCATATTGTATTTATCTGCAATCATTAGAAAATTTTTTTGTTTGTTTTTTGAGATAGAGTCTTGCTCTGTCACCCAGGCTGGAGTGCAGTGGCACGATCTCAGCTCGCTGCAACCTCTGCCTCCCGGGTTCAAGTGATTCTCCTGCCTCAGACTCCTGAGTAGCTGGGATTACAGGCATGTGCCACCATACCCGGCTAATTTTTGTATTTTCAGTAGAGATAGGGTTTCAGCATGTTGGCCAGGCTGGTCTCAAACTCCTGCCCTCAGGTGATCTGCCTGCCTTGGCCTCCCAAAGTGCTGGGATTACAGATGTGAGTTGTAGTTCATCTAGTTCTGAAGGGTTACTGAGTGTCATCGTGATCAGTCAATCGTCTTCATAACAAGATTTGTGTTGCGGGAAGTTAGGGACCCCAAACGGAGGGACTGGCTGGAGCCAAGGCAGAACATAAATTGTGAAGATTTCATGGACATTTATCAGTTCCCCAAATTAATACTTTTATAATTTCTTATGCCTGCCTTTACTGCAATCTCTGAACATAGATTGTGAAGATTTCATGGACATTTATCAGTTCCCCAAATTAATACTTTTATAATTTCTTATGTCTGTCTTTACTTTAACCTCTTAATCACGTTATCTTCGTAAGCTGAGAATGTACGTCACCTCAGGACCACTATTGTACAAATTGATTGTAAAACGTGTGTGTTTGAACAATATGAAATCAGTGCACCTTGAAAAAGAACAGAATAACAGCAATTTTCAGGGAACAAGGGAAGATAACCATAAGGTCTGACTCCCTGCGGGGTCCGGCAGAATAGAGCCATATTTTTCTTCTTGCAGGGAGCCTATAAACAGACGTGTGAGTAGGAGAGATATTGCTGAATTCTTTTCCCGGCAAGGAATATTAATAATTAATACCCTGGGGAAGGAATGCATTCCTGGGGGGAGGTCTATAAACAGCCTCCCTGGGAGTGTCTTACGCGGTTGAGATAAGGACTGAAATATACCCTGGTCTCCTGAAGTACCCTCAGGCTGACTAGGATGGGAAATTCCAGCCTGGTAAATTCTAGTCAGACTGGTTCTCTGCTCTCGAACCCTGTTTCCTGTTAAGATGTTTATCAAGACAATACGTGCACAGTGGGACATAGACCCTCATCAGCACAGCGGGGCATAGACCCTCATCAGTAATTCTAATTTTGCCCTTGCCTTGCGATCTTTATTGCCCTTTGAAGCATGTGATCTCTGTGACCTACTCCCTGTATGTACACCCCCTCCCCTTTTAAAATCCCTAATAAAAACTTGCTGGTTTTGCGGCTCGGGGTCATCACAGTCCTACCAATATGTGATGTTACACCCAGAGGCCAGCTGTAAAATTTCTCTCTTTGTACTCTTTCTCTTTATTTCTCAGACTGGCCAACACTTAAGGAAAATAGAAAAGAACCTATGTTGAAATACTGGGAGCTGGTTCCCCGATGGATTTGTTGACAACTCTGGATTTTCTTCAAGGGATTCATTAATTTCAGTTACTTCTGATAAAGGAGAAAACAGTTCATTAGTAGCTTTCATACTTTCCAAAGCACCAAACTCATCTTGTTTGCCCCAATTTTGTCCCAACTTCAGGCCAACTACAGTAAACAACAGCTCCCAAAGACTCCTGTGCAAATTGCTGATTCCCACTGTTCCAATACCATTTTCTGTTATTATGTGTTGACGTTTCTCTGTGAATTTATGCAGTGAAAGCAGAACGTGTCTGGAAGGCACCCACCCTCAGCCACCAGAGCCTCTGCAGGCAGGGCCCAGCAGGTGCTGAGGGTGCATGCAGACTACAGACCACTGCCTGCAAGCTCCACGCCACTCTCAGTGCCATGTTCACAGGAGCTTTTCTTCTTATATCTATTAAAAAAATCATTCCCCAGACAAATGGCAAGTGGCTTTTTTCCTGTTTTTCTTTCTATGAATTTTATGGTTTTAGGCCTTACATTTAAGTCTTTGATACATTTTAAATTAATTTTCATGAGTGGTGGAAGATAAGGTTTCAGTTTCATTCTTTTGAATGTGGAGATCCAGTTTTTCCAACACCATTTACTGAGGAAACTGTCCTTTCTTATCTTGTTTTCATCTTGGCACCCCTGTCAAATATTAGTTGACCATATACCTGGGAGTTTATTTTAAAAATTATTACTAAATAATCACTTAAAGTAGTTAACTATTTTTAATTATTAAGAAATAACTTTATTACATAATTATTTTAAATAGTTATTATTTTAAAAATTTCCAAAACTGTCAAAAAGAATAAACTACTTAGGAATAAATTTAACCAAAGGGGTGAAAAATCAGTACACTGAAAACTATAAAACATCGATGAAGGAAATTTAAGACGCAAAGCAATGAAAAGATATCCCATGTTTATGTGTTGAAATACTTAAATGGAGTAATATTAGCAAGCTAACCTACACTAGAAGCCTTTAGTGCTCATCCCCACACAAGGACAAAAGCATGACTGAAAAACTACATCTTGATGAGAACAGCTAAAAGAGGGCACCAGAGTACAGCAAAGGAGAAGCAGAAACCCTGTAGAGCATAGAAACCCAGGATGGTCTCATAGAGAATGGAAGGAAACACCTTGCCTCTGCCACCAGATGGGATCAGGTCAGAACCAGGGAGGATTTCTCACTGCAGAAAAAAGATAAGCAAGAGGCCCTCAGCAGCCTCTATTGCCACATTGGACATCTATAGTCCTCACCACTGGAAACTCCTGCAGTTGTCACAGGTGCATAGCCCACCTGAGGGAGCTTCTTGGAGTTCACATGACTGTGCTCCTTCCAGAGGAGTTGACACTGTGCCCCATTCATCACGGCTGATGGGGCTGCTGTACTGCAGCATCTTGGACCTGGAACCACTGCTGGAGTGTGTCCTGCTCTACATGTGAGAGGCTATGGCACACTTCTGTCTCTGAGACTTCATTGCCACTGAACCACCCCTGCTTGGTGGAATACCATCCCTGAGCTGAGGTGCTGCTACACCCTACCCTGTGGGACTAACCTGTGGCAGAGTGGCATTATTTACCTCCCAGTTGCTGCTGTGCCCTGCTCCTAGGGGCTTGAGCTGAAGCAGCACACTGCCTCCCAGGGAGATAGTGTGTTGGCTGCCCAAAGCACTTGCAACCCTCTGTGCCTGAGCTGAAATGGCAGCCTGTCTCCTGGGGAAGTGGTATCTTGGCTGCCCAGAGGAATCATGCTCCTGAGCCTACTCTGAAATGGCATTCTGCCTCCTAGGGAATTAATGCCTTGGTCACCCAGAGCAGCCATGACCCCTGGGCCAGTACTGAAGCAATATATTGCCTCTTGAGGAATTGATATTTTGGCTGAGACATGCATAGTCATCACTGATGTTGACTGCAGCCGAAGAAGCTGCACAGAGGCTATGCCACTGCATCTATTGGGAAGTAGAGCCACCATATCCTTCCCAATGGGTACACTAAGACCCATCTGCAGGTGAATGCCTTTCCTATTAAAGCCACCCTGTAATATTCAGAGGGGGTGAACGATCCACCAGACATGCAGATGTCAAAGCAGGGACACAAGAAACATGAAAAAGCAAGAAAACATGATACCACCAAAGAAACACAATAATTCTGTAGTAACTAACCCCAAAGAGCAGACTAAGCAGACAGCCTACAGAATGGGAGAAAACATTTGCCAACTATGCATCTTACAAAGGTCTAATATGCATAATCTATAAGGAACTTAATTCAACAAGCAAAAAACAATTCAACAAGCAAAAAACAATCCCACAAAAATGGCAAAGAACATGAACAGACACTTCTCAAAAGAAGATATGCATGTGGTCAAAAAATACAAGAAAAAATGCCCATCATCACTAATCATTAGAGAAATGCAAATCAAGACCACAGTGAGATACCATCTCATGCCAATCAGAACAGCTGTTACTAAAAAGACAAAAAATAACTGATGTTGACGAGGCTGTGGAGAAAAGGAAACATTCTACTGGTGAAAATGTAAATTAGTTCAGCCTCTGTAGAAAGCAGTTTGTAGATTTCTCAAAGAACTTAAAACTATGATTTAACTCAGTAACCCCATTACTGAGTTATATACCCAAGAGAAAATAAATCGTTCTATCATAAAGTCACATGCACTTGTATGTTCATTGCAGCACTATTCACAATAGCATAAACATGGAATCAACCTAGATGCCCATCATCCGTGGACTGGATTTTTAAAAATGTGGTACGTATACACCATGGGGTACTACACGGCCAGAAAAATGAAATCGTGTCCTTTTCAGCAACATGGATGCAGCTGGAGGCTATTATCCTAAGTGAATTAACACAGGAACAAAACACTAAATTCTGCAGGTTTTTACTTATAAGTAGGAGTGAAACACAGTACACACTGATATAAAGATGAGAACAAGAGACACTGAAGACTACCAGAGGGGGGAGATTGGGAGGGCAGCAGGGGTTGAAAACATACCTATTGGGTACTATGCTCGCTACTGGGGTAACGAGATCATTCGTACAAAAAAACCTAAGCAATACCCAATTCACTTATGTAACAAACCTGCACATGTACCTTGGAACCTAAAATAAAAGTCGAAAACAGAAAAAAAAAGAACAAATTACAATAAAAAAGAGAGAATTAAGTCATGGCCGTTGCAGCAACAAAGATGCAGGTGGAGGCCATTATCCTAGTGATTAATTCAGGAACAGAAAACCAAATACCTCACGTCAGTTCTTTGCTGACAATGTGATCTTATACTTAGAAAATTCTGAAGACTCCATCAAGAGGGGAGCAGCCAAAATGGCAGAATTGAAACAACTCTGCGGCTTCCACCAAGAAGGACGAAAATGGCGAATGAATTCTACATCTTCAATTGCTGTACCAAGGTTCTCTCACTGGGACTAACTAGCAAGTTGGTGCGATCCATGGAGAGCGAGGAAAAGCAGGGTGGAGTGAGGGCCCATCCGGCAGCTGCACGGGGCAAAGGGAGCTCCTTCCCCCAGCCAAGGGAGGAGGTGAGGGATTGTGCTACCCCTCCCTGAAAACCACACTTTTCCCAGGGATCCTTGCAACTAGCTGGTCAGGAGGTCCCCTTGTGAGCCCATGCCACCAGGGCCTTGGGTCGCAAACACAGAGCTGTGCAGACTCACGGTGGCTGCTCAGATGGGTGGCTGCTGGAGCAGGCACTGAGACACAGGAGTTTTTGCATACTCCAGTTCTGGGAATTCCAGTGAGGCAAGAGATCTGTCTACTCCCATGGGAAAGGGCTAAAGCCAGGGAGCCAAGCAGCCTCGCTCAGCAGGCCCTATTCTCATGGAAACCGCGGAAGTCACAAGCTAAAACCCACTGGCTTGGAATCCCTCCCGGCCAGTGCAGCAGGCTGGAGACTGCCTAAGAAGACGGAGTTCTGCAGGAGGAGGGGCAGCTGCCATCACTGCGGCTCCAGTTGGCCGTTTTCCTCTGCCACCCCTCCCAGCGAGACTGGGCGGTTTGGACAGGGAGCAATTCCCTACAGCGCAGCACAGTGACTAGGACAGTTCGTGGCCAGACTGCTTCGTTAAGCGGGACATCAATCCAGTCCAACTCACCAGGCGGGGCCTCCTTGTGGGAATTTCAGCATCCCCAGCCAGGGGTTTATGGACAGAACACTGATATCCCTGAGAGGAACTCCTAGGAGGAGGGGCGGTTGTGGTATCATGGATCAACAGTCTTAGTCTTTTCTGCCTCCTGGCTCTGGAGAATCAGGACAGTCTGGACGAGGAGGATTCCTCCCAGTTTAGCACACACGCTCCACCAAGAGGCAGCCAGACTGCTTATTTAAGTGGGTCCCTGATCCTGCTCCTCCTGACTAGGTGAAATGTCCCAACAGGAGTCTCCAGACACCTCCTACAGGAGCATTCTGGCTGGCATGGGGTCAGTGTTCCTCTGGGACAGAGCTCCCAGAGGAAGGAGCAGACTGCCATCTTTGCTGTTCTGCAGCCTCTACTGGTGACATCTCCAGGGGTGGGAGGGAACCAGGTGGATAGGGTCTGGAGTGGACCCCCAGGAAATCATAGCAGCCGTGGGAAAGAGGGGCATGACTGCTAAAAGAAAAACAAACAGAAAGCAACAACAACAACATTAACAAAAAAGACCCCACAAAACCCTCATCCAAAGATCAGCAGCCTCAAAGATCAAAGGTAGATATACCTATGAAAATGAGAAAGAATCAATGCAAAAGTGCTAAAAACTCAAAAAACCAGAGTGTCTAAATGATCGCAACATGTCTCCAGCAAGGGCTCAGAACTGAGCTGAGGCTGAGATGAATGAATTGACAGAAACGGGCTTCAGAAGATGGGTAATAATGAACTTGACTGAGCTAAAGGAGTATGTTCTAATTCGTTGCAAAGAAGCTAATAATGATAAAACATTACAGGAGCTGTTAACCAAAATAACCAGTTTAGAGAGGAACACAAATGACTCAATGGAGCTGAAAAACACAACATGAGAACTTCACAATGCAAACACAAGTATCAATAGCTGTATAGAACAAGTGGATGAAAGGATATCAGAACTTGAAGACAATTCTGTGGAAATAAGGCAGGTAGACAAGGTTAGAGAAAAAAGGATGAAAAGAAACAAACAAAACCTCCGACAACTATGGGATTATGTTAAAAGACTGAACCTACGACTGATAGGGATACCCGAAAGACGCAGGGAGAATGAAACAAAGTTGGAAAACACACTTCAGGATATCATCCAGGAGAACTTCCCTTACCTAACAAGACAGGCCAACATGCAAATTCAGGAAATACAGAGGAACCCAGTAAGATACTCCACAAGAAGATCAACCCAAAGACACATAATCATCAGATTCTCCAAGGTAGAAATGAAGGAAAATATGTTAAGGGTAGCCAGAGAGAAAGGCCAAGTCACCTATAAAGGGAAGCCCATCAGACTAACAGCAGACCTCTCAATAGAAATCCTAGAAGCCAGGAGAGATTGGGGGCCAATATTCAACATTATTAAAGAAAACAATTTTGAACTGAGAATTTCATATTCAGCAAAACCAAGCTTTATAAATGAAGGAGAAATAAAATCCTTTTCAGACAAGTAAATGCTGAGGAAATTCATCACCACCAGGCCTGCCTTGCGAGAGATCCTGAAGGAAGCACTAAACATGGAAAGGAAAAAGCATTACCAGCCACTACAAAAACACATTGAAGTACACAGACCAATGATCCTATGAAGCAACTACATAAACAAGTCTGCAAAATAACCAGCTAACATCATGATGATAGGATGAAATTCACACATAACAATATTAACTTTAAATGTAAATGGGCCAAATGACCCAATTAAAAGACACAGAATGGCAAGCTAGATAAAGAGTGAAGATCCATTGGTGTGCTGTATTCAACAGAACCATCTAATATGCAAAGACACACATAGACTCAAAATAAAAGGATGGAGAAAAATTTACCAAGCAAATGGGAAACAGAAAAAAGCAGGGATTCTAATCTTAGTTTCTGACAAAACAGACTTTAAACCAACAAAAGTCAAAAGAGACAAAGAAGGGCATTACATAATAGTAAAGGGGTCAATTCAACAAGAAGAGTTAACTATCCTAAACATATATGCACCCAATACAGAGCATCCAGATTAATAAAACAAGTTCTTAGATACCTACAAAGAGACTTAGACTCCCACACAATAGTAGTGGGAGACTTTAACCCTCCACTGTCAATATTAGACAGAACAAGGCAGAAATTTAACAAAGATATTCAGGATTTGAACTCAGCTCTGGATCAGGTGGACCTGATAGATGTCTACAGAACTCTCCATCCCAAAACAACAGAATATACATTCTTCTCAGCGCCACATGGCACTTACTGTAAAATTGATCACATAATTGGAAGTAAATCACCCCTCAGAAAATGCAAAAGAACTGAAATAGTAACAGTCTCTCAGACCACAGCACAAATTAGAACTAAAGATTAAGAAACTCACTCAAAACCACACAACTACATGGAAATTGAACAACCTGCTCCTGAATGACTCTTGGGTAAATAATGACATTAAGGCAGAAATCAAAAAGTTCTTCGAACTTTTTGTGTCCAAGTGTTCTCATTATTCAATTCCCACCTATGAGTGAGAACATGTGGTGTTTGGTTTTCCGTCCTTGTGATAGTTTGCTCAGAAGGATGGTTTCCAGCTGCATCCATGTCCATGCAAAGGACATGAACTCATCCTTTTTTTATGGCTGCATAGTATTCCATGGTGTATATGTGCCACATTTTCTTAATCCAGTCTATCACTGATGGACATTTGGGTTGGTTCCAAGTCTTTGCTATTGTGAATAGTGCCACAATAAACATACGTGTGCATGTGTCTTTATAGTAGCATGATTTATAATGCTTTGGGTATATACCCAGTAATGGGATGGCTGGGTCAAATGGTATTTCTAGTTCTGGATCCTTGAGGAATTGCCACACTGTCTTCTACAATGTTTGTACTAGTTTACTCTCCCACCAACAGTGTAAAAGTGTTCCTATTTCTCCATATCCTCTCCAGCACCTGTTGTTTCCTGACTTTTTAATAATTGCCATTCTAATTGGTGTGAGATGGTATCTCACTGTGGCTTTGATTCGCATTTCTCTGATGACCAGTGATGATGAGCTTTTTGTCATATGTTTGTTGGATGCATAAATGTCTCCTTTTGAGAAGTGTCTGTTCATATCCTTTGCCCACTTATTGATGGGGTTGTTTGTTTTTTTCTTGTAAGTTTGTTTAAGTTCTTTGTAGATTCTGGATATTAGTCCTTTGTCAGATGGATAGATTGCAAAAATTTTCTCCCATTCTGTAGGTTGCCTGTTCACTCTGATGGTGGTTTCTTTTGCTGTGCAGAAGCTCTTTAGCTTAATGAGATCCCATTTGTCAATTTTGTCTTTTGTTGCCATTGCTTTTGGTGTTTTAGTCATGAAGTCCTTGCCCATGCCTATGTCCTGAATGGTATTGCCTAGGTTTTCCTCAGGGTTTTTATGGTTTTAGGTCTTACATTTAAGTCTTTAATCCATCTTGAGTTAATTTTTGTATAAGATGTAAGGAAGGGGTCCAGTTTCAGTTTTCTGCATATGGCTAGCCAGTTTCCCAACACCATTTATTAAATAAGGAATCCTTTCCCCATTTCTTGTTTTTGTCCGGTTCATCAAAGATCAGATGGTTATAGATATGTGATGTTATTTCTGAGGCCTCTGTTCTGTTCCATTGGTCTATATATCTATTTTGGTGCCAGTATCATGCTGTTTCAGTTACTGTAGTCTTGTAGTATAGTTTGAAGTCAGGCAGCGTGATGCCTCCAGCTTTGTTCTTTTTGCTTAGGATTGTCTTGGCTATGTGGGCTCGTTTTTTGTTCCATATGAAATTTAAAGTAGTTTTTTTCCAATTCTGTGAAGAAAGTCAGTGGTAGCTTGATGGGGATAGCACTGAATCTATAAATTACCTTGGGCAATATGACCATTTTCACAATATTGATTCCTCCTATCCATGAGCTTGGAATGTTTTTACATTTGTTTGTGTCCTCTCTTATTTTCTTGAGCAGTGGTTTATAGTTCTCCTTGAAGAGGTCCTTCACATCCCTTGTAAGTTGTATTCCTAGGTATTTTATCCTCTTTGTAGCAATTGTGAATGGGAGTTCATTCATGATTTGGCTCTCTGTTTGTGTTATTGGTGTATAGGAATGCTTGTGATTTTTGCACATTGATTTTGTATCCTGAGACTCTGTTGAAGTTGCTTATCAGCTTAAGGAGATTTTGGGCTGTAACGGTGGTGTTTTCTAAATGTACAGTCATGTCATCTGCAAACAGAGACAATTTGACTTCCCTTTTCCTATCTGAATACCTTTTATTTCTTTCTCTTGCCTGACTACCCTGGCTAGAACTTCTAATACTGTGTTAAATAGGAGTGGTGAGAGAGGGCATCCTTGTGTTGTGCCGGTTTTCATAGGGAATGCTTCCAGCTTTTGCCCATTCAGTATGACATTGGCTGTGGGTTTTTCATAAATAGCTCTTATTATTTTGAGATACATTCCATCAATGCCTAGTTTATTGAGAGTTTTTAGAATGAAGTTGTGTTGAATTTTGTTGAAAGCCTTTTCTGCATATATTGAGATAATCATCTGGTTTTTGTCTTTGGTTCTGTTTATGTGATGGATCACGTTTATTGATTTGCATATGTTGAACCAGCCTTGCATCCTAGGGATGAAGCCAACTTGATTGTGTGGATAAGCTTTTTGATGTGCTGCTGGATTTGGTTTGCCAGTATTTTACTGAGGATTTTCACATCGATGTTCATCAGGGATATTGGCCTGAAATTTTCTTTTCTTATTGTGTTTCTGCCAGGTTTTGGCATCAGGATGATGCTAGCCTAGTAAAATGAGTTAGGGAGGATTCCCTCTTTTTCTGTTGTTTGGAATAGTTTCAGAAGGAATGGTAGTAGCTCCTCCTTGTACCTTTGGTAGAATTCGGCTGTGAATCCATCTGGTTGTGGACTTTTTTTGGTTGGTAGACTATTAATTACTGCCTCACTTTCAGAACTTGTTATTGGTCTATTCAGGAATTTGACTGCTTCCTGGTTTAGACTTGGGAATGTGTATGTGTCCAGGAGTCTATCCATTTCTTATAGATTTTCTAGTTTATTCATGTAGAGGTGTTTATAGTATTCTCTCATAGTAGTTTGTATTTCTGTGGGATCAGTGGTGATATCCCCTTTACCAATTTTTATTGTGTCTATTTGATTCCTCTCTTTTCTTCTTTATTAGTCTGGCTAGCAGTCTATTTTGTTGATCTTTTCAAAAAGCCAGCTCCTGGATTCAATTATTTTTTTGAAGGGTTTTTCGTGTCTCTGTCTCCTTCAGTTCTGCTCTGATCTTAGTTATTTTTTGTCTTCTGCTACCTTTTGAATTTGTTTGCTCTTGCTTCTCTAATTCTTTTAATTGTGATGTTAGGGTGTCGATTTTAGACCTATCCTGCTTTCTCTTGTGGGCATTTAGGGCTATAAATTTCCCTCTACACACTGCTTTAAATGTGTCCCAGAGATTCTGGTACGTTGTGTTTTTGTTCTCATTGGTTTCAAAGAACTTCTGTATTTCTGCCTTCATTTTGTTGTTTATCCAGTAGTCATTCAGGAGCAGGTTGTTCAGTTTCCATGTAATTATGTGGTTTTGAGTGAGTTTCTTAATCCTGAGTTCTAATTTGATTGCACTGTGGTCTGAGAGACTGTTCGTTATGATTTCCATCCTTTTGCATTTGCTGAGGAGTGTTTTACTTCCAATTATGTGGTCAATTTTAGAATAAGTGTGATGTGGTGCTGAGAAGAATGTATATTCTATTGATTTGAGGTGGAGAGTTCTGTAGACGTCTATTAGGTTTGCTTGGTCCAGAGCTGAGTTCAAGTCCTGTATATCCTTGTTAATTTTCTGTCTCATTGATCTGACTAATATTGACAGTGGGGTGTTGAAGTCTCTCAGTATTATTGTATGGGAGTCTAAATCTCTCTGTAGGTCTCTAACAACTTGCTTTATGAATCTGGGTGCTCCTGTATTGGGTGCATATATATTTAGGATAGTTAGCTCTTCTTGTTGCATTGATCCCTTTACCATTATGTAATGCCCTTTTTTGTCCTATAAATCTTTGTTGATTTAAAGTCTGTTTTATCAGACACTAGGATTTTAACCCCTGCTTTTTTTTTTGCTTTCCATTTGCTTGGTAAATATTCTTCCATCCCTTTATTTTGAACCTATGTTTGTCTTTGCACGTGAGATGGGTCTCCTGAATACAGCACACCAATAGGTCTTGACTTTTCATCCAATTTGCCAGTCTGTGTCTTTTAATTGGGACATTCAGCCCATTTACATTTAAAGTTAACATTGTCATGTGTAAATTTGATCCTGTCATTATGATGCTAGTTGGTTATTTTGCACATTATTTGATGCAGTTTCTTCATAGTGTTGATGGTCTTTACATTTTG
Organism: Homo sapiens; assembly: GCF_000001405.40. NCBI lineage: Eukaryota > Metazoa > Chordata > Mammalia > Primates > Hominidae > Homo > Homo sapiens. The sequence goes on from NC_000012.12 coordinate 8,152,867, forward strand.
GTATGTTTTTGCAGTGGCTGGTACCGGCTTTTCCTTTCCATATTCAGTGCTTTCTTAGTAGCTCTCGTAAGACAGGACTGGTAGTGACAAAATCCTTTATCATTTGCAAGTGTGGAAAGATTTTATTTCTCCTTTGCTTGTGAAACTTAGGTTGGCTGGATATGATATTCCACGTTGAAAATTCTTTTCTTTAGAAATGTTGAATATTGGCCCTCACTCTCTTCTGCTTTGTAGGTTTCTGCAGAGAGATCTGCTGTTATTCTGATGGGCTTCCCTTTGTGGGTAACCTGACCTTTCTCTCTGACTGCTCTTAACATTTTTTCTTTCATTTCAACCTTTATGAATCTGACAAATATCTCTCTTGGGGTTGCTCTTCTTGCAGAGTATCTTTGTGGTGTTCTCTGTATTTCCTGAATTTGAATGTTGGCCTGCCTTGTTAGGTTGGGGAAGTTCTCCTGGATAATATCCTGAAGTAGTTTTCCAACTTAGTTCCATTCTCCCCATCACTTTCAGGTATACCAATCAAACATAGGTTTGGTCTTTTCACATAATCCCATATTTCTTGGAGGCTTTTTTTATTCCTTTGCATTCTTTTTTCTCTAATCTTGTGTTCACACTTTATTTTATTAAGTTGACCTTCAATCTCTGATATCCTTTTTTTCCACTTGATAGATTTGGCTATTGATACTTGCGTATGCTTCACGAAGTTCTCGTGCTGTATTTTTCAGCTCCATTTAGTCATTTATATTCTGGCTTTGTGGAGCTGTGATGGGCTTCACCCAGTTCCAAATTCCTGGTGGCTTTGTTTACATTGTGAGGGGAAAACTGCGTACTCAAGCCTCAGTAATGGCAGACACCCTTTTCCCCCTCAGTGAAGCTCAAGCATCCCAGGTCAACTTCAGACTGCTGTGCTGGCAGGTTGAATTTCAAGCCAGTGGATCTTAGCTTGCTAGGCTCCATGGGGTTGGGACCCACTGATGAGACCAATTGGCTCTCTGGCTTCAGCCCCATTTCCAAGGGAGTGAATGGTTCTGTCTTGCTGGCATTCCAGGTGCCACTGGGGTATAAAAACAAAACAAAACAAAATAAAACAAAACCCAAAGACTTCTGCAGCTACCTTGGTGTCTGCCCAAATGGCTGCCCAGTTTTGCACTCGAAACCCAGGGTCCTGGTGGTGTAGGCACCTGAGGGAATCTCCTGGTCTGTGGGTTGTGAATACCATGGGAAAAGCATAGTATCTGGGCCTGATAGCACTGTTCTTCATGGCACAGTCCCTCATGGCTACACCCGGCTAGGGGAGGGACTTCCCCGATCCCTGTGCTTCCTGGGTGAGGCAACACCCCACCCTGCTTCTGCTCACCCTCCACAGGCTGCACCCACTGTCTAACTAGTCCCAATGAGATGAGCCAGGTGCCTCAGTTGGAAATGCAGAAATCACCCGCCTTCTCTGTTGGTCTCACTGGGAGCTGCAGACCAGAGCTGTTACTATTCAGCTCTCTCTTGTGTTTCTTCTTAAGACATTAACTTATTAACACAACTTCGAATGACTACTTATCATTAAGAAAAGTATATAGAAATAGCAATAGATTTTTGTGATATTGAATATTTGTTTATATTTTGAAGGCATATAAACAAATTATCTTTATGCCATTTAAATGCTTGTTTTTTGCATGATCAACCATGATAATCAAAAAGAGAAACTTCACATAAAACATCATGAGAATTATTTGAACATATTTGGAGAGTCAACATTCTTTAAATTTTTGAATGTTCTTTTGCTTGTATTTTTGTCAAGATAAAGAATGAGATTTGAGCTTCAAAGAAACCCACACAGGTGGTTCCTGTCTGCCTCACTTTGGAGTTGTACATGCAGTGATTCTAGAAGAATAACCACAGAGTGGAAATGAGAACTGTTTTTCTTTTTAGTTACAGGGAGGAGATTAAAAGTAAAACCAAGAATGGAAGATTAGGAATTGATGTTAAATCTAAGACTGATTTTTTTTTAAAGTAAACAAATGTACAAAGTGGAAGAATTGTAAAGTTAGATAATCTTAGGACTGAAATAGAGATTGAAACATGATAATAGGTTAGAAAATGATGAAATTAGGAAAATAAGTCACACTTAAGGGCAACTGAGAGGAGAAGAAAAACTAACAAATTTGGGAGTGGAAAAATTGAAGAAAATAGTAAAAATTGGGGAAAGTTAGGGTATCAAAGGGAGGATGCTCTTGAAGGAAAAAGATAATAGTAAGCTGAGACTGCTTTGTATTGCCTAAGTTTGTATTTGGCCATTTGATTACAGGATGTTTCTAGGATTCTTCTAGCTTAAATTTTCCCCAGTATTATTAATCTTAGGTTATTAGTCATCATTTTCTATACTCCAGACTCCTAAGTAACTGGTCTCCCAAGCCTTTTGACTGAGAAAAGTATAAACCTCTGCTTTTGGTCTTGCATATTTGATAGAAGGAGCTTGTAGACCCAAGAGAAGCCTCAGAGAGTATCCCTGTGGTTTCCACCCAACTTCTCAGTGGCTGTTTCATTGTAGTTGACTTTGTAAATTCTTACTTGAAATGGAACTATCTTTTCATCACTTATGATATAGCTTTTTAAACAAATGTCCCTCAAAATATTTCTCTTTTTCTTAACATGCCAATCTCTAATTTTTCTACCTTTAAAAAAAAACAGATTTCAAATATGTATTATAGACTTGATTATTTTTCTTCTTTGACCTTAAAAGTACTAAAATATGCTTTTTGATAATTGGCTCTCATTTTTAGTTTATTTGCCTGAGTCTAGCTGTATTTTCCCAATTTTGGTTCTGAACTCATCCATGCATGTGGTACTCACCAAACAAATTGCTACTACCAGTTCTAGGGTTGCCAGTGCTTAAATGGATCAAAAAGTCATACTCAAAGTAATTAGCATCTTCCATAATTATAATATCTAGACTAGTGTCTTTAATCTTAATGTGAGAGTTTTTTATACTTTTAGAGAAAAATGTGTTCAAAGAATAATTTCATCAAGGAATATGGCAGTGAGATATATCTTTTGTTTCCTGCACCACCAAATTAATATCTAAGGTTTGCTATTGTGACAGGCTTTAAAGATCTCCCATTTCTCTGCTTTATTATTTTTCTGATTTAAAAAATAGGTCTACTTTCTGATATGGTGATAAAAAACATATAATAAGAGTCTGTGGGAGAGTAACCTAAGGTGCTATCTTATGTAAATTGGAAACATGACGATTTAGATAAATAAAAAAATTTTTTGGATGTTAAAAAAAGAATATCACAGACTTTAGGATATTAGAAAGAAACAGAATTGTCACCCAAGTTAGTTCCAATTTCATTTTTCAAGATCAAGTGCTAGAGAGAATTGAGTTTAAGAATAAATCAGTAATCAAGGGGAAGTAGATAGACTAAGAAAAATGAATAGTAATTAAATTGGGTTGAGTCTTCACAAATCACAAAAAAATGAACTAAAGGAGTAAAGAGATGAAGTGGAAAACAAAGATATCAGTGCATGTTCTCGCCAAAAACATAAAGATAGTTTTTATTGCGAGATGTTTAAGATATATCAAAACATTAAAACCTTCCCTCGTTTAGTTAAAAATTACTCCTTATTTTAAAAAAATAGGTAATAGCAGTCAGAAAACTTCAGAAACTCTAAAAAGGCCCATGAGTTTTCTTCAGAAATAAAATACAGAGACACAGGCAGCCAGTGAGTCAACAAATTTTTATTGGGTAATTAGTATTTTCCTGGTATTAGGGGAACAATGAGGCATGTAACAGAGTTCCTGCTCTGAACTGTAGCTTTTCCATTTTAATATGATGGACATTGAAAAGATATGTAAATCTATAAACAGATAAAATAAATATAAGCAAGCTCTGAGATAGGAAAGTTTTCTTTCTTGGATTGGATATGTAGAAGAGTGAGTATATTCAGGAGGATTGGAGAGAATTGACATTGAGTCAGAATCATGATGCCAGTTTTAATCTTAAAACACATGAGAGAGAATAAGGGTGACATTACGGTTAAGCTGCTCTGTGAGAGGGTTGTGTTCTGAAGGATTTTAAGAACATGAAACTCTTTAGCTTGACAGACATAATGAAGTCTAAGGGAACTAATCCACCTTCCTCTTTTCCAGTGACTCGTCAAAAATCTGCATAATGGAAAATTGCAAGGGGTTTTTCCTGATCTACTTTGAAATGCAATTCCGCTTAAAGGTATAACTTTGCCATGAGTAATCAGACTTCCTGTTCTAATGTCCACATTCCTATTCAGCTTGTTCTCTGTTATGAATTCCATGTAAGTCCTGCTGCTTCAACTGGAGACCCTAAATAAGCATTTCAAACTTAATAGGCTGAAATGACACTGTAGTCTGAATTCTAAGTAAATTATGAAATAGGCAAAAGAATCAGGAAGCAATCTAAACACTCACTTTATTACTGGTAAAGCTGTACTGAAACATGTGAATTGGATTTAAAGCCAAAAAGCATTTCCTACTATGCCCAAACCCAAGTCTAAAATAGAAACCCTTTTTGGGAGAATTGTATAGGCTGCCTGAGGGGGAAAAAAGAAGTCCTTCCTCTCACTTCCTTGAGAAAAGCAACACTTGAATACTGGCCTTTGATTAATTAATTCTCTCCAGTGGAAATAATGAGAACATTTGACCCTATATAAAGTGTTTTGGATATTGTGAGAAATGAAGAAATAGGAAACATGTTGGACTTGTTAATGGAAATTCCTTCTGGGTGAATTGAAGGAGTATAGGGAGAAGAGAAAATGGTTTCTATCATGCTCATTGCCTTCTTTTTGAATCAGTTGAAGTAAAATTTGTATACCACAAAATATATCCATTTAAGTAAACATTTCAATGAGTTTGACAAGTTTTTATACTTGTAAACTGTGAAATGTTGACCTAAAAGGAAGGGGCTGAGACACAAATTATAATTAGAGTTTTCTTGAGCCAAAGTGAGGGCAGAAGCCAGGAAGAACAGACCCAAATACTCTTGGCTGTTAGCTTCCTCTGGCCTTTGTTACAGGCAGGTTTTTAAAGGAAAAAGAGGCAGACAGTGAGTGGGTTGGTACACAATTGTTTGTCAGGAATTCTCATTGGTTCACAGAAATAACACTGATTAGTGATTGGCTATAAATAATTAACTATAGATCATGGATTATAGTGTCCAGTGTGACATCATTAAGTTAATTTGTAATCACTCCTGGCAATAGCAAGCAGTTTTAAGACATGAATACATAGCTCAAAGAAAGGGAGTAGGATGTGTTTGCTCTCATTTTAATGTTTCTCTAGGCCTGATAATTTAAAAGGACCCTCAATTCTCAGATAATTTTTCTTTCTTCTTTAAAATGCAATCAAATTGAACATTTTTATTACCCGCAAAGTTCTCTAAACCCCTTCTTAGTCAATCCTGCTTCCACCCAACCCCAAACAACCATTGAGCTGTTCTAAATGTGGATTATATTTTTCTTTTCTAGAGTTTCATCCAAACAAAACTATACAGTATGTTCTCCTTTGTGTCTGGCTTCTTTTGTTTAGCATACTGTTTTTGAGATTTATCTATGTTATTTTTGCTGCCAGTAGTTAATTTCCTTCTACTAGTGAGTAGTATTTCATTGTATAAATGCAACATACATATAAATATCTATACATTTTCCTATTGATGGAAATTTGTTTTTTTCCTGGATTTGGCCTTTAAGAAAATCTCTTATAAATATTTATGTGGAAGTATTTTTGTAAATATTTTTTCCCTTCTCTTGAATACGTTTCTAGAAATAAAATTGATGCGTCAAATGGCAATTGTAAGTGTATCTTTATAAATATGCCAAACATCTGATGAAATGTCTTGGGTTTTTCTTTACGTTTTTTTCTCTGGATATGATATATTTCCTTTCCCTGACTACTTTTAAGATTTTTCACTATTGATTTTTATTTTTTAAAATTTTCCATAGGTTACTGGGGTACAGGGAGTATTTGGGTACATAAGTAAGTTCTTTTGTGGTGATTTGTGAGATTTTGGTGCACCCATCTCCCGAGCAGTGTACACTGCAACCTATTTGTAGCCTTTTATCCTTTGTCCCCCCACCCTTTCCTCCAAGTCCCCAAAGTCCATTGTATCATTCTTATGCCTTGTGTCCTCCTGGCTTAGCTCCCACATATCAATGAGCACATATGATGTTTAGTTTTCCATTCCTGAGTTGCTTCACTTAGAATAATAGTCTCCAGTCTCATCCACGTCCCTGCAAATGCCATTACTTCATTCATTTTTATGGCTGAGTAGTATTCCATGGTATAAATATATACACCACATTTTCTTTATCCACTTGTTGATTGACAGGCATTTGGGCTGGTTCCATGACTTTGCAATTATGAATTGTGCTGCTATTAACATGCATGTGCAAGTATCTTTTTTGTATAATGACTTCTTTTTCTCTGGGTGGATACCCAGTAGTGAGATTGCTGGATCAAATTATAGTTCTACTTTTAGTTCTTTAAGGAATCTTCACACTTTTCTACATAGTGACTGTACATTCCCACCAGCAGTGTAGAAGTGTTCCCTGATTACCGCATCCATGTCAACATCTATTGTTTTTTGACTTTTTCTTTATGGCCATTCTTTCAGGAGTAAGGTCGTATCACACTGTGGTTTTGATTTGCATTTCCCTGATCATTAGTGATGCTGAGGATTTTTTTTGATATGTTTGTTGGCCATTTGTATATCTTCTTTTGAGAATTGTCTATTCATGTCTTTAGCCCACTTTTTGATGGGATTGTTTGTTTTCTTTTTTGTTTGTTCTTTTCTTACTGATTTGTTTGAGTTCGTTGTAGATTCTGGATATTAGTCCTTTGTTGGATGTATAGATTGTGAAGATTTTCTCCCAGTCTCCGGGCTGTTTACTCTACTGACTGTTCCTTTTGCCATGCAAAAGTTCTTTGGTTTAATTAAGTCCCAGCTCTTTATCTTTGTTTTTATTGCACTTGCTTTTGGGTTCTTGGTCATGAAATCCTTGCCTAAGCCAATGTCTAGAAGGGTTTTTTCAATGCTATTTTCTAGAATTTTTATGGTTTCAGGTCTTAGGTTTAAGTCTGTAATCCATCTTGAGTTGATTTTTGTATAAAGTGAAAGATGGGGATCTAGTTTCATTCTCCTACATGTGGCTAGCCAATTATCCCAGCACCATTTGTTGAAAAGGGTGTTCTTTCCCCACTTTATGTTTTTGTTTGCTTTGTTGAAGATCAGTTGACTGTAAGTATTTGGCTTTATTTCTGGGTTCTGTATTCTGTTCCATTGGTCTATGTGCCTGTTTTTACACCAGTACCCTGCTGTTTTGGTGACTATGACCTTATAATATATTTTGAAATTAGGTAGTGTGATGCCTCCAGATTTGTTCTTTTTGCTTAGTCTTGCTTTAACTATGCAGGCTCCTTTTTGGTTTCATATGAATTTTAGAATTGTTTTTCTAATTCTGTGGAGAATGATGATGGTATTTGATGGGTGTTGTGTTGAATTTGTAGATTGCTTTTGGCACTATGGTCATTTTGACAATATTGATTCTACCCATCCATGAGCATGGGATGTGTTTCCATTTGTTTGTATCATCTATAATTTCTTTCAGCAGTGTTTTATAGTTTTTCTTGCAGGGGCCTTTTGCCTCTTTGGTTAGGTATATTTCTAAGTATTTTTTTTTTTTTTTTTGCAGCTGTTGTAAAAGAGGTTAAGTTCTTGATTTGGTTCTCCACTTGGTTGCTGTTGGTGTATAGAAGAGCTACTGATTTTTGTACCTTAATCTTATATCTAGAAGCTTTGCCAAATTCTTCTATCAGTTCTAGGAGCTTTCTGGAGGAATCGTCAGGGTTTTCGAGATAAATGACCATATTATCAGCAAACGGTGACAGCTGACTTCCTCTTTACTGATTTGGATGCCCTTTATTTCTTTCTCTTTTCTGATTGCTCTGGCTAGGACTTCCAGTACCATGTTGAAGAGGAGTACTGAGAGTGTGCATCCTTGTCTTGTTCCAGTTCTCAGAGGGAATGCTTTCAAGTTTTCCTCATTCGGTATTTTGTTGGCTGTGGGTTTGTCATAGATGGCTTTTATTACATTGAGGTATGTCCCCTGTATGCGGATTTTGCTGAGAGTTTTAATCATAAATCGATGCTGGATTTTGTCAAATGCTTTTTCTGCATCTATTGAGATGATCATGTGATTTTTGTTTCTAATTCTGTTTATGTGGTGTATCACATTTATTGAATGGCATATGTTAAACCATCCCTGCATCTCTGGTATGAAACCCATTTGATCATGGTTGGATTCAGTTAGCTAGTATGTTGTTAAGGATTTTAGCATCTATGTTCTTCAGGGATACAGGTCTGTAGTTTTCTTTTTTGGTTAAGTTCTTTCTTGGTATTGGTATTAGGGTGGTGCTGGCTTCACAGAATAAACTAGGAAGGGTTCCCTCTTTCTTTATCCTGTGGAATAGTGTCAAAAGGATTGGTACCAGTTCTTTTTTGAATGTCTGGTAGAATTCTTCTGTGAATTCATCTGGACTTTTTTTTGTTGGTAATTTTTTAAATTACCATTTCAATCTTGCTGCTTGTTACTGGTCTTTCAGGGTATCTAATTCTTCCTGATTTAAGCTAGGAGGGTTGTATTTTTCTAGGAAGTTATCCATCTCTTCTAGGTTTTCTAGTTTATGTGCATAAAGGTGTTCATAGTAGCCTTGAATGATCAGTGGTGTCAGTTGTAATATCTCCTGTTCCAATTACCAGAAATGCAACAGGTGGAAAGGTTAAAACATCTATTAGTAACTGCCCCTGTCCTAGCTTTACCCTCCTTAGGCAGCCATTCCATCTTTTTGTCAAAGTAAACAAGGAAGTAGCCTTAGGAGTACTTACCCAAAAGCACGGAGGCCGCCGGCAACCCATAGCCTTCCTATAAAAAATCCTTGACCCAGTAACCTGTGGATGGCCCAAATGCATTCAATCTGTAGCGGCAACTGCTTTGCTTACAGAAGAAAGTAGAAAAATAACTTTTGGAGGAAACTCCATTGTGAGCACACCTCACCAGGTCGGAACTATCCTAAGTCAGAAGGCAGAAAGGTAGATTACTGAATCAAGAATTTTAAAATATGAGGCTATCTTGTTAGAAAAAGTTGATTTAGCCCTAACCACTGATGATTCACTTAACCCTGCTGCCTTCTTAACAGGAAATTCAAACCCAGAAAAGAACCTATGCCCCCAGACCAGAAGAACTTGGGCATAAATGTTTAGATAAACTCCCTTTCAAACCAGAAGACACCTTTTTGTAGATGGTTGTTCTCAAGTAATAAAAGAGAAAAGGCATAACAGGTACTCAGTAGTAGATGGAGACACCCTACCTAATGACTGGTCTGGGCAAACATGTGAGTTGTTTGCACTAAATCAAGTCTTAAAATTTCTGCAAAACCAGAAAGGGACTATTTATACTGACTCCAAGTATGCCTTTGGAGTAGTCCACACCTTTCAGAAAATTTGGGCAGAGCGAGGCCTCATTAACAGTAAAGGCCGAAACTTAGTCTATAGAGACTTGATAATCCAAGTACTAGAGAACTTACAGCTGCCAGAAGAGATAGCAGTTGTTCATGTTCCAGGTCACTAGAAGAATCTTTCCTTCAAGAGCTGAGGGAATAATCTAGCTGACCAAGTAGCCAAACAAGCTGCCTCTTCTCAAGCAGCATCCATTTCCCACCTAATCCTTTGTCTTCCCCCTCCAGCTGCAGTCCCTATCTTCTCCCACGGAGAGCAAGAAAAGTTAAAAGAAGTAGGAGTCAAAGAAAGCCACAAGGGAAAATGGGTGCTATCAGACAAGAGCGAAATGCTGTCTAAGCCCATCACGTGAGAGATACTGTCACAGTTGGTTTCATTAATGACCAGACATTTTGTTAGTGAACACTTCCCAGACTTTACTAGCACTGCTAAGAATTAATCACCCCACTTGCTCCTGGTCTGAAACTCCAAAGTGCTTTGTTTATGTTACAGTACTTACTGCCTTGTATGTTAGATTAGTGAATGTATATTTGCCTCATCCACTACTGTATGAACTTCTTGCTTGCTAGGACAAGGCTATATTCCTCAGAACTGAGGAGGGAGTTGAATCATGTGGCTATCTATTCTCAAATCCTCTTCACCAAGTGGAACAAAACAACAGCGAAAGACCACCGCACATGGAGGCAGGAGGTCTGGATTTGGATTCTAGATCTCTAGATCTATTACTAACTGGAGGTATGGATATAGTCAGGAAAATTGTCTTCCTTAGGTGCTTCCTTGATAGCACCTATAAAGATCGAGATCTGTTGGATCTAGATCAGGGGATTCTCAATCATTACTATGCAGAAAATCAACTGGGAGGGTTACTTTGCAATACAGACGCTTAGTTCCATCTCATGATATTTTTATTTTTTTTTAAATTGGTCAAGTATTTTTCATTAAATAATGTAAACTTTCTTAGTCTACATCTAATAAAACTCCCACCAGCATACAAATACATTGAATGATATTAGCAGCAGAATCTTTAAATAGAGTAACCATACACAACTATTAGGCCACCTTTTTTCATTGCTTATTATTTCATGCTATTTGTCACCATTGTCATCATAATCAGCCTCATCCTACATTGTTGAACACCCATCATGGACCATATGGCATAAACATTTTTCCTACTCATAAAGGAGCATATGTTCTCTATATGTATATAAAATTAATGTCTGAACAAAGTGGCTTAAACAAGGCAGAAGTTTGTTTCTCCCTCACTTAAATCTATAGTTCTACCTACCATGGCTAGTACAGATACCTGCCAAATTCATTAGGGACGCAGGCCCCTTCCAGCTCTCTGTTCTGCTATACTTTAGAAGAGGCTCTAGTTTGGCTGCTAAATCCCCACCTATCATTTTTGAATTCCAGGCAGCAGGAAGGAAAAAAGCCAAGAGAGAAAAACAAGGGAACATCTACCCCTCCTTTTAAGTTTTTTAACCAACCCCCTTCTTGTTTTTTTTAACCGACTTTGTTGAGCTATGATGACATTTAAAAAGCTGTAATATTTAAGGTGTGCATCTCAGTGAGCTTGGGGATAAGTACACACCATGAACACATCACTACCATCAAGATTATAAACATATCCTTCACCTCCCTGAGTCCCCCCCTTTATTATTATTTTTATTTTGGAAAGAAATATTGGTAAGAATACAAAATCTACCCTTTTAGCAAATTTTAAGTATGCAATACAGTATTCTTAGCTGTAAGCACTATGCTGTAAACGAGACCTCCAGAACTTACTTACGTGGTATATCTGAAACTTTGTGCTCTAACCACATCTACCCATTTCCCCAGCACCAGGGCCCCTGGCAACCACCATTCTACTCTCTGCTTTTGTGAGTTTGTCTATTTTAGATTTCAAATACAAGTGAAATCATATAGTAATTGTCATTCTGTGGTTGGCCTATTTCATATAACATAATGCCCTCCAAGTCCATCCATGTTGTCACAAATGACAGGGTTTCATTATTATGTAACACTGAATAATATTCCATTGCGTATATGTATTAGCCATTTATCCTGATACTCTCCCTCCACCTGCCTCCCAACAGGCCCCAGTGTGTGTTGTTCCCCTCCTAATATCCATGTGTTCTCACCGTTCTGCTCCCACTTGTAAGTTAGAATGTGCAGTGTTTGGTTTTCTGTTCGTGGGTTAGTTTGCTGAGGATAATGGCTTCCAGTTCCATTCATGTTCCTCCAAAGAACATGATCTCATTCCTTTTTATGGCTGCATAGTATTCCATGGTGTATATGTACCACATTTTCTTTATCCAGTCTGTCACTGATGGACATTTGGGTTGATTCCATGTCTTTGCTATTGTGAATAGTGCTGCAATGAACATATGTGTGCATGTATCTTTATAATAGAATGATTTATATTCCTTTGGGTATATACCTAGTAATGGGATTGCTGGGTCAAGTGGTATTTCTGGTTGTAGGTCTTTGAGGAATCACCATACTGTCTTCCACAATAGTTGAACTAATTTACATTCCCACCAACAGTGTAAAAGTGTTCTTATATCTCAACGGCCTCATCAGCAGGTAGTTTTATTTAAAAAAATTTTGAGAAACCTTCATACTATTATCTGAAATGGACATAGTAATTTGTATATCCACCACAAGTATACAAGGGTTTTCTCCACATCCTCACTAATACTTGTTATACATCTTTTTGATAATAGCTATTCTAAGAGTTATCAGGTGATATTTCATGGTGGTTTTTATTTGCATCACCCTGATGATTAGAGATGGTAAGAATTTTTTCATATAGTTGTTGGCCATTTGTATCCGTTCTTCTGGGAAATGTCTACTCAGATCTTTGCCCATTTTTTTTTTTTTTTTTTTTTTGAGATGGAGTCTCGCTCTGTCACCCAGGCTGGAGTGCAGTGGCGTGATCTCGGCTCACTGCAAGCTCCACCTCCCAGGTTCACACCATTCTCCTGCCTCAGCCTCCCAAGTAGCTGGGACTACAGGCACCTGCCACCACGCCCAGCTAAATTTTTTTTTTTTTTTTTTTTTTTTTAGTGGAGACAAGGTTTCATCGTGTTAGCCAGATCTTTGCCCATTTAAAAAAAAAATTCAACTTTTATTTTAGATTTAGGAGATGCATGTGCAGGTTTTTACATTGGCACATTGTGTGATGCTGAGGAGTATGAATGATCTTGTAACCCAGATAGAAAACATAATACCCAATAGATAGTTTTTCAGGCCTTTGTCCCCACCTTCCCTTCCCCCTCTAGTAGTCCCCAGTATCTGTTGTTCCGATCTTTACGTCCATGTGTAACCAATGCTTTGTTCTCACTTATAATTAAGAACATATGGTATTTGGTTTTCTCTTCCTGCATTATTTTAGAATAATGGCCTCCAGCTTCATCTATGTTGGTGCAAAGGACATAATTTTTTTACAGTTGCATAGTATTCCATGGTGTACATATACTGTATTTTCTCTATCCACTCTAACATTGATGGGCATCTAGGTTGATTCCATGTCTTTGCTATTGCAAATAATGCTATAATAAATATATGAGTGCACACATCTTTATGGTAGAACAATTTATTTTCTTTTGGATACAAGGGTCAGTCCCCATGGCTGCTGACAAGGGCCAGTGTTGAGTGCCTGCAGCTTTTCCAGGCTCAGGGTGCAAGCTGTCAGTGGATCTACCATTCTCGGGTCTGGAAGATGGTGGCTGTCTTCTCAGAGCTCCACTAGGCAGTGCCCCAGTGTGGACTCTGTGGGGGCTCCAACCCCACATTTTCCATCTGCATTGCTGTAGTAGACATTCGCCATGAAGTCTCCACCCCAGCAGACTTCTACTGGACATACAGGCTTTTCCATACATCTTTAGAGATCCAGGTGAAGGCTTCTGATATGGTTCGGCTCTGTGTCCCCGCCCAAATCTCACCTCAAATTGTACTCCCATAATTCCCACATGTTGTGGGGGGACCCAGTGGCGATAACTGAATCATGGGGGCAGTTTTTCCCATGCTGTTCTCGTGGTAGTGAATAAGTCTCACAAGTTCTGATGGTTTGATAAGGGGAAACCAGTTTTGCTTGGCTGTCATTCTCTCACTTGCCTGCTGTGATGTAAGACATGCCTTTTGCCTTCTGCCTCCCCCCAACCATGTGGAACTGTAAGTCCAATTAAACCTCTTTCTTTTGTAAATTGCCCAGTCTCAGGTATATGTTTATCAGCAGTGCACTCCTGTACTTTGTGCACCTGCAGGTTTAATACCCCATGGAAATTGCCAAGGCTTGTGGCTTGCGCCCTCTAAAGCGGTGGCCCAAACTATGTCTGGGGCCCTTTTAGCCATGGCTGGAGCTGGAGTGGCTGAGACCTAGAATGCTGTGAGCACTGTCCTGCGCTTGCACTGGGCCCAGCCCACAAAACCATTCTTCCCTCCTAGGCCTCCAGGCCTTTGAGGGGAGGGGCTGCCACCAGCCAAGGTCTCTGAAATGTCTTTGAGGCCCTTTCTTCATTGTCTTCTATTAGCATTTGCTTTCCTTTTAGTTACCCAAATTTCTGCAGCCTGCTTGAATTTCAGACAATACCAGTGGTCTTACAAGTGCTACATGACCCCTATAACACTTCCTGACTTCATTTCTGCAATATATTTTATTTTTTTACATCATGATGAACATTGAAACTTTTTATATCTATTCACCTTCCATTTGTTTTCAAGTCCAGTTTACCTCCAAAGAATTTTAGAATATAGAGTCTCCATAAGACTCTAGTTTGTCTGGTTTCTTGCTGTATCCCTTGACTGGGAATGCTTTCTAGTACATATAATACACTCAAAAGTACTTATGAATAAAAAAAGGAATTAATCTTCACATTTTTACTTCAAAATAGCCTTAACTCTTTGGTTTCCAACTTTGTGTGAGGGTTTTTAGTAGTAGTCTCAAAAATCCAATCAAACTGAACAGGGAGTGTCTCCAGAAGGAAGTTTTTGATTAGGTTCAGTGTCTGTGCAATCAGGGCATGTCTCTTGGAATGTAGTGGTGATTAGGTTTATTAATTTTTTTTCATATATAAGGGGAAGCCAATCAGAGGATGCATTTTCCCAGAGAAAGAGCATCTGAAGAGTTTAAGACCTTGGGGAAAGAGAGTCTTGCTGCTTGCTTGTGGGACTTGCCTTGGAAGGTAGATAAGTTCACTGCATCCTCCCACTTTTTATTTCTGGTGAGTTCTCCAAGCACTGAGATGTGAACTGGTCTCATTCCCTTACAATGATACTGTTACCAGTAGAAGAGATTCCAGTTACTGGCAGCATATCTGCATGGGTCCATAAGAAACTTCAGTCCTTGCCTCCTCAGAAGAAAGAACTCGACTGAAGGGCATACAGCGGAAAAAGAGACTGAGCGCTAAGTTTCAGAGCAGGAGTGGAAGTTTATTTAAAAAGGCTTTAGAACAGGAAGGAGAGGAAAATTCTCTTGGAAGAGACCCAGGCAGATGCCTGAAGGTCCAAGAAAGAAAAGAGAAGAGGCTTTAACCTTGATCCTGCGATGGGTTTGCCACTTTCCCATGATTCTTCCTTTAGGGAGAGTTTCCGGCATGCACAGTGGTTTCCTTACCCTTTGAAATTGAGCATGCACGGTGTGTTTAGGGAGTTATATCCATGTCCATCTGAAGCTTTCTTTCCTTTTCCGGTGGAGTGTGCCCCCGGAAGATTATGCTTTGCCATTTTTGTCTCTTAACATGCACGCCCAAGAAGTTGCTTCTTCCTGGGGTCTGCATTTAGTTCACATTTTTGATGTTAACAGGTGTAGACCATCAGGAAACGGCCTCTCTCTGATGCTGCCTAATTATCATTTTTAGAGAGGCAATGTGATAACTGACAGGCCGTCACCTGACATTTCTAGTGGGTAGGGGAAGAGCCCTCTCCTGCCCTGCTCATGCTCTTCTATCTGTAACAAGACAAGCCTTGTATATCATTAGACATTTGTCCCATCAAGGCAGCATCTCATTATTACATTTTATTGTGTGAATTGTTACTTGACATTCTCATATTCTGTGTTCATTATTTGTGTGCCTTTTCCATTTTTGTTTTGACCATATCTCATTATTTGAACTGCCTCCTCCAAGATTCTAGATCTGCATTGGCCAATATAGTAACTACTAGTCACATGTGACTATAAACTGTAAATTAATTATAATTAAATAACTAAATGGCATATCCTTAGTAGTAATAGCCAAATTCGTGGCCAAACTAGAAATTCTGTAACTACATATGTGTGGTAGTTACTGCATTGGACAATGCAGATATAGAGAATTTCTTTCATCACAGAAAATCGTGTTGGGCATGTTGGCTACCACTTATTTTTAAATTCTATTTGTGTGGTTTATAGTTAAATTATATTCTGCTTCTCTATATTCATTTCCTGTCACAGATTTTCTCAAGCAATTTTTAAATTTCATTCATTTACCTTATTGAGGTAAGTACTTAGATTATTTTTTTAAAATAATGTACAGCAAATAATTTTTCTATGGATACTGTTTTAGCTTTATTGTATTGGTACTTTTACGTACTATATTCAGGTATTATTATTTTTCATAACTTACTTTAAAAATTGTGCCAAGTTTATTTAAAATAGATTTCTCCCTTGATTTTCAGATGTTAGATTCTGTCTTCTATTGCTGTATTTTAATTTAATTTTATTTTATTGTATGTAAATATGTTGCATATTCCTTTTTTTAAAATGTGAGATTTTTCCTCTCTCCTGTTACACAAACTTTGTATGCAGTGTTCATTATGCACTTTAAAAATAAATATTTTGTTTCAGGGCACGGTGCTTTCACACATAAAACCTTAGAATAATTTTAAATTCCATTCCACTTTCACCATTCCTGAACTGCTTTGAATATATTGGATGTTGGAAGCCATGAGAGGCTTGCAATCCTGTCAAGATAATAGGATTTTCCATTTATAGTGTAATCTGACTTGCAATCCCGTCAAGATAACAGGATTTTCCATTTATAGTGTAATCTGATATATATTCGTTTTGGTTTCATACTTTAAAAAAATCTATTCTCCTTTACTCTGTGGTGGTCTTTGCATTTCTATGTGTTCATTGCTAGAATGTCAGCTGCTGTTTCCCTAGCACCTCAGATGTCATTCAACATTGTATAGCACTGGTGTTGAGAAGTGAGAGAATCTACTAAATAATAGCACTCTTCGAGACTGCAGTTGTGAATTAAAGGAAGGGAAAAGACAGGCAAAAGAATATAGACATCAGCTATTTTTACTGAAGATCTGTTGGAGAACATGGTTTTGTTGTCCAGGAACTTGAGACCTAATACTGCATTCCTAATACTTCACTAAGGTGTGTCTAAATAGCCGTGAAAGGGCTAGGAGGTCACAAGTCGGCCTCTTAATTTTTACAGTTGCCGTTAAAACATTAAGGTAATATTGAGGGTGCAGAATGGCTCCTTCCTCATGACTTTTTAACAGATCTGGGCCGGGCACGGTGGCTCACGCCTGTAATCCCAGAACTTTGAGAGGCGGAGGCTAGCGGATCACCTGAGGTCAGGAGTTCCAGACCAGCCCTACCAAAATGGAGAAACCCCGTCTCGACTAAAAATACAAAATTAGCCGAGCACGATGGCGCATGCCTGTCATCCCAGCTACTCAGGAGGCTGAGGCTGGAGAATTGCTTGAACCCGGGAGGTGGAGGTTGCAGTGAGCCGAGATCGCGCCACTGCACTCCAGCCTGGGCAACAAGAGCGAAACTCTCCCCCCCCCCCCAAAAAAAAAAAGGAGAGAGAGACATCTGGAGGGAGATCCTAAGCTGTGCAGGCTCTCATCTTGAAGTCACCAAATACATAAGTTGTTATTCCTGCTCTGGTGAAAAGTTTGTCAATACATTTTTTTCCATGAATTAATGAAAATTTTAGACCCATAACATGTTTTTAAAAGTTTCTCCTAAAGATTGCTTGTGTATGTATGTGTTTTAAAATATATTTAATCTCTACATCTTGAAATAGTTTTTATAGATTCCACACAAGAGTCCTTTATGAAATAAGTATGCTTTAACTTTCTTATAATATTTGTCCCTTTTTGTCCCTGGCACAGTCTGTATATGACCAGGTAATGACTTTTCATTCATGTTTGGGTTATAATTACACACAAATATTCTCTAAAGCCCAAATCTTATTTTGATATTCGAGGAAGAGCTTACATGGTAATAATATTAAGGGTTACAGCTGGTTTCACCGAAGCTTTGTAGGCCTTCTCTAATATCTTATTTTTTTGAAGGAATAGCTGTTCTGCTTGAATTATAGACTACATAATACATGTACTGTCAGGTACATTCATGGAAGGCAGATGGAGTCATATGTTACTGGAGTCCTGATGAACAGATGTAGAAAATAGTCCAAGGAATAAGAAAAAAGTTGATATTGAAAAGTGCTTGTTGAAGTCTGTAAATGTGCATTAAATGTGGCAGTAAAAATAGACACAATGATGTTTGGGAATTGGGGTCTAAATTCTGGAGTCCCCAGAATCATAGAGAACCTTGGTTAGGGGAGTAATTTTGTCAAAAAGCAAGAAGAGGCAGTGACAGGCAGAATATAATTAAAAGTATTGCTGGGTCATTTTCTAATTTTGTAATTTTGTCATATTTTTCAAACTCTGTTGATCATTTATTAAATTGGTAAATAAATTATAATCAGCAGGGTTATTATGAGGGTTAAATAAGGAAATATATGTACATCTGTAAGCACAATGTCACAATTAATACAAAGTTACCCTTTTTATTTTTCCTGGACTTCATGTACAAATGGGTCAGTAAATTTTTTGTTTATGACACATAATTATCACTTGTACATAAAATGTATTTAATTATTTTTATATTTTTAGCAGGGAAATAATACATGCATGTTTCCCCCTGTCTCAAACACATACATTCATATAAACATATGCACCTATATACCTACATATCTATGTACGAATATATACATGGACATCGGTATTTCTCAGCAAATATGTATCATGATAATCAGAGATATTGCAACTAACAAAGACTAATATAAACCACGATTGCAAGAATTTTAGATACCACGTTAGTAAAATATCAGATTGAGCTGCTAAATTTCTCCCACCCCTACGTCATTTTGTGTTTTCTGAGCATCCTAGAGGATTGTGACTGTATGCACAGGACAGAAACACCATGACTCAGGGTACTCCTGCTAATTTCTGATGCAGGAGATTTTAAGGGCTAGATTAGCAGGATGGGAGTGTTGACCCTCTAAGTGAAATAAATCCCTGGATTGATTACCCCCATCCTAAAACAGATTTTTTTTTTGAGACAGAGTCTCGCTCTGTCACCCTCGCTGGAGTGCAGTGGTGGGATCTCGGCTCACTGTAATCTCTGCCTCCCGGGTTCAAGAGATTCTCCTGCTTCAGCCTCCTGAGTAGCTGGGATTACAGGCAAGCACCACCATACCCAGTTAATTTTTGTATTTTCAGTAAAGACGGGGTTTCACCATGTTGGCCAGGCTAGTCTTGAACCCTTGACCTCAGGTGATCCACCTGCCTTGGCCTCCCAGAGTGCTGGGATTACAGGCATGAGCCGCCACACTCGACCCTAAAACAGATTCTTACTTGATTATTTCCAGGTTCCAAGGGGAAATACAAAAGTCAGAGTTGAGTGAAAATAAAAGTGGAGTAAAGCTTCAGAAGGCTGTGGTGGGTGTTGGAGAAACATTGCTAGGGCATAAAGCTAGGATAATAAAATCTGAGAAATCCCAGTGTTTATCTATAGGTGGAAATCATATTCCACATGTGGATGGAGTCAGGGATCCCTGTGTTTTAAAATCAGTGAGGGAATTGAATATCTGGACTTGTGCCAATTAACATACAAAACTCCGTGCTTTTGATGTTCTCATTCACAAGATATCTGTGTTCCTTCTTTATTAGCAACCATAGTCATAGGCTTCCTAATTTTGACCACGGGAAAAGAGGAGAGGCCTCTGCGTGTTTGTGTCTGTTGGTTAGGCTGTGGTGCAGCTGGTGTCACACTTCAGTGAAAGTCTGGCTTTTCATCGGTTGATCTGAAAATTGTGCACAAGACTGCTGTCTCACATGTTCTTTCTCCAACCTCAGCTTTTCTTAGTGCCTAAAGTGTCTGCACATGGAAATCCAGAGGTAGACAGAGAGAAACTGAGTTCCGGACAATGCATTCACTAGTGAGTAGGGGATGCTTCTTTCTACTGAAATTATACCCATATTGCTGGCAAGTGGGCATTTTTCTCCAATTTGCATGGGTGTTTCATTTTTATTCTTTTCTGTTTGTTTGTTTTTATGATGTAAAATCCACCTAGCCTGGGTATTCCAAATGCAATCAGGAGGCTTTCAGGTATCTGGCCTCCAATTAAGTTTTCTCAGGACTCTAGGTGGGGTATCGTGTGTCAAAGACTCCTAAATTATCAATATAATTTCTAATATTACACTATTTTATTCCAGCCCCTATTAAGGCTATTTACAAAAAAAGATATGAGAGGTTTCATTTATATATTTCTTTTTCTTCTATCCATCCTATAATCTCATAGGGAAATAATTGACCCATTAACTGTACTGTTGGCTGAAATAGACTTAGGATTGTGATGAATGCAAGCGATAGAGATGAGCGAAGAGCAGAACATCACAGCCCAACAATGAGTCTGATGTTCTAGCAGCTGAGTTCAATAAATCCAGTGTGATAGGACTTGCTGTGCAGTGTTGAGGGAAAAGAAGAGTTTGATAAAATATATTTGAGCTTCTAAAAACTTTGTGAAAGGACAACTAAAGAAGTCATTATTATTCTTATCCCCATTCATTTTACCTTTTGGTAATTAACCTTTTTGCCTTCTGGTAAGTGAAAGTAACATATAAGAAATATAATTATTTAATTACGGTTGCACACTCAGAAGAAGGAATATAGTAGATAGAGTACAATTTAGGGTTCTGTGGAAATGCTTTATACGGGCTGGTTAGAAAAAAAACAATGAAGAGGCTTTTTAAATCTTTGAACAAGTGAAGTGAGAAGGTAAATTTAAAAGAGAAACAATGATAACTGATGTTTGGATTGCCGAGAGAAAGTTGAGAACAGGAGGCTTCATATCACAGGAATCATCGGACTAAGATTTCCTCAGTATAGCAGCCTCAGCGGTCTTGTCTTGTGCTGCTAGACTGTCTTTAAGCCTTGTCATGAACACCTGAATTATATAACGTTAAAGAGACTATATGTATGAATTGAATCCTATATTCTGCATAAAGCTTTTTCAGTTCTGAAGAATGCTGGAGTCTGGTTCATTACTTTCTAACTTTTTAATGAATAAGGGATCAATGACTTATATTTAATAAATATTTGCTAGATAGGAAACACGTTTTCTATTAGTCCATTAGATTATTCAAAACACATCATAGGTCTCTTAACCATTTGATTGGTGAGAAACCTGTGGTTCATTAGAGAAATAGTTTATTTCATCACAGTCATGTTTAAAAAGTAGTAAATCATGGTTATTTGCCTTGTGACAAATCCGTAATTTACTTGAAATTCATGGTAAATTTCATTTTATTTATGAATGTTCAAGTGAAAATTTTATAATCAGTTATGTAGAGGTGATTAACACATTACTGAAAAATATCTGGGTTATATTATGCCACACCTCACGCGATATTTCTTTATAGTAAAGTTTAATGGATTCAGAGTGGGTATATCTCTGTGAGTGAATCTGAAAGGCAGATACCAGCTTAGTACTGAGAATGAACTGGCTGGAACCCAAAACACTGAGTATTCTGCATACCCAGCTCCTAGCTATGTCATCTCAGCCTTCCTCTTCCGGACATTGAAAGGGATTTCTCTGTCTAAACTAAAATGTCTGTGATGTTTTAGAAGAAAGTGACTTTTGAAGATGTAGCTATTGACTTCACCCAGGAAGAGTGGGCCATGATGGACACATCCAAGAGAAAGCTGTACAGAGATGTGATGCTGGAAAATATCAGTCACCTGGTGTCCCTCGGTGAGTCCCTCAACATTCACGTACATATGTAGACACACATTCGCTCATTCATTCAATAAGTGTTAGAACAGCTTCCCCATATCTCACTCTAATCTCTTCTCTGCTTCTCTCACAGATCTCATCTGAAAAAAGTTTGAACTTTCTAAATCTATCTGAAATAAATATCTTTCTTTTTATTTTATTTTATTTAGTTTGTCACTCAATTAGAATGTAGTCTTGACAAGGATTTCATGGTTTCTTTGGTACTCAGTCTCTAATACTCATAACAGACCTGGGAACTTAACGAATATTTTCAATGTATTAAATTAAATATTTTCTAAATAACTCTTCTGCTTTAGTCTATGCTTAGGCTGAGACCAATTAGTGAAAACAATAGCAATATCTTTTCCATATAGAACACCAATTATTTTTGTAAATCGAATTTTTTTTTGTTCTGTGTGAGAATAATAATAAACACACTGTGCAGAGATTTAATTACTCTCTTTCTGAAAAGATTGTGTATTATGCATTGTGTCTTGGAACTTAGGCATGGACTCAGCATTCATAGGTCCTGACTGTTTTGAATTTCCTTTTCCTGATGGCCCTTTTGTTTAGATTTATTTTCCAGTCTCATGTTGGGTCAGAAAAGTCCTGGGGAGTTTTCTGTGTTCTAGGTCTTGTGGCCTGAGCTGACCTTCACTGTTTTTATTCTTCCTTGATAGCCTGCCTTACACTTGGTGATAATGCACATTTATTGACAGTGAACTCAAAACACATGTATTCTTTCCACTAACAGGGTACCAGATAAGCAAATCCTATATAATTTTGCAGCTGGAGCAAGGAAAAGAGCTGTGGCGGGAAGGAAGAGAATTTCTTCAAGACCAGAATCCAGGTAAGCAACAGGGTCCTGTGCTCTAATAGGAGGAGGTGCTTTGTCAATGAATAATATCAGTTGAATATTAATTAGTGGTTTTATTAAATGAGTGATAATTTCTAAAATGTAGGTTAGGCTACTGGAGCAGAATTCCTTAGATGTTATTGTCATTTTGTTCATGTGTCAGATGCTACTCTTGTGTCCTCTTTTTTTACTTTTCTTTCACTTTTAGGAAAAGGATAATTCATGTACTTGGCTGGGGTTAAACTTTCATATGCTGACTCTTTCCCTGATACCCCTGTGAAGACTATCCCTCTATTTACCTGCCTGATATCTCATCTCCATTTTAACTCTTTTCACATTTTAATTTTAAAAATCTTTTCTAATTGCCGACACTGTACAATCTATTTCTTCTATTCAAGTAGTTTCTTCATTTGACACACTTGCCACATCTAAGTGTCAACTTTTGAAAAAAAGTAAATGGGCCTTGGGGCTTTTCAAACAATTTTATTACCATAATACCAATGTAACAATTTATTTTTCAATTATTTCAGACAGGGAAAGTGCCCTTAAGAAAAAACACATGATATCCATGCATCCTATCACCAGAAAAGACGCATCCACCAGTATGACAATGGTAAGTTTTATAGCTGTGTACACCAGTCATCTAAGTTAAAGACATGGTAATGGGTTAAGTTAGTAATGAAGCACAATCACCTGAGTGTAATTAGGCTGGCATTAAGTGCTTTCTAAGCAAAAAAAAATTGAATACTTTGAATTTAGTGAATACATTGAACTGTGTTCTAAACCATAACATGAGATCTCTAAAATAGAACAAGTGCATATACATTGCTCATGCCCAGACATTGAAAGATATTGATATCATCACAATTATGCAATAACTCTGCAGTTGAGATCTTACAGAAGAGAACATATCTGTGTCTGCAGGAGATAATGTGTATGCAAATGTCAATCGAGAAAAATGACAAGACAAGTCTCAATCATTTTAGGAGATTTATTTGCCAAAGTTAAGGACATGCACCCAGGGGACAGGTGTATGCCTTTCTCCAAAGAAGATTTTGAAGGCTCCAAATTTAAAGGGGAAAGGGTGGGATATTGAGAAGTACACAATTTTCATGTAAAAGGTAGGTAGAAAAAATAGTCATTCATGCATTTTTCTGGCTCAGTGAATCTGGATTTTTTCACATAAGATGACATAAACAAATGAGGCAGAGGAATAATGCAGGAAAGCTGCATTTTACATAAGACAACATAGGCAAAATTGGGCAGGGAAACAATCAGATATGCATTTGTGTCTGGTGAACTGGGGATGACTGCACCTGTAAAGACAAGTTATCAGTTTGCATTGCCATGGTGTAATTTTAACAGCTCATGAGGAATTTCCTTGTGGGCAAAATATGGGGGAGGCGTGTAGCTTTTCATCTTGTAGCCGTATTATTTAGGAACCAGAAGGGGGAGGCAGGTTTCTGTGACCCAGTTCCCAGCTTGATTTTTCCATTTGGTTAAATGAGTTTGGGGTCCCAAAATTTAATTTCCTTTCACACAAGAAACATTGGAAAGCTTTCAACTGGGGTCTACCACTGAATGTTTGGTCTAGGATTCAAAGGTAGTGAAATGAATGTATAGATATATGTGGGTAAACCATTAAGAGCTTTTAATCTTTGTCCCAAAGGAGAACTCTCTCATTCTGGAGGATCCTTTTGAATGTAATGATTCGGGAGAAGATTGCACTCACAGTTCCACAATAACTCAGCGTTTGTTAACTCACAGTGGAAAGAAACCCTATGTCAGCAAACAGTGTGGAAAATCTCTTCGTAATCTTTTCTCCCCTAAACCACATAAACAAATTCATACTAAAGGTAAATCATATCAATGTAATCTATGTGAAAAGGCCTATACTAATTGCTTTCGCCTTAGACGGCACAAGATGACTCACACTGGAGAGAGGCCATATGCATGTCATCTATGTGGAAAAGCCTTCACTCAGTGTTCTCACCTTAGAAGACATGAGAAAACTCACACGGGAGAGAGACCATATAAGTGTCATCAATGTGGGAAAGCCTTTATTCAATCCTTTAACCTTCGAAGACATGAGAGAACTCACCTTGGAAAAAAGTGTTATGAATGTGATAAAAGTGGGAAAGCCTTTAGTCAAAGCTCTGGCTTTAGAGGAAACAAAATAATTCACACTGGAGAGAAACCACATGCTTGTCTTCTATGTGGGAAGGCCTTCAGTCTGTCTTCCGACCTTAGATGACATGAGAGAACATGCACTGGAGAAAAGCCATATGAATGCCATTTATGTGGGAAAGCCTTCAGTCAATGTACTAGTCTTAAATAGCATCAGAAAATTCACGCTGGAGAGAAAATTATAAACTTCTTCAGAACATATTCTGACTTTAGATGACACTGTGTTAGGAATGACGAAGGTAAGGAATGTGGAAGAGACTTCAGCTGTAGTTGTAGCATCTAAACATGCCAAAGGACTCATATTTTGAAGAAATACTGGAATCAACATGGAAGATACTTCAGTTACCTTTATTCTTCAGTCCACATCAATAAATTCATATGGAAGAGAAATTGTATGACATGTATGTACCAAAGACTTGTTAGTGATCTGAGCATAAATGACATGAGAGAGCTGAAACTGTCAACATAGTCAACTAAAAGTCTTCAGCAACAGCTTTAACTTAAAACATGTGGGACTTTCAGGTAGAGAATCTCTAACTCTGCATTCAGTGTGAAAATATTTTTATTTGCAATTTATTGTCAAATAACATGAGAAAACTTTACTTGGATGAACCCTTTATTTGTATTTTCTGTGAATAAACATTCAGCCAAGCACCAGGCTTGATGTTCACAAGAAAACAGAGTGATAAAATGCTGCTAAAATGGAAAATAAGAGAGGAAAGCCTTCATAAGCTAAATAAGAAGGGAAAGTCTTTCCAAGGGCAATGAATTCTCTTGGAATACCAAATACTTCTTACTGGAGAAGTTATGCAATGAAAAATCATGAGAAATCCTTTCTTCATAGAGCAACACTTGTGGCACATGTGAGATTTCACACTGGACAAAACATGGTTAGCATCCTGAAAGGAGAAAATTCTTTAGTGGTAATTCATTTCTTAGTTGACATTAAGTTTCTCACATTGAGGAGCTATCAAACTTGAAAATCACTGTGGAGAAACCTGATAGATTTCTCATCAGAAAAGTGAGTCAAGAAGGTGGACCTCTAGAAAAAACTCTTAACACATACTTTAGCAAAATAATTCAGAAATTTGAGAAAATATCTATTCATAAAAATGTGGCATATAAATGCATAATAGTAAAGTGACCAGGGAATAAATTGAATGCAGAATTATATAAGAAATCTCATTAAACTTTTCCAAAAGATCAATACTTACAAATATTGAAAGAATACAATCTGTTGTTGAAAAAACTTAGTATGTTGGCGAAGCCCTTGTTTCATTTATGCAGCCCTAACAAATCGATTTGCATCTGCACTCCTTGGGTGAGATTCTTGGTCGAGATTCTACCCCAACTTCTGAGTCTCCCCAGTCTTTAACAGCTCTTTCCTCACAGCTCACCTCCCTTTACTTCAACGTCCACTAAAACCACTTGTTTCCATCCAACCCTCGAGTTGACACACCAGGGATCTTCAGCCCCACTTGCTAGATTTCTCAGTGTGTCATTGCATAGATTTAGCAGGGAAATGGAGGCTGTATCAAAGACCCCTAGTATATGCATTTGGGTGTCCGCAGCCCTTGCCTCTGTCTCTGAGCAGTTACCTGGGATCAGAGAATAAGGCAGCTCTTCTCTTCTATCCCTCAGAAGGCTCTTGAAATTTTGTCCCTGGAGCCTCTCTAACTGGAAGTAGCAGTTCATCTCATGACACCCCACATTTTATTCAGGTGAGTCCTGAGTTATTACACAGAGACAGACACAGCTGTGCTCCTTTTACTGCAGTCCAGAAGATAAAACACCAGCATGATAAAACAGCCGAACCTGTCAGCCACCTTGCAAGCCTTTCCTATATTCGATTCAATGTACTTTTCCCGAAGCAAAATGAAAGTTCTCACAGAGGGGCCCTCCTCTGCCTTGTCCTCAGAATTGGAAAATGTATTGTCCGTGAAGGAGCCTCAGTACTGAACCTAAAACTCAAGAGAAAATGTTTCCTGAATATCAAGTGGGATGACTTGAAATTTTGCCAAACAGGCACAATCTTAATACGATCGGCCTTACTAAGGCTAAATGGCCTTATCCGTGGTTGAAGTTGACAAATCAATATATTAAAAAATCTCCACAAGTGATTGATTTTACTCTGCAGCCAGGGTTTATGTCAAGTGTGAGGATAATGAGCAAGAAATTCAAGCCCTTGGCAAACTGGTTGGAGAGGCAAGGACTGTGTCCAGGCAGAGCTCATATCATTATTTATTGTTTAATCTATTTAATTAAATATGTAATTTACCCACAAACTGTGGCTGACATTATATGTACTCCTGAGCCACATTGAGATGTACTATTTGTGCTATGAAATTCTATGGGATTTGACAAATGCATGGTGGCAGATCTCCAGCCATTATTAAAGCGTAACACAGAATGCTTCTCTTATTCAAGCTCATCTTCCCTCCACATAGAGGGAATCAATCGACTTTTGTATACTGATTTTTGAATTTGCTTCTTTATTTCCATCTTCTTCAATTAAAGCACAAGATATCGTACTCAATTTCCATTTGATCTTCCAAAAGAAAAGTACTGAATAATCTACCCCTGAATTTCAGTGATTCAGACTCAGGTCCACCGCTAAGGCCAAACGTCCTGTGCTGCCACCTCATGGCAGGCAGAGGGCAATGAAACTCATCTTTCCGGCCATGCAGGGCGCATGCGCGGTCTGCCTCCCGCGGCGGGCCGGGTCTCCAGGGAGGACCTGAGTTTTTCTTCACCCATGGTCAGGGAGGCGCCATCGCCCTGGCTTTGGGGCTGGGGCCTCCGGGGAGGTTCCGGTAGGGGCGTTGGAGAGGCCGCTCTTTTTGCAAGGCCCGAGATGGCGGGCCCTGCGCAGGCCGCCCTATTCCGCGCCCTCAGGGCGTCAGTATCCGCCTGAGGCCGGATACCCACTCTGGGCTCGGATACCCGCGCTGGGCCCGGAGCATCCTCGGCGCTGCCCTCCCAGAGCCCCGCAGAGGCTGAGGTGGCGCGGGGGCGGCCCCGGCTCCGCGAGAAGAGGCGGCAGCGAGGGCTGGAGGACCCGGGCTACGGGGCTCCGGGGCGTCTGGCCTGGGTGGGACTGAGCCCATCCAGGGACTGGGACTCCGGGGTTCTGGTGTAGGTGGATCCCGGGCAGGCTCAGGACCAAGACCCTCTCCTTCCACCAAGGAGCGCCCAGAGGCCGGCGGGAGCTCCAGGTTCACCTCCTCCTCCTCCAGGTGTTTACTTTTCCTTTATTTCTGTGAGGCCAGAAATTGTCGCCATCCTTCACATCGGTGAATCGGGACCCTAACACTCATTACCTCAGGTTTATTGTTATTGCCATTAACAGTGTTGGTGGCATTATCACTAAGATCATCATTGTTGTTATTATTGTCATTTATGATTATTAGCAGGTGTGTTCATTTTGTCTCACTATGCATTTTTTTTTTTTTTGGGGGGGATTGGTTTTGTATGACGTTGAATTGAGCTTCTTTAATCTTGACCAGTGCTGTCAGATTTCTGAAGAGCATTCCGGAGGACAACTCCTGTCTTTCAGCACAGCCACAGAATTTCGTGGGCACAGGAGAGCACTTAGAATATTCCCCTTTCATTGCACAGCAGCTTTGGGAAATAGTGGCTGCCTGGCTCTGAGATGAGGTAGAAAAGACTGGATACTGGGGCAAGTGTTAGCACCTCCACTGGTGTTTTTATGAAGCTAAGCGCACTGTCTCCCACGTAGACTTAGAATACAATCTGATGGCTCTAAAGGGCCATGGCTGCCCTTCCTGGGACTTCCTGGGAACCTTTAAACCTTCTGTGGTTCCTGGAGTAGGTAGGTTGCCAAGTCTGTGCCTCATATGGTAGCACCAGTCTTTTCTGGGCCAACAAGGACACTTAGAATGTTTCCAGAAGCTCAGGCATGCTGTCTCTGTTCCTCCCTTCTGTTCAATGGCAATTCACTGGGTCCCTGGCTGACATAGAACATCCTGCAGAAGGTTGGGCTTGGGTGACTTCCTGGCCAGCCTTCCCAGGCAGTCATCTTTGAAAAACTTGAAGAGACTCACAGAGGCCATTCACTGGTATTTCATGACTGCAAGTGGGGTTTCTGGATCCTTGAGTTTACTTAGAATATTTGAATGGCTCTGGATGGCCAAGAAACCCTCCCTGGTCTTAGAAGCTGCCAAAAGCTATTACTGGGCCTCTGAAGAGACTTTTAAATTTTTCCAAGTACATTTGGGCATAGGAAACTTTTCCAGGTCTAGCTGAGCCAGCTCAGGTCGAGTCCTGAAAAACTGGTGGGTATTGGGGGATCTCATCTTACGAAAGAGCAATTGGTGGCAAAGCTGGGTCTCCAGGACAGCTGTGTATGTATATGTCTGTAGAACATGCCTTGTTGGACATCTTTGGTAACTGAACACCATTTGTGAATGGATAAACTATATTCATTGCTGTACAATAATGAAAAATCCATATTAACAATGGCAGTAATAAAAATATTGATGGCTATTAACAGGAATAATGATCATCATGATACTAGTACTAATGGTTTTAATACTGATAATAATACTAACCCTATGGACTTGGGACATATAAGTTTTCCATAAGTGGATAATAGGCATAAATATTTGGCTGTGTAGGGTTATTTCAAGTCCCAAAAGCAAGGATGAACATCTAGAACGAGAAGAAAAACAATCTGGAGGTTAGTATGTGCACACCTGTGGACTCCTGTGTTAACTTCTGGTGTTTCAGCCTAAGAGGGAATGTTAATATAACCCTGGTCCTAGAACACCATGCTGACCAACACCTACCAGCTTTCAGGAGATAAGACAGCTGGCTGATGGGGCAGGGATCCAGAGAAGGCACGGGTCCACACCTGCACATGTTGCCCAGTGGCAGAGTTCATGACAAGCAATAAGCCCCAGGACAATGTCATTCCCAGCTACCTGGCTGTCATCTGCTCTTTCATGGCCCCTCTCTACTGGTACCTCTAGGCACTGGCATGTCCTCCAGAGGCTGCAGGAGGGCATGATACTCAGTACTCTCCCAACTGCAGGAGGGAAGAAAGATGGAAACAGCTAAATACCATGGCTTCTGGATTTTTTTTGCTGGGCATGGCATATTTTGCATTTGCTTTAATAATGCTGGAACCCAGTCAGTGGCTTGCAATACAGATCTAGATGACTCTGGACACCTGTAGAGATTTTGACAATTTCCAGAAGGTCACAAGTTCTTGGAGGACTTTTTCATGAGTTCTTCGACTGAAAAGGTGGTTCAAAGAGCTTCTATACTGACTTAGAAAATGTTGCAGAGGCCAGGTGCGGTGGCTTATGCCTGTAATCCCAGCACTTTGGGAGGCCAAGGCAGGCGGATCATGAGGTCAGGAGTTTGAGACCAGTCTGACTAACATGGTGAAACCCCCTCTCTACTAAAAATACAAAAATTAGCCGGGCATGGTGACACACACCTGTAATCCCAGCTACTCAGGAGGCTGAGGCAGGAGAATCGCTTGAACCTGGGAATCGGAGGTTGCAGCGAGCCAAGATCAGGATTCCAGCCTGAGCGACGGAGCGAGACTCTATCTCAAAAAATAAATAAATAAATAAATAAATAAATTAATTAATTAATTAATTAAATAAAAAGGAAGAAAAAAGAAAAGTTACAGACACTCTGGTGAACAGATAGGCCCTCTCCTGCCACTCCAGGTAAAAGTTTCTTGGCCACAAACCTGATTTAGCAATATCCCTTCATCTTAGGTAGGTAACAGAAAGCCATTCATGACCTATCCAAGCATGGAGAGGGGATTTGACTTAGAAAAGTTAGGTGGACTAGTTGGTGAAAGAAAGTGCATTCTGGCTCTCCCTCTCCCTCTCCCTCTCCCTCTCCCTCTCCCTCTCCCCATGGTCTCCCTCTCCCTCTCTCCACGGTCTCCCTCTGATGCCGAGCTGAAGCTGGACGGTACTGCTGCCTGATTCTCCTGCCTCAGCCTGCCGACTGCCTGCGATTGCAGGCGCGCGCCGCCACGCCTGACTGGTTCTCGTATTTTTTTGGTGGAGACGGGGTTTCGCTGTGTTGGCCGGGCTTGTCTCCAGCTCCTAACCGTGAGTGATCCGCCAGCCTCGGCATCCTGAGGTGCTGGGATTGCAGACGGAGTCTCGTTCACTCCGTGCTCAATGGTGCCCAGGCTGGAGTGCAGTGGCGTGATCTCGGCTCGCTACAACCTACACCTCCCAGCAGCCTGCCTTGGCCTCCCAAAGTGCCGAGATTGCAGCCTCTGCCCGGCCGCCACCCCGTCTGGGAAGTGAGGAGCGTCTCTGCCCAGCCGCCCATCGTCTGGGATGTGAGGAGCCCCTCTGCCTGGCTGCCCAGTCTGGAAAGTGAGGAGCGTCTCTGCCCAGCCGCCATCCCATCTAGGAAGTGAGGAGCACCTCTTCCTGGCCGCCATCCCATCTGGGAAGTGAGGAGCGTCTCTGCCCGGCCGCCCGTCGTCTGAGATGTGGGGAGCACCTCTGCCCTGCCACCCCGTCCGGGATGTGAGGAGCGTCTCTGCCCGGCCGCCCCATCTGAGAAGTGAGGAGCCCCTCCGCCCAGCAGCCACCCCGTCTGGGAAGTGAGGAGCGTCTCTGCCCGGCAGCCACCTCGTCCGGCAGGGAGGTGGGGGGGTCAGCCCCCTGCCCGGCCAGCCGCCCCATCTGGGAGGGAGGTGGGGGGATCAGCCCCCCGCCCGGCCAGCCGCCCCGTCCAGGAGGTGAGGGGCGCCTCTGCCCGGCCGCCCCTACTGGGAAGTGAGGAGCCCCTCTGCCCGGCCAGCCGCTCCATCCAGGAGGGAGGTGGGGGGGGTCAGCCCCCCACCTGGCCAGCCGCCCCTTCCGGGAGGTGAGGGGCGCCTCTGCCCGGCCGCCCCTACTGGGAAGTGAGGAGCCCCTCTGCCCGGCCAGCCACCCCGCTCGGGAGGGAGGTGGGGGGGTCAGCCCCCGGCCCGGCCAGCCGCCCCGTCCGGGAGGTGAGGGGCGCCTCTGCCCGGCCGCCCCTACTGGGAAGTGAGGAGCCCCTCTGCCCGGCCAGCCGCCCCGTCCAGGAGGGAGGTGGGGGGGTCAGCCCCCCGCCCGGCCAGCCGCCCCATCCAGGAAGTGAGGGGCGCCTCTGCCCGGCCACCCCTACTGGGAAGTGAGGAGTCCCTCTGCCCAGCCAGCCGGCCCGTCCAGGAGGGAGGTGGGGGGGTCAGCCCCCTGCCCAGCCAGCCGCCCCGTCCGGGAGGTGAGGGGCGCCTCTGCCCGGCTGCCCCTACTGGGAAGTGAGGAGCCCCTCTGCCTGGCCACCACCCCGTCTGGGAGGTGTACCCAACAGCTCATTGAGAACGGGCCATGATGACAATGGCGGTTTTGTGGAATAGAAAGGGGGGAAGGGTGGGGAAAAGATTGAGAAATCGGATGGTTGCCGTGTCTGTGTAGAAAGAGGTAGACGTGGGAGACTTTTCATTTTGTTCTGTACTAAGAAAAATTCTTCTGCCTTGGGAACCTGTTGATCTGTGACCTTATCCCCAACCCTGTGCTCTCTGAAACATGTGCTGTATCCACTCAGGGTTGAATGGATTAAGGGCGGTGCAAGATGTGCTTTGTTAAACAGATGCTTGAAGGCAGCATGCTCCTTAAGAGTCATCACCACTCCCTAATCTCAAGTACCCAGGGACACAAACACTGCAGAAGGCCGCAGGGTCCTCTGCCTAGGAAAACCAGAGACCTTTGTTCACTTGTTTATCTGCTGACCTTCCCTCCACTATTGTCCTGTGACCCTGCCAAATCCCCCTCTGCGAGAAACACCCAAGAATGATCAATTAAAAAAAAAAAAAAAAAAAAAAAACATTAAAAAAAAAAAAAAGTGCATTCTGGGGCTCACAGGCCTACACATAGAGTTGCTATCACATAAAGCATATGTATGAATTCTTTCTGAGCCCATGGCAAGATGAGGGTGCACTTCATCAGTCTCCTATGCTGGTATGAATAGGTACTTGCCTGAAAAATAAAAGAATAATTCAGGAAGCCCATTCTTCTACAGGACACCAGGCAGTACAGTAGGAGTCCTGGGGTTGCTGTGGTATTTATGTTTTAAGGTTGTCTTTTAATCATCTTCAGCAAATTCAACAGTCTTCAGGAACATAAAAAAATTATTCAACATTGCATAAAAACTACCACAAATATATCCATGATAAAGAACTGTACCAATATAATAATAACATTAATAACAATCATAATGGTGATGATATAAATGTCAATTTAATGAAGAGAGTAATAAAAAAGCAGATATTTAAGAAATATTCCTGTAAGCCTGTGGCAATATTCCCATACGAGCCCTCATGTTATTGATTAGATGGAGAAGCTTAGGGCTACATCTTGAAATATATTCTGTGATGGCAAAGAAGAGTGGCAGTAGGGAGAATAATTCTGAGCCACATGAGAGCATGGGCAAAAGTGGAGATACCTGTGCCATGTGGAAATACATTACAAATGGACTATGGCAAAGGGTCTGGCCAGAGTCTTGCCTGACACAGGTCGTACAAAAGCCTTCAGTAGTTCACCCCAAGAAATAGCTGGTCCAGGCTGTAGATGAGAGGCACTGGGCAGACAGATCCACACCTGCCTCCTGAGTCTCAGAAGTCTGGTGTGCGTCGAACATTAAGCCCCTAGCCTACTGAGACTTCACCTCCCAGCTGGTCTTCTACCATCTGATTCTTGAGCCCCATCACGTTAGTGTCATCTCCATACTGGAATTGCCAACAATGTCTGATGGAGGGTTTCACCCTGGGTACTTGGTACCAGCAATGTATGAAATACCAGAAGGGAGGCTCCAGGGCTTCCATAGAAGACACATTCTAAAGTTACTCAGGTGATCAAATGGTCATTTCAGAGATTTTCAGTAGAACTGCAGCATTTTGTCAATACCTGAGTGAATGCAGAAAATATCCAGAGGCACGGGCATTCTAGGAAGCTCCCTGTGTAAATCAAATACAAGGAATATCTACTTCTGGGCTCAAAAGCTAACTTAGAGAAAAAAAAAGTGAGATGCTGGCAGAAGGCAAATAACTCCACTTCAGTTCCCAAGAGAAAAATCGTTCTGTAACCTCTGAGTTTATTTAGAAAAATTTTGGAGCCTCAGGAAGACCGAGTATATCATTCCTGATGTTTCCAGGACAGATTGGAGAGCTTAGGCCTTTGGGAATATTCTAAGTCCTCTCAGGTTTCCATGGGAGACTGTAACTCTACTCCTAGAGCTCACACCACCCCCGAGCAAGCTCATTGTTTTCTAAATATTCCAAGGAAGCCCATCCAGGTTATGCCCGTATTGGTGAGTTTCACTTTGGACTGGCAGGAGAAGACTGAGAATGATACATCCTGAGTTCACTTGGTAAAGGTAGGGGAGCCAATAAGTCCAGATCTGGAGAGCACCTGCAACACCAAATGGCAGAAGGACAGTAAGGAAGTAAAGTCAGCTATGGAGTTGGAGCTTCATGTTTACTGCATGTAGGATTCTGAGTTCCAGGACTGATGGGCTGGTGGGGATCAGAGACGTGTCTTCCTTGCAGGGAGCCAGGCCAAACCAGCCATCTGGTTGCACTACTGAAAGCTTTTGTGTACCCAGTGGTGGGCAGGACACAAATCACAGTCCCTTCATCTCTGGCTGGTAGTTCTTGATGAGAGAGGTTTGCACACAAGTGTTCATATTAGCCCACGGTCTCCTGCGGCTTGCTTTTCTTTCACCTCCTGTTTTTGATGTTTGCCATCATGGAACACATTTCATAGAGAAATTCTTTGACTCTGACTCCAAATTACACAAGGAGGACCCAATTTGTGAAGTCTTCATATATTTAGGGGAAGCTCCACATTAATTCTTGTATCCTTATGTTCATATTGTCACCAGTATTAAAATTCATACTATTTAGGTCATTGCGTTCATTATCATGATTATTAATTATTTTTCATTTATCATTTCTTTTTATTGGTTAATTTTTGTGGCAGCTGTTAGATAACAATCACTAGAGTTTCTCTATTCATGAAAGATGTCCAAGTTAATGGAGATCACTAGGAGTGTTACTTTACAGGTATGTAAATACAGATAATCTTGGCTGAACTGTGGCTATATTGTCTGGTGTCCCTTTGAGGGTGAAGCCTCTTGTATTATTCTAAGTGACCTCTGGAGAAAGCAACTGTCTCATAATTGCAGGGACGACTTGAGAAGGCATCCTGACCCTATGCAGAAATGCAGAAACACTTCCATGAGCTAAACAACCTATGTGAAGGCCTGAAAGCCAAAGCAAGATCCTCTTATTACAAAGCTGTCCAACAAAAAGTTTTCCAAGTAACACTGGAGGTCCATCACTCACTCTTCCTGGTCTGGAAATGCCAGAAATGTCCTCCTTGGTCCTTCTGAGAGTCAAGATCTTTTCAAAGTCACCTCAGGAGCCACAGAACCACTCCATCCTACCTGAAATTGCAGGATGACTCTTCTTTTGACCAGAGTCTCAAAAATATATTCGTTGATAATTTTGATTCCTGGGAGCCGCCATTGCTTGCAAAAGATGTGCCAGGGACTAGACATTTTCTGTCTCCTCACTTGTCCGGGGAAGACTGAAGTTTTACTGAAACACAGAGATGGGAATCTGACCCTCTGAGCAGCCTCAGGATTTTCTAAGTCTTCCAAGCAGAGTGGAAATACTGGTGAGGACCCATTGCACCCCCTGATGGTCTGGAATCACATAGGATGATGCTTTCAAACAACTCTAGGTGGCGATACATTTTCTGAGATATTCCAAGGAGGAGGGACACAATTGGACCAGATGTTAGAAGGACAGCTGAGCATTAAGTGCCTGTGTAGTGTTTGCAGCTTAGTGTCCCATGCAGAAGGGGAATCTGGGCCCTGGTGTTAGAATTCAGTGTAATTCTGGGTTCCTGCTTTCCTTCCAGGAAATCCCACTTCCAGCTGGATGTCTGGATGAACTCCTGAAAGCTGCTGAGTGTCCTGCAGCAGGTGAGCTGTGGCCAGAGCCCAAGGATGAAGGGGACTCCCTCACTCTGTGACTGTGAAGAGGAAGCCTGAGGTGTAGCAGGCCCAGGCCCCAGAAGTATGGAAAAAATGAGGTAGGGAGGGAGGGGACCTCAGGAGAAGACTGAGGTCTACAGAATCCCAGGGTCAAGGGGATGGTGTGGTGTCCTGGCACTGTCCTTGATGTTCCAAGAGGGGTGAGAATCCATCTCCTGAGTAAAAACTTCACATGGGGTGAGGAGGGGAGAAGTGAACAGAGAGGAAGCAGGGAAGGCCAAGACAGCCACCAGCCTTACAGCAGTTTTAACCAGAAATGGATGCAGACTCTGGACCCCATCACAGGAGTGCAGGCCTAGGACTGTCTCCAGGTGATGCATAGCTCCCTTGTCAGGTTAGTGGGTGCAGGGATTGTGACGTCTGCAGGGGTGTGGAAGGCTGAGCAAGGGGAGCAGCTTACTGGGCTGGACCAGAAATACTGAACATCTTTTCCATCAGTGAAATCCGCTTCTGGGTCAGAAAAAAGTGCGAGTTCTAGAGGGGCAGGGCCTAGGAGGAGGTCAGGTCCTGAGCCTTCCTGGTTTGACCACCTCCCACCCCCTGTGTTTCTGGGTCTGTCCTCACTTCCACCCAGCGGATCCTGAGTCTCTTCCTTTGAGTCCCTGTGAGTGTGTTGTGTGCAGTGGGGCCGGGCTGCTTCATCCACTGCAAGTTAAATGCTTCCAATACTTTCCGGCCAAAGCTTAGAGTTGTCAGACCACTGACTTTGAATGTTGACCTGGTTCCTTGTGGAACAGAGTAATAGCTATTGAAGTTTAAAGTCACTTTCCTGCGTGGATGGTGAAGAGGCAGGCTGTTCAGGCATAACTGCCCTCAGGCCTGGAGGGCTGTGGAGGTCACCGTGGGCGGTGGGTGGATCCGGAACCTCTGTGGCTCTAGACTTTCAACTATTTCATTTTTTCTTTTGTAGTTTTTGTCTGTTGCTTGCTTTTTTACAATGGGAACTAGAATGTAAGATGCCAAACTCAGCCTGTGGGGAACATGGATTTTCACAACAGCAACCACAGAGCGTGGTTTCCATTTCTATTCCCTGTTCATGTGGGAGGCAGAGAAGGAAATCAGGTGCTCAGTTCCAGGGACATCACAGGACTAGGACATGTGCAGTGAGGGTGGAAGGCAGAGGCATTGCTTTAGGAGAATAAAATTACTGCATGCACACACATATGTATGTATATGGATGTATGTACACAAACATGCATATTTATAGGTTCTGTTCTCCCTCTCTCTATATAATTTTCTTTATTTCACACTTGATATGATTTCTAAATTTAAATACCTTTGAGACAAATGTGAATTGTGAAGGGATTTAAAAATGTCAGTGAAAAATGGAATTAACAATAAAAATATAAATATAAACTTTGTTTCTCAATATAAGCTCTACTGAGGTCCAGACACTCCATTAAGGGATGATCCCAGCCATTCAGTCCATTGCTAAACAACTGAGGGTAACGGGAATTTAACCTTGTCAATGCAGTCTTCTATTAGTAACTAAAGAAAAACGGGTGCCCTTTACAGTTATTTTAAGATTAGGGAAAAAAAGGTCAGAAGAAACCAAATCAGGACTGTAATGTTGATGCCTAATAATTTCCCATGAAAACTCTTGCAAAATTACCCATGTTTGATGAGAGGAAGGAGCAGAAGTGTTGTTGTGGTGCAGAGTGACTCTCTAGTGAAGCTTTACAGGGCGCTTTTCTGCAAAAGTACTTGCTAATTTTCTCTAAGAACTCTCCTAGTAAGCAGATGTTATGGTGCTTTGATCTTACAGAAAGTCAACCAGCAAAATGCCTTGAGCATCCCCAAAACCTCCATGGCTTTTGCTTTTGAGAAGTTTGCTTTTGCTTTGACTGGACCACTTCTACCTCTTGGTAGCCATTGCTCGAATTGTGCTTTGTCTTCAGGATCTTATTGATAAAGCCAGTTTCACTCCCTGTTATAATTCTTCAAAATAATGCTTCAGGATCTTGATTCCGCTTGCTCAAAATAGCCACTAATAGCTCTGCTTTTGTCCACTGCTGATCTAGGCACAAGGGTATTTGGGACTCATCAAATGTAAAGTTTCTCAGCTTTCACGTTATAGTCAGTATTGTGTAAGCTGAACCAATTGAGATGTCTGTGGTGTTGGCTATAATATCTCTTGTTAATTGTCAATCCTCCTCAATTAGGGCATAGAAACGATTTTTTTTTCTCAAAAATTGGTATGGATGTCCCTCCTCTGTTGACTTCATCTTCAACATTGTATTATCTCTTCTTAGAATAAGGTATCCATTTGTAAATGACTGATTCTTCAGGTCATTTTTCCCATAGACTTTTCATAAAGAATAATTTATTTCACCATTTTTTGTACCCCAGCTTCACCGTAAATTTGATGTTTGTTCTTGCTTCAGGTTTGACAGAATTCATGTTGCTGCCATAGAGGGTCTCTTTTCAAACTGATGTCTTAAATCTTGTTCAGATATGTTAAAACAGGGCCAGGCATGGTAGCTCACACCTGTAATCCCTGCATTTTGGAAGGTTAGAAAAAATAAAGTTTTTTAAAACTTTATTTTATTTCATTTTAAGTTCTGGGATACATGTGCAGGATGTGCAGGTTTGTTACATAGGTAAATGTGTGCCATGGTGGTTTGCTGTACCTATCAACCCATCACCTAGGTATTCAGCCCACATGCATTAGCTATTTATCCTGATGCACTCCCTCCCCACTCACCCCAAGACAGACTCCAGTGTGTGTTGTTCCCCTCCCTGTGTCTATGTTCTCTCATTGTTCATCTCCCACTTGTAAGTGAGAACATGTGTGTTTGGTTTTCTGTTCCTGCATTAGTTTGCTGAGAATAATGACTTCCAGCTTCATCCATGTCCCTGCAAAGGACATGATCTCATTCCTTTTTATGGCTGCATAGTATTCCATGGTGTATATGTATCACAGTTTCTGTATCCAGTCTATCATTGATGGGCATTTGGGTTGATTCTATGTCTTTGCTATTGTGAATAGTGCTGCAATGAACATATGCATGCATGTATCTTTATAATACAAGAATTTATATTCCTTTGGGTATATACCCAGTAATGGGATTGCTGGGTCAAATGGTATTTCTGATTCTAGATCTTTGAAAAATCACCACAGTCTTCCACAGTGGTTGAACTAACTTACATTCGCACCAACAGTGTAAAAGTGTTCCTATTGCCCCACAGTCTCACCAGCATCTGTTGTTTTTTGACTTTTTAATAATCACCATTCTGACTGGCATGAGATGGTATCTCACTGTGGTTTTGATTTGTATTTCTCTAATGATCAGTAATGTTGGGCTTTTTTTTCATGTTTGTTGGCTGCATAAATGTCTTCTTTTGAGAAGTGTCTGTTCATGTCCTTTGCCCACTTTTGAAATTTTGAAATTTTTATTTTTTAAGACAGAGTCTTGCTCTGTCACTCAGGGTGGAGTTCAGTGGCACAATCTTGGGTCACTGCAACCTCTGCCTCCCAGATTCAGGTGATTCTTCTCTCTCAGGCTCCTGAGTAGTTGGGATTACAGGCCCGCACCACTACATCCGGCTAATTTATTGTATTTTCAGTAGAGACGTGGTTTCACCAGCATTGCCAGGCTGATCTTGAACTCCTGGCCTCAAGTTATCTGCCCACTTCACCCTCCCAAACTGCTGGGATTACAGGCATGAGCCACTGTACCCAGCTTTTGCCCACTTTTATATGGGGTTGGATTTTTTACAGTTTTGGGTTTTACATTTAAGTCTTTAATCCATTTTCAGTTCATTTTTGTATAAGGCATAAGGAAGGGGTACAGTTTCAGTTTTCTGCATATGTCTAGCCAGTTTTTCAAGCACCATTTATTATTAAATAGGGAATCCTTTCCCCATTGCTGGTTTTCATCAAAAATAAAATGGTTGTAGATGTGCAATCTTATTTCTGATATATCTATTCCATTCCATTGGTCTATGTGTCTGTTTTGTACCACTACCATGCTGTTGGGTTACTATAGCCTTGTAATATAGTTTGAAGTCAGGTAGCATGATGCCTCTAACTTTGTTATTTTAGCTTAGGATTGTCCTGGGTATATGTGCTCTTTTTTCATTCCACATGAATTTTGAAGTAGTTTTTTCTAATTTTGTAAAGAATGTCCATGGTAGTTTATGGGAATAGCATTGAATCTATGAATTACTTTGGGAAGTATGGCATTTTCATGATATTGATTCTTCTTACCCATGAGCATGGAATGTTTTTCCATTTGTTTGCGTCCTCTCTTATTTCCTTGAGTAGTGGTTTGCAGTTCTCCTTGAAGAGGTCCTTCACTTGCCTTGTTAGCTATATTCCTAGCTATTTTATACTCTTTGCAGCAATTGTAAATGGGAACTCATTTGTGATTTGGCTCTCTTCTTGTCTATTGTTGCTGTATAAGAATGCTTGTGATTTTTGCACACTGATTTTGTATCTTGAGACTTTACTGAAGTTGCTTATAAGCTTAAGAATCTTTTGGGCTGAGATGATGGGATTTTATAGATATAGGATCATGTCATCTGCAAACAAAGACAGTTCAACTTCCTCTTTTACTATTTGAATATGCTTTATTTCTTTCTCTTGCCTGATTGCCTTGGCCAGAACTTCCAGTACTATATTGAGTAGGAGTGGTGAGAGAGGGCATCCTTGCCTTGTGCCGAATTTCAAACGGAATGCTTCCAGCTCTTGAATATTCAATATGATATTGGCTGTGGGTTTGTCATAAATGGCTCTTATTATTTTGAGATATGTTCCAGCAATACCTAGTTTCATGAGGTTTTTAACATAAAGGAATGTTGAATTTTATCAAAGATCTTTTCTGAGTCTACTGAAATAATCATGGGGTTTTTGTCTTTAGTTCTGTTTACATGGTGAATTACATTTATTGATTTGTGTATGTTGAACCAGCCTTTCATCCCAAAGATGCAGCCGACTTGATTGTGGTGGATGAGCTTTTTGATGTGCTGCTGGATTCTGTTTGCTAGTATTCTATTAAGAATTTTTGCATTGATGTTCATCAGGGATATTGGCCTGGATTGAGCAGGTATGTGTGTGTGTGTGTTTCTACCTTGGTTTGCCAGTAGGTTGATGTGTGAGTGTGTGTGACTTTGTGTGTGTGTGTGTGTGTGTGTGAATGTGTGATAGAGAGCCAAACTAGAGCAGAGGAGGTTCCCTGGCCTGCCATGACATTAAATGTTCTGAATTCAAGATACCAAGAGAGGCATGAGACCCACAGTTGAAACTTCATGATGTGGCCAGGTTTCAGGGGTTTCTGGGAGCTGCCAGTGGGCATGTCTCAGGCTTGCTCCCACTGACAATCCATGTCTTCTCTCTAAATGGGAGATGGCTCTGTATGGAGAACAGGCAACTGAGAGCATGATGTAAGGGTTCCACCTCATACTCACTAGGAAAGAAAACAGTTTTCATCATCTCTCACTCCATTCCCATTGTAAATCTATAGACACAGGGGTCAGTTACCTGAAATGTTAGCATAGGTAAAGTCCTCAGACCAAATTAGATGTCCTACCTTCTCATGTGGATCAGATCCTAAAAATACAACTGCTTCCTGTGGTCATTATCTTTTATCACAGGCCATTTCCAATCCAGAGGAAGACCTTCTAGAAGAAGTGATGGGTGGGAGAGTGCTGACATACTATGCAAAGCTACTATTTGGAGTTGGACACGAGTGCATGTGACCTTGTGCCACAGCGGGAATGTGAGCTGGATGACAAATGGAGATTTGGACTTGTGATAATTGGCCTCTGTGTCATTGTGTGGAAGACTGACTGGTCCCTTTATTTCCTGTAGCTTGACTACCACACAAATTAATCCACTCAAATGTTGGCAAGTGGAGCAGAGTCCCAGGACAGGTAAGGCACTTTCCCTGCTTTTTCTTAAGATCAATCCCCATGCCTAGAAATTAAAGTCACATCCCACACAATCATTAAAGTAGAGAATACATTCTGCAGGATGAGTGAAAAGGCATTTATGATTCTTGGGGGCAGATGTTCTACAGTTGCCTGTGCTAGTTCATGTCTTTCTGCAGATCACATTCTTAACCTCTAGAGAGTCTTGCAGGACCAGAGCCTTACCTTTCCCAGTCTGCAATCTCTACAGGTACAGAAACACCCCCAGTTCAAGGATCTTCACACCTGGATTTAGGCCTACACCTGCAACTACCCCAGGTAAGTTTCCTTGTTCTTCAATGGCAAAGTTTGGACAATGCTGTTCAAACTCCAGGCAACAAGCAACATCTAGGGAATGTGCTTTTAGGTAGGGTCAGCATAATATCCCACTCTGGGAGACATTTTTATTTTAAAGTTGTAGAGGGTGATGCTGCTGGCGGCTCCCTCCCAATCAGCACCATTTGCAGCCTCTTTTGAAGACAGAGAACTGAGGGCTGTCCTTCGAGTGGAGCAGTGTGATTCCAAAAAAAGAGATGCTCCTTGTGGTCCTGGGACCAGGGATAGGACTCCAGTTGAGCCTGGTGGAAGAGGTCCTCATCCTAGCCCAACGGAGAGCCATGCAGCTGAGCTTGGGCGATGTGGTCCACGTGGTTGTTTCTGAGTGTGTCCTGAGGTTCCTGGATGGCTTGCAGTTCCCTATGCAGATCCAATGCATTTTTTGCTTTTTTGCTTCTACAACCTGGAATTTATATGTTCAAGATGGAGCCATCTCAGCCATGACAACAGAGAATGTACCACTCTCACGTGAGGAAGAGGGGTAGGCAGTGCTCCTGTATCACCAGCTGTTAATGAGACCCTGAGGAAACCACATCATGGAGATCAGCCCTTCTCTCCTGTAAGGAACTCATCCTATGAAAGAGCAATTGGTGGCTGCAAGAGCTGTCTCTGGGACAGCTGTTCATGTCTATATCTGCAGGGTAACCCTCATAGTCATATGCAGTCATATCCATAGTCATATCTGGAGTCAGTCTCCAGTTTGACTGAGTGAATGGAGAAACTAAACATTTATTACTGAATAATAACATTAATAAACCATCTTAATGATAGTAATAATAAACATATTGATGAGTATTAACAGGAATGATGATGATTATTATGATACTAATATCCATAATTAATAATTTTAATATTGATAATACTACTAACCCCGTGGACTTGGGACCTAAAGAGCAGTTTCCCCTGACAATTATCCCGTATTTGGCCACATGGGGTAAT
The DNA here is from genome assembly GCF_000001405.40 of Homo sapiens. NCBI lineage: Eukaryota > Metazoa > Chordata > Mammalia > Primates > Hominidae > Homo > Homo sapiens. The sequence goes on from NC_000012.12 coordinate 8,195,793, forward strand.
ATTGAGTTCCAGAAGGCAAAGATTAACATTCAGAAAAATAGGAAAAACAACCTGCAGGTAGGCGTGTGCACACATGGGGACTCTATGGATAAATACTAAAGTGACTCTTGTTCTGGATCTCCATGCTAACAAACATGCACCAGCTTTCAGGAGGTAGGACAGCTGGCTGATGGGGCAAGGCTTCTTGAAGACATGGCAGCAGTCAGAAATCACACATGCTGCCCAGCAGCAGAGCTCATGACAAGCAGTAAACCCCAGTGAAAGGACCTGGCTGCCCTTCTGCCATCTGCTCTCCCATGGCCTCTCTTGACTGGTACATCTAGGCACTGGAGTAACCTTCACTGGCTATAGGAGGGCATAATCCTCAGTATTCTCCCACTTGCAAGAAAGACAAAAATTACCTGAATACCATGGCTTCTGGGTATCCTTAGTGGGCTTAGCGTATTTTTCATTTGCTTTAACAGGCCAGTTATCCAGGCAGTGACTTTCTGTACAGCTACAGTCACCTCTGGACACCTGCGGAGACTTTAAAAATTTCCAGAAGGTCAGGAATTTTTGGAGACCTTTCTTATGGCTACGTTGCCTGCAAAGGTGAATCAATAAGCTTCTGAACTGACTTAGAAAATGTTGCAGAGACTCTTGTGAACAGATAGACCCTCTCCTGCCACTCCAGATAGACGTATCCGGGTCACACACACCTGATTTAACAACATCTCATTATCTCAGGTGAGCAACAGACAGCAATTTAGGACCTATCCCAGTGTGGATGAGAGATATTGAGTTGGCTTAGAAAAATGTTAGATAGACTAGATGGGGCAAGAAAGCCCATTCTGGGGCTCAAAAGCCTGCACATAGAGTTGCTGGCACATAAAGGGTATGTATAAATTCTTTCTCAGCCCATGAGATCAGGATGAACTTCATCAGTATACCATGCTGGTATGAAGAGATTATTGCCTCCAAAGGGACTCAGAATATTTCAGGGATCCTGTATTAGTCCATTTTTACACTGTTGTAAAGACACTACCCCACACTGGGTAATTTACAAAGGGAAGATGTTTAATTAATTCACAGTTCTGCATCGCTGGGGAGGCCTCAGGAAACTTACAGTCACGGTGGAAGGCAAGACAGAAGCAGGCACCTTTTTTCACAAGGTGGCAGGAGAGAGAAGTGAGTGCACAGAAAAAAAAACCTCCTACTTTTAAAACCATCAGATCTCCTAAGAATTCACTCACTATCATGAGGATAGCATGAAGTAAACTTCTTCGACACATGGCGATTACAGGTCCCTCTGTCGATGTGTGGGGATAATAATTTGAGATGAGGTTTGGGTGGGGACACAGAGCCAAACCATATTATTCTGCTCCTGGCACCTCCCAAATCTCATGTCTTTTATATATATTTCAAAACCAATCATGCTTTCCCAACAGTCCCCCAAAGTCTTAACTGATTCCAGCATAACTCAAAACTCCAAGTCCAAAGTCTTATTTGAGACAAGTCCCTTCTGCCTATCAGCCTATAAAATTAAAAAAAAAGTTAGTTACATCCACAATGGGGACCTCATGACCCTGACCAGTGCCCTATCCTACTGTGGCTCAACTGATATCCAAGATGCAAGACAAAGTCCTTTTTACTCTTTCCTCTAATCTCCTCTAGCAGAAGGAAGCGGTCTTTTTTGGAGCTGCAAGCTGTGCTGCCTGGGGTTGGGGGAGTGGTAATGCAAGTACTCCTTTAGCTGTCCTGGCTGGTGTCTCAGTAGGTTTTATGGCCACTCACCTCAGTACACTGACTCTGAGTACAGTACTATTGTGTCTGCAGTAGTGTATGACATGGAAAATAAATCTCCATTCTCCAAGACTCTTCTTGAGCATCAAGTCTGCCTGATTGTTGAGATATAGCTACAGACTTTCCTCGCTGAGCCTAGCATGCACATGTTCCTCTGCTGGAAAAAAAAAAAAAACCAAACAAGCCACCAAACAACTTCCCACAAGTGGAATGTTCTGGGACTCAAGGGGAGTCCCTGAAATTCTGATTACTGCATATGCTGCTGCTGCTTCTCTGGGTCTAGCTACCCAGTGGGGCTGCTGCACACTAGGCTGGTGCTCAAGAATGTCTGCAATGGACCCAGTGATGTAATCTGTCCTCAAGTCTCACAGCAGTGTGTATCAGCAGCTGATCAGATGGGGATGGCAGGGGAGTGATGTAGACTCTGAAAGATTCCTTGGTTATAAATAGTCCTAGTGTGTTGTGTATTGGATTTCTCAAATGCCAGTTGTAGTAGTAATGAACTCATCACATGGACAGACTCAGGGCCTCCTGGTTAGCCAGAGTGATGCAAGCAATGGTAACAGATGTGGTCACTCACAACTTTTCTCCTTCCTGGGTGCTATGTTATTCTACCTGCAGATGCTGTAAAGGACTGTCAGTAGGCCTTCAGCCAGGAGGTGGTGCTTCCAAAAGACTGCCAGCTGTGGTGGTAGTGGTGAGATTTGGACTTGCCTTATGTTACCCATGGGAGGCACTCTGGTGTCTCAGGAAATAGGTGGAGCCATAGAGCTTCTAAAAGTTTCTTCTGTTATTTGTGTTAATCTACCAGGGTAGGTGGTTGAGCAAAACCAAGTGGGAACTAGGTCAGGTAAGGTGATGCTCTGGCTCTCTATGTGTGGGACAAGCAGTGGATCCAGTGGGAATTGGAAGGCAGTTCTTGGGCCACTGGAGTAATTTTCCAGAGAGAAGTGAAGCTGTCTCTGCCTCTGTACAAGGAGAGTCCATATGAAGAATGGGGAGTAGCAGCTTGGTAGTAAGCCCCATCCAGCTCCCACACACTTGGCAAGGCAGGTCTCACACCCACAGTGTTCCACTGGGAGTAGCTAGCTAAGTTTCAAGAAGTCTGAGCTCAGAACTCAAAACTGACCCATACCATAAGCCTCTCCTATGGAGACAGCAACTGCAACCTTCAGGCCACACCCTTCCTGATCCACCTACAGAGCAGGGTCCCCCAGCTCCTGTGCTTGCTGCTGCAGCACACTTCCCACTCACCTCTCAGTTCTGGCCTGGGGAGTTTGTCCCCAGTCAAGATTATATCACACATTTCAGTTGGGAGGTTGTCTCAACCTGTGACCACCATCTGAGTTAGCTGGCAGACTTCTAGGAGGTCCTGTCTGAGGTAGAATCAGAAATGGCTTCCCTCCATTCTACCAGAAACTGGGAATGTGCTGGAGATTCAAAGCACATCCCAATGCCACTCCTCATATACTCACCACTCTTCCCTAAATCAGCTCCAGCGCTGAGTAGGGTTAAGGCCTTCCCTCACGGCCTGGATTGATAGGTTTCCCAGTGGAAGTGTATATCTTAGAGTCAGTTTACCCTCCTGTCACACCCTGGAAACTTACAATTTTCTGCCTAGCTTATGGTGTAAGCTGCATCCTGCTGTTTCTTTCAAATGGTCTGTGGCTTTTTTCAATTTTCCTGTTAAATTCCTGTGTAGCTTCTTGAAAGAAAGTTCACAGTGTGAGTCTCTACACAGCATTTTGTCTTTCCAAGTGCAAGAGGCAGACTAACAATGCCTTCAGTCCACCATCTTGGAAAACAAAAGTAACAGTTTTCTCATTTTTAAAAGTTTTGTTAAGATCTGTTAATGATTCACAAAGAAATAGTACTTGGGTATATTTGAAATTAGTATTTATTCATTTATGTTGATAAGTGAAAATGCAAGATGGTTATCAAGATGGAAGTACTTAATATGTATATTTTAATATTCTTAGATGCAGATAACTTCACTTTTGATGTATTTTTATTTTGTCTCAGTTTCATTTCAACTTACGTTTAAGGGGTTCTTGATAATCTGACATGATAAGTGGTGTTGGAATTGGCATTAAAATCCACCATGCTCTACAGCACTTCATCCTTCTTCGGCAGGCACCAATTTGATCTTCTACTACTTTGCAGACATCTCTTCTGCAAACACCAGACAAACTGAGACAATGAACTTCCGCAGGACCCAAAGCACCTCTTACTGCAGGAAAGAAGATCCAGTGAGATAGTTAGTCCACAAATGGAATGTCAATCCATAAACACACTTAAGTAACAGAATAAATTTAGTATGAGCGTTTTTATGTGGGAGCTCTTGAAATGGTTGCTGCTCATATGTCAGAGACATATGCAGTTTAAGAAAGGTAGCAGTTCCAATCCTGGTTTGGCCCAACAGTCACTGCATTTTTGGTGGGGAAAAGGGATGTGGGAGGAGATGGTACATCTTCATCTTTTTCTCTGGGTTTTCTGTCAGAAAGGGATGTTGCTTACTCCAGTGGCAAAAAATGCCAGTGTCTTCTGCCAGAGTGGGTTACTGAGGGCCATGGTGGTTCCACCTTGTGGCTGATACAGATAGTCCCTTTCTGCTTTTGTTTCTAGCCAAAAAAGATGTTTCTCGCATCTCAGGTATGCAGACTTCAGCAGCTGTTTTTTCTATATGGCTATTTTTTTTTTCTTTCACTCTCTCTTTCTCTCTTTTTTTTTTGTTGGCTTCACTGTGTTGCCATAGTTTCTTAAATGGTCCCTTGAACCCTCCCAGAGCTATTTTGGTTTGTACATAACTATCTATATATTTTTTTCTTGGGGGGAGTGTGTAGAGCTAAAGGCTGGTATATCCTGCTCCTGCTCCCCGAAAGTGACGTTATTCCCCCAAGCTAATATTTCAGGCTTTCAATTTATTCATGCTTTCATCTGTTTAAACATAAGTAGAAATTACTTTTTCTCTCCACATTTAGATTTGATCTATCTACTTTAATTGCTAATAGTGTCTTAGTCATAGAATAGATTAGTTAGAAAAAAGTGTTTTTGACATTATAAATGATTCTTTCAATTTGTGTCTAAAAGTGGAAAATACTAGAAAGCTTAACATTTATTATTGTATTCAGACCAGTATTTCCTCCAGATGACCTTTATTACAACAAAGATAATTTAATGAAGATCTCTCTAATGGTAAAGCTGATGGCTTTGTGCTATTACAATATCCTTCAAATAAAGTGACGATCTGGTGGAAAGAACAACTAAAGCAAGGATTAGGAAGAAAACAGTTAATACCTTCATTTTGGTCTCACTCTGCATTAAGAGTTTTCATTGTGTTAAGGATTTATTATACATTAAGTAATTTAATGTTCATTTAATAATAAATGGATCCTATTAAATATGATTTTTAAAATTATAATCACATTACTTTTATTCACATCTGTCTACTGATGCCATTCCTAGATGAGAATGATATAACATTATTTTTTTTTTCATTTTGCCACATCTTTACTTACTTAGGTTTATGCTGTATCAAACAATGTATGTGTGGGAGTAATGATGATTCAGGAATGCATGAGGAGGAGGTTTAAGCTCTTTAACCTTGAACAATTAAAATTAGCAACATAATATTGAAATACATACATAACACTCAAATGGTACTTTCAAAATAGTGTATATTTCCTCTGTTTATTTGTAGCTTTTAAACCCAGCTAGAAGCATTCTATTTCCTTTAGGCACCATAAGTCTGAAAGTCTGTAGTGAAAACTACAAGTAGTAAATGATACTAATTCATGTGCTCCCACCTGTGGAAGAATTGAATGTCTTAGATAAAAAAAGATGGTGCAATTGGTGTACAAAGTATCTAGAATACAATTTGGTGGTGGTTTTTCTGTTTCCATAGCAGAGTAACATATATAATATTCCCCTTTCATCAAGTTATTTAAATATGCCTTTGAACGGGGAGAATTGAAAATAATACTGTGAATCCTGGTAAACATTTTAAAATAATGAGAAGAATATTGCCTTTAAAAAGTCAAAATTTGTCTGATTACAACCCATATAGCAATTTCATAGCAAAACACTTCCTTCAATCCTATTAAAATCAGAAGGAAAAGAAGAATACCCACTGTCAATGTTATATTAATATAGTTCTAAAAGTTTTGGACAATGAAATATGTTGTAAGAAGAGAAGTCAGGGGAGACTTGAGCCCATTGTTTTCCCTCTCCTTCTATACCTCCCAAAATACCACTGGAATGTTGTAACATTTTGAAGAATCTATAGCAGTGTCCCAAATCATAGAACAGTATGAATACATCTGAATCTGAGATATCTCCGAAAGGTACAATATATGTGTGATTAGAATGAAAGAAAGATTTAGGCTTTTGGCCATGACTGCAAGTTAGCTGGTCTCAAATGACTGCTGCTATTGAACAAATACATTTTAGAGGATCTCTTTGAAACATTTCTATTCTTGAAAACGGTTAGGCAAGTTTTTAAAATATCTCCTTTTTCAAACACAAAAATAGTCTGTGAACTGGAGCTTGAGCACTGGGCACTTTGTATTGGCTAGCTGATGGAGGGGTGTGAGGGTTTCCCAGATCTTCTGGGAAGATCTGCTATTATCAGCAATGCTAATGGTGGTACTACTGACTCTTGGGCCATCAGAAATTCCAGTTCGTTAATCCTGGAACTTCTATATTGAGATAAAGCATTGAGTCAGTTTCACAGAGGAAGTTTGGATAATAGCATTCTCATTTCAGACCATAGAATGATGGCAGATTAAGGATGAGCAATGAGTTCAGTATTAAAAATGATCAGGTAAGCAAGACACCATGAATAAAAGTTAATGAAATGAATAGCACATTTAAATCTTTGAAAACTAAATGTATTGAAATTGTCAATGTGGAGAAATAATTAAGCAGCTGTGTATCGATTGTTTAAAGAAACAATCTACTATTACAAAGATGTAAAAACAATAGTAAAACAATATAGATGATAGAAAAAATGGGCAGGTCTCACTGGGCGTCGTGGCTCATGCCTGTAATCGCAGTACTTTGGGAGGCCGAAGCGGGCGGGTCATGAGGTCAGGAGTTCAAGAACAGCATGCCCAAGATGGTGAAAACTTGTCTCTACTAAAAAAAAAGTGTATATATGTATAAATTAGCTGAACATGGTAATGTGCACCTGTAGTCCCAGCTACTCAGGAGGCTGAGGCAGGAGAATCACTTGAACCCGGGAGGTGGGGGTTGCAGTGAGCCAGGATTGCACCACTGCATTCCAGCCTGGGCAACAGAGTGAGACTCTGTCTCCAAAAAAAACAAAACAAAACAAAAAGGCAGGTCTGAATAAAAAAAATTTAAAAATAAATGCAAGTTATTAATGATATATTAGATATAGGTAACAGGATAATTAGTAAAGAAAAAAATGCTTAAATGATATACCCAGAATGTAGCATGGAAACACAAGGTCTAACATTTATTTAATTCAAATATGGGGGGAGAGAAGCGTAAGAGGATTCACCGTTTCAAGAGAGTCTCAAAAGAAATTAGGAAAAAGTATAAATCCATGGATTCAAAGAACGTATTTCTAACAGATGATATAAAAATAAATTCACATTAGTTAAATTATAAATTATAAAACATTAAAACCAAAGACCAGACCATACAAACATTGAAAAAAGGGCAATTTATAATGAAATAATATTTATCTGATTATTATAATAAGGCAAAAACTAAAAATGAGTAAACTAGTATCAACAAATATTGAGAGAAAATAACTGTTAGTATAGAACTGGGTACTCAGTAATGCTGTCTTTCAAGAACAAAAATAACAATATGAAATTGACAGATAAAAACTAAAATTGTTCACTATCAAGAGATCTGCAGCAAATAAAATTTCAAAGGCTATATATCAGGAAGAAAGAATTTAACCCAAAAGCTGATCTCAGAGTCAACTTGGAATTCCATAAATATCACTAAACTGATGATAATAGTAATACTTTCTGACATGGGGGGATTCTGAAAAGAAGTGAACTTTTACTTTTGTTTAGAGTTTAGAAAGCTATAGAAAAATGCTCTTGCCCTGACCAAGAGAATAAGCTGGATAATCTATAGATCATAGATTTCATTTTAAAAGACAGAGCTGAGGTCTCAAAAAAAGCTAATTAACTTAAATTCAGAGTAATGAAGCCCTACTGAAAAAAGAACGGATCCACAGATGATTTGTGTGTACCTGAGTTGCAGCAGCAGAAGCAGGAGGAAGCTGCCCTTGATGGAGATAAGAAGGAAACAAGTGAACCTCAAGCAAATGTTGAAAGGCTGAATGTGGGCTTGTGATAGTTTAGCATCTGTAGGGGCCCAAACACACTCACTCACTCACTAATGCTTTAATGCTTTTCTTTTCTTTCTTTCTTTCTCTTTCTCTTTCTTTCTTTCTTTCTTTCTTTCTCTCTTTTCTTCCTTTTTTTTTTTTTTTGACAGAGTCTCACTCTGTCACCCAGGCTAGAGTGCAATGGCATGATCTCGGCTCACTACCACCTCCGCCTCCAGGGTTCAAGCGATTGTCCTGCCTCAGCCTCCCAAGTAGCTGGAACTACAGGCACGTGCCACCACACCCTGCTAATTTTTTGTATTAGTAGAGACAGGGTTTCACCGTGTTGGCCACTGACTTCATGATCCCAAAGTGCTGGGATTACAGTGCCTCGGCCTCCCAAAGTGCTGGGATTACAGTGCCTTGGCCTCCCAAAGTGCTGGGATTACAGGTGTGATCCCACTAATGGTTTTTTCATGACCTATCTTGTGTGCTCCTAGGTAAAATCAGATGGAGAGCAGGAGAACTTCCTGCGACACTTTTGAGGGACAGGCATGTAGGAACTGCTGCAATTTGAGGTTGGAGAAAGGTAAAGGTCGCACTGTGAGAATCGGGGAAAATCCTCTGTTACTGGGGAGTGGGTTGGGGAGCTGAGAGAATCCCCCCTTCACTCTCTTTTCTCACAGGTGCATAAGAAGAGAGGCCTGATGAGGTCTGAAGGCAGGGGAGGGCAGGTAGCTGAGAGAAGTAGATTTTCTGGTCTTTCACTGAGTGTGAGGCAGCTACTGCCCGTGGTTGGGCAAGGGATGGGAGCCCTGAGAGATTCTTGAGGTGCAGAGATAGAGGCTTGCTGAAGATGAAAGTGGACAGGAAAGCTAAGAGAGGCTCCAATGCTGACCATGGCACTCTGCAAGAAGAGAAAATCTGTATGTAGAGGTTTCTGAGGGAAAATCGTGAGTTCAGTTTTGGATATATATTACTTTTGAAATCAAGTGTCCAAGTAGATATATCAGTTATGCCGTTAGATAATTTATTATAAGCCTGGAGTTCAAAAGGAGGTCCAAAAGGAGAATTGAAAGGGATGAGACTTGCTGAGCCCCTCCAAAGAGTGTGTGGTGAGGGAGAAGAGAAGAGGACCAGGAACTGAGCTCTGGAGCTCTCCTATAGGAGGTGTCATGCAAAAGATGAGGAAGAAACAAAGGAAGCCGAAGTGGTAGCTCCAGTGAGACAGGCTGAGAATCAAGTGAATGTGCCATCCTGGAAGCCAAGTGAAGAAATTATACTGTGAAGAAGGTAGTGATTATTTGTGTCAAATGCTGCTAATAGGCCAATTAAAGTTATAGTGAAAAATGATCATTGGATCTAGCAATGTGGAGATTATTGGTAACTTTGACAAAAGTGGTGTCAATATCATGATCGAAAAAGGGGGAGAGAGCCTGATTGGGATATATTTAAGAAACAATGAGAGGAGACGAATTGAAGAAAGAGAGTATGGACAACTATTTTAAGATGTTTTGCTGAAAAGTAGAGCAAAAAATGGGATGACAGCTGGCATCAGAAGAAAAGCAAGGACATTCTTTTTCTTAGATCAGAAAAACAACAGCATATTTGTATGCTGATGGTAATAATTTACTAGCATCAAAATTGATGACATAGTCGTGATATAGTGAACTGCAACAGGAAAATCCCCAAGTACACAGCAAAGAGGGAATATAATACACAAATTTAAAAATTATTTGAATCTCTGAAACATCTGTTTTGATATTAACCTTTCATTCCTGCAATAGTTATTTTAAGCATGTTCTCATTTTCTCTTGTTCAGTGTTGCCAGATTATTATAAAGTGTATTAGACTTTTTGAAAAACATTTTTAAAAATACTAGTTTTTTCTCATTTGTTTCATTAATTTATATTTTGTATTTATAATTTTCCCTTTATCTTCTTTAGGGTTATTATGCTGTTTTTTTTCCAAAAGCCCCCAAAATGCGTGCTTAGCCCATTAAATTTTAGCCATTTTTGTATTGAAAGTAATGTTACCCATTTCTGTGTGGTTACCTGTAATATACCGTGAGCAGCACTTCTTGGTGTCTTTGCTCCTTATTAATTCACTTGTCTGAAGTTCCTTTAACTCTGCTTTCTGGTCCTCAGTTTCACTTTGCAAATCATTTTTTATTCATAACCATATAAAACATAATTTATTTTGAAAAGTCTCTCATATAATTTTCACTTATTCTAGGATTATAATTTTTCCGTTTGTCTCTTAGAATAAAACTTTCAGATTTGTCAACACTCATTTAGCAGTAGCTCCTATTGATAGGATTCCATCCATCTCTTTTGACCTAGTAAGTGAATATAACAATAGATGCCATAGAAATTCAATCCTGTCAGATCTAACTGCCTACATATAAATTTCCATGTCCCGCAAAGGCATCTCATTGAGGTCATGTTCTGTTGTATCCTTACTTTGTATCTTGAGATGCTTGGTGGGGCATGGAAATTTATATGCAGGCAGTTTCATCTGACAGGATTGAATTTCAGCAGCATCCATTATTATATCCACTCACTAGGTCAAAAGACATGGATGGAATCTTATCAACAGGAGCTACTGCTAAATGAGTCTCTTTTCTATTTTTCCCTATTATAATCCTAGTGAAGCTGTAAATATTAGGTTCTTGAACCCACAGGACTGATTCTAGGATCTTGTCTGGCCAGGGATATAGCCTTCTCATCTGCAGAACCTTATAGTAATCAGCTACCAACTTACCTGGGGATAAGAGAATTGAAAAAAGAAGGAGAATAAGGAGAAGCACATGGAGTCTCACGGCTGAAGGGCCAGCATCAATGTGGGTTGAGCCTGGATTCTCTGGGCATTGTGGGTCTGGGCCTTTTTATGATGCTCTCTGAGTCTGTGATTTGTTCTTGGTCAGTAGAGCCTAACGAAAAGAGAATAACTAAATCTCCCACAGGAAACTTCCAGGGACACACAAGTACATAAATGTGGTGATATCTCAATGGATGAGAAAGCAGGTGAATGCTATTTATTTCCCAAAGATTCAGGATGTCTTTATTGTCACCTGCTTTCTTTATTATTTTTGACATGCACATGCAATAATCATTGATCTCACTTTATACATCTATTGTTTGCCAGGCAATATAGTAGGAACTGAAGTAAAACTGTTATACACAAACAGTACATAATTAATGGATATAGTTTGGCAAGTTTGCACATATATATTATCTTGTTACCACACCAATATCCAGGTAATAATATATCCATCACCTCCAAATGTTTCCTACGTCCCTTTGTTGTTGTTGTTGTTGTTGTCAGAACCCCTAAGATCGACCCTCTTAACAAATTGTTAAATACAAAGTACCTCATTGTTAACTATAGGTACTATGTTTTGGAGCCTATCTCTGTAATTGACTCATTTTGTATAGCTTTAACCCTTGAACAATAACTCCCCATATTGCTCTTTCCCCACTCAATAAAACACTAAACTCTTTTAAAGCACATTCTATATAATCCACTTTATGAAGCTTTTCCTAACACTTTTTTATCTGTTCCCCCCCAGTAAAGGGAACTACTAATATAACAATTACCTATTTTGGATTATTGTGTCTTTTACAAACATTCTTTTATGAACCCATTTAACACTTATCTCCCATTATCTTATTATGAAGTAAAATAAAACTTGACGTGATTTTAAAAACGAAATCACAAAAGGGCTTTGTAAAATTATGATGTACCATTGCTTATTTGTAAGAATTCAAGTTACACTAGGGGTTTTTAAAAATCTTTTGTTTTTATTTGTTGCATATTGTAAGCACAGTGTCTTTTCCAGCTATTTGCTTTGGGAAGAAAAGTTAGAGTTACAATGAACATCATAGGCTATCTTGTCTAGTCACTTACGTTACAGATGAGGAAATGAGCTGAGGGAAAGGAAGAAACTTGCCCAGGATCACCCAGTGATCTAGCGAGGAAGGCGATAGGGACAGCACTAAGGCTTGGTATTCTGAGCCTCATTCTATTTTCTCCTCTTGCCCCTTCTCTGTTTCCTCCTCTCTTCCCCAGCCTTCCAGAAAAACTTTACAGTTCTGCTGCAATGTCTACCTAAGGACATCAGAGGAGACCTCACTTTTCATTAGACTGCTTTTTTAAGCACTGTCTTGCATTTTCTTCTTCAGTCTTGTTGTATCCCATTTTTGGCTATAAGTAATGCTTCTGCTGTGCTGTTCTATCCAATTAGTTTCTTCTATTTTCATTGAAAGAAAATTAAAACAAAAAACCTTTAGTTTATCTAAATTTGGAAGTTTTAAAACTTGATTAGAATTTCCTGGGATATGGATGTAAGACATATATTTTAAAATATTTTTCATTTTCAAAATTAAAAATCAAACGCATATATTTAGCCGGGATGACTACTTGATAACTACTCATCAGATGGGTCTTCAGCAACACCACCAGGATAAAAATCTTATAAATCAATTCCCTGGTGTTATGTGCTACTGAGTTAACACAATTTGATATGGTATCACATTTAACCAGGCTTTACGGAGTCACACAAAGGAACAGCACAACAGAACCATAGGGTGGAATGTATAGGGAAAGCTGGGATGTAAAACCCAGCCTTGACTCTGACATTTACTCCACTGTTGGGAAAAGCACTTCAGTTCCCAGAGCCTTAATATTTTCCTCTATAAAACAGGAAAAATAGAGCCATATTTAAGGTTTTGTCAAATCTTGTTGCTGAGTGATTTTACAGTGTCTGCAGCTATCCTCTCTGCTAATCATAACAAGGCTAACGAACTGTTCTTTTGTTTAGTTAAAGATATTTTTGCATTTGTTTACAAATTCTTATTCTTCCCTTCACAGAAAAGGAAACATTTTAAAGGTAATTTATAAAAGGTTAAGAGTCTCTTACATATCAACTCTTCGCAATGTGATAGAGTAGCTTAACCCCATCCCTAAGAGTATAGTTTCAGATCAGCCCCAAACCTATGTGGAATGTGGGATACAGAATATATTTCAAACACATGCAAAGGCACACACACGTGCGCACACACACACACACACACACCCAGTATTACCTAAGGCAGAGGTGCAGATGACAATCTTGGATAGACAGCTCAAAACTCTTAGTACTAAAATAATCCTAATAATAATTTTCCTTTCAAAGTCACCACCAACAATCAGATCTCTTAAGGGTTGGTGCCTTAGGTTTTCGAGCCTTGTGTATCTTTTGGCTTTCTTTTTTGGTTGTGTGCTATTTATGTCATAGAAAGAAACCTCTTCTTCATCCTATGCCAGTGCTGTATTGTAGGGGCTTGTTGACGTCTTCCTGGTATGTAGCAATCCAGGTGACTGGCCTCGGGCTTCTTAAGAGCAAGGCCATCACATGCTTTTGTTCTTTGTCTGCTTGTTTCCTTGTAAGGGCCCCACATACAGTGGGCGCTTAACAAAAATTTGATCAACTGAACTCATTTTCCATCTCCGTTCTCTCCACTTCAATCTCTCCCTTTTACTTCTTCCAGATTAGTTTTCCTACAGCAAAATGGGAATTGCCCAAAAACTGCCCTTCATCTTTATAACTTGAAGGATTCATTTACCCTAAGCCGTCCTTTTAAATTTACTATTACAGACTAGATAGAAAAGTCTGGGTTCACCAAGAATAGGCATGTGTGCCACCATATTTTCTGTTGAAAACTTTGGAAAGTGTCTTTTAGCAAACAACATAAAGCATAGAATTTGACCATCCCTTACAATGTACAAGGATCATCCACATTCTCACATGTCCATGGCTACTTTCCCACTCCTTCCCCAACCTTTTTTTTTTTTTTTTTTTTTTTTTGAGACGGAGTCTCGCTCTGTCGCCCAGGCTGGAGTGCAGTGGCGGGATCTCGGCTCACTGCAAGCTCCGCCTCCCGGGTTCACGCCATTCTCCTGCCTCAGCCTCCCGAGTAGCTGGGACTACAGGCGCCCGCCACTACGCCCGGCTAATTTTTTGTATTTTTAGTAGAGACGGGGTTTCACCGTTTTAGCCGGGATGGTCTCGATCTCCTGACCTCGTGATCCGCCCGCCTCGGCCTCCCAAAGTGCTGGGATTACAGGCGTGAGCCACCGCGCCCGGCCTTCCTTCCCCAACCTTGAAATCCTGAATTCAAAAGAAAATATGAGAAGATAGTTTGCCTCATATAAGGCAACAGGTTGCTTAATCTTTCTTGCCTATACACATTCAAGAGCTCCAGAAAACTTTCTGATCTACTTAGGATGCCTGATCATCTTCTTGGGTAAAAGCAATAAGTCCTACACAGAATCACCAAAACCATGTCTGTTCAAGGGGTCTTATACCTGTGATACATGATTGCATGCTCAATGCAGAAGGGCATGCTCTGTTGCAGGGTCATATCTGGTCATTGTGTTTAAGTTCTAATTTAGAAGACTAGTTGCTGAGGAGGAAGAGGGAAGGATAATGTTAGGAAATGGAATCAAACTTAAGGGGAAAAGTCCAGTACAGGGGACCAACAGTACTGAGGGGCAATAGGTTGAAGATTTCTTAGATTATTGCAATATTTCCAAGGAGACCCCCACGAATCCTTCCTGGCTGACCCCACCAAAGCTTTGGCATAGCCTTTATGCCAAATGTCTTAGACTAACTAACTTTTCCAAAAGAAAATAGAGGAGTTATGGAGACCAATATTTAGTAGAATAATGCCTGATTATTTTGCTTTTGAGGTCTAGTAACTGCTAGTAAACTTGCCTAATTAATTCACATTTAGAAGTAGAGTAAAGAGGGTTTCAAGCACTTGAAACACCACTGACTTCATTTCATGTGAGAGTTGCTATGGAGAGCTAATGAACTATGAGGCTGCAGGTCTCTCAGCCAATAGGTCTTCTAGATTTCCTATGTGACTCCCTTTTCTGGTCATAGGCGATTTTGCTTTTGCTTTGAGTGTTATAGCACCATAAGGTGTCAGACACTCTACTCTTACCAAGTCTTACACAAAGTTTATCTTGTTATTTGGTGGAGCTTGGCTCATAAAAAAAAAAAAAAGAGAGAATGATAAAGAGGAGGACAGCAATCCTCACGGCTGAGGAAAGAAGAAAGCTTGGCTTTATTTCCAGTAGGCAGAGAAAACTTCCGTCTGTGACTCTCTAGCACCAGTGGAATGTCTCTGTTTGGATAATAAGTGTCCTTCCATACCTCATTAGGCATATTCACAGAGATGTACTGTGCACACAAAATAACCTTCATGGGACGACTGAGAGTCCATGTTTTATTGGACACTAAGTTCATTAGAATGATGTGGGTGCACAGTTTTGACCAGAAAACCTTGTTAAATGGGAACATAAGCTACAAATATTTTGGCAAAAGATTAAGGTTTATGGACAAACAACCATTTATATTAAGTTACAATTAATTAGGCCATGTTGAGAAACCTTTTAGTTTAGTTAATGATTAGACATTTTGTTAGTGAACACTTCCCAGATTTTACTAGCCCTATTAATCCCCACTTTGCCCCTGGTCTGAACCCCCACAGTGCCTTGTTTATGGTACAGTGCCTACTGCCTTGTATGTTAGATTAGTGAACGTATATTTGCCTCCTCTACTACTGAAGGAGCTTCTTGTTTGCCAGGACAGGGCTATATTCCTCAGAGCTGAGGAGGAGTTGAATCATGTGGTCATTTATTCTCAAATCCTCTTCATCAAGTGAAGCAAAACAGGACAGTGAAAAGTCACTGCACATGGAAGCAGGAGGTCTGGATTTCAGTTCTAAATCTCTAGATCTATTACTAACTGGAGGTATGGATAGAGTCAGGAAAATTTTCTTCCTTAAGTCTTGATAGCACCTATGTAGGTCCAGATCCGTTGGACCTAGATAAGGGGATTCTCAATAATTACTGTGCATAAAATCAACTGAAAGAGTTAGTTTGCAATGCAGATTCTTAGCCCCATTCTATGAAATTTTTACTGTTTCATAAATTGATAAATAATTTTTATTAGACAATGTAAATTTCCTTACTTGTACCAGCATACAAAAATATTGAGAAATATTAGCAGCAGAATCTTTCAACAAAATAACTATGTATAGCTATTAAACCACTTTGTTTCACTGCTTTTTATTTTCTTTTATTTATCACTATTGTCTTCATTATTATCATCACACATTATTGAACACCCATCATGGACCATATGGCATAAACATTGTTTCTGCTCATAAGGAGTATGTATTCTCTACATGTTTATAAAATTAATGCCTGAATAAGTTTGATTAAACAAGGCAGAAGTTGATTTCTTTTTCACTTAAAATTAACCTGTAGTTATACCATTCAGGGCTAGTACAGATACTTTCTAATATCATTAGGGATGCAGGTCCCTTCCAGCTCTCTGCTCTGCTATACTTTAGAAAAGGTCCTAGTTTGGCTGATAAATTCCCACCTATTATTTCTGAATTCTAGACAGCAGGGAGAAAAAAGGCATGAGAGAAGGGCAAAGGAACATCTACCCTTCCTTTTTAAATTTTTTAACCAACCCCCCTTAAAAACACTTTGTTGAGACATGATTACATTCAAAAAGCTGTACCTATTTAATGTGTATATCTCAGTGAGTTTGAGAATAAGGGTACATTGTGAAAGCATCACTGCCATCAAGATTATAAACATATTCATCACCTCCCAAAGTTCTCCCTCCCATTCTAATTATTATTTTTATTGGTAAGAATAATTAACATAAAATTCACCCTCCTATTATATTTTAAGTATGCAATACAGTATTCATAGCTATAAGCACTATGCTGTAAATTAGACCTCCTGAACTTATTTATGTGGTATATCTAAAACTTTGTACTATAATCACACCTACACACTTACCTGCACCACAGCTCCTGGCCAGTCTACCCTCTGCTTCTGAGTTTTTTTTTGAGATTTCAAATACAAGTGAAATCATACAGTATTTGTCATTCTGTGTTTGGTTTATTTCACATGACTTCATGCCCTTCAGATCCATCAATGTTGTCACAAATGACAGGGTTTCATTATTATATAATACTGAATAATATTCCATTGTGCATATATATATATAACATTAATTCAGCCGTCCATGAATGAATGATAACATGTATGACTTCTTCATAGATCTTGACTATTGTGAACAGTACTGAAAGGAACATAGGAGCGCAGATATCTCTTTCACATACTGATTTCAATGACTTCATATATATATATTTACATATATATATATGGATATATATATTATATATAAAATAAGTGGGATTGCTGGAACAAAATGGTATTTTTATTGTTAATTTTTTGAGAAACCTCCATACTATTTTCCAAGGTGGCCGTACTAATTTACATTCCCACCACCAGTATACAAAGGTTCCCTTTTCTCCACATCCTTACCGCCACTTGTTATCATCCATCTTTTTGATAATAGCTATTCTAACAGGTGTGAGGTGATATTTCTTGGTAGTTTTCATTTGCATTCCCGTGATGACTAGAGAGGGTAAGAATTGTTTATATATATGTTGTCCATTTGTATCTCCTTTTTCGAGAAATGCCTGCTCATATATCTTTGTTCATTTTTTACGTTTTTAATTTTTATTTTAGACACAGAGGATACATGTGCAGGTTTGTTACATGGATGTATTGTGTGCTGCTGAGGTTTAGAGTATGAATGATCTCATCACACACGTAGTGAACATAATACCCAATAGGTAGTTTTTCAGGCCTTGCACCCAACCCTCCCTCCTCCCTCTAAGAATCTCCAGTGTCTGTTGTTTCCATATAAGTGAGAGCTAAACAGTGTATAACCCAATGTTTAGCTCTCACTTATACATGAGAATATGTAGTATTTGGTTTTCTGTTCCTGCATACCACACCACACTGGGCTAATTTTTGTATTTTTGGTAAAGATGGGGTAGCTTCAGCATGTTGGCCAGGCTGGTCTTGAACTCCTGAGTTCATGCGATCCACCCACCTCACAAAGTGCTGACATAACAGGCATGAGCCACTGCACCTGGCTTTTCTGAACTTTTTTAGCTTATATTAGGTTTGTCTGTTCTAGAATTTTGTATACATTTATTTATATTATAGGACACTTTTTAGCTTAGCTTTCCTCTCTCGGGGTTAGAAAGATTATATTGATCCATGATCATGATGTCGATTCGTAGAGTTGATTATTCCCATTTATTGATAAATATTACTCTATAATATGCATATAATTTATCAATTTCCTCTCAATAGACATTTGAGCTGTTCCCAGGCTTCAGCTATTGTTAATAGAACTCAAGGACACATTTTTAAAAGAAAAAATTTCAACCCAAAATGTCCTTTCCTTTTGGCTCTCCAATATTGTGTCAGAGTTATATTTTTGTTGTCTTGAAAATCCAATTACATTGAACAGGAGGTGTCTCTAGAATCAAGGTTCAGTATATGTGTGGTCTGGCTGTGTCCTGGAATGTAGCCCTTATTAGTTTTATTGAGCATTTTCCTATATAAATTGAAATCAAGTTGAAGACTCATTTTTCCACAGTAGGACAAATAGAACAGTTTAGGACTTTGGAGAGATAGCAACTTGCTGCTTGCCTGTGCAACCCACCTCAAAAGATACAACTCCTCCAACTTTTGATTTCTGGTGACTTGTCCAAACAATTAGATGTGAATTGACCTTATTCCCTTACATTACTACAAGTCGATCTTCTGCACCTGGCCAAATACAGTATAAAATTGATGAGCATACGTTTCTTTTAGTTTCATATTTTCTATTTAAAGCTACTCTCTTTGGCTGGGCACTATGGCTCATGACTGTAATCCCAGCAGTTTGGAAGGCCAAGATAGGTGGATCACTTGAGGCCAGGGGTTTGAGACCTGCCTGACCAACATGATGAAAGCTGTCTTTCCGAAAAATACAAAAATTTTCTGGGTGTGGTGGCACGTGCCTGTAATCCCAGCTACTCAGGAGGCTGAGGCAGGAGAATCACTTGAACCCAGGAGGCAGAAGGTGCAGTGAGCCAAGATCCCGCCTCTGCATTCCATCCTGGGTGACAGAATTAACCTCCATCTCAAAAAAATAAAAAGCTAATCTATACTTTTCTTTTGGTGCATTATTAGAACATAGAAGGCAATAAGGCAAAACTATTGTGGGTATATTAGTGCGTATCTGTAGCACCTAGCACAGCGCCTAGCCCATAACTTGTGTTGAAAATTAAGAGAACCTTCTTAATATCACTTTTCCCCACTCTAGTTCTGAATTTAAAGAAAGAAAAAGGTAGGTTAGCAAATATAGGTATCAGTTATTTCTATTGACAGATCATTTGGAGAACATGTTTTTGGGCGTGGGAGAAAAAAGATTCCTAACTCTCCGCCCCAGAAATAATTTTGCTGACACAAAAATCAGCCAGACATGGTGGCACAGGCCTATAATCCCAGCTACTTAGGAGGATGAGTTTGAGGATAAGGATACATTGTGAAAAAGGTGGGAAAATCACTTGAACACAGGAGGCAGAGATTGCAGTGAGCCAAGAGTGTCCCACTGCACTCCAGCCTAGGCAACAGAGAAAGACTCTGTCTGAAAGAAAAAAAATGTTGTTGCTATATAGCACATAATTTTATTGTCATCTCATTTAAAATTGAATAGTACATTTGGGTTGAATTTTTATGCCTGCAGAGACATTTGCTTCTTGCTTAAAATCGCTGGCTGTAGGAGGAAACTCCAGCAGAGGACATCATAACGATTTCATAGTGTCTATGGTCATCTTGGTAATTCCTCAGATAATTCCTGGCAATTCTGTTAGGTCTTGAACTTCACTTACTTCTTACATGTTTAATAAAAAGAAGTTCAAAACATTGCCAGGGCTGTTGAATTCCCACAGGCTTGTCTTCCCTTTAAAATTTATCACATGGTTTGTACTCCTTTGCAGATATAATACGTAAGTTTGGAGGTGGATGCTTTCAGCCATTAAGTTCAAAAGTACTGCCACAAGGGCCAGGCATGGTGGCTCACACCTGTAATCCCAACCCTTTGGGAGGTCAAAGCAAGCAGATCACGAGATCAGGAAACTGAGACCATCCTAGCCAACATGGTGAAATCCCATCTGTACTAAAAGTACAAAAATTAGCTGAGTGTGGTAGTATGTGCCTGTAGTCCCAGCTACTTGGGAGGCTGAGGCAGGAGGATTGCTTGAACCCGGGAGGCAGAGGTTGCAGTGAGTCGAGATTGCGCCATTGCAGCGCAGCCTGGTTACAGAGTGAGACTCCGTCTCCCAGAAAAAAAAAAAAAAAAGTACTGCTACATGGACATCCATTGTCCCAGCATCTCTGCCATAATAGCTGAGGAATTATCGAGAATGTCTGTTAATTTCTTTAACTCCAAAATTGTGTTATGTCCCTTGGTCTCCTGTCATACCATAAATTGTATTATTCATAAAATGGACACTTCGTCTATAGTTATTTCTTCTCAGTATGCTACATCCCTTTAGAATTTAAACATACAGTGTCTCCCAACCTGAAATTTGAAGTTTTGAAAAACCAGAAAAATGTTTTCGGACACCTTTTATTTCCAGCTGTTTTTGTGTCCTCTCCGGAATCCAAGTTGAGGGTAAAGTCCATTCATCAGCATTTCTCCTCAACCCACAACAACCTCATCCCACTCCAATATGATGTTTGTCCCCACAAATTGATGCACACAATTCTTGCTGGCAGTGGTAATGTCCTAATAAAAAAAATCATGAGAGGCATCAGACTTGACTTTATTTTCTAGCTCAGCAGAATTTGATTCCTGTCTGATAAGGAAACCCTATTTTCCCTAGAAACTTTTCACTTTTGTCACAGGTTTGGTTCCCAGGGAACTGGATATAGATGAAGTTTAGTGTGCACGATGTTTATTAGGAAGTGATGTCAGGATCCACATCTGTGGAAAGGATTGGAGGGAAGCCTTATGTGCAAAGGGACAAGTCTAATGGCAGTGCAGCCTGACATTGTCACCTGGCCATACGGACAGAGCTGTAGAGCTAAGAAGTCCTCTCCTATTTGTCCCAACTGAATCAAATGGCAAAGCCTATGTACCCCTTGCCTCCATTAATGATTGTGTGCTTGCCACTTGTGGAGGATGAGACTTCGAAGCAGGTGGCTTTCTGTGGCTGAAGAAAACCTTAAATGTGCTGACAAAGTTTTCCAAAGAGACAGAGAATGGCATCTGCCATGTATGTTGCCCCTTTCCAAAGAGGAAGCAACAAGGGTAATGGCCTCCAATGGCTCTGTATGCAGATAGGTGGACAGTAATGTCTGTCCCTCCTGTGACCTAAGAAGAACAGATGGCAGACATGGAGCCAGGCAGTTAGAGGTGACACAGTGTTAGGAGATAAACATCTGTCAGAAGCAGTGCTTCTTTGAATCAGGTGTGACACGAGCCTTGCATCCCTTGCATGGACCCCTTCCCCATTATCCTGCTGTCCTACCTCATGAAGGTGGGTGGGGGCTGGCTGGTGGGCAGTCCCAGTACCAGGTACACTTTGCCTGCAGTGTTTCCACATGAGTTCCAAGGTAGCCCATGTGGTCATCCATGAACTTTGTGTTTTCCTTATGCTGCTTGTCCTTTGCCTTTGAGGAACACGTTTCATTGGACTCTGAGTCCAAACAACTCACGTGTCCCTATATCTGTACATTGTCCTTCACTTAGGGGAATCTCTAATCTCTAATGCCATTGTTTTATTTTTACTATTAATATTATAATAATTAACATTGTCATTATTATCTTCATTGTTGATGTTCAGTTATATTTATTAATAGAGTTACTATGAATTATTATATTGTGGCTACTTACACCAAGATGAAGATAATTTATTAGTTCAGGAAGAATCTGCATTCTGAAGGCAAATAGAAGTTCCAGCTACAGATGGGCAGACACATGCCCTCTCAATTCCTGATGGACCTCCTAGTGCCTCCTGGACCTAAGGGGCCTCCCTCAATGTTTCAAGATGCCACCAAGGCAGGGATCAGCTCGTGCATTCCTGAGAACATCCACGATGAAGTGAGGCTCTGGAAAAATGCAAGAGTTTCCACATAATCCCAAAAAACCCTAAAGGTGAACTGGATGCCACAGAAAGAGGAGTGGTCTTTGTCACAACAAAATCAACAAAATTATTTCGAAGTCAATTAGGAAACTCAGAAATCACTCTTGCTGCCATTAAGAGGAAGAATAGGAGCCTGTGAATGGCATCCCTGGCCTACCTGAGACTCCACAGATATTTCTATGTGGCTTCAGACACCAGAAATCTCCCTGATTTTCAGAAAGGCAGGGACAGCTCCTGCCAGCCCATCCCTCTGCAGAATGTGTCCCAGCAGATCAGTGGCATGGAACCATCATGGACAGCACAAAGGCTCAAGGGCAGCATCCCAGGCCGGCCTGTGACTCTAGATAAGTTCTGAGTCCCCATGGGGGCTCAGGAAAGGTTAGTGATGACCTGGAAAGAAGGGACAGGCTGAAACCGCCCCTACGCTATCTGCAGGATTCCAACTTCAGCAGGAAGCCAAGGACCAACTCGTACCACACCTGCGCCCTCTGAAAACGCTGGATACAATCCCACTCTGCAGAAAGTTCCACATAGAAGTGGCTGGGAATTTTGCATTCTAGACTGCATTTTACAGTGCCTCTGGACATGTGATGAGAAATTTAACATTGGTGTATCTAACTCTGACATTTTTCACGAAGTGATTTTTTAAAATGTGGTAAAAAAGACAAAATATAATTCAAACATATGCATTATATGTCAAAGTATGCTTCGCTGGCATCAAGTAGACTCACCTTGAGATACAATCTTGGACAACCTCCATCTTCAGAATATCTACTTTTTCAAACCGAAACTCTCCAACCAAAAATCAATAACATCAAAAGTTTGCAAATACAAGCCGACGGAAAATAAATACATGAATTCTACCACAGTGAATTGGACCGCACTGGGAAACACAGATGAAGAAAGTCAATACCGCTTTGTCCTTCAGTGCCTGGCTCCTTTTTCAGCTCGTCTTGCTACTCTAGGCATTATGCCTGAAAAGTCTCCCAGGTGCCTGTGAGGCTCTAATTCCCTGGGTCCCATTGCCATGTCTCTGGATTTGCGAAGATCCACCGGACCTTCTGTGGAACTCCCGTGTCGGTGAACTTTTGTGCCACGTCCCCTAATTCTGCCCATGGTCATCTGCAGCTGCACGAGTTAGGGTCGGTGTTCCTTGGACGGGAAGAGACAGGCAGGAGTCGGAATGCTGAACCAGCACACTGGGGCGTTTTCTCATGTAGCCCAAGTGACCCAAGGTCTTCTTGAGCTTTGGAACCAGTCGCGTCCCACTTGACACAGCACCCGACTCCCAGTTTCTCAATCGTGTTGGCCCTCCGGCGATCTCCCGTTGGATGAATTGCACAGGCTGAAACTCGAGTCCCCTTTGATTTGCGCTTCATTAATTATTCATGATTCAGGTTGGAAGGCCTGCTGACGACCCCCTGTGGCCGTTCTCTGAGCTTTCCTGTCACATCGTTTCCTTCCACGCTCTTTGGTTCCTTGTGGTCCTGCTCCTTCTGCTGTCAGAGGAGCAGAGAGTTGATCTTATTGATTCTGGATACGGATACTTTCTAGGTGATCTGGATAATCAGGATAACGACCCTCAACAGCGGCGGAAAGGGAGCAGCCATTTGGTGTGTCTCAGAAAATCGCGCTCAGTTCCGAGGCCTCCTAGATGTGGAATCCTGCTCAGAGTTGTTCCCAGGTCAGAGAATGGAGAGAGCCTGGGCATGATGGGATATCCCTGCCTAGATCTTTCAGTGAGTCTCTACCTCAGCTACTCTTAGGATCAGGGGGAGAACCATGGAAAGGCCCGGTGTCAGACATCCGGAAAGAAGATGGGATGAATGTTTTACCTCTGAAGTACATCCCAAATCTGGGAGTTAACTTCAGCTTTGCTGGGCTCTATTTGGCCAGTGAAACTCTGCCTGGTTCATTCGCACATCCGGAAGCCACTTCACGGGGGGCCGTCGCAACTGGAACCACACACTTGGCATCGGCGGTTGAGCCAAATGGGGACTCGTGGTGCAAGCAACGCTCCCCACGTGTTAGCGTGCGTGAGATTCAGTTGGCGGAATTTTACTAGGTGTGTGTTGGTAGAGTGGGGCTGAGGTTTTCTTGCTCCTGTGGATGTATACGAAGTCAAAGGTCCTGCCCAGCCCTGCGGTCCCCTCAGTCAACTCTGTTTCAGAGACATAACGATTTGGATTGAGAACAAGTCAAGAAATTTTCAAGCCCTTGGATGTAGGGAAAAGAAAGAGAGATCAGACTGTCACTGTGTCTATGTAGAAAGGGAAGACATGAGACTCCATTTTGAAAAAGACCTGTACTTTAAACAATTGCTTTGCTGAGATGTTGTTCATTTGTAGCTTTGCCCCAGCCACTTTGCCCCAGCCGCTTTGACCCAACTTGGAGCTCACAAAAACCTGTGTTGTATAAAATCAAGGTTTAAGGGATCTAGGGCCGTGCAGGACGTGCCTTGTTAACCACATGTTTACAAGCAGTATACTTGGTAAAAGACATTGCCATTCTCTAGTCTCAATAAACCAGGGGCACAATGCACCGTGGAAAGCCGCAGGGACCTCTGCCCTTGAAAGCAGGGTATTGTCCAAGGTTTCTCCCCATGTGATAGTCTGAAATATGGCCTCATGGGATGAGAAAGACCTGACTGTCCCCCAGCCTGACACCCGTAAAGGGTCTGTGCTGAGGTGGATTAGTCAAAGAGGAAAGCCTCTTGCAGTTGAGATGGAGGAAGGCCACTGTCTCCTGCTCGCCCCTGGGAACTGAATGTCTCGGTGTAAAACCCGATCGTACATTTATTCAACTCTGAGCTAGGAGAAAAGCTGCCCTGTGGCGGGAGGCGAGACATGTTGGCAGTAGTGCTGCCTTGTTATTCTTTACTCCACTGAGATATTTGGGTGGAGAGAAACATAAATCTGGCCTACGTGCACGTCCAGGCATAGTACCTTCCCTTGAACTTAATTATGATATAGATTCTTTTGCTCACATGTTTTTTTTGTTGACCTTCTCCTTCTTATCACCCTGCTCTCCTACTACATTCCTTTTTGCTGAAGTAATGAAAATCATAATAAAAAAAACTGAGGGAACTCAGAGGCCGGTGCCGGTGCAGGTCCTTGGTGTGCTGAGTGCCGGTCCCCTGGACCCAGTGTTGTTTCCCTATACTTTGTCTCTGTGTCTTATTTCTTTTCTCCGTCTCTCATCCCACCCGACTAGAAACACCCACAGGTGTGGAGGGGCAGGCCACCCCTTCACTTGGAAAATCAGTTAAACACAAACACGGAATGAAAGTCAAAAGACAATATGTCATCTTTTTGAGAATTTTATTCACTTCAAAACAAATTCAACACACCTATTTACAAAGGGATTCCAGAGCCCACTTTTCGAGGCTGAGGAAAGACCCCGAGAGCGCTTTGCACAGCGCGCTTCCCAGCGTCCGAAACACTGCTCTCAGGGCGGGGCACAGCGGAAGGGCTGCACCTCTCAGGGTTCCCTAACTTTTCCCTTATTCAGTCGTCTAGAGAGCAAATACACAGTAATTCCCCCGTTTCCTATTGACGTCCCAGCGGAAGTCTGACTCCTGCGCGTCATGCAGTTTCTGAGGCAACGAATCACTGGCACGGAAGCTTTTCCTGGCGCGTTTCCAGAGAACCATGCGAACTACAATGTCCCTCACCAGAATTCAACGTGGCAGAGTCCCTGCATCTGCTCCCTGCCTGGCCTGGGCTCCCACATCCACAGAAGGGCCACAGCCGGGGAGCTTCGGAGTCACCGCACAGAGTCTGCTCTCTGCTCTGTGCTCCTCAGTCCCACAGTCCCCTCCAAGTCACGGGAGCTGGAGGCCAAGGAGCCCCTGCCACCTGCAGTCTCACTCCAGGTCAGAATCGCTGTCCTCTGAGGAGGAGGGAACCTGAAGGTCCTCATAGAGGACGCTTGGTGGGACACGAACACAGGGACCCTCAGACTTCTCTGAGACATGAGGGCTCTGAGCGAGGAAGGCTCCCGGCTTCTCAGGAGAGTGAAATGAGGGGGCCGTCAGCAGGCTGGAGCTCCAGCGTCCGTTTTCCAGTCTCCGAAAGAGCACTCTGAGAGGCTGGGCCCCATCATGGCTGGCCGCTGGGTGATGGGACATGGTGCAGGCCTGGGCAGTAGGCAGGCAAGGTCTGCTGTGCGGAGGCTGCCGGTCGCCGCTAAGCACCTGGGCGGGTGTCCTCGTGCCTGTCT
Source organism: Homo sapiens (assembly GCF_000001405.40). Classification (NCBI taxonomy): domain Eukaryota; kingdom Metazoa; phylum Chordata; class Mammalia; order Primates; family Hominidae; genus Homo; species Homo sapiens. The sequence goes on from NC_000012.12 coordinate 8,222,178, forward strand.
GGGGTGACGTACGTGGTCCAAGTTCGGTTGCGGCTGGCGGAGGTTGGAGATTCTCCGGGGCCCCCAGCTCACCTCCCTGGATGGCGCTTTCGGGGATCTGGAAGGGACCCAGTCTCGGTTTCTTGGGGAAGTTCAGGCAAGCCTGAATCGGAGCCGGGGCAGATCTCTTGGCTCCTGGCCCGAAGCTGAGATTGGAGCCTAGGCCCAAGCTGTGTGTGGCGGCTGGTGGGCAGGGCTGTGAGGTCACCGCAGGACGTTTGTCTTGTGCCTGGGGGCTGACGGCCTGGAGCAGGCCGTGGGTTTTGGAGGCAGCCTGGGGAACTTCTCGACAGCCACCCGCAGGGCTGCTGTGTGTCGGCTTCACCACGAGGAGAGGCTCGGGGCCCTGGTGCCTGACTGCAGTCTGAGGGATGTCGGCCGCAGCCCCTGTCTGTCTTTCCTTTGGTCCAAGACTTGAGGAGGAGCTCAGACTGGCTTTTCTGAGGGGAGACAGTGAAGCTAAGACGGAGCCCCTGTCAGACATTTCGGTAGCTGAGCGATCAGAGAGGACAGGGTCCACACGCGGCCTCTTACTGGTTGTGTGGACCGGCATTGGCCCGCTTGCAACCTGAAAGAGAGGAAACAACACAGGTTAGAAGTTCCTCAGCATGGAGCCAACATGAAAATCAACCACATCCAAAGACAAGGTGCACACGCCATGAAATTCTTAGTACACTATCGACAGGCGGTCCTTGGAAGTAGGGACAGACCCTCCACCTGAGTGCTGATCAGGACAAGACACATGAAAGATGCGCTCTCGAGCTATGTGTAGCTGATCTAAGCACACCATTGTTCAAAAGATTGCGTCTTAGGCATTAGCTGGATCAAAGCGCCTCCACTCAGCCTTCCATGAAGTGGAACCGACTGATGCCCTTCCGAAGGCAGGTTGGTGGCTCAAGGGTACTCAGGACGTCTTCTCTGAACATATGCATGTTCCTGGGTTTAGCCTTCTCCACGTTTGGGGCCTCTGAGGGACTAATTTCCTCATGCCGCTAGGAACGTGTTGTTGGCAGGCTTGCCATAATTGGACAGAAAGAAAGCAACAGGAAATACGGCATCTTCAGATGCCTTCGCCTGGAATCAAATTGACCTGGAAGGATCGTGGAGTGTCTGACCCCAAGAAGGCAAGAAAGAGGGGTTCCCCGATTCCCTCCCGCAGACGGGAAGCTGAAAGGAAATCAACCAGGGTGACCTAGAGGAGAAAAAGACCAGGGGCCCAGGGTGACCCTCACCCTCAGATAATCAGAAGATTCCGTGGATCCTTTTTGATTTGGCAGCGGCTTCTCTGGAGGTTTCCTGGAAAATATGTGGAGGAGAGCCTTCCTCTGCGGGTCTTGTGGCCTGCAGAACAGAAAAAGGTCAGGCCGTCCTCCCTGGTTTTCCCCAGGAGACGGGGAGAACCCTGTCTGGGGCCCAGTCCCATTCCGTGTTTTGTGATACAGAAATGGACATCTGGTGCCCTTTCCGCCTCTGCACCTTCCCTCACGTGCCAACCTTCCCATCCTCCAGGTGGCCCTCTAGGCTTCCCAACTAAGGACTGTGATTTGGATTCCATCACTTTTCCCCCTGTCGTGGGGAACCTGCACGAAGCGCCCCCGCCCCTCCCCGTCCCTGAATCTCCCAGAGCCAAAGGAGCTCTTGGGTGTGGAACTCCGGAAGACACAGAGCTCCGGTCTGTTTCTCTGCAGCGTTCCTTCCCTGGCCCGGAGACGGAAAGGCACACGGTGTGCAGGTGCAGAGACACCATGTCCTTAGGAGGCAGTACCCTAAGAGTGGTGAAAACCACTCCCACTGCTCACCTTGGTCTCTCTTCCTTCTCTCCCTTATCCTTGTTCAAGGGCCCAGGGTTCGCTTCAACCTGGGGCTTCCATGGTTTCAGGTTTTCCTTCCCTTCCTTTTCCCCAAAGTTCGGTGGAACCAGGGCTGCCTTCCAGCACTTCATGGGGCACCTGGTACTTCTGGCCGTGTGGCCAAAGGCCTCACAGTTTTTGCACTTGAGCTGTGGGTGGAAAGGAAGTGATGTCAGTGAGTGAGCTGAAGCCACAGGCACCGATCCCACGTCAACATTGAGACGGATTGTGAATTCAGAGCTGAATAAGGATTCCAAAGAGGGGACACCGGCATGGGGGCCGTTAAGTGCTGGGAGAGTTCGGATACGATGTTCCCTCCCAAAGCCCATGTGACGGAGGAACTCTAAAAGGCAGGACTCAAGGTCCTAAGGGGCACGATGGTGAACCCGATGTCAACAACACAGCCAAACGTGGCTACACAGGACTCTAAGTAGAAAGGGAGGTTGCCCCCAAGAGTCTCTCAAGGGGCCTATCGGGCCGGGGAGGAGGTCCCAAGCCACGCCCACCTTGGATGGGAAAAGCAACCTGGGTGGTGGTGACAGAACTCTTTGGAATCCAACCCAGTCTCTGAGGACCGTGTGACACCCCGTCCCCCCGCCCCCACCCCCACCCCAATACCCAAGAGATCCAGGGCTAGACTTACCCTGGGATCTTCTTCATCGGGCGGGGGAGCCCTTGGCCCAACTGGGGCCCTCCGCTGCTTCTGGAGGGTCTGGGCTCTCACCAGTCTCTTTGCCCCAGGTTTGGGGTCACGACGTGCCATCATCTTCGTCTCCTGGGGGTTTTATGACCGCCTTTTTCAGGGGTTGATTGTCGGGTCACCTGAAACACACACAAACACACACAAGTCGATGGTTAAGCACATTGGATATTCACACACCCACAGGAAGCCCCCCGCTAATTCCTTGCCGGTGTGGTCATGAGGAGACCTCACCACCAGTCGGTCAAATCTGTGGAACACAATGTGCTGTGTGCATCCTCAGATATTGTGTGTTCCTCTGCCATGATTACCTAGTCCAAGAGTAAACCTCGCCTGCCACAGGGCCCGTGGCCTAGGTATGGGGAGTTGAGCTTTCAACCCCAAACTAACAACTGATTCTGGAGACTGGACTTAGGTCTATCACGATTCACTCCGGTAGAAGACACGATGACTCTATCTCCCTTGACCGACAGAATGATCGAAGCCACAGGGCATGGCGTGTGTCACCCTTTGGCAGGTCTGTTTGAAATCTGGGATAAGGGATGCCTCCTGTCACAACTTGAATCGCTACTCTTGCCGTTTCATTAGGCAACTTCCAAACACAAATTCATAGAGAGAAGTTATCTTCCTCTCTACCACACTAGCAGGTGATGGTCTTTCCTGTTCTATCTTTTTGGCTTTAGCTCCAGCCCCTCTTTATTTATTTTTCTGGTATTTTACGCATGCCACACGAATTCATCTAAACGAACGGTGAACAAGTGCCATATCGTATCAATGTCTTACACGGCTGAAGGGCAAACCACCCTTTTTTCCAAAGTCCTTTTTCCATTTACCCACCAATTCAGCATGCTGCAGTACATTTCTTTTCGCATTCCCACCTTGGTCTTATCCCACACATGGAGACGGAAATGCTTTCTCGTTTTCTGTTCCAAGAATTACTAGTAACGAGAGCACACCCTACCGCATCAGCAAGCCCCAGTGTGATCGCTTTCTTTCGGCCTCCTTTGTCTCTTTTCCCCCCCACCCCTCAGGGATTGCGTGAAACAAACAACTGTTCAGTGAAACTAACCTGAAATTACACGTCTACTTTCTTTCCCCGGCTGGCGCTGAGATGGGCAGGTGCTGGAGCAGCCCCGCTGGAAGCGATGCAGCATCCAGGAAGACGGAGGAAGGGGCAGAGAGGGACCTCTGCTTTCCAGGCTGCCTTTTATACTGCCTCTGGTCACCTGACGTGGAACGTACCCTAACCTAATCAGTTACATGTAGGTTAATTACAATTAACTTAATCCAATTACATGACTCGGAAAGGTCTATCTGCACAGCCCACTCTAAGATCATGTCCACTGCTGACAGACATTCTAAAACCTACGTGTACAGCTGCAAGCTTTGAAGAATAGATGTTCCCCGTCAGATATGTAACACTGGTGCCTGTACCCCTGTCTTCTTTTCCATCTTTTTTGTTTTTGTGTTTTGTTTTGTTTTAAAAAATGTGGTAAAATAGACACCTTTTAATTGGACCATATTTACTCTATCTCGACGTAGGCCTCCGTGTCATCATGGAGATTCTCCTTGACATGCAGTCACGGCCATGATCCATCTTCAGAGCTTCTCTTTCTTCCCCACGGTAGGTCTGTCAGCAGAGAACCCTGACCACACACTCATGTGTTTTCTCCTCCAGAATGCGCTTGGAAACCACCGTGAATTGGAGCGCACTGGGAAACACAGATGAAGAAAGTCAACACCGCTTTGTCCTTCAGTGCCTGGCTCCCTTTTCAGCTGGTCTTGAGACTCCAGGCATTGGAGTCCAGGGAGGGGCACGCCGCCTTTACCTTGTGCTTCCCACGATCTTGTCTCCTTAATCCCCACTGCAGCTCTCTGCCATAGGGTCTTATACTGCTTTACATGTGGGAAACTGAAGCTCAGAGGGTTTCACAGCAGGGCAGGGAGCCCAGATGTGAATCTGTACATACCAAGCTTTCTAATTTTTCAGTAGTTTCCAAGCATCTTTTTTTTTTTCTTGTTTCTTCATTGATGTCTTTTTTTTTTTTTTTTTTTTTTTTTGAGACACAGTCTCTGTCGCCCAGGCTGGGGTGCAGTGGTGTGATCTCAGCTCACTGCAACCTCCGCGTCTCACAGTCAAGCAATTCTCATGCCTCAGCCTCCCGAGTAGCTGGGACTACAGGTGCCCACTACACCCAGCTTATTTTGGTATTTTTAGTAGAAACAGGGTTTCACCATGTTGGCCAGGCTGGTCTTGAACTCCTGACCTCAGGTGATCCACCTGCCTTGGCCTCCCAATATGCTGGAATTATTGATATGAGCCATTGTGCCCGGTCATGTCATTGTTGCCTTAACCAAGCCTCTTTTAATTTTTCAAACGGAAGAGCCCCTGTCCCTCAGTTACTGCTGCTGAGCCCTTTCAAGATGACTCAGTGAGGAGGGGGAAAAGCAGAAGCGGTGTGGGAAGAGGCGGGGTCTGGGCCAGCTGCTGGTCCTGCTCTCCTCCCTCCTTTGGCCTCTAGGCTCCCAGGAGTGGTTTGGAACCTGCGCCGTGTGCTCTGGGGGCTGTGGCAGGGCAGGGGCGGCTTGGAACCTGCGCCATGTGATCTGGGGGCTGTGTCAGGGCAGCGGGAGTCCTCGTGTCCCCTGCGCACAACACAGACAGAAGGCTGGGTCCACCCAGTGGGCGGTCGGGTGCCAGGCCAGTGCTTACCCCGCCATGTTTTCAAGCCCGAGGCCAGCTGGCTGCAGGTGCAGGGCTATGCGTCAGGGGTCAGGGTGCACACATCCCTGCAGGTCTCGGGGCTCCTGGGTTGCTTCTGGAAGGGCCCGGATGGGGCCTGACTGGAGCTGCCGAGGGGTGGAGCTTCTGGGAAAAGGATCCCTCCTAGGGGGAGTGTCTTGGGCCTGGGGCCACGTGGCACGGAGAGAGACGGGTCCATGGCAGTGTCTGCTTTTCTCTGTGAAGGCAAAGGGCCTCTGAGGGAGTATTACAGCCGCCTCATCCACCAGAAGCATTTCCAGCACATCCAGGTCTGCACCCCCTGGCTGGAGGGCCGAGGACTACCCCCGCTTCTAGGTGAGAGGCCAGCAGGAGGCTCAGGGAGGACGCGGGGCCTTAAGCAGGGGGAACAGGGGTGGGCAGGATGTACTTTTTTCAGAAAAGGTGGCTCTGGAGGCCACTTGGGGACAGGACCTGGGCTCTAGCTGAACTCCCGGGAGGAGGCTACTTCCTGGTGTGCCAGCCCCTCCCTGCCAGGTGGCCCCAGAGGCCCTTTACCAAGGGGTTTGAGGAGGCCACGTCCTTTCAGTCTGCCACGCCCTCCATTCAGTCCTCTTCCTTCCTGCAGGAGGGCTGGGCCTGGGGTTGGGGCCACTGTTGCCCAGGTGTGGGAGGGCAGTGGCTTTGGGAGGTACAGGGACGATGTGTCAAACAGCGTCGCCTCTCCCAGTGCGATGGTTCTCCTTTGCCTCCGTCTCTTTCCGCGTTGATTTCTCCAAGTGGGGAGTCGTGGCTTGGTCCTGATGCGTCTCTAGAGCCGCATCTTCCAGCTTCGAGTGAGCAGAGCAGTTGGAGTCTGAGGGCCTTTTCCTGGCAGGATTCTCCAGCTAGTCTTTGTTTTAGACAGTCTTGCTCCGTTGCCTAGGCTGGAGTGCACGATCTCAGTTCATGCAACCTCCGCCTCCTGGGTTCAAGCGATTCACCCACCTCAGCCTCCCAAGTAGATTACAGGATTACAGGAGCCCGCCACAACACCTGGCTTATTTTTGTATTTTTAGCAGAGACAGGGTTTCACCATGTTGGCCAGGCTGGTCTTGAACTCCTGACCTCAAGTGATCCTCTCGCCTTGGCCTCCCTAAGTGCTGAGATTCCAGGCCTGACCCATCATGCCTAGCCCCAGCTAGTCTTTAGAAATGTTAAGCTATTTGGCTTTATTTTCACACTGACAGCTGGTTTGTGGTGGGTGTGATGTGGTTTATTATTATTATTATTATTATTATTATTATTTTGAGACGGAGTTTCGCTCTTGTTATTATTATTATTATTATTATTATTATTATTATTATTATTATTTTGAGACGGAGTTTCGCTCTTGTAGCCCAGGCTGGAGTGCAATGGCGCGATCTTGGCTCACTGCAACCTCTGCCTTCCCGGGTTCAAGCGATTCTCCTGCCTCAGCCTCCTGAGTAGCTGGGATTACAGGCACCTGCCACGAATTAGCTTCGCTAATTTTGTATTTTTTTTTAGTAGAGATGGGGTTTCACCATGTTGGCCGGGCTGGTCTTGAACTCCTGACCTCAGGTGATCCACCCGCCTTGGCCTCCCAAAATGCTGGGATTACAGGCGGGAGGTGAACCTGGGAGGTGAAGGTTGCAGGGAGCTGAGATTGTGCCACTGCACTCCAGCCTGGGTGACAGAGTGACACTCTGTCTCAAAACAAAACAAAACAACAACAACAAAAAACAAATTGTGGCTATGTAGAAAAAGTGTCAACTTACATTTTCAGATGTCCCACCCAGGCCGTGTGGCTGCTTGGCCACCTTAAGCCACTTGTGCTTGGGGTTGTCGGGGACCTTATCCAATTTTCACTCCCCTCGGGGGAAGTTGTCTCACTGTGCTGGGAGGATTTGTGTTCCCAGGGCAGAGACCAGCGCTCTGACCCACCCCTCTTGCCTAGCAGGGTTAGTGGACCTGGGTGTCTCTCTGGACACATCCTCCAGTGGCCTGGACCTGCCCATGAAGGTGGTGGACATGTTCAGGTGCTGTTTGCCTGCGTGTGCCGTGAACTTCAAGTGGTAGGAGCAGAACCCCAATCTTTCTGGGGATAGCTTCACAGATCCACCACTGAGGGGGAAGCAGTGCAGAGTGAGCTGCCCACAGTGAGGCCCTGCCCCTCGGTCAGTCCAGCACACACTGGAGGCCACGAGGAGGAGCCCTGCGGTTGCTGTGGCTGGGCTGAGCCTCACTGAAGTAGTTGCTTCCATTTAGAGCTCATGTTATATTTAGGTTGGTACAAAAGTAATCACGGTTTTTGCCATTAAAAATGGCAATTACTTTTGCACCAACCCAATATGAAAAAAAAAAGTACCTTAAATACAAGAACTCCACTCGGGGCTTTTGCTCCTAGAGTAGAATTGGCGGGAATTGCCTGCAGGCTTACATGGTTTTCTTTGTTTTTCTCTCCCACCATGTCCCTTTTGGCCAAGCTCACGTGCTGGGTTTGAACGAGTTAAATGAGTGTCATGCTGTGGCCTCACTGCACCCAGCATAGACGGGTGTTTGGAAGGGCGGCGTTAGAGGAGATTCTAGAAGCAGTAGCCCCAGCACAAGTTGAGCCCTTGGCCCCTGCTCAGGAGCCAGCTCCTGGATGGGATTCAGGGATGCGAGCCCCTCATGTGAGCTGAGCTCAGGGAATGTCGGGATCAAATCTGGTGTCCTAGAAAAGTCATCTTTTATGTGCTGAACCAGTCCCCAGGGGGTTGCCTTTACTTGTTCCATGGCCATGGAATTAAGAAAAACATGCAAAAATAATTCTTCAGTCCTTGAAGAGCATCCAGCACAGAAGGTACAAACCTTCCTTAAGGCTCTCTCCTCAAATCGATTTGGTCATTTTGATGTGCACCCCCCCCAGGCCTTTATACCCTTCAGATGCCAAATCTAAGAACCAGCTCCCAGAAACCACACCCCCTGTTCCAACCCCCAGCCTGGCTTGAGCGTGGGGTGGGTGGGAGCCCAGCTGGGCACCCCAGGGGTCTGGTGTCTTCCCCAGGCAGCTCTCAGGCTCCCTTGGTTCTCTCTGCAGTTTACATGAGCTGGTGAAACATAAAGAAAATGGCCTGGTCTTTGAGGACTCAGAGGAACTGGCAGCTCAGCTGCAGGTAGCCATGTCTGCCACCACGCCAGGGTGGACAGGGTTCTGGAGACTGACATCGAGCCACGCTCCCTGATCCCTGCTTCACACAGCCAGGGTGGGACCATGCAGGGTCTGGTGGAAAAGCTAGGGAGGGAGCAGAAGTCACAGAGGCTTCCTACTCTGCTGTCCTGTTTCGGTACAGTAGGCTCGGGAAAATTAGGACACACCCCCACCTGCCCTCTGGATTTATGGAGCTGAGACTCCACAAATGATGCTGGAGCCGGGTGGGCCGGGCTGCAGTTTAGGAAGTGATCAGGATCAGGTAGGTGCGTGGGCAGAGGGAACTTCTGGGATCAGCCTTGAAAGATGGGTGGAATTCTGCAAAGGTTACTTGTTTCTTATTGCAAAAAGTAATACACCATTCTTGTCAACAGAATGATTGGGAGGATTTTCAGTAAAGGTCCAGGTCAGAAGTCATTTAGACAGGGTCCCCCAGTCTCTGTCAGAACCATGGTACTCTGTTGTGGTGTGAAAGTAGCCACAGATCATCTGTAGATTAAGGGGTGTGGCTTTGTTCCAATAAAGCTTTATTTACAAACACAGGCTGTGGGCTGGCTTTGGCCTGCAGGCTGTAGTTTGTGATCCTTGATTCAGACAGTTTAGCAAGGCTGAAAAGAACACACACACCCGTTTGTTACCCACAGATGGGTGGGACTGTGTTGGCCAGAGGCCGAGAGGAGGGTGCTCACAGGGGAACGTACAGCATGTAGAGGCCGGAAGGTGCTCCAGGGCACCAAGTGTGGGAAAGTGGGACATACGGGGAAGTTTCCAGAAAGCATGATGTCACGTTGGAGGCGGAGCGCTGCTGGGTTGTGAAGGGTCTCAAGTCCAAGTGAGGGAGTTAGGGACTTGGGAGGGGTTGTTGTTGGGTCGGGGACCTGGGGTCAGCCAGGTGGTGACCTGGGATGAGATGGGGACAGGCAATGAGGTAAGCTCTGCTCTTTAGCATTTTGCAGATGCTTTTCTCAAACTCTCCTGATCCTGCAGGCAAGCTAAACCAGTTCCAGAAGAACCTGCGGGAGTCGCAGCAGCTCTGATGGGATGAGAGCTGGGTGCAGACTATGCTCCCTTTGGTTATGGACACATAACTCCTGGGCCAGAGGCTAAAACCCCAGGGCCCCTGCTGTCCTTCCCGCAGCTTCTTCTTGGAGTCTCAGGGCAAACCCTTTCGAGCAGCGCCTCCCAGTGGCCAGAAGCTGAAATGACGGCAGTGGTGCCACCTGGTGAATGACCCGGGAAGCTGTGGTGGGCCCTGATTTCTTCTTTGGAGTCTCTGAAACGCTTCCTGTCTTCTTCTGTTCTTCACGCCCCATGCCCCTGCTAGCGTATTACTGTTCTGTGACTTCCCTGTGACCTCTGCAGTACTCCTCATCCTGCATTTGGTATCCAGGTGTCACCTGTCTGCCGTGTTCCTAACACTTTGATTCCTGTCTTGAAAAAAGCACCTGCTGCACCATAAGCCCTGGGATGTGGCAGCTGCAGCGGGCTTGGCTTTCTGAGGAACCAAGTGTGTCCACGTTGGGGGAACGTCATACTTGATACACACGTTTTTATTTGCACAAAGAAAATGCTATTTTTGGAGCCAGAATTTTCATGTCTGATTTATGGTGCTTTTCTTAAGAACCAGAACTACTGGCAGAAAGGCGGCACCCACACGCTTAGACAGCTGATATCTTATTAGAGGGCAGTTTGTGGTTCCTGATTTGGAATTTAACAATCTCCAAACATTCCAGTCCAATGAAAGTTTTAGCCGCTTTCCCATATAAAAATTCTTCCCATGAGAGTGACTTGATTCTTACAATCCCGTTAGAGTCGTGTGTGAGTCCTACAGTGTGAGGTTCAGCATTGCCATCTCCAAGTGCTCTCCGTAGGGAAACAGTTTCTGGTCATGATGAGCTTCTGCTTCCCATCTGATCCCGGCCCAGCCTGGAAACAAAGCACGTGTTTAAGGATGGCGGTGTTTGGGGACAGGACATGAGCGTTTTGTGTGGGGCTGCTAGGACAGGCCTGGCGGGGTGGGGGGTGTCTAAGTCAGTTTACTTGTTTCACAGGTTCCCAGGCCCACCCACATACCTAGAATTGGCCTCCAGGATGGGACCAGACATCTGGTTTTGCATAGAAATGGCTAGCAGCAGGCACCATGCCGCTGTCCACTCTCTGCCTGTGTCTGCCCCAGCACTTGGCACAGCAGGACAGAAGCAGAGATCTGAACCCACATCTACCTGGCTGCTCAGTCAACTCACTCTTCGCAAAGCTTAGAAAGTGGCAGGGCACAGCCAGACTCTGTCTCAAAAAAAAAAAAAAAAAAAGGTTGGTTGGGGCTTATACTATGTGTGCTGCTTGGCACTGTTTTTTTCACTTAAAAGATATTGCAGGTTTTTTTCACGTAAGTATCTGAAGAAAGACTTCCTTTTTTTTTTTTTTTTTTTTTTTGCTTTTTTGCTTTTTTGAGACAGGGTCTTGCTCTGTTGCCCACGCTGGAGTGCAGTGGTTAGATCAGGGCTCACTGCAGCCTCCACTTCATGGGCTCAAGCCATCCTCCCACCTCAGCCTCCTGAGTAACTGGGACTACAGGCATGTGCAACCACATCTGGCTAGTTTCTGTATGTTTTGTGAAGACGGGGTCCCACTATGTGGCCCAGGTTGGTCTTGAACATCTGGGGTCAAGTAGTCCTCCTGCCTTAGCCTCCTAAAGTGCTGGGATGACAGGCCTGAGCCCCACGCCCAGCCAGCCTCCTGTGCGAGGTTGTGCGGGACTCTGTCATGGAACCCAGTATGCCTTCATGTGCTGGCTTGTTTGTTGACTCTGTAGTTAACGGGCTGCCCCACGTGGGCAGGTACTGGGTCGTCTGTGTCTCTGTGTGCAGGCAGAGGCTGCTGCGAGTGCATCTGTGCAGATGGCTGCCAGGAGGGGCTGTGCTCAGGGGGAGCTGGGGCAGAGGCTGGTGGCAATGGGGGGCTTGGGTGTAGTGTGGAGGCACTAGAGCCAGGTGGCCGGGCTGCAGTCTGCGGGAGCTCGGGGGTCGCTTGGCCTCTGTGTGTCCCAGTGTCTTTGTCGGTGTGATGGGACAATGACAGCACACCCTCACAGGTGCTGGGGGCTGACAAATGTCAGGTCTGAGGACAGTGGCTGGCCCACTACGGGGCCAGTTTCCCTTCTCTATAGTCACCCTGCTCGTCTTCCATCAACTGGGTGCTCAGGACAGTGGCGTGGAGGATCCGCCTGTACAGCCTGTGCTCCAGCATCCTGCAGGCCACAGCTGTGTCCAGCCCTGACCCCGACTGCCCCTCCCACCACCTCCATTTTATAGATGAGGAAACCGAGGCCCAAGGGCTTAGGGAACCGTGCTCTGAAGCACATAGTAGGGCTGCTGGGCTCAGACCCTCCCTCCCTGTGCTGAGCTGCCCTCCTCCTGCCGCAAGACCCCATGCCCCAAGCCCACCCTGCTCACCGGCCTGTGCCCGAGTTCCCTGCATGGTGTAGGAGTGTGGGACATCCTAGCTTTTCCCCGGTGCCCAGTTCTTTCACTTCCACTGGAGTCCTGCAGGGACAGCTCAGGGACCATGCAGGCCCGGGTGGGTGTGTGGGCTCACCTAGCTCGGTGGTGAACAGCTGGCACGTCTCTGGGTTGCGGACGGTAAAGGCCACGTAGACCTCAGGAGCCCGCTTGTGCTCCTGGCAGGCAGCCAGCCTCCGCAGGACCCCGACCAGCGACACGATGGCTTCTGGGCAATACAGCACGTCTACGGTGAAAGCTTCAGGTTACTGAAAGGGACAAGTGGAAAGTTCCAGTTCATGCTGACCTCAGCAGCAGGGCGAGGCCAGAGAGGCAGCGGTCCTATGAGACTATTAGATGCCATTTGACCATTTGGGCCATTAGATGGAAAGGCAATTACTTGGGTGAAAAAGGAGAACCCTTAGTAGAGAAAGCTGCAAAAGACCGAAGCAAAAGAAAAAAATCTCCAGACTCACTGGTGTTCCTTAAAAAACCAGCTCTGGTTCTTGGCCTATCTAGAGGGCTTTGAATGACAGAAAGCCTGACCCTGCCATGAAATTCGTGTTTCAGGTGTCTGCCGATTGGTCTGCTGGCTTGCAGGGGTGGGCCTGTGTCCCTGGCCACCGCTGGACCTGTGGGTTTCAGGGCTGGGACCCAGGACCACAGGCAGAGCTCTGCTTCACCAGAGAGGGGACTGAGTGTGCTTGCAGGGGTGAGGGGTTTTCGGTGGCCCAGCCAAATACCACCTTCTCTCATGGGCCTTGTCCTCGTCCCAGAAGTGGTTGTTTTCCTCCTGTGGTCTCTGAAGGACACAGGGCATGGCTCTGGGACAGAGCCATGTGCCGACGACTGTAACGGGAGTATGCCTGTCTCCACCAAGAGGGCTGTGGCTTGAAGGTCACCTTAAGAGGCACCCCTGTCCTTTGATGTCACCCTGGAGGCCCAGAGTAACTCTTCTGGAAGCCCCATCATGTCCATGCCTGACAGCGTCCATTGTTCCCTTTTCCCAGAGCCAAGAGCTGGGTAGAGCTGCAAGGACACCGCCTGCACAGGGTGCCCGGGGCTGGGCATTACCTGCTGCAATGACAACATCTGGCTGGAAGGCAGAGAGCTGATGGACCGTCGCTACGTCCCAGTCCAGCTGGGCCACTGTCACCCTGGGGCTGTCTAAGTTGGCAGTGATGTCTGCCTCTAATGAGAGGCCATTGAGAAAGACATTCCCTTGGAGCTGCTCGAGGACCCGGCTGTGAGGGTCGCTGAAGATGTATGCCCGGGGGCGGCACATCTTGCAGATGGCAAGGCCTGTGAGGCCGGCACCACTGCCAAGTTCTAGGACAGTCCTGGCGGGAGGAAAGGGGACCGTGTCTTCGACTGCACCAGGGTAAGCCTGCCTTGGTGCCCTGCCCTGTGCCCCGAGGTCACCTGTTAGTGAAGGCTGCTGGGTTCTCGATGGCCCATTCTGCAAGGCAGAGGGTGGCGTCCCATGTGACCAGGCCTGTGGTACCGTGAGAGATGATGGCTGTGCTCTCGGAGATTGTGACCGAGCCTCCCGAGGGCTGCACCAAGAGAGGGCGAGAGAGTCAGTCCAGCGATCAGAAGGCAAGTGGCTTAGAAGACAAGTAGCCATCCACCACATGGCTGAATAAACCATGACAGGACCAATCGCCACTCAGCAATGAGAAGCAGCTAACTGTTGACATACCAACAGCTTTCACGGGCCTCAAGATTGTCACGTGGCATGAAAGACACTCATCTCAGGCCACACAGGATTCCATTCATCGAACATTCCTGAGACAACGGAATTCTGGCGATGGAGCACAGGTCAGTGGTGGCCAGAGGCCGGGTGTGGCTATGAAGGGGTGGCTGCCTTGTGATGATTCAGTATGCTATGTTTTTCCTTTGTGGTTTTCTGTATCTATGTTTTATCTTTTTTTTTTTTTTTTGAGCTCTGTCACCTAGGCTGGAGTCAGTGGCACGATCTTGGCTCACTGCAACCTCTGCCTCCTGGGTTCAAGCAATTCTCCTGCCTCACCTGCCCAAGTAGCTGTGACTACAGGCGTGTGCCACCATGTCTGGCTAATTTTTATACTTTTTTTTTAGACATAGATTCGCTCTCGTTGCCGAGGCCGGAGTGCAATAGCGCGATCTCGGCTCACTACAACCTCCACCTCCGGGGTTCAAGAGATTCTCCTGCCTCAGCCTCCCGAGTAGCTGGGATTACAGGCCCCCACTACCACACCCCGCTAATTTTTGTATTTTTGGTAAAGATGGAGTTTCACCATGTTGGCCAAGCTGGTCTCAAACTCCTGACCTCAGGTGATCCCCTTGCCTCAGCCTCCCAAAGTGCTGGGATTACAGGCATGAGCCACCACGCCTGGCCTAATTTTTGTATTTTTAGTAGAGACAGGGTTTCACCATATTGGCCAGGCTGGTCTCGAACTCCTGACCTCAGATCCACCCACCTTGGCCTCCCATAGTGCTGGGATTACAGGCATGAGCCACCATGTCCAGCCCTGTCAAGTATTCTTTGAGGACTGAGCACCAGGTCCTTGTGAAGCAGGTAGTGTGTGTCACCTATTGGACAAATGCCCAACAACCCCACGAGACATGCTGTTGTTGTTGAAGTGCTTGATTTACAGACAGGGAAACTGAGGCTAAAGAAGGTTAATGGACCTCATGTCTAAGACTGCAGAATGGGTGAGTCAGGATTTGAACCCACACCCACGTTTTCACTTTTTCTGTGCAGGAAGGGTATCTGGGCTGTGAGGGGGAGGAGGGTGCCCTTCTCATACCAGCAAATAGCTCCGGTGGCCCTGGGTGGACTCCTTGACCATCAGAGTCTCTGCCAGCCCCTCGTACAGCTCGTCCAAAGGCTCCGTGTGGACAGCCTCGTGCTGGGGGCATACAGAGTGAGAGCTTGTTTGCTTTCGTACTAATCTGTAAAAATGGCCAGATGATTTTCACCAAGTTTGGAGGGGAGATTTGGGATGGAATGGTGTAATACCGGCCAGCTGGTATATAAAATATTCACTTCGTTGGGCGTGGTGGTGTGTGTCGAATAGTTCCAGCTGCTCTAGAGGCTGACATGGGAGGACTGCTTGAGCCCAGGAGTTCGAGGACAGCCTGGGCAACAGAGATCTTGTCTCTAAAAAAAAATAATTCCACTTCGTAGGGAAACCTGGACGGGAGGGCCTTCAACAAGAGGTGTTGAGAGGGGAGGGTTAGGTGTAGTCTAGGGCAGGAGACAAGGATTCCGTGAGAGCTGCCACATGACCATGACAGAGAGCTCTGTGTTTGGATCAAACACAGAGAGGAGGAAAACAAAAGGTGCTTTTAAGTGAGCCCAGGCAGAACTGTGAGGGCGGCCCATGCTGCAGGCTGTGGCTGTCAGCAGGCTGCTTCTCCACAGCTGGCCCCGTCCTAGGATTCACAAGGCAGCAGCAGGGTACACTGGGTGACTGCTGCCCTCTCGTGGTGGCACAGGGCAGACCGGCTGGCAACCACAGATGCACCCTTTTGGGGAGGACTAGGGAGAAAGCAGGTATTGGAGAAGCAGGGGATTGTTTATTTGCTAAAAGTGTGGCCCTTTCACTCAGCAGGTCTGCTACTGCCTACTAAGGAACGGCTTCTCGACATCCTCCTGTCAAACCCTGCATGTTCAGGCCCATCTTTAAAATCCATCCTAGGCCAGGTGCAGTGGCTCATGCCTGTAATCCCAGCACTTTGGGAGGCCGAGGCAGGCGGATCACCTGAGGTCAGGAGTTCGAGACCAGCCTGGCCAACATGGTGAAACTCTGTTTCTACTAAAAATACAAAAATTAGCCAGGCATGGTGGCGTGTGCCTGTAGTCCCAGCTTCTTAGAAGGCTAGGCACGAGAATTGCTTGAACCCAGGAGGCAGAGATTTCAGGGAGCCGAGATTGTGCCACGGTAATCCAGCCTGGGCACCACAGTGAGACTGTCTCAAAAAAGTAAATAAACAAGTAAAAAATAAAATCCATCCTATAGCAGTCAGGAAAGAGCTCATTCCAGCAGGATCAATGAAGAGAATTCACCAGAGGAACTAGTTCCAAAGGTATGGCAAGAGCTAAATCTTCCAACAGGGGCCCGTGGGGCAACCCAGAGACGGACAAGAGCAGGAAACTCCAAACCCTTCGGCGGGCAGGACAGAGGGTGTGAGTGAGGGTTCCAGTGTTGTGGGCTGGACCAGCCTGGTAGGAATGAGAATTCATATGCTAGGAGATGGGGCCCCAGAGAAGCAGCTGCTGTGGAAACCCCAGGAGGCAGAGTGAGGGAGAGACGCTGGCCTCCCCTTCTTCCCACCCTGCACTGTCTCCCATGGGTCACACTCAGCTGCAGCCAGTTGCCTGCGGAGGCCCCTGCCATGCTGGGGTTTGCAAAGCAGGCCCAGGGCCTGGGAAGGACGGGGGCTCCAGCACGCAGGTGGCTATGCTGTCCGGCTACTGGGCGGACACTGCCCATAACTGACCTTTTTGATGAGTTCTGAGAGAAAGCACCGGGCATACTTGACTGACGGCGGGTGCTTCACACACACACAGGATGCTTCACAGTCTACGGCAAAGGACAGAACGTTGGTTGCTCGAGAGCCCGTCTTAAGTCTCCTATGAGCTTCAAGCCAACACAACAGAGGGCAAACTCCAGGCTACCTGATCCCTCAGCAAAGATGCAGATGGACACAGCGTTCTGGCCCCACGCATCTGAAGTTCGTCTTAAGATGTAAGCCGTTTCCTAAAAATGCTTCCACTGCAGTGGCACAGGCTATGGCAGCATTTCTAACGCCCATTCTGAGCAGGAACACAGGGCATGTGGGTCCCAACCACCTCCCTCCCAGGGGAGCCAGTGTGAACCAGGGTTTGCAGTAAGGACAGTCGCCAACTGTCTGGCTCTATGGAAGAGGTGGGAAGGCCCACTCAGCAACTGCTCTCTTGGATCATGTGTCCCTGGGGACAGGATGGAGGGGAGGGGGCGCTCAGGGTGACTCCAGCTAAAGCCGAGAGAAGCCAAGTGCAGGATGAGCAAGTTCCAGGCAGTGGGAACAGCCTGTGCAAGCTCTGAGGTGGCCACGGGCTGGCACATGGAACGGAGGGCAGAGGGACTGGTGCAGCAGGAGGGGGGACGGCGGGAAAACAGGAGCCTGGAGGGAGAGGGAGGAGACGGTCCGCAGCGCCTGCTGGCTGGGAGGGATGCAGATTCTGCCCAAGGGCAGCAAAGTACCCCACGCAATACACAGGCTCTTCATGCTGGTGCTGGTTTTTCATTTTTTCTGACACAGAGTCTCGCTCTGTTGCCCAGGCTGGAGTGCAATGGCCAGATCTTGGCTCACTGCAGCCTCCGCCTCCTGGGTTCAAGCGATTCTCCTGCCTCAGCCTCCTGAGTAGCTGGGACTATAGGCGTGCACCGCCATGCCCAGCTAATTTTTTTATTTTTAGTAGAGATGGGTTTTTGCCATGTTGGCTAGGCTGGTCTTGAACTCCTGACCTTAGGTGATCCGTCCACCTCAGCCTCCCAAAGACCTGGGATTACAGGTGTGAGCCAGTGCACCCAGCCTTGTGCTGGGTTTTAAAGCAGCTCTCCCTATATCTCATGCTTCACCACCTACCAGAGTGAGGCTCAGGGTGAAACTCAGAGCAAGGTGCAAGACAACTTCAGGTATCTCCATGCTCGAAGCCCTGACCTACTGTATTGCCCCGAAAGTCTTCCCTGCTGTGGCTGCATCTTTTCCACGTGGATAATCTTGGTTCACCTCTAGCACAGGAATTCTTTTCCGGGGCTCCTAGGATGGGCTGGGTGGGTGGGAGTGGAGGATGTCTGCCTCCCCTGAGTTTGTATGGAAAAGGTATTCTTTTGGTGCACTTCTTTCTGGGAGGGAGTCTATTGCTTTGTCTTTTCAGAAGGGCTCATGGCCCTTCGAAGGTGAAGACCCAGGATGCAGGGTGATCTGCACTTGGCCCTCAAGGCCAAGGTCAGGCTGTGGCTGGGCCGGGTGGTGATCCTGGCTCTCACCTGCATGCAGATGCACTTGAGTCCAAACCCCACCCTGGGCAAAGCAAGGGCCCATTTAGGTCTAGAAGAGACAGGAGTGGGTGGGACAGGCCTCATGAATGCAAAAAAGAAAGTCTCTGAGCATCTACCAAATGCTAGAAGCTGTTTTGCACCTGTCATCTCTGTTTTTGCTGTGGATGGTTTAAAAAACATTCCCTAGATTTCCCCCCTCTTGCAGATTTTTGTATATTCTGATGTCTTTGTCTAAGTCTTAGATAGAAAACGAAAGCGCAGGAGCTGTCGGAGGTGCTGACACCCACCTGCAGTGCTGACTCAATGGTTTTGTTCTTTGAAGAGGGCTGTTTTTAAAGGGTACAAGCACACCTGTGGTTCTTCTCTCAGGTCTTCCGGAGAGATTCAGGAGGCAGAGTCATGAGTCCCAGGGACTCTGGGATTCTTACCTTCTGCAAAATATCCCGCAGCAGCTCAGAATCTGATGAGTCTCTTAACTTTGCTTCTAAGCTCAGTGTGGACGGGGGAGGGAGAAATCTCAAGGGCGCATTCACAGGAACATTAAAACACGCAATAGAATGTGTTGGCAAAGCTCTATGTGATCCCTCCCTGGGGACGTGGAGCCAGTTGGAAGTGGAAGCCACAGCGGCTGAAAGCCTGACCTTCAGATGTCGCAGGGTGCACCTGGATGAGTCACAGGAAGAAGGCTGACTCTTGGCCGCATGAGTCCTGGCTACTCAGCTGCCACCCAGGTCATGGGCCAGCTCCCTGGTTGCACTGGTCAGCCAGGAATTACCAGGGCAGCCATGGCACCAAGGTTTGATGGGCTTGCCATCTGAGTTTAAGTGGAAATGCAGAATGTGCCCATACCAGCCTGGGTTACATTGTCCTCTTATAGGGGCCTCAAGCCCAGCAGCGAACTTTGGCTCCCGAGTTAGGCAGACTGTCTCGGCTGGCATGTGGCACACGGCAAGGCACTTCATTGCTTCAGAGCTCCTTCTATGCCATAAAAAGCCCTACAAGACCTGGTGCTAATCCCTCTCTCTGGCCTGTTCTCCCTCACCCCTGGCCCACCCTGCTCACTCCACTCCAGCCACACTGGCTGCCTTGCTGTTGTTCCTCAACCACAGCTGGCTTGTTTCCACCACAGGGCCTTTGCATATCCTGTTCCCCAAACCCTTCCCATGGCTGGCTGCTTCACCACTCAGGCCCCAGTTCAAATGCCACCTCTTTGGGGAAAGCTTCCATGATTCCCTGACTTTGGTGACTCTTCTCCCCAGTTGCTCCATTCACCATTTCCCTGTTTTATTGGCTTTAAAGCCACTCTCATCTGGTCTTTTCTTGTTTATTCATTTATCTGTTTATTCTCTGGCTCTCCCATGCAAGCAGAGCCTCATCTATCATGGGTACTGCTGATCCATGGTGCCTGGCTCACGGAAGGCATTTATTAAACATTTTGAGACTGAATAAAACACTAGCTAACACCGACATGCATTTACCATGAGCCAGGCACTGATCCACAGGCTTTTGTACTCAACGCTGACAACAACCCTAAGAGGTAGGTATCATTATATCCCCCATTAATAAGAAAACAATAGCACAGAGAGATGCAGTCACTTGCCCAAGGTCACACAGGGCAAGGGGTTGGGCCAGGATTCGAAGCAGGCAGGCTGTCTCCTGGGTCTGAACTCTCAACTACTTCACCCTAATCAAACAATCCCTCTGGTCAAATGTGAGTGATAATAATAGTACCCACCTCGTGGGTGTTGAGGGTGAGCCCAAGTTAGCATTCAGCGTGGGCATGTGAACAATTATAGTCAATATTGAATGGAGACCTATGATGCTTTTATGAAGGTTTCTATTTTGGATTAAAAATGCACAAATTTCTCCTGACCAGAAATGATCTCTGAGTGCTAAATATTTTATGTCAATGGAAGAATGCAAATGATTAAGCAACACCCCATAAAATGGGGCAGACCCAGGGAGGAATATATATCCAAACTGACTCATCCCAGTGAGCTCACTGCACATGAATTACAAATGGAGCGGGGTGCATTAAGCCCCTCTGCTGGCAGAAGGGAGGCTGCTGCCTGCCATGCGCCTGTGCTGAGAATGGCAGGTCCCCAGGGAGAGGAGAGGCCACCCCCTTCTCTTTCTCTTCCATCACAGGTGTGAAAGCCTCAGCGCATGAGCCAATTCTGTGCAGTGCTCGACATACAGATGAGAACACTGAGGCACGAGGCACAGCCTGTGATCTGGCCACCGCGCTCAGGAGGAGGTGGTTACCCGCGGGCCTGAGGGCGCTGACTTTTTAGAATGGGCGAGTGCAGCTGTGTCCCAGTGTCCCAGTGACCAGAACGATTACTGCCTTTTAAAAGTCGTGAAAAGGATCGTGAACTGTACCCCACACCGAGCGCGCGTCTGCCCCCCAAGGCGGTGGAGACACCCCCAGCTTCCGCCGCCAGCTCGCGGGGCAGAAGGGGTGCGAGCGACTCTGGCCAGGCCCCAGGGACGGAACCGGGTCTGGCGGCCCTGACCGGGGAGAGCCCAGGAACTCACGTAGCCGGAGCGCCGGGGGTTTCAGCACGGAGACCCATCCCGTCTGCCCCTGGACTCCCGCGAGCCCCGCGGGCCTCTCCGCTCGCCCCGCCGCCCACATGCCAGGGGAAGGAGCGCAGTGTGCGCGCCGCCAGGAAGCGGCGATCGAAACCCTGCAGCAAGAGTTCGATCCCGCGTTCTCCTCGGGCGCCATGACGTGGGCGGGGCCGCAGCGTTGCCGGGAGACCTGGAGGAAGCCGGCCTGGACTGAAGAGGGGGCGGGTCCGGGGCAGTGCGCGGGGGCAGGGAGGGGGCGGGGCCTGGGGGGTAGGGTCAGGAGGTGCGTCCTGGGGGCGGACTCTAGGGCGGGGCTAAGGTGAGCCTTAGGAGGGCGGGGCCTGGGGTGGGGCCAGGATGAGCGCCATGAGGGCGAGGCCTGGGGTAGGGCCAGGATAAGCCTCACTGGGGCAGGTCCTGGGTAGAGACCAGGTTGGCGGGTCTTGGGGCGGGGCCAGGATAGGGCGATCCTGGAAGCTGGGCTTCGGAAGCGTCCAGGTTGGTGGCGTCCTGGAGGCAGTGCCTTGCGTGGGGGCAGGATAAGAGTCCTGGAGGCGGGCATTAGGGCGGGGATAAACGCCATTGGGTTCAGGAGGCGGGACTCAGAGCAGAGCCCAGGAGACAGGTCTTAGGGCGGGGCTAAGGCCAGACCCAGAGAAGGGCTCAGGAGGCGGGGCAGGGGCGGGGCGTTGACTATGTCTTGGCACATGGCCAGGCGGTGCGCGGACTCTGGGAGGCGGAGCTTAGGACGGGCCCACGTGGGGAGGGGCCCAGGGTCCGGGAGGCGGTGCCGAGTCCCGGCTGGGCTGCGCTCAGGAGGCGGGCCCTGGGAGGCGGAGCTTAGGGAGGGGCCGGTGGCGGGAGGGACCCAGGGACTGGGAGGCTGGTCGGGGCTGGGCTCAGGGTCCGAGACCTAGCTGGGCTTGGGGCGGGGCCGAGACGGAGCGAGGGGTCCAGGGTGTGGGAAACGGGGAGGGGTTTGAGGAGAGGATCGGAATGTGGCTCAAGTTCGGGAGGCGTTACCTGCGGAGGGTTTGAGGCAGGCCCAGGAGCGAGCCCACGGTCTGCCTACGCGGGGCCAGGGGCGGGCCCCAGGATCCGGAGCTTCGGGCGGGGCGGAGTCCGAGTTTGGGGCCCGGGAGGCGGGGCCAGTTAGGGTGAGGGTCCCTGGGATCGACGGGTCAGGTCTTGGGCTAACGTAGGCACTCTCGCAGTTCCTCCGCCTTCAGGAAGGTCTTTTTAGCAGAGGCCTTACGGGTGCGCGCTTCGGTCCTGGAGGCCTTATCCTAACCTCCTCTCCATCAGCGCCACCCGTCTGGGGCCCGAAACGAGGGAGCTTTCCCTCTGTCCCCCAGCCTTTGGACTGTCACCAAACAAGCCATTCGTTCATCAAAAATACTTATTAAGCGCCTACCATGTGCCTGACAAGGGAGATGTAACGGTGAGAAAAAGTAGGTGTGGTCCAGGCCCTCCAGGGGCTCAGGGGCTCGTGGAAGAAGTGGACATTGAAATACTTATCACACAAATGAGGATAAAAGTACGATAGCGATATCTGCCACGAAGGTGAGCAGACAGAGCTAGCGGGGCTTGCAGGAGGAGTTTTGATCTTGCAGGGACAGGAAGGAGGAGTTAGCTCCTGCGGGGTGGGATTGGGGGTGGTGGTGATATAGACGTGGGGACAGAGTGGAAAACAACAAAAATATAATTATTTTAGTTCAAAGTTATTGTGTCTTGAGTTGAAAGGCAGGGCAGTTAGCAACACAGTTCAGATTTCAGTACTGCCCCTGAAATCTGAACTGTGTTCAAAGTCTAAAACGTTTACCTTAGCAAATTCCTCATAAAACTCCATTTGGAAGAGTCCCGAGAGCGAATTTGTTAAGTACACTTGCAAAAGGTAGATGAGGAGACAGATAAAATCTTATTACCTCTTTCAGATGAGAGCCACTTGAGCCCTGCTCAGCTATGAGAATAAGAGAGGGGAATTAATTCTAATTGAATACACTTGTTCTCTTATAGCTGTTGTTCCACACCAGAACCAAATGAGCGCAAGATCTGACAAAGAAAAAAAAAGGTTCATCTTTTATTCCTCCAAACACTTTCATTTAAATCAAGAGGATGGGATGTGGTTATTGCTGTGTTTTTAGGCAGAATCAACGGTTTCTGGGTCTGAGATGGTGCATACACCCTCTCAGTCCCTGTATCCTGAGATGGAGTCACCTAAGAATCCACAGCAAGTCCTAACCAGGGATGGGTCTGGGTGATTAAGGAAGGTTGGCTTCAGAACTGGGCCAGGGGCACTGCTTTGCTTTTGCTGTTTTGATCAGCTCTCTGCCTGCAGGAGACAAGGAAAACCAATGGGAACAGGTTAGTTGTACTCATAAATCCTGGGCTTATTTTCTTAACTCACATAATAGCTATTAATTGTCTTTCCTCCAAGGAGCAAAAGGGCATATATGGTCAATGCCATAGTAAGTAACATTGTATTATGTTATACTAAAATATTAATAAATCTAGGTTGGTTCAGTCTTTCCTGAGTCCATAGATTGGAAGCAGACTGAGGAAGGACGCTAGTGGACCACAGAGCTGAGCCATGCACACAGAAGAAATCTTTTTTTCTTTTTTTTTTGGAGACGGAGTTTTGCTCTCTTGTTGCCCAGGCTGGAGTGCAATGGTGCGATCTTGGCTCACTGCAACCTCCACCTCCCAGGTTCAAGCGATTCTCCTGCCTCAGCCTCCCGAGTAGCTGGGATTACAGGCGTGAGCCACCCTGCCGGGCCACTTGTATTTTTAGTAGAGACAGGGTTTGAACACGTTGGCCAGGCTGGTCTCAAATTCCTGACCTCAGGTTATCCACCCACCTCTGCCTCCCAAGGTGCTGGGATTACAGGCGTGACCCACCGCGCCCGGCCAGAAGAAATCTTTATCTTGGTGTGCAGTCTCTGGTGATGAACAAATGTCATCTCTCTTGGATCTGAATCTGGAAGGATCAAGGCACTGAAGGGATTTTTTTGTTTTAGACAGTCTCCCTCTGTTGCCAGGCTGGAGTGCAGTGGCAGGATCTCAGCTCACTGCAACCTCTGCCTCCCGGGCTCAAGCGATTCTCCTGCCTCAGCCTCTGGAGTAGCTGGGACTACAGGCACGCGTCACCATGCCCAGCTAATTTTTGTAATTTTAGTAGAGACAGGGTTTTACCATGTTGGCCAGGATGGTCTCAATCTCTTGACATCATGATCCACCTGCCTTGGCCTCCCAAAGGGCTGGGATTACAGGCGTGAGCCACCATGCCCGGCCTCACTGAAGGGATTTTTTTAATGTCACGTGGTTCTCACAGGTGCGATGTGTTCAGGAGCAAGTGAAGATTACGACGGATGCTTAAAAACAAACGTAAAATTCCAGGTGGTGTTGCTATGGGTAGCAGCATTAGGACAATCTGAGTGGTTTCAATTGCGAGAGTGTGCGTGTATGTGCAAGAACTACAGTCAAGATTCAACTTCTGGCTTTGAGGGTGTCTTTAATAACAGTAATAACAACCTAAGGCAGTTTAACAGTATGGAATGGTTGCCTTTTAGAAGTTAAGCTATGGGCATGGAAGTTCAATCAGTACCTTGAAGTTTTTCCTTTATCTCTCCTATGGTTAATGATTTCTGCAGAAAAGGACCAATTGATTTCTTTCTAAATCGTTGCTTCAGGGTGTAGAGACCTTTATAGGTCATGTTTCAACTTACAGAAAATTTTTGTAGTTCAAATATAAATTACTTTCAATGTGGACTTTGTAAGAGAATTTAAGGTTAAGTAAAGTTTCCACTTTCCTTAGGCTGTTTGCAGTGCCCAGCAGGCCCCATCATATCGAGGTGGAAGTTATGTTAAAGGAGGAGGTTGGTCAGGGATGGGCAGAATAAGGGATATGGGCAGCTCAGGCTAATGATGCAATGATTGAGATGTAGAAAGAGGGTCAGGCATGGGATAACGCCTGTAATCCCACTGCTTTGGGAGGCCAAGGCAAGAGAATCGCTTGAGGTCAGACCAGCCTGGTCAACAGAGTGAGACCTAACCTGTACAAAAAAACCCACAAAAAAACAAAAAAAAATTAGTCGGGCATGATGGTGTGCGCCTGTAGTCTCAGCCACTTGGAAGACTGAGGTCAGGGGATCCCTTGAGCCCAAGAGTTTGAGGCTGCAGTGAGCTATAATCACAGAACTGTACTCCAGCCTGGGTGACAGGGTGAGGCCCTGACTCAAAAAAAAATTGAGTCAGGGAAAAAATTGGAAATCTTAATCCTCAGTACACAGGAATGTGACCTTATTTGGAAATAGGGTCTTTCTAGATGTAATCAAGTAACAGTGAGTCATCCTGGATTGGGAGCTGCTGGTGAGGGGGCAGATGCAATGACTGGTGTCCTTATAAAAGAAGAGAATGAGGGCCGGGCATGGTGGCTCATGCCTGTAATCTCAGCACACTTTGGGAGGGTGAGGTGGGGGGATCACTTGAAGTCAGGAGTTCGAGACCAGCCTGGGCAATAATAACAATAAAAAAGCCATTTTAGATTCCAATCCACTGAAAGAAAACTGACCCTTAGTTAATGTCATGCTTATTGGATCCATGAAGTCTTTGAAAATTTAAACTACAAGGACACTGCTCTCTGTGGTGGTGGAGAGAATACCAAGGATTTAAAGGTCTTTAAGAAAGAGAATGTAGAAAGCGTACCCATTGGAAACAGCAAGATGATGATAATCGTACTGACAGTAATAATAAGCTGAAATATATAGAGCTTACTATGTATCATGAATTGTTCTGAATTCTTTATAAATATATGTTACCTCCTTTACCCTCATGGCAGCCCAGTAAAGTCGCCATTCCCCATTTTACAGCTGGGGAAACTGAGTTACAGAGCTTTTCTGCACTGAGTCATCAGGAG
The DNA here is from genome assembly GCF_000001405.40 of Homo sapiens. Taxonomy (NCBI): domain Eukaryota; kingdom Metazoa; phylum Chordata; class Mammalia; order Primates; family Hominidae; genus Homo; species Homo sapiens. The sequence continues at coordinate 8,247,703 of NC_000012.12, forward strand.
CAAATGCTAGATCAGGTAACTGAACCCAAGCAATCTGGTTCCAGAGCCAAACAGATGTATTTTTTATGGCATAAAAACATATACATACATTTTTAGGGGAAGGGTGGGTGTAGGATGGGATGAGGATTCTGGGTAATTGCTTGGTAAATGCCAAATACCTTTCTTGTCTGTCCCTCTTTTCAAATGATAAAGTAATGTCAATTGCAACACTTTTTTTTTTTTTTTTTTGAGACAAGGTCTAGCTGGAGTACAGTGATGCAGTCATAGCCCACTGCAGCCTCAAATTCCTGGGCTCAAGCGATCCACCCACATCAGCTTCCCAAGTAGTTGGGACTACAGGCCCACACTACTGTGCCCAGCTAATTATTTTAATTTTTGCAGAGATGGCAGGTGGCGGTGGGGGGGGTGTCTTGGGGGGTGTCTTGCTATGTTGCCCAGGCTGGTCTCGAACTCTTGACCTCAAATGAACCTCCTGCCTCAGCCCCACAAAGCTCTGGAATTATAGGTGTGAGCCCCTGTGGCTGGCTACAATACTATTTATTTATATTTTAGACCAACAGATATTCTAGCATATAAGAAACGTGATGCTCTCTGTACATTGAAGAGTTGGTCTAATATTTGTCCTGGTGGATACAGAAATTGCCTGTCTGCTCCGCTCTGGTTGAAGAAACCAGTCCGACTGTCTCTGAGGCTATGGAGCAGTCCATCAAGAATAAAAGCCCTCTGCCAGGCACGTTGGCTCACACCTGTAATACCAGCACTTTGGGAGGCCGAGGCAGGTGGATCACTTGAAGTCAGGAGTTCGACACCAGCATGGCCAACATTGTGAAACCCTATTTCTACAAAAAATAGAAAAATTAGCTGGGCCTGGTGATACGTCCCTGTAATCCCAGCTACTCAGGAGGCTGAGGCAGGAGAATCACTTGAACTTGGGAGGCACAAGTTGCAGTGGGGAGCTGAGATCACACCACTGCATTCCAGCCTGGGCGACAGAGTGAGACTCTCTCAAGAAAAAAAAAAAAAAGAATGAATGTCCTCATGATGGCCTCAAGCACGTTGGTCCCTGAAGAGAGTCAAGGAAGGCCCACTTTACTCTGCACTGCAAAGCAGGCAGGTGGACAGGAATCTGAGAAGTGGATTCAGTGAGAGGCATTGACCCAAAGGATTTTCTGCCTAATGGTCGGTCCAGCAGAAGATTAAACTGAGCACTGCATCCTGTTCCCTCAAACCATCTGGTTGGTCAGTGGGGAATGTTCTTGCCTCGTTAAATGTCCTCATGCTACTGTCAAGATATCCTGTTACAAAACGTCATAAACCAGGTTTACAAATAGGCCAGGTGATTGTGGAATTTCTCCTTGGCAAGGCCTTTGCTACGGGCGTGCGATTGGTGTGCAATAATCACAGTGTTCTGGGCCACTTGAGGGATAAAATATACCTTAGGTGATAAACTGTTGTATTTTAATGTGAATATTTCCACCAACATTAAACAGTAACCCCATGAGTTTTCTCATACCTGTTACACTCTGGAGTCGCAACAAGCTAACATGAAGCAAGTTGCAAACATAGTTATTGCATTTGGCTCCTATTCACAGCAAGGCTTCTTCAAGCTGTACCTGGGACAGTCTTCCCTCACATGAGGTTTATAGCATCATTTATTTCATTATTTATTTATTTTTTGAGATGGAGTTTCACTCTGTCGCCCAGGCTGGAGTGCAATGGTGCGATCTTGGCTCACTGCAACTTCCGCCCCCTCGGGGTTCAAGCGATTCTCCTGCCTCAGCCTCCCGAGTAGCTGGGATTATAGGCACCTGCCACCACGCCCGGCTAATTTTTGTATTTTTAGTAGAGACGTGGTTTCACCATGTTGACCGGGCTGGTCTCAAACTCCTGACTTCAGGTGATCCACCCGCCTCAGCCTCCCAAAGTGTTGGGATTACTGGCATGAGCCACAGCACCCGGCTATAGCATCATTTAAAATTTGTGTCTGCCATGAATTGTTAGTTGGTAGTTAACAAAAATAGACCACCTCATTTATGTCTTACAGTTAGCATTGGTTTTTGTGTTTTCTTTATGCTTTTTTTTTTAATTGCTTTTAAAATTGTGAAACAGGGTCTTGTTCTGTTGCTGAGGCCAGACTGCAGTGACACAATCTTGGCTCACTGCAGCGTCAACCTCCTGGGCTCAAGCAATCCTCCCACTTTAGCCTCCTGAGTAGCTGGGACTACAAACACGAGCCACCACAGCTGGCTAATTTTTAATTTTTAATTTTTTTTTTTGAAATGGAGTTTTGCTCTGTCGCCCAGCAGGTTGGAGTGCAGTGGCGTAATCTTGGCTCACTGCAACCTCCACCTCTCGGGTTCAAGCCATTCTTCTGCCTCAGCCTCGGCACCCACCACCATGCCTGGCTAATTTTTAAAAAATATTTTTAGTAGCGACAGGGTTTCACCATGTTGGCCAGCCTGGTCTTGAACTCCTGACCTCAAGTGATCCACCTACCTCAGCCTCCCAAAGTGCTGGGGTTACAGGCGTGAGCAACCACGCCAAGCCTAATTTTTAATTTTTTTTAGATACCAGGTTTTGCCATGTTGTCTAGGCTGGTCTTGAACTCCTGGGCTCAAGTGATCCTCCTGCCTTGGCCTCTCAAAGTTCTGGGATTACAGGCATGGCCCTTATGTCTGGCCCTTAAAGCTGCTTTTTAATAACAGCTTTATTGAAAGATAATTCACATACCATACAATTTGCCCATTTAAAGTGTATCATTTGGCCGGGCATGGTGGCTCACACTTGTAATCCCAGCACTTTGGGAGGCTGAGGTGGGAGGATCGCTTGAACCCAAGAGTTTGAGATGAGCCCGAGCAATATGGCAAAACCCTGTCTCGACCAAAAATACAAAAAAATTAGCTGGGCATGGTGGTGTGTGTCTGTAGTCCCAGCTACTCAGGAGGCTGAAGTGGGAGGATGGTTTGAGCCCAGGAGGTGGAGGGTGCAGTGAGTTGAGATTGCACCACTGCACTCCAGCCTGGACAACAGAGCCAGACCCTCTCTCTAAATACATAAATAAAGTGCATAATTCAGTGGTTTTTAATATATTCACAGAGTTGGGCAGCCATCATCACCATCAATTTTAGAAATTTTAATTACCCCAGAAGAAACCCTGTATCCATTAGCAGTTACCCCTTATTTCCCCCTGACTGTCCCCACCCCTGGCTCCTGGCAACCATTAATCTACTTTCTGTTTCTTTGGATTTTCATATTCTGGGCATATATATATATATAGAATCATCTAATATTTGTCTGGCTTCTCTCACTTAGCCTAACGGTTTCAAGGTGTATCCAGGTTGTAGCATGAATCAGCCCTTCATTCCATATTGTGGCTGATTAATGTTCCATCACACGGGTGGACTGTACTTGTTTGCTTATTCATCTGTTGTTGATAGACATTTGTGTTGTTGCCACCTTTTGACAATTATGAATAATTTTGCTACGAGCATCTGTGTGTGTCTTTGTATGAACAGGCTTGCATATTTTTTGATATGGGCAAAAGAGAACCAGCGGCAGGGGGCCTCTGTGGTGACTTTTTCGGTGATCTTCGTGTACTCTGTATAATGATCAGCCACTCAGGCTTGGGGGCAGCACTTAACCTTACATTTCTTTCTTTTTTTAAAGATAGGGTCTCTCTCTCTGCCACCCAGGCCAGAGTGCAGTTGACGCAGGGCAGGGGAGCCCCGAAGTGGAGCATAGCGTGTCCGGAACTGGTGGGTTCTTGGTCTCACTGACTTCAAGAATGAAGCCGCGGACCCTCGCGGTGAGTGTCACAGTTCTTAAAGGCGGCGTGTCTGGAGTTTATTCCTTCTGATGCTCGGATATGTTCAGAGTTTCTTCCTTCTGGTGGGTTTGTGGTCTCGCTGGCTTCAGGAGTGAAGCTGCAGACCTTCGAGGTGAGTGTTACAGCTCGTAAAGGCAGTGTGGACCCAAAGAGTGAGCAGCAGCAAGATTTATTACAAAGAGCAAAAGAACAAAGCTTCCACAGTTTGGAAACGGACCCCAGTGTGTTGCCACTGCTGGCTGGGGCAGCCTGGTTTTACTCCCTTATCTGGCGCCACCCACATCCTGCTCATTGGTCCATTTTACAGAGAGCCGATTGGTCTGTGTTACAGAGAGCTGATGGGTCTGTTTTGACAGGGTGCTGACTGGTGCATTTACAATCCCTGAGCTAGACACAAAAGTTCTCCAAGTCCCTACTAGATTAGCTAGATACAGAGTGTCGACTTGTGCATTCACAAACCCTGAGCTAGACACGGTGCTGATTGGTGTGTTTACAAACCTTAAGCTAGATACAGAGTGCCAATTGGTGTATTTACAATCCCTTAGCTAGACATAAAGGTTCTCAAAGTCCCCACCAGACTCAGGAGCCCAGCTGGCTTCACCAAGTGGGTCCCACATGGGGGCTGCAGGTGGAGCTGCCTGCCAGTCCCATGCCCTGTGCTGGCACTCCTCAGCCCTTGGGTGGTTGAAGGGACTGGGTGCCCTGGAGCAGGGGGCGGTGCTCATCGGGGAGGCTCGGTGCTCATCGGGGAGGCTCGGTACTCATCGGGGAGGCTCAGGTCACGCAGGAGCCCACGGCGGGTTGGGTGGAGGCTCAGGCATGGCGGGCTGCATGTCCCGAGCCCTGACCTGCAGGGAAGCAGCTAAGGCCCAGTGAGAAATTGAGCAAAGCAGCTGCTGGCCCAGGTGCTAAGCCCCTCACTACCCGAGTCCAGCGGGGCCGGCGAGCCACTCCGAGTGCAGGGCCCAGTGAGCCCATGCCCACCTGGAACTCGCACTGGCCCGCAAGCGCCGTGCCCAGCCCCGGTTCCTGCCCACGCCTCTCCCTCTACACCTCCCCGCAAGCTGAGGGAGTCGGCTCCAGCCTCGGCCAGCCCAGGAAGGGGCTCCCACAGTGCAGCCATGCGCTGAAGGGCTCCTCAAGTGCCACCAAAGTGGGAGCCTAGGCAGAGGAGGTGCCGAGAGTGAGCTCGAGGGCTGCCAGCATGCTGTCACCTCTCAATAGCACGTGAGGGTTCTTGTCTTTACCCAGGAAAGAATTCAAGGGCAAGCCAGAGGTTTAGAAGAAAACAGCTTTATTGAAGAGGCAGCATTACAGCCCTGTGACTGCTCCTGTAGGGCAGGGTTACCCTGGAGGCAGAGAGTAGCGGCAGAGAGTCTGCAATCACATTTATACTCACTTTTAATTGCATGCAGATTAAAGGGCAGTTTATGCAGGAATTTCTAGAAAATGGGTAGTAACTTTTGAGTCATTGGGTCATTGCCATGGAAAGGGGCAGTAACTCCCTGGTGTTACCTTGGCAATAGTAAACTCACATGGCACAGTGGTGGGCATCTCTGATGGAAAGCTGCTTCTGCCCCAGCCCTGTTTTAGCTAGTCCTCAATTTGGTCTGGTGTCCAAGCCCTGCCTGTGGAGTCAAGTCCTGCCTCCTATCTCACAGTGGCGTGATCATGGCTCACTGCAGACTCAACACCCCCGGGCTCAAGCAGTTCTCCCACCTCAGCCTCCTGAGTTGCTGGGACCACAGGCACGTGCTACTACGCCCAGCTACATTTTTTGCATTTTTTATAGAGACGGTGTTTCACTGTGTTGCCTAGGCTGGTCTCAAACTCCTGGGCTCAAGCAATATACCTACGTTAGCCTTCTAAAGTGCTGGGATTACAGGTGTGAGCCACTGCACCCAGCCCAACCTTACATTTTTAATCTCAAGTCACTTCTCTCTAGGTTTTGATTTCTTCTTTAAAATGGCGGAACTAAGAGCATCTATTTTATAGGGTTGTTGGGAAGACAAAAATGAAAGAACTGCTGTTCTATGTTTAGTGAAGCACTGTGCACAATTTTGAATAATGAAGTTGGTGTTTATTTTTTATCATTTATTTATTTTTTAGAGACGGGGTCTTGCACTGTTGCTCCAGCTGGAGTGCAGTAGTGCAATCACATCTTAGTGCAGCCTTGACCTCCTGGGCTCAAGAAATCCTGCCACCTCAGCCTCCTGAGTAGCTGGGACTACAGGCATGCATCGCCATGTCTGGCTATTTATTTATTTGTTAGTTTTTTGTAGAGATGGGGGTCTCCCTATGTTGCCTGGGCTGGTCTTGAACTCCTGGCCTTAAGCAATCCTCCTGTCTTGGCCTCCCAAAACACTGAGATTACAGGTGTGAACCACCATGGCCAGCCTTATTTTTATTTTTAAATCAGCCTTGTCAAGTTGAATTGGTCATTAATCTTGTATAACGGTAACTTGTGGCAGCATTGGTTGGATGGGGGGTGGGGAACATTTAGGACCCTGTGGGCTACAACTCATAGTGTGTGCACTTATTTTATTTTATTTTGTTTTGTTTTGTTATATTATATTATATTATATTATATTATATTATATTATTATTTTTTTTGAGACAGGGTCTCACTCTGTTGCCCAGACTGGAGTGCAGTAGCATGATCTTGGCTCACTGTAACCTCTGCCTCCCAGGTTCAAGCGATTCTCCTGACTCAGCCTCCAGAGCAGCTGGAACTACAGATGTGCGCCACCACGCCTGGCTAGTTTTTGTATTTTTAGTAGAGCTGGGGTTTCACCATGTTGGCCAGGCTGGTCTCAAACTCCTGACCTCAGGTGATACACCTGCCTCAGCCTCCCAAAGTGCTGGGATTATAGGCGTGAGCCACCGTGCCTGGCTGTGCACTTATGTTTGATTTTTGCAGAACCACCCTTCCCTAATGGTTGTCTCCTAGATCTAAGGTGACTTTATTCATTTTAGAATGAACTTACCCTATTGATACTGTAACCAGAGTTGGCATACATCACAATTGGCAGAACCCGGTCATGTTTAGCAAGATGGAAGTGTTCTGGAAGCTCCTCCTTCTTGTAGGTGTGGAGGCGAGGGTATGCATTCTTCAGTGCCTGGTAAAGGGTTTCCTCTTGCCCCAATTTGGGCAGGGGCATCCCAAAGCCACTGTAGCCCACAATATCAAACTTGACCAAGTCCCTGAACTTCATGTAGTTGGACAAGGGATCTTGTTGACATTGGGTCTCTTCTTCACGGTGGTCATCCCACGGTCTCATGTGATGATGATGCTGAGGTGCTCTGCAGGCTGTGCTTCTCAGTGGCTCCCACCAGATACCCGATGGTCCTGTCGATTTGCTGAATCATCAACTTGCTGTTCTCTGCCTCTGGCCCGAATCAATGTCCCACGTTATCTGGCTCTCTGTAGCTCAGTGTCACAAAGTCAAAGTCTTCCTTGGTGAACCAGTTCATGACGGTATTGATGTTCTCCCTCTGCTCTGTCTCGCTGCTGTTTGGGTGAGTGTAGGACTCCACCAGGGACCGCTTGACAACCTCACCCTCATATTTAGCACCTCCCCTGGAACAGTGGAATGATGCCGCTCTGTTCCCCTGCAAGTACAAGAAGAAAATTCCATCAGGGCCATTTCCCATACCTTTCTCACAATCAGCAAAGCTCGAGTTGTCTACATCTGTGCCCCAGTCCAAAGGCATAGAAAATATGTGGTCTTTGAAGTCAGACAGGGTGGAGTTAGATTCTGGGCTTCCCCAGGATCTCATAGCATCTACAACACTGTTAGTTACAAGATGTGCTATTATTTTATGGGCTACTAAGCAGAAAAATGCTGCCAATGAGACCGTGACATTCCAGTGATTGTAAGGTGTATTCCAACTTCAGAGATGGCAAAATGAAAAATACTTCCTTAGAATAGAGGGAGATGGTAATTTCTGAGTTGGTGCTGGTGAATTTGTGCATGTGTGTTATATATATATACATATATATATACACACACACATATATACACATATACATGTATATATATGTGTATATATATACAGACATATATATGTATACCTGTGTATATATAGTGGCACAGTGGTTCAATCATAGCCCATTGCACCCTTGAACTCCTGGGCTTAAGTGATCCTGCCACCTCAGCCTCTTGAGTAGCTGCGGCCACAGGCATGTGCCACCATACCTATTTTTTTTTTTTTTTTTTGAGACACGGTCTCACTCTGTCACCTAGGTTGGAGTGCAGTGGCACAATCTCAGCTCACTGCAACCTCTGACTCCTGGGTTCAAGCAATTCTCGTGCCTCAGCCTCCCAAGTAGCTGGGATTATAGACTTGTGCCACTATGCCCAGCTAAGTTTTGTATTTTTAGTTGAGATAGACTTTTGTCGTGTTGGCCAGGCTGGTTTCGAATCCCTGGGCTGAAGTGATCCACTTGCCTTGGCCTCCCAAAGTGCTGGGATTACATGTGTGAGCCACCGCACCTAGCCCTAATTTTTTTTTTTTTTAATATTTGTAGAGATGAGGTCTCACTAATTTGCCCAGGCTGGTCCTGAACTCCTGGGTTCAAGTAATTCTCCTGCCTCAGCCTCTCAAAGTGCTGGGATTACAGGCATGAGACACCGTGCCCGGCTGGTGGTGAGTTTTAAAATCTCCCAGTGTCTCCGTGTCTCAGTGTTTCTACCTGTAGAATGCCAAAAAGTAGATGGCATCTTTGTGAGCATTAAGCAGGCTAGCTTTTTATTTTTTTATTTTTATTTTTTATTTTTTGGAGACAGAATTTCTCTCTTGTCACCCAGGCTGGAGTGCAATGGCGTGATCTTGGCTCACTGCAACCTCCGCCTCCTGGATTCAAGTGGTTCTCCTGACTCAGCCTCCCAAGTGGCTGGGATTACAAAGCCAGCTAGCTTTAAGATACAGTGTTGGGCTTCACATTTTGGCATGGAGCAGGCACTCTTTTCTTTGCCTCCAGGTGGGACTAAGCCACCACAAGCCTTTCCTGGTGTGTGCAGTGGGTGATGAATGCTTGCCTGCTCAGCACCCACTTCCTGCTGGGCTGGGTCACATTACTCTGACTCCCCCTTGAGATTCAGTCCGCGCCTGGTTCAAGATGTATTGACTCAACCCGAGGATCCAGAGGTGGGATGTAGCTCTGGCCTGGCCAGAGGACCGAGGGTGCTGCATGCCATGGCTACAGCAACTGGTCAGCTTTGGGCTCATGTCCTAGTCAGAGCCAATGAGATGTAATCTTGGGATATCTGCTGGGCTGTTGAGAAGGGGACAGGCTGCCCTGCACATCCCCATTCCTGATGCTGAGGGATCTGAGAAAATCACTTGTAAAATTTGGGGGTGTTTGGAAGAAGGGGAGACTGATGTCTCTTTCTCTCCACAGACATCTGATCAGCTACAGAGCTTGACTAACCTACCCAGAGGCAGAATGATATGGTGGTTAAAAGTGTGCTCTGGGCCGAGATTTTGCCACTGTACTCCAGCCTGGGTGACAGAGTGAGACTCCATCTCAAAAAAAAAAAAAAAAGTGTGCTCTGGGCTGGGTGCAGAGGCTCACGACAGTAATCCCAGCACTTTGGGAGGCTGAGGCAGGAGGATCGCTTGAAGTCAGGAGTTTGGAATCAGACCCCATATCTACAAAAATGTTTTTTAAAAATTAGCTGGGTTGGTGGTGAATGCCTCTAGTCCCAGCTACTCGGGAGGCTGAGGCGGGAAGATTGCTGGAGCTCGGGAGTTCAAGGCTTCAGTGAGCTATGATCAGGCCACTGCACTCCAGTTTGAGGGACAGAGAGAGACCCCATCTCTCTGAACAACAAAAATGGGTGCTCTGGTGCCGCACTGCCTGGTTAGATCCTTTGTCCACCACTTAGATGCATGTTATATAAATGCTCTCCTCAGTTTCCTCATCTGTAACTTGGGGATGGTAATTCTGCCCCAAGAAGTGGTTATGGGGACTAAATGCATGTGGGCATATTGGTAAGTATTCAACGAGCTTGATTTTTCCAGGAGAGGGAGAAAGAGCTTGCAGTGAGGTGGCATGGTCAGGGGCTTTGGGACAAGGATTATTTCCTCTGGCTTCTGCCTCCTGGGAGGTACTAAGGAGGGATCTGAAATGTGTCTGCAGGCCCCAGAGTTGGGGACTGCAGAGGGAAATTGAGATCAGGGACCCTAGTCTGACAGAAATGAGTGCAGCATGGGGCATTGGGTTCCTTCCATCAGAGGCATGGGGCGTATTGCAGACAGTCATGAAATGTGGCTGAATCTTGCAAGGGACCCTCGGTCCTCGGGTTGCTGCTTGAGATAAAGACCCCTGTCAGTGGAACCTGGTGACCTTCACCCTTCTGTGTCAGGCTGCAGACAGCAAGAGATGGCAGCAGATTACACCCAACAGGAAAAGGGCCATTGCCATCCCACAGGTTGCCATAGGAGGAGATGACATCTCTCCCTCTCCTCCTCCAGCAGTGTCAGCTGGAGAAGAGGTGGGTGGGTGTGCACAGAAGAGTAGACCACAGACCATGCTCCTTCTCCTCCGGTCTGCTGGGGCCCCGAGAGAGTCTGCAGCCCTTGGCCAGGGACCGGCTGACACAGGAGAACAAAAGACCTGAGGCTGGGATAACATGGTGGTGCAGTTCATCCTCTGGAGCTCCCTGTGAGATCAGACTGGAGCCGGTCTCCAGCTGAGACCACATCTCACTTAGCTCCTTCCCTGCCATATCCTGTTTTCCTTACTCCTATCTCCTGAGAGTTCTTCCTGAATGAATTACATGCACTCAATCCTTGCCTCAGGCTCTGCTTTTAGGGAACTTGACCTAAGACAGAAATCTTAGTACTAAATACTTTGCAAGGCCTCAGAAGTGCTGCTATCCACAAGCAGGTGAGATATTACCTTCCCTACCACCTGGCATTCATAGTCTATGATGCGATTCAGCTTTATGGAAGTGCTTCTCTAAAGAACTTCCCCCAATTTAAGATGATCCTCATTTGCTTACTTGTTTATTGTCCATTTAGCTGCTCTAAAATGTGAGCTCCAAATCAGGGGCCATGTCTGGTTGGTTACCCATTTCCTGGGACCTAGGAAGGGCCTAGCTCAGAGCAGGTGCTCACTATTGATGGACTGCATGTTGAAAGAATGCATGAATCTCATCTCCTTTTGTGGATGAAAAACTCATCCTATTCTCACCCTGATTAACTTTCTTTCTTTCTTTCTTTCTTTCTTTCTTTCTTTCTTTCTTTCTTTCTTTCTTTCTTTCTTTTTTTTTTCAAATTGGAGTCGTGATCTGTTACCCAGGCTGGAGTGCAATGGTGTGATCTCAGCTAGCTGCAACCTCTGCCTTCTGGATTAAAGCAATTCTCCTGCCTCAGCCTCCTATGTAGCTGGGATTACAGGTGTATACCACCATGCCCGGCTAATTTTTTGTATTTTTAATAGAGACAGGGTTTCACCATATTGGCCAGGCTGGTCTCGAAATCCTGACCTCGTGATCCACCTGCTTTGGCCTCCCAAAGTCCTGGGATTACAGGCATGAGCCACCATACCCAGCCACTCTTGATTAACTTAACGGAAATATTTACAGAGATTCTTTCTCTTCTGGGTTCTAGCGTCCTATGTGTAACCTCTGCAGGTAATACATTTTCCTTCCTGATGATAGCATTTCTATGGTTGCTTTAACTCACAAATCTTCTAATACTTATTTATTCCATTTCTGATTGGCATTAGACATAATTCTCAATTTTTAGTGACAGCACTTCGTTTAACTTACATATAAATCGACTTTGCCTTGAAATGTGACATTGACTAGAAGTATGAAACTTCTAACATGCTGTAGAACACAGTTTGACTGGCTAATTTATTATTTAGAAAAAGCTAATATTGCCATTATGAGGGGCTTAGGTGGCTCTGAAGAACCGGTTGTATTTCTAATGTTTGCAATGTTAAATCACAGATATTGCTAACGTGAAATAGTTTCCATATGCTGTGTTCTCAATACACACCTTTTCCAAAGATATCCCTAAGTAGTCTTAGGAAACTGTGATTTTTCTTATTTGGTCTCATAGGAATTTGGGGAGCTATGCGGGATCTCCATAAAATGAGCTCCAGAAAGACACATGTGTGCACACGCACACGCTCAGACATGTACCACACCACACTTGACTCTGTTTATTTGCGACCCATGATTATCAGAAGTGCTATTTTCAACAAATACTTCTGAGAAATAATCTGAATACTTAATTGGATGCAAAATAGTGGCTATTTACTATTCTACCCTTTAGTTAGCATAATCAGTGTTTCCAGCAGGAAAAGCAATTGGAAAATCGCTAGTTTTATTAGGTTCATTATTCTCCCGTAGCGTAGTGTGGCATCAGCATGACTATTATTCTTAAATTGCCTCTTTAAAACAAGAGCTGGTGCTTCTTCCAGGCAATTCCTAACTCTTGGGCTTTGTAGAGGTTCCAAAACTCTTTAGAACCTATAATTCAAGGAAAGGCTCCTCTTTGGTTTTGCATTTTGTCTGGTCTCTTTCGGTGACAGAATTTATATCACAAGGTGCACACATTTTGGGGAGGCTCATGGACAGCCCATCGCGCTTGTGCTTTGGTAGGAAGTATGTGCCGTTAAGGGGAAGGAGTTAGTTACTGATTCTAGGGAACAATGGGTAGAAAGAGATGGACGCCCTGTATTTGAAATTCAGAACTCAAGCTTGGCTCTACGCGTTTCCTTGCTTTGCTGTGCTCCAGGGGAGTCACTGAGCAGAAGGAAGCGAGTTGCCTGAGATTCCTCAAAGCCCGCAGCCCTTTTGGAGGTTACATTGTTATTCTCTGAGCCTTTATGATACATAATAAAGACCTAGCTTGGACCAATATTAGGATGAGTTATCTTGCTATTAACATTCTTTTAGGTAGAAGTTGCTGGTCCCATCTTGCTCACAATCCTCCAAAGTTTGGAAGTTACTTTCCAGGAGACTTGGCTTGCACTGAGAGCTGCCCTCCCACCTTCTGTCCAAATTTCCTCTTGGGAGTAGCCTAACAAGGTGCTGTCACAGACCCTTGCCAGCCACGATGACCCCACCCAGACCATCCCTCTGCTGTTTCACTCTTTGATACTCTCTGGAGCTCTCTGGGGAGGGGTGAGACCTGCTGTCTGGTTTGTACGGTTTGCCCAGGTCTTACAGTCATGGCTGGTGCCTCTCTCTGAGAACTGGGACTCCTGAACTTGGTGAAATACCTCAGCCATTGATCATGTTAAAATATCGGGCACAGTCATTTAAAATCCGAGTCTGCTCCAGATGGACTCTCTCTCTTTCTGCCCTGACCGTGAGAGAGAGAGACCGTGAGAGAGAGAGAGAGAGAGACCGTGCCCTGACCTGCTGGACAGTGGAGATGCTCGTGGGCTGTGAGCAACAGATGCAAAGGCTGTCGGGAATCCCATCTTTCCAGCATCATCTGCCAAGGCACATCAGTTCCTGGGTATCTTGATGGGTTCTGGCAGCATTACTGTCATTGAAGGAAATCATTTTAGCCATATTAAAGGTGAATACAGCAATCCCCACACAGGCTGCCTGGAAAGGACGCGGGACAAGGATAGGTTTTCCCTGTGATGGACAGGCGGCAGGCGGCCCTCCCACAGCCCTGCCTGGCAATGGAGATGTGTCCCACAGCTGGAGTGCTGTGCCGAGGCGGGCTCACCCGGGCTGTGGGTTCGCTCTGATTGCAGCAGTTTCCCGCCAGCTCCTTGGAGAGCTGGCAGATGACCCAGCCCCACAGCAGGAGCTGTGAATGGCAGAACGAGATACAACAATTTGATATCCACTTGCCAGATGAGCCGGGTGTTGTCAGTCGCCTGGCTCTGCGCCAACCTCTTTTTGCACAAACACTTATGAATTGAGCCAGGAGGAAAAGCACTCTGATTATGAATTGAGCAGAAGGAAACAAAGTTCTGCAGATAAACACCAATGAGACCAAAAACCACGAATAAGAAAAATGACAGAAAAGGAGAACCTTCCCAGAAGCCTCCTGCCAGTGAACGGCCACCATAGCAAGAGCAGGGAGGCCATGGGTTTTGAACTGTGAGATAAGGAAGATGATGAAAACCTTCCTAGCAGCCAGGCAAGCACAAGATTCCTGTGAAATCCAGGTATAAGTGTTTTGACCACAGAAGTAATATTATGTCATAGGTGAGAGCTGTGAGTTGCTGAACACAAAGCTAGTTCAAATCCGAGCTCTGCCTCCTGCTACCTGTGTGACTTTGAGAAGTTCCAGCACTGCTTTGTGCCTCAGTTTTGTCATCTGTTAAATGGGCATAATCACAGCTCCTGCCTCAGAGTTGTTGTAAATTAATACATGTAAAGCACTGAAATCAGCCTGGTACACAGTAAGTGTTATGAACGTTATTTTCTTGGAAGGACAGAACTTATTTTCATGGTCTAATCCTAAAAGTCTAAAAAATGTGAGAGAAGAGGAAAGAATCTGGAGTCTCACCATGAGGGAGAAAAGTCAACTTGAAGCAGGACAGGGTCATTGGCAATTTCCTGTAATTCTACAGCTGCCTTGTACACTATGGTAGCTCCTAGCCACTTGTTGTTTAGATTTTGTGATTTAGAAATGAATTGAGGCCAGGCATGGTGGCACACCTGTAATCCCAGCATTTTGGGAGGCCAAGTTGGGCAGATCACCTGAGGTCAGGGGTTCAAGATCAGCCTGGCCAACATGGTGAAATCTCGTCTCTACAAAAATACAAAAATTAGCCGGGCATGATGGCGGGTTCCTGTAATCCTGGCTACTCAGGAGGCTGAGGCAGGAGAATTGCTTGAACCCGGGAGATGGAAGTTGCAGTGAGACGAGATTGCGCCACTGCCCTCCAGCCTGGAGGATAGAGTGAGACTCTGTCTCAGAAAAAAAAAAAAAAAATTAGTTAAGAGAAAATTGAAAATTCAGTTCTTCATTCTCACCAGCCACATTTCAAGGGCTCAACAGCCCATGTGGGTGGCTAGCAGCTCCCATGTTGGACAGTGCAGAGTAGAGCAAGTCCGCCATTGCAGAATGTTTGATTGGACCATGACTGAATAGTCTATTGCAGTGGTCCCCAATTTTTTTTAGCACCAAGGACCAGTTTCCATGTATTTGTGGGGGGAAGTTTCAGGATGATTCAAGAGCATTACATTTATTATGTACTTTATTGTTATGAACATTATAATATATAATGAAATCATTATACAACTCACCATAATGTAGAATCAGTGGGAGCCCTGAGCTTGTTTTCCTGCAACTAGTTAATCCCATCTCCTGGTGGTGGGAGACAGTGACAGATCATCAGGCATTAGATTCTCATAAGGAGCACACAACCTAGATCCCTTCCACATGCAGTTCACAATAGGGTTGGTGCTCCTATCAGAATCTAATGCCGCTGCTGATCTAACAGGAGACAGAGCTCAGGCAGTAACGCTAGCCATGGGGAGCAGCTGTAAATACAGATGAAGCTTCACTCATTAGCCCACTGCTCACCTCCTTCTGTGCAGCCCAGTTCCTAACAGGCCACAGACCACTACTGGTCTGTGGTCTGGGGGATGGGGACCTCTGGTCTATTGGATAACACTGGCTTGGAGGGGACTGATCATCCAAAGAAAGGCTGAGATGATTTGGCCTCCATTAATAAGAATGATGGACTTTTTTTTTTTTTGAGACAGAGTTTTGCTCTTGTTGCCCATGCTGGAGTGCAGTGGCACCATTTCAGCTCACTGCAACCTCTGTCTCCCAGGTTCAAAAGATTCTCATGCCTCAGCCTCCCAAGTAGCTGGGATTACAGGTGCCTGCCACCATGCCTGGCTAATTTTTGTATTTTTAGTAGAGTCAGGGTTTTGCCATGTTGACCAGGCTGGTCTTGAATTCCTGACCTCAAGTGACCCACCTGCCTCGGTCTCCCGAAGTGCTGGGATTACAGGCGTGAGACACCGTGCCTGGCCAGATGGACTTTTTTTGAGCATTTAGTTCCAAGCACCTTCCCTGCATTTTCTCAGTTAATCCTCCCAGTGACTCTTTGAAGAAGGGACTGTGACAATCTTCATTTCACAGATGGAGCAACTGAGGCATAGAGAGGAAGTCAATGGCCACGGTCGCCCAGCTGAGGAAGGATGGAGCCGGCTGAGATCCTGTTCTGGGGACCTAACTCTGCAGCCTGCATTCTGGGCTGCTATATTCTCCCATGTTGCTATCTGACGAGCACAGCATGGGCTCAGAGTACAGACAGGAGCCACCAGCTAATAAGGATGGGTCTGGGGTGAAGGCTGGTGCCTTGGGGAAGAAGAGAGAGGTCCCATTCTTAAGGGATAGCATTGGAAGTTCATAGTGATAAAGCAAAGCCAACAGGTTTTGGGGCTGGGAGTTAAACACACAGCTCTGGTTTCTGCCTTTTCACAGTGGTGATGAATGGGCACTGAGACCCTCTCAAGCTAAAGTTGTCATCATTGCTCTTCATAGTCTGAAGGTGCATGAAATGGTCAACTTTCTTCCAAAGGGCTTTTATGCCTAAGTCTGCGGTTAGTGTATAAACAGATATTTACTGAAGTCCTGCTGGGTGCAGACATGGTGGCCAGCCCTGAGGCTACAGTCGAGATGAAGCCAGTCTCTGTCCTCATGAAGACCTGTCTATTGATAAGAAAAGAGAAAGCTCACTGAGCATTGACCCTGTGCCCACTGCTTTTGATGCATCTCTCATTTAATCCTTCTATCAAATCTGTGAAATAAACACATCACCATCATCCCTATTTCACATTTAGGGAAACATATGCTTAGAGAGGGTAAGTAACTTGGTCAAGGTCACACAGCTTCGAACTCTCATCCCACAGGCACAGGAATGAGAGGTAGCAGCTGGGGAAGCCAGGGTCTCTGGCAGTCCTTGTCTCTGGGCGGTGATCCAGAGAGAGAGAGAACACGATTTTCTCAGCACTGGTTCTTCTTCTGAGTCGTCTTGAAGGAGCAATTGCAGAGCGTCTCGGTGTTAAACATCATGTTGTGAATGACTCCGTGATGTCTGACCCAGTGTCCTTGGGGATAAAGGAGGGGAGGTATGGAGAAGCTCTTTGAATGGATGTTACTGGGGTGTCAGTGTTCTTTGAGGGCACAGGCTATGTGTCACCAAATCGAAGGAGTGGCCTGCCCCTCCACACTTGTGGGTATTTCTAGTCGGGTGGGATGAGAGACAGAGAAAAGAAATAAGACACAGAGACAAAGTATAGAGAAACAACAGTGGGTCCAGGGGACCGGCACTCAGCACACCAAGGACCTGCACTGGCACCGGCCTCTGAGTTCCCTCAGTTTTTGTTGATCATGATTTTCATTATTTCAGCAAAAAGGAATGTAGTAGGAGAGCAGGGTGATAATAAGGAGAAGGTCAACAAAAAACATGTGAGCAAAAGAATCTATATCATAATTAAGTTCAAGGGAAGGTACTATAACTGGACGTGCACGTAGGCCAGATTTATGTTTCTCTCCACCCAAACATCTCAGCGGAGTAAAGAATAACAAGGCAGCACTACTGCCAACATGTCTCGTCTCCCGCCACAGGGCAGCTTTTCTCCTAGCTCAGAGTTGAACAAATGTACAATCGGGTTTTACACTGAGACATTCAGTTCCCAGGGGCAAGCAGGAGACAGTGGCCTTCCTCCATCTCAACTGCAAGAGGCTTTCCTCTTTGACTAATCCACCTCAGCACAGACCCTTTACGGGTGTCAGGCTGGGGGACAGTCAGGTCTTTCTCATCCCACAAGGGCATATCTCAGACTATCACATGGGGAGAAACCTTGGACAATACCCTGCTTTCAAGGGCAGAGGTCCCTTCTGCTTTCCACGTTGCATTATGCCCCTGGTTTATTGAGACTAGAGAATGACAATGACTTTTACTGAGTATACTGCTCATAAATATTTTGTTCACAAGGCACGTCCTGCACGGCCCTAGATCCCTTAAACCTTGATTTTATACAACACATGTTTTTGTGAGCTCCAAGTTGGGTCAAAGTGGCTGGGGCAAAGTGGCTGGGGCAAAGCTACAAATGAACAACATCTAAGCAAAGCAATTGTTTAAAGTACAGGTCTTTTTCAAAATGGAGACTCTTATGTCTTCCGTTTCTACATAGACACAGTGACAGTTTGATCTCTCTTTCTTTTCCCTACACAAATAAAGAGCCCAGTGTCTTTTCTCATTGCTCAAGAGATTGAAGGGTTAGGAAGAAAAGATGTTAAGTTGTAAACATGTTTCAGTTTTGGTACCACTTGAACCAATTTATGTTTTGAAAAGGAAAGAGTCTTGCCTACAAAGTCAGCCCCTGGGTTTTCCTTCTGCTTATGGAATCCAAGCAATGGGCAAAGAGAAAAAGAAAACGAAGGAATCAGCCAGATGCAGTGGCTCATGCTTGTAATCTTGGCACTTTGGGAGGCTGAGGCAGGTGGACTTCTTGAGTCCAGGAGTTCAAGAACAGCCTGGCCCACATAGTGAGACCCCGTTTCTACAAAATATACAAAAACTTACGGAGCATGGTGGCATGCACCTGTAGTCCCAGTTACTTGGGAGGCTGAGGTGGGAGAACTACTTCAGCCCAGGAGGTTGAGGCTGCAGTGAGCCATGATTGTGCCACTATACTCTAGCCTGGCTGACAGAGTGAGGACCTGTCTCAAAAGAAAACAAAAAAGATAAGAAAAAGAAAACTAGAGAATCTGGACAGAATAAGTTTATATATATAATAAAGAACTGAGATAGAACTGGGTTGACTGAATAATTATTTGAATTGCTTTTGAGTGAATTTTTCCTATTGGAGTCTACCTTTGTTTTTTTGTGTGTGTGTGCGTGTTTTTTTTTTTTTTTTTTTTTTGGTTTAGTTTTGTCTTTGTGTTTTTTTGAGACTGGGCCTTGTTCTGTTGCCCAGGCTGCTGGAGTGCAGTGGCACGATCTCAGCTCACTGCAACCTCTGCCTCCTGAGTTCAAGTAATTCTTCCGCCTCAGCCTCCCCAGTATCTGGGACTACAGGCCATGTACCACCAAGCCCAGCTAATTTTTGTATTTTTAGTAGAGATGGGGTTTCACCATGTTGGCCAGACCTGGTCTTGAACTCCTGGGCTCAAGTGATCCACCTGCCTCAGCCCCACAAAGTGCTGGGATTACAGATGTGAGCCCCTGTGCCCAGCTAGAGTCTACCATTCTTTGAATTCACTGCAGTGCAAAGACTGGGACATGTGGAACTCCAGGTGTATATCGGTTATGTAGAGATGCTAGGGGCTGATTAAGGAAGGAAAGATGAGAAGCCTGCAGAGCATGCTTCCCCAGACTGTATGGGCCCTGGGAAAGGAGAAGTGGACAGAAAGGGAACACGAGGTGCCCTGAAGAGAAGATTCATCCAAGTCATCAGGGAAGTTACTAATGCAAGGGAAAAAATGCAGAGACAGGGCCAGCCACGCTTATTCCAAGTCCTTTCTGTCTGCTCAGTCACCTCTATGCTTATTTTTCTTCTTTCCTCTAAGTGGTATCATGCGTTTTCTTCCAATTCCTAGTCACTCCTAGTCAACTAACTCCTCTGTTTACCATCTTTTCATCAGAACTTGAAACCTCCTCTCCTTCATGTATTAGTGATCATGTTTCTCCATAATACTGCTAGAAATAAGAATTGAAACCTGGAAAACCTGCATTTGAGAACCAGATCTGCCTCTGCTAGCTATTTGAGAAGTTATTTTGTTCCATTCCTTTTGTTGTTGTCGAAACAGGGTGTCACTCTGTCGCCCAGGCTGGAGTGCAGTGGTTCAATCTTGGCTCACTGCAGCCTCAACCTCCTGGGCTCAAGCAATCCTTCCACATCAGCCTCCTGAGTAGCTGAGACTACAGGTGTGTGCCACCACAGCTCGCTAATTTTTAATGTTTATTTTTTTTTGTTTACTTTTTTTTTGTAGAGATGGGGTCTTGCTATGTTGTGCAGGCTGGTCTCACACTCATGGGCTCAAGTGATCCTCCTGCCTTGGCCTCTCCGATGAAATGGGAAAAGTTCCATTGTACCCCTTGAAGGGTATGCGATGCGGGTGTGGTTTGCTTCTTCAGTGCCCCACTGCTCAAACCTCTAGGGGAGCATGCAGACAGGCAGGGAGCCCCATGGCAGTGTCCAGGGGTGAATGTTTATAGTTGAAGCTCCAGTGGGTGTGTGTTACAGGGTGCTCTTTTAGTTTAGCCATCTGTAGGTAGCTTGTGTTAGTCAGCTCAATTAGACCCCCGCCTTATTGCAAGGACAGAGGGCTCTCTTTGTCCCGGGGTTCTTGTCTTGGTGTACCGGAAGTGGTGCGATCTCAGCTCACTGCAAGCTCCGACTCCTGGGTTCACGCCATTCTCCTGCCTCAGCCTCCCGAGTAGCTGGGACTACAGGTGCCCGCCACCACGCCCGGCTAATTTTTTTGTATTTTTAGTAGAGACGGGGTTTCACTCTGTTAGCCAGGATGGTCTGGATCTCCTGACCTCATGATCTGCCCGCCTCGGCCTCCCAGAGTGCTGGGATTACAGGCTTGAGAGTGCAAGGTTTTATTGAGTGGAAGTATCTCTCAGCAGATGGGGGAGCCAGAAGGGAGATGGTTTACCCCTGGAGTCGGGTGAGTGGCCTGACTCTTCTCCGACTGTCCCAGCCAAACTCTGGGTTGTTCCGCAGTCAGTGGCCTACGGTGTGCCGGTGCCCATTGGTGCGTTCCTCTTGACGTCCAGCACCCTTGTGTTCCTCCGCTGATGTGCTCCTCTCAAAGTCCAACTGCCTGTGTGTCTGTCTGCTAGGGTCTCAGGGTTTTCATAGGCACAGAATGGGGGTGTGGCAGCCAGGGTGGTCTTGGGAAATGCAACATTTGGGCAGGAAAACAAAAATGCCTGTCCTCACCTAGGTCCGTGGGAACAGGCCCTGGGGTGGAGCCCTAGCCAGGGACCACACCCTCCTCTACCCAGTACTTCCCTTCCTCACTTCCATATCATTTAAAGGGACCACATTCTTCCCTTCTGAGCCCTTCCCTTCTGTATCACAAAGTGCTGGGATTATAGGCATGAGCCACTGGTCCCAGCCAATTCCATTCTTTTAATGCAAACTAGAAAATGGGTGTTCAGAAAGGCCTGCCCTATCCATCTCAGGGAGTTGCTATGAAGATCAAATTAGATCATGTGCAACAGAAGTTTAGAAAAGATTCCAAAAGCACTGTGCAATGGGAATGTATTTTTAAACTCCACTGAGTGGACTTAAAACTATGTTTTTTTTTCTTTCTTTCTTTCTTTTGTTTGAGACAGAGTTTCACTCTTGTTGCCTAGGCTGGAGTGCAACGATGCCATCTTGGCTTACTGCAACCTCTGCCTCCCAGGTTCAAGTGATTCTCTGCCTCAGCCACCCGAGTAGCTGGGATTGCAGGCGCTCGCCACCATGCCTGGCTAATTTCTTTTTCTTTTGTTTTTGTCTTTTTAGTAGAGATGGGGTTTCACAGTGTTGGCCAGGCTGGTCTTGAACTCCTGACCTTAGGTGATCCACCCACCTTGGCCTCCCAGAGTGCTGGGATTAAGGCTTGAGCCACCGCACCCAACCTGTGTTTCTTTTGTAAGCAAGAAAACAAATGCCTCTCCCCAGCGCTCACTAAACAAATCCCTCTGTTTGTTTTTTTTTTTTCCATAGGATTCTTATCCTTCTTGCCCCACTGCAAACAATCTATTCTCTTTTGGCCCTTCCGTCCATCTGTGAAAGGGTCAGGCTTTCTGGCTAACCCTTAATCAAATATTTTTATGACCACAGTCAAGAGAGTACTTCCTATTTTTTTTTTGAGACGGAGTTTCGCTCTTGTTGCCCAGGCTGGAGTGCAATGGCGCAATCTCGGCTCACTGCAACTTCTGCCTCCACAGTTCAAGTGATTCTCTTGCCTCAGCCGCCCAAGTAGCTGGGATTACAGGTGCACAACACCATGCCCAGCTAATTTTTGTATTTTTAGTAGAGATGGGGTTTCTACATGTTGGTCAGGCTGGTCTCGAACTCCTGACCTCAGGTGATCTACCCACCTCAGCCTCCCAAAGTGCTGGGATTACAGGGATGAGCCACCCCTGACTCATCCAAGACAGTGCTTGTTAATGCCTGAGATGCATCCAGGAGCACATGAGCTGGCTGTGACTGTTCTAACAAAGTTCCCCAAATGGGTGGCTCAGGACAACAGAAAGTCATTCTCTCCAGTTCCAGAAGCTTGATGTCTGAAACGGGCAGGGCAGTGCTCCCTCTGAAGGCTCTAGGGATGAATCCTTCCTTGCCTCTTCTGGCTTCTGATGGTTGCTGGCATTCCTTGGCTTGTGGCCACATCATTCCATTCTCTTCCTTCATTCTCATGTGGCCTTCTCCCCTGTGTGTCTCTGTCTCTTCTTCTCTTCCCATGAGGATGCCATTATTACTCGATTTAAGGTCCACGCTATTCCAATATGACCTCTTTGTAATTAGATCTGCAGAGACCCTATTTTCTTTTCTTTTTTTTGAGATGGAGTCTTGCTCTGTTGCCCAGGCTGGATTTCAGTGAAACAATCTCAGCTCGCTGCAACTCTGCCTCTGGGTTCAAGTGATTCTTCAGCCTCAGCCTCTGAAGTAGCTGGGATTACAGGTGCATGCCACCATGCCTAGCTAATTTTTCTGTTTTTAGTAGAGACGGTTTTGCCATGCTAGCCAGGCTGGTCTCGAACTCCTCACCTCAAGTGATCCTCCTGCCTCAGCCTCCCAAAGTGCTAAGATTACAAGCATGAGCCACCATGCCCTGCCCCTATTTCCTAATAAGGTCACATTCTGGGATTCCTGGTGAATGTGAATTTTTGGAGGACAGTATTCAGTCTAGCAAAAGGCAGAACATCCTCATTTTGTTCCCTACCTCAGAAATAAAGAAGTTAACTTCGACCCCTCTGAGAGAGAGAGGCTTCCCAAGCTTCCAACAATCAATTATCCAAATATTAGTCACAGAAGAGCACTAAGGGTTGTGCACAGCACGTGGCCAGCCCGTTCTCAGAGTCCGTCAAGTTTAAGGTGAACGCTAATCCTGAATGAGTTTTAAAATGTATTTGGCATATCCTGGTCATTGTAAAATGTTCTCACATTGTGGTGGCTGGGGCTTCCCTCTCAGGTGTAATCTGTGAAGTCAGATGTGACACAGCCTGGGTGAGGTGGGCCAAGCTGGGAACTGGGTTAGGAGGGAAGCTGGGGAATGATCTCCAAGGTCTCAGATCCCAAACTGGCTTTAGCCTGATTCACCCAGAGGGATCTCATAAAAAATGCACATTCCGGGGCCCACCCCAGACCTAATGAATCAGAATTACCTGGGAAGGAGCCTGGGGTGCTCTGTTTTCAGAAGCAGCCCAGCCGAATCCTACGGTCAGACAGGTCTAGGAAACCGAGCTCACTCTAGCGCAGTAGTTCCCAAACTCGTCTGTGCTTCAAAAAATACAGATGCTGATGTCCAGGCATGGTGGCCCATGCCTATTGTCCCAGCAGTTTGGGAGGCTGAGGCGGGAGTATCGCTTGAGGCCAGGAGTTTGAGACCAGCCTGGAGAACATAGGGAGATACCGTCTCTATAAAAAAATTTAAAAATTAGCCAGGTGTGGTGGTGCCCGCCTGTGATCCCAGCTACCGTGGAGGTTGAAGTGGGAGGGTTTCTTGAGCCCAGGAGTTGGAGGCTGTAATGAGCTATAATTGTGCCACTGCACTCCAGCCTCGGTAACAGAGCGAGGCCCTGTCTCAAAAACAAAACAAAAAACGGATGCTATGTCCCATTCCAGAGGTTGAGCTTTAATTGTTCTTGGGTGTGGCCTGGGTTTTGGAAGATTTAAAAAAAAATCCCAGGTGACCCTAAAGTGTAGATGAGTTTGGAAACCACACCTTTAAGGCACACTTGAATGGGGGAGAAGTGAGGTGGCGCGGGCTAGCCGGCCAGAACCCAGGGGTGGGGCAGTAGGAACCAGCATTGGAGAGGCCATGAAGGCTGGGAAGCATAGTGTCTGGGGCCCATAAAAATGCTTCGGCATGAATGCTTTAGACCTAAGACAATTGGCTCCTAAATGTGAAAACTGCAAGGTTGAAATGAATGCATGTTTAATGCTTTGCAACATTGTCAAGTGGTCAGCTGCAACGCCGTTCTGAGGGCGTGATGCCTGAGATATGCCTGTCATGGGGGTTGATTTTAGTGAATTTAATATGGTGTGGAGTGGGGCCTTCAAGAGTAAAGATGTCAGTTCTAAGTTGGTTGCAGGGGTCTGGGCAAAGGTCTTAAAACCCCATGGTGAGCAGATGGCCAATCCTGAACACCCCAATTTTAAAACAGGACCTTTTTTCCAAGAGACTTTTTGAAAATAGCTCCGATTTTGAGGGGAGGAACCCTGGCAGGAGAGAGCCAGAATTAAGCCCAGCTGAGAGGGCGTTGGCAGGCAGGGGCCCGCCTGGTCCTCACTGAAGCTTGCTACTCAGGGTGAGCTTCCTAAACCAATGCAGATTTGCCGGCCCACTGAGCCTCGCGATGAGAACCTGCATTTCAACAAGGTCCTCGGTGCAGCAAAGTTTGAGATATACTGGGCTAGAACACCCAGGGGACACAAAGGTTCCCTGAAAACTAAGGAAAATAGGCAGGGTGTGGTGGCTCATGCCTGTAATCCTTGTATTTTGGGATGCCAAGGCTGGCGGATCACCTAAGGTCAGGAGTTTGAGACCAGCCTGGATCAACATAGTGCAACACCATCTCTACAAAAAATACAAAAATTAGCTGGGTGCGGCCGGGCAAAGTGGCTCATGCCTGTAATCCCAGCACTTTGGGAGGCTGAGGCGGGCAGATCACGAGGTCAGGAGATCGAGACCATCCTGGCTAACACGGTGAAACCCTGTCTCTACTAAAAATACAAAAAAATTAGCCGGGCGTGGTGGCAGGTGCCTGTAGTCCCAACTACTCGGGAGGCTGAGGGAGGAGAATGGCATGACCCTGGGAGGTGGAGCTTGCAGTGAGCCGAGATTGTAACACTGCACTCCAGCCTGGGCAACAGAGCCAGACTCTGTCTCAAAAAAAAAAAAAAAAAAAAAAAAAAAAATTATCTGAGTGAAGTGGCAGGTACCTGTAGTCCCAGCTACTTGGGTGGCTGAGACAGGAGAATAGATTGAACCTGGGAGGCGGAAGTTGCAGTGGCCCGAGATCACACCACTGCACTCCAGTCTGGTGGCAGAGTGAGATTCCATCTAAAAAAATTTAAAAAAAAATAAATAAATAAAAAATAAACATTAATACTGGGCTAGAAGACCCAGGAGACCCGAAGATTCTCTCAAAACTAAGGAAAATAATCTAGGTCACAAGTATATTCTCTTCCTCCTTCTCCCCATTGCCCCCCTCCACCAGTAATCTTTATAGACTCAAATCGAGTTGATGTTCTATAATCAATTCTAGTCACTTTTATTTATATTTATTTATTTTAGAGATGGGGGTCTCACTATGTTGCTCAGGCTGGTCTCAAACTCCTGGGCTCAAGTGATCCACCCACCTCGGTCTCCCAAAGTGCTGGGACTACAGGTATCAGCCACTGCACCTGGCCGTCACTTTTATTTTTGATGTTCAAATTATAATCTAATGCCTGTGAGACCACAGATTCTTTTTATGCACTCAATACATTTTCCTGTTTACCTTACATTTGTATTATGGAAAAATTCTGTTTTTTCCACTTGTTTCTATTTGATAATGAAGCCCTCTGTGCTTATCACCAGCCTCTGCCGCCATCATCTCATTACCAATCTGGGTTATTTTGAAGCAAATATCTTCTAATATTTAGCCGGTGTTCAAATTTCCCTAACCATCCTAAATGGATGTTTAGAATAGTTGTTTCATTGGAAACAAGGTCAAAACAAATACATTTTACATTTTTAGGCCAGTCTTGAAAGTAAGTGTAAAACCATGTGTGGGGTAGGAGGTGGGACTAGTCTCTCAAGGTGGGGCCTGGATACCAGAACCAATTGAGGACTAGCTAAGACAGATTCCACAATGAATAACACCAGGAGGTGGGAATATTAAGGTCCATTGTGAAGGATGGCTGCCACAAATTTTTGATCAACTAGTTATCAACCCTGACTGCAGCTGAGAGAGATTTGTTTTTGCTTTTTTTTTTTTTTTTTTTTTTTTTTTTCAGAGACAGGGTCTTGCTCTGTTGCCCAGGCTGGACTCAAACTCCCGGGCTCAAGTGATTCTTCTGCCTCAGCCTCCTGAGTAGCTGAGACTACAGGTGTGTGCCACTGTGCCCAGCAAGATTTTAAAAAATACGTTTGCCCGGACACCACTCTAAACCAACTAAATCAGAATCAGATATAGTGAAGTCATTAATCATTTTGCTCCTGGGTCTTTATGATAGTTTTGCTCCTGGTAAACTCCTGGGAATGTGGTAGAGAGAGAGAAAGAGTTGGGAAAATAAGATTTTAAAAGTGTTGCTATGCATTTTGAAAATAATTTTTCTTTGGTGTTTGTCTTGAGGATCGGCGGTAAACATTTCGATTGCCTTTCAGTATGCTTGCATGCTGGAATGATGGTTCTTTGAATGTAGCATCGAACTGGCATTGGGCCACATGGCAGCCAGCGTGAGGCTTTATGCCACATTTATTAAACATGAATGTCATGAGCCCACTCTCAGGGACCTTACAATTTGGAGGGTTAGGTCAGATCCACAAATCTCTTCCATCTCATGGTAAAGGAAACCTGGCGCGTAGCAGGAGATGGCGTGATAACCATAACATATTGCATGATCAATATTTGTATCTTCTTAGCAATATTAAACTCTTTGACCCCCGCCATTGTGTCATCAATTTGCTTAATACAGTTTCTGCCTCAGCATCGGTTTTTAGGCCTGGCATAAGCTGTTTGAAACCCAGGCACGTACCCCACCCATCATCTTTGGCCTAGTTAACACCTCCCCTCCCTGAGTGGTGGTTTGGAGAACCTGCTTGTTCCTCATCCCACTGATCCCAAACCCAGGACACCCCACAGCTGCTGACCAGGATTAAACCTAATGGAGATTTAATGCCGTTAAATCAGAAGAAATTCTGATTCTCAGGGACTGACATTCATTCACTTAAATACTTGCAGAGTCAGCCAGGTGTGGTGGCTCACACGTGTAATCCCAGCACTTTGGGAAGCCGAGGTGGGTGGATCACGAGGTCAAGAGTTCGAGACCAGCCTGGCCAACATGGTGAAACCCTGTCTCTACTAAAAATACAAAAATTAGCTGGTGTAGCTGTGCGTGCCTTTAATCCCAGCTACTCAGGAGGCTGAGGCAGGGGATTTGTTTGAACCTGGGAGGTGGAGGTTGCAGTGAGCCAAGATTATGCCATTGCACTCCAGCCTGGGCAGCAGAGCAAGACTCTGTCTCAATAAACAAAAAACCCAAAAACTTGCAGAGTGAATTTAGGAAACCATGAAGTCCACAGTTTGATCCAATGCCTTCCTTTTTCTCTTTCTCAAATATTTTGAGCCAGGTACTATCCTAGATTGTCTTGTGATATTTACAATCTAGGAGAAGGCAGGAGAGAGAACTAAGAACAGAGAGCATGTTCTGAGATGTCTGCTGTGTTTGCAGGTACCTTCCCTCAATTTCCCTACTCACTGGCCATGCTGGAAAGCAGGTCTTGGCGCCATATTTGTACCATGGTACTTCCCCTCCCTATACTCAATTGGTTGGCCAGAAGCCCAATTGTCATTCTCTCTCTCTCTCTCTCCCTCTCCCTCCCTCCCTCCCTCCCTCCCTCTCCAAGATATCCAGTAACTGACTGATCAGCTGGCGGTGGGCTCTGCTGGCTGCCATGATGGGCCACCAGCAAAAAGGGAAAATTGGTTGTGAGTGAGAAGAAGAGATAAGAAAGTCCACAGGGCTCATAAGAAAGACCATGGGCTTCTGGGCACGGTGGTTCACGCCTGTAATCCCAGCACTTTGGGAGGCCAGGATGGTCGGATCACGAGGTCAGGAGATCGAGACCATCCTGGCTCACACGGTGAAACCCCATCTCTACTAAAAATACAAAAATTAGCTGAGTGTGGTGGCGGGTGCCTGTAGCCCCAGCTAATTGGGAGGCTGAGGCAGGAGAATGGCGTGAACCCCAGGAGGTGGAGCTTGCAGTGAACTGAGATCACACCACTGCACTCCAGCCTGGGCGACAGAGGGAGACTACGTCTCAAAAAAAAAAAAGAGACCATGGGCTTCTGAGAGCAAGAAAGAGGAATTTTGGTTTCTGTAACTGCAGTATCCATTCTCTCATGGCCGCTCATTTGTTTCTTGTGCCCATGAGTTTGCCTGTTAGAGATAAGGTGTGCTCCTTGTCCTCAAGCTCATGCAAATGGGTTTCTGTTTCTTACAATCATTGTTCCCAGATATGGATGGTGACTGATGCTCTACTAAATGCTGAAAAAAAGCAGAGTGGAAGCACAGAAAAGTGGGCTTCTCTGAGGAGGTGACATTAGAGCCCAGTTGGAAGGCAGGAATAAATGTGCACCATGATTTTTTAGGATTAAAACCAAGTACCTCACAGCTTGGGCACATGTAGATAGAGGTGATTTAACAGTAAAGTGTCCCAGTTGTACCCATTGTCAGTTACCTCACCACAGGGTTTATGTAGCCCTGAGTTTGCTTAGTGCTTATTTATTTTAGGTTGTTGTTTATCCAAACCTCTTAAATGATATGTGTTTGGAACAAGTAACAGCATCGTTCATTGATGTTGTGGACAAACCACTATTTTATTACTCAAGACTGAGTAATTTATAAAGAAAAAGAGGTTTAATGGGCTCACAGTTCCATGTGGCTGAAGAAGTCTCGAAATCATGGTGGAAGGCAAAAGGAATGTCTTACATGGTGGCAGACAAGAGTGATGAGAGCTATTTTGGTCATTGTTCGCTGGCCATAGAATTTACTTCTATATTTTGAACTAAGATGAGAGCCAGGCACACAAGACGGTTACAGGTCTGTCTTTTGTTTTTGATGATGATGATGATGATGATGATGATGATGATGATGAAATGGTTGACATGGGTGATGACTTGCTTTTTCTCATCATCTCAGACCTAGATTTTTGGCTGGACTATTGGCTTGGGATAGATGAAAATCATTCCTTGTATCCCCTGATCTTAAAGTCAAGACTGAACCAGCCTCCAGACTCAAGCCTTCATGGGACTTCAGATACCATGAGGAATGGGTGTCCCTGCAATATTGTCATGGCTGTCAAAAGTGTTATTGGAGCTGGGCAAGTGGGCGCTCTCCTGTCATTCCATCCTGCCTAGATTTCCCATTCAACACCAATCTTATTTCCTTTTTTTTTTTTTTTTGACAGAGTCTCGCTCTGTCTTCTAGGCTGGAGTGCAGTGGCGGGATCTCGGCTCACTACAGTCTCCACCTCCCAGGTTTAAGTGATTCTTGTGCCTCAGCCTCCCACGTAGCTGGGATTGCGGGTGCACACCATCAAGCCTGGCTTATTTTTTTGTTGTTGTTTTTTTGTTTGTACTTTTAGTAGAGACAGGGTCTCGACATGTTGGCCAGGCGAGGCTTGAACTCCTCACCTCAATTGATCCACCTACCTCGGCCTCCCAAAGTGCTGGGATTACAGGTGTGAGTCACCGTACCTGGCCCCATTTCCTCTTATACCATAAGTCATTGCCTGCAGATGTGTTTTCTCCATTAGTTTGCAAAAGCTTCCTGAGAGTAGGTCTGTGCCTCATTTATTCTGGAATCTTCCTGGCACAAAGCACAGGGCTTTATCTTCAGTAGGCATCCAACAAATGTTTAATTTCATTCAACAGCTCCTCTTACCACTGCCTCCACCTTAATTGCAGGTGGTTAAGTACAATCGGAGCAAGGAGGTATCATAAGATTTAGTTCAGAGTCAATTTGAGAAGAAATTACTTTAGTGATATGAAAATAAAACCTGCTATTTAGTCAGAATAGTTCTGAGAGTATCCCCTGTCCAAGCATTTGCTGAATTTCTATGTACAAATTTTCAGGTGGAACAGTATGGTTGTAGAGAGTCCATTTGGACATAGATACACTTTCATGCATTCATGTCTTTAACAATAATTTATGGCCCTACTGTGTTTGTTCACTAACTCCTTTGAACCTACCACATAAGCTATATCTGTATTTTCATTGTAATTTGGGAGGTCCAATGCTTCATTAAGCTCACATGCCTGAAACTAATGAAGAAAATAGCTCGTTAACCAGCTAGTATAAAAGTAGCCACCAAATCAAGTCAATCACCTGCCTTAAATCAGCCCAGTACTCCCATCTTGAGCAGAGAAGCCCATTCTGAATCACAGTCAAGACATTGATGGAAAAACAGCTCCCTCTGGGGATCAAAACCACGCTCACTCCAAATCCTCCTCCCCAGATTTCTACTCATTGCTCATCCACTGAACCCAGAACAAACCAGAAGTGCTTGAAATGAGGACGGGTAGCTCCGTGTACCAATCGGAATTTAAAACTCTATCAATTCCTGCTATAGAAATGAGGCTTCTCCCTGGGACCAGCATTCCACGAAGGCAGCCCTTTTCTAGATGGAGAAAACAGAACCTGAAGACACCCGTTTCCCTAAACTGCTCTTGCTCATGTGTAAGTACAAATGAAAAATGCTGAGGCTGCTTCTGTTGCCATTGCTTTTTAATTACGGCCATCAATAAATCATTTCATCCTTGAACAAGACTTGAGAATGACCCGAAGGCAGAGGCACAATTCCTTAGGAATTAGGCCAACAGAGAATGGGCTATCTCTCTTCCCACCCCTTCTCTTACTCTGCTGTCAGAAACAGAAACGTTCTCTGTGAGTAGCTGGGAGTAGACGGCCACACTTGAGATCCGTCTGGGGGTTCGGTTAACACAGTTTTACCCCAGCCTGCCTTGATGGCCACTGCCACACAAGCTGCATCTGTTCTTTCTTCTGTGCCTTTTTTTACTTCGTTGTTTTTCCTCTTTCTAGTGTAGTGAGCTGAAAGGTGGCTTTGCACAAGATATATCCAGATCCTTGTGCCTAGAATCTGTGGAGGTGGCATTATTTGGAAAAAGGGTCTTTGCAGATGTAATTAAGTTAAGGATCTTGAGATTCTCCTGGAGTAATTTAGGTCGGCTATACATCTAAAGACAAATGTCCTTATAAGAGGACACTTTTGTCCGGGCGCAGTGGCTCATGCCTGTAATCCCAGCACTTTGGGAGGCCGAGGCGGGTGGATCACCTCAGGTCAGGAGTTTGAGACCAGCCTGACCAACATGGAGAAACCCCATCTCTACTAAAAATACAAAATTAGCCGGGCATGGTGGCGCATGCCTGCAATCCCAGCTACTGGGGAGGCTGAGGCAAGAGAGTTGCTTGAACCCAGGAGGAGGAGGTGGCAGTGAGCTGAGATCATGACACTGCACTCCAGCCTGGGCAACAAGAGTGAAACTCCATCTCAAAAAAAAAAAAAAAGGACACACTTTTTCATGCGCGTCCGTGTGAAGAGACCACAAAACAGGCTTTTTGTGAGCAATAAAGCTGTTTATTTCACCTGGGTGCAGGTGGGCTGAGTCCAAAAAGAGAATCAGCGAAGGGAGATAGGGGTGGGGCCACTTTATAGGATTTGGGTAGGTAAAGGAAAAAGGGGGGTTCTCTGGCAGGTAAGAGTGGGGGTCACAAGGTGCTCAGTAGGGGAGCTTTTGAGCCAGGATGAGCAAGGAGAAGGAATTTCACAAGATAATGTCATCAGTTAAGGCAGGAACAGGACATTTTCATTTATTTTGTGGTGGAATGTCATCAATTAAGGCAGGAACCGGCCATCTGGATGTGTACATGCAGGTCACCGGGGATATGATGGCTTAGCTTGGGCTCAGAGGCCTGACGTTCCTGTCTTCTTATATTAATAAGAAAAATAAAATGAAATAGTGGTGAAGTATTGGGATGGTGAAAATTTTTGGGGGGTGGTATGGAGAGATAATGGGTGATGTTTCTCAGGGCTGCTTCGAGCGGGATTGGGGTGGCATGGGAACCTAGAGTAGGAGAGATTAAGCTGAAAGAAGATTTTGTGGTAAGGGGTGATATTGTGGGGTTGTTAGAAGAAACATTTGTCATTCAGAATTATTGGTGATGGCCTGGATATAGTTTTGTATGAATTGAAAAACTAAACGGAATAAGAGAAGGAGAAAAACAGGTATTAAAGGACTAAGAATTGGGAGGACCTAGGACATCTAATTAGAGAGTGCCTAGGGAGGTTCAGCATAGCCTTGCCAGCAAAGATTATTTAAGAGTTAAGAGTGGTGGTTTGGGGATACCACCAGGAGATATCAGCTGTGATGGCTTGGAGAAACAGTGTAAACCACCAGTGTAAACAAGAGCAGGGCATATATGAGTAGTTGAGAACGGTGAATCTCTTCTAGACAGAAGATAGTAGGGATGACAAGTTTTTTGGGGCACAGTCCAAGTTGGTCTTGTGTCTGGAATGAGACTGGGGCCTAATAAAAAGGAGTGTCTATACAGGAGATCCAATGGGTATCGGGGGACCTGCCCCGATAATCACGTAGGTTCTTTTCTATTTTCCTAAGCGTCGACTGGCTTGAGAAATAAAAGGACAGAGTACAAAAGAGAGAAATTTTAAAGCTGGGCGTCCGGGGGAGACATCACACTTGGGTAGGATCCGTGATGCCCCACAAGCCACAAAAACCAGCAAGTTTTTATTAGGAAGTTTCAAAAGGGGAGGGAGTATACGAATAGGTGTGGGTGACAGACATCAAGTACTTAACAAGGTAATAGAATATCACAAGGCAAGTGGAGACAGGGCGAGATCACAGGACCACAGGACCGAAGTGAAATTAAAATTGCTAATGAAGCTTTGGCACCATTGTCATTGATGACATCTTATAAGGAGACAGGGTTTTGAGATCAACCGGTCTGACCAAAGTTTATTAGGCAGGAATTTCCTCTTCCTAATAAGCCTGGGAGTGCTATGGGAGACTGGCGTTTATTTCACCTCTGCAATCTCGACTATAAGAGAGAGGTACGCTCCGGGGGGGCCAGTTCAGCGACCCACCCCTAGGTGCGCATTCTCTTTCTCAGGGACGTTCCATGCTGAGAAAAGGAATTCAGTGATATTTCTCCCATTTCCT
The DNA here is from genome assembly GCF_000001405.40 of Homo sapiens. NCBI lineage: Eukaryota > Metazoa > Chordata > Mammalia > Primates > Hominidae > Homo > Homo sapiens. Next base: position 8,280,681 of record NC_000012.12, read on the forward strand.
TTTGAAAGAAGAGAAATATGGTTCTGTTCTGCCCGGCTCACCGGCGGTCAGAGTTTAAGGTTATCTCTCTTATTCCCTGAACAATTGCTGTTATCCTGTTCTTTTTTCAGGATGCCCACATTTCATATTGCTCAAACACACATGCTGCACAATTTGTGTAGTTAACGCAATTATTACAGGTTCCTGAGACGATATACATCCTTCTCGGCTGACAGGATTAAGAGATTAAAGCAAAGACAGGCATAGGAAATCACAGGGATATTGATTGGGGAAGTGATAAGTGTCCATGAAATCTTTACAATTTATGTTTAGAGATTGCAGTAAATAAAGGCAGGCATAAGAAATTACAAAAGTATTAATTTGGGGAACTAATAAATGTCCATGAAATCTTCACAATCCACGTTCTTCTGCCATGGCTTCAGCCGGTCCCTCCGTTTGGGGTCCCTGACTTCCCGCAACAAATGGGCTGTACCTTGTAGCATTCTGAGGACAGGCCTGAATTCTGAGAAGGGAAAGTGGTAAAAGTATTGTCCAGTCCTTTTTAAGTTGGTGGCTGAGCTTGGTAAGGTGTGTTTTTAAAAGACCATTAGTCTGTTCTACCTTTCCTGAAGATTGAGGACTGTAAGGGATATAAAGCTTTCACTGAATACTAAGAGCCTGAAAAAATGCTTGGCTGACTTGATTAATAAAGGCCGGTCTGCTATCAGACTGTATAGAGGTGGGAAGGCCAAACTGAGGAATTATGTGTGACAGAAGGGAAGAAATGGCCGTGGTGGCCTTCTTAGACACTGTGGGAAAGGCCTCTACCTATCCAGTGAAAGTGTCTACGTAGACCAAGAGTTATTTTAGTTTCCTGACTTGGGGCACGTTGAGTAAAGCTAATTTGCCAGTCCTGGGTGGAGGCAAATCCCTGAGCTTGATGTGTAGGGAAGGGAGGGGGTCTGAAGAACCCTGAGGAGTAGTAGAATAGCTGATGGAACACTGAGAAGTTATTTCCTTGAGGATAGATTTCCACGATGGAAAGGAAATGAGAGGTTCTAAGAGGAGGGCTAGTGGCTTGTACTGTAGCATAGCCTGCTTTTGCTGGTGTGTGGCAATTAGGCCTGGTGGAACTGCCATCAATAAACTAAGTGTGATCAGGGTGAGAAACAGGGAGGAAGGAAATGTGGGGAAATGGGGTGAACGTCAGGTGGATCAGAGAGATGCAGTCATGAGGGTCAGGTGTGGTATCAGGAATAATGTGGGAGGCTGGATTGAAGTCCGGGGCAGGAACAATGGTAATTGTGGGAGACTCAACAAAGAGTGAGTACAGCAGAAGGAGCCGGGGAGCAGAATGTATATGTGGCAGGTGTGAGGAAGAAAATAGATTTTGGAAATTATGAGAGCTGTAGAGAGTGAGTTGAGCATAGTTTCTGATTTTAAGGGCCTTTAAAAGTATTAGGGTGGCAGCAGCTGCTGCACGGAGACACAACGGCCAACCTAAAACAGTAAGGTCAAGTTGTTTGGACAAAAAGGCTACAGGACGCGATCCTGGTCCTTGTGTAAGAATTTCAACTGCACAGCGCTGCACTTCGGCTGTGTGTAATGAAAAGGGTTGGGATGAGTCACGGAGAGCTAGTGTAGCAGGACGAGTTCCAGACAAAACTCCTCAGACACCGGATTAAAGAAGGAAGAGGTTTTTTTATTCCACCGGGAGCATAGGCAGACTCATGTCTTAAGAGCCGAGCTCCCTGAAAAAGAAATTCCTAGCCCTTTTAAGGGCTGACAACTCTAAGGGTTCTACGTGAAAAAGTCACAATAGATCAAGTAAGCATGAGGAACGTGACTGGGGGCTACATACATCAGCTAACAGAACAAAAAGTTTTTACAGTGCTTTCTCATACAATGTCTGGAATTTACAGATAACACCAATAGTTTTGGTCAGGGGTTAATATTATTGATATTTTAACCACCAGGGCGAGGTGGTGGCGCCGAGGTCGTCTAGCTATTTATTTTACTTCTGTTTTTTCCAACTTTTTGCTTTCTCCCTTTTTTGCTGTCTTACAAACTAGGGAAAAGGGGAGGTTGGGGAGAAACTGGGAAGGACAACAGGAGAAGTGGTGGCCTCACACCATATTTCCCTCCTTTGAGCATTTTCACCTTTTAGTGGGAGTTCTCACTCTCATTTTTACTTTTTGAGTCTATTTGTGAGATAGAGCGATAGTGATTTATATAACACACGTGTGCTGAAGTTTTTCTGATGAACCAAAGTAGCTACAAAACCTTTTATCATTTGAAAAAGCAAGGGTAATACACAGGGGAGCAGCAAGCAGGTTCCTATCACTAGCAATACACCTACAATGAGGGTTTTCAATCCTCCTATAGCTGGAAACCATTTTTCAAATTAAGACTCAGGATTAAACTCGTGCCAAACCTGTACAGGCACATGTGCCACCTTTGTCATGTCCCTGACTGTGTTTTTAACCACCTGTCCTTGATCATTTATTTGTAGGCAGCAATTGGTTAAGTTAAATTTTCCACAAACTCCTCCTTCAGCTACTAGCAAGTAGTCTAAGGCCAGTCTATTCTGATAGATAGCATTCCTCATTTGGGTTTCTTGCCAAGCTAAAACAGTCAAAGCTCTGCCAGTTTCATTAGTAATTATTTCTAAGATGGCCTGCAACCGTATGATCCAATTGAGCATGTAGATGGGGTTTCGGTATCCCCATGAGCCGTCTTGTGCCCATGTGGCAGGCCCATAATACTGAATGATCCTTTCAGGGGGCCACTCATTATCTTTCCAGTTTCCTATAACTATGCCTTTCTTTTCTCGGGAGGCGTAGACAGGAAAACCTAGGAGCTCACCCATTTTTATGGGTAATAAGAAAAAGGATGGCTTAATAGTGCCAATAACACAACTGCCTGCCCATTTATTAGGTAACCGAATGTAGGCTCTGTGCCTACATATCTAGTATAGTCCAGAGGGAACAGTCCAGTCCTGATGAGATTCTGGATGAGCCTAAGCAGTTTTTAATTTAGAAAATTTACTAAATGGATTCTTTTCAGTGTGGTTTAGTCCCTACTAAGTAATTGTCTTTGTTGTGCTGTTATACAACTTCTGTCCTACACAATTAAGCTTTCCTAAAGGGATGATAAAGTCTTTCCCTTCTCTAGCTATACAGTATTGTCTAATAATTGAGGTTTTTAGGACCTAGAAGTTGCTAGATTCTGCCTTCTAACTGGAATTATATCAGGAGCTGGATCAGTAGACACCAACTCTCGGGCTTCCCAAGGCCATCTGTCTCCGATAGTGGTTCCTCCGCGTACATAACAAGAAGTAACATTAAGTAAGAAAATTACATTTTCTGCTAATTGGAGAAACAAATTTTTTGTCTTTTTCAGAAGTTATGGTGCTGGCAGATTCAGCTCCTCATAAAAGGTTTGAAATACTGGTTTGGGAGAGCACTTGTGGACCTCCCCTCTAATTAAAATGGCAACTTGAGGGTTTAACCCTGTCCTATTGATCCCCAGGGTTACACGTTCTCCCTTTTTCCAATGGGGATCTAGGGGATTGGTAATTATTAGTTCTAGTGGGTTACAGTGACCGGCAGCACAGGAGGGGTTGACTTCCCCCTTCCGAAGATAAACCGGGTCCTTTTTGTTCTTTTTTTAAGTAGCCTAAATAACACATGTCCAATAGGCACAATTTTTACAAACCCCTGACTCATGACAAACATATTTATTTTCTACTCTTTAGCTCCTTTCTCAGTTAAGAGAACCACATCCTATTTCTAGCTTTTTACTATTAATGGCTGCACAAGCATCAAATCTTAAAGTTGTTTGCTTGGGGATTTCCTTTTCTTCTGTTCTAGTTATTATTTTACTTGTATCACCTAGGAAAAGGCCAGTTCTTCTTCTTATTTCAAAAACGGTGGTTGCAGCGGGCTCAGATGGGTTATAACACGCATCAGGTCGGTCATTTCTCGGGGTACATACCTTGCACTGAGTGGCATTATACAAACAAGTTTCTTTTATTGTTTCCATACATTCATAATAACTATAGAACAGAAAGATTGCTTTAATTTGCTGTCCTACTTCAGTGACCTGTTGAATACACTGGGAACAGTCCCCAGTTTGAGTAAGGTCAGTTGAAGCCCTTACTGTATAAGTCCAAAATTTAAGAAAAATGAATCTCACGATGAGCTTCCTCATGCTTTGGCTGTGCGTGGACCAGTCAGCTTCCGGGTGTGACTGGAGCAGGGCGTGTCGTCTTCTTCAGGGTCGCTCTGCAAGGGTTGTCTGGGCTTGGTCTTGCCTCCCAGGTTTCAGGCACTGCAGGTTTTACATGGCTGTGGTGGATCCAAGCTGGGATTCCTTCTACCTTCACAGCGGTGGGAGTGCTCAGGACGACAGTCTGGGATCCTTTCCACAGTGGACACAAAGAGGCTCCGTTCCAGTTCTTGATCCACACTCGATCATCTGGGGAGAAAGGGTGAACTGGGGAGAATAAGCTAACAGGGCATCTCTCATTTACCCAGGCTGAGATTGTTTGTGTAATTTTTCCTAAGGCCTGTAGCTGTTGCTGTAACTCAATTTCACCTAACTCTCAGGGAGTGCCTGGAAGTCCCCGCAATATAGGAGGGGGCCTATGATATAATATTTCATAAGGGGAATATCCTGTTCTTTTAGAAGTGGTACATCTAATTTTAAATAATACCATAGGGAGAGCCTGTATCCATTTTAATCCTGTTTCCTGACATACTTTCCCTAAACTATTTTTGATAGTTTGATTCATTCGCTCCACCTTTCCGGAACTCTGAGGCCAGTAGGCAGCATGCAGTTGCCATGTGATCCCTAACATCTTTGCCCCCTTCTGTACTAAGTCAGCCAAAAATGCCGACCTGTTATCTGAGCCGATCCGTAAGGGCAGTTCAAATCTAGGAATAAGATCTCAAAGAAGCACACGAGTTACTTCACGAGCTTTCTCAGTTCGTGTTGGATAAGCCTCCACCTACCCAGAGTAGGTACGCCCAAGAACTAGTAAATACTTGTTACCTCTACACTTTGACATCTCTGTGAAGTCCACCTGGAGATCTTCAAAGGGGGCTGCTCCATAAGCTTGTATGCCGGGTGGAACGGCTGGACCTTGCCTCGCATCATGCTGTCGGCAGGTAACACACCCCTGCCTCACCGTTTTGGCAAGAGCTGACAAATGCGAGATGTAGAAATACCAGCCTAACAACTTTCCAAGTGACTCCTGACCTCGATGGATGGTTTCATGCACAGCCAGTACAACTGCAGCTCCTAGCAGCTGTGGCATAGCTTCTCTCCCATCCGGTAACCGAATTCATCCTTCCTCCATCACTTGTTCTCTGCCTGGAGAAAGTCCTTTTCTTCTTTAGAATAAGTGGGTACAAGATCAGGTGCTTGAGGGAGCATGGGGGCTGTGACTGATGCCCGGAAGGGGGCAGATGCTGCTTTTCGAGCCTCCAAGTCAGCGCGGGAATTCCCTAAAACCACCAAGGTGGAAGCTCGCTGGTGTCCTCTGCAATGCATAACTGCCACCTTGTGGGGTCTCCATACGGCTTTTAATAATTGCAAGATTTCTTGCTGATATTTTATGTCTTTTCCCCCAGAGTTCAATAGGCCCTTTTCTTTATATAATGCTCCACGCACTTGAAGGGTTGAAAAGGCATATTGAGAGTCAGTGTAAATGTTGACATTCTTAGCTTCACTGGGTTCTAAGGCCCGAATTAAAGCAATGAGTTCAGCTTTCTGAGCTGAAGTGCCCTGGGGAAACGATCTGGCTTCAGCAACAGTGTCCAGAGTTACCACCGCATATCTTGCACATCTCTCTCCTTGTGGGTTGATGAAGCTGCTCCCAGCCCCGTATAGTTCCTAGTCTACTGATGCCTAAGGCTGGTCCTGGAGGTTAGGTCTGCTAGAGTAAACTGAGTCCAACACTTCTTCACAGTCATGCTCGAGAGGGCTCTCTGATACTGGGAGCAAGGTAGCGGGGTTCAGGGTGTTACAAACTTCAATGGTTACACGGGGATTTTCACAGAGCAAACTTTAGTACTTAGTGAGTCTAGCATTCATTAGCCAATGATGTCCTTTAGTATTCATTAAAGTCACCACAGCATGGGGGGGGTCTTTATGTTCAGGTTTTGTTCAAGAGTCAGCTTATCTGCTTATTGTACTAGCAGGGCAGTTGCTGCCAAGGCCCTTAAACACGGGGGCTATCCTTTAGAAACCCCGTCTAGTTGTTTAGAGAGGTAGGCCACCGGCCTCAGCCAGGGACCCACAGTTTGGATTAAAACTCCAACTGCCATCTTTTCTCTCTCTGACACATACGATGGAAAAGGCTTTGTTAGATCAGGTAGCCCCAGGGCTGGGGCTGATATAAGTCTTTCCTTTATCTCATGAAAGGCTTGCTGTTGCTGGGATCCCCATTCAAAAATTCCAGGTCCCCCCTCCTTTGTGACCTCATAGAACGGCTTGGCTAATACTGCAAAATTTGGGATCTACAGTCTGCAAAACCCCACAGCCCATAAGAATTCTCTCCCCTGCCTTCTGGTCTTAGGCTCCGGTAGATTTCAAATGACCTGCTTTCTTTCTGATCCTAGGCTGCTCTCCCCCTTTCGGATAGTAAATCCTAAGTAATATACCTGCTGTCGGCAGATCTAAGCTTTTTTCTTGGACATCTTGTACCCAGAGTCCTCCAGGTGCCGGAGTAGAGCATCTGTTCCTTTGGTGCACCCGACTGCCATGGGGTGTCCCAGCAAAAGGTCATTAACGTACTGGAGCAACACGCAGTCTAGGTCTCTGGTGGGAAACTTCTGGAGGTCTCGAGGCAATGCCTCCCCGAAGATGGTGGGGGAATTCTTGAACCCTTGGGGAAGCCCAGTCCAAATGTACTGAGTAGTGACACCTGACTCCGGATCTTCCCACTGAAAGGCAAACAGCTTCTGCCTCTCAGGGGCGAATCTGATGCTAAAGAAGGCGTCTTTCAGGTCCAAGCAGGTGAAGCAGCTGTCCTCAACTGGCAGCAACCCCAGCAATGTGTACGGGTTAGGTACTGCTGGATGTAAAGTCACTGTAGCCTGATAAACCAAGCGCAAATCCTGTACCAGCCAGTAGTCCTTGGTCTTAGGCTTGGGAACAGGCAGGAGGGGAGTGTTCCATGGAGACTGACAAGGAACTCTAATTCCAAAAGTTCTTAGGTGCTTGAGATGGACCTGGATACCTTCAAGAGCTTCTCTGGGGACCGGCTCCTGTTTTTGCCTAACCGGCTGGGCCCTAGGCTTAACTTCTATAAGTACGGGGGCTTGGTTGACTGCAAACCCTGGAGGATTGTCTTCTGCCCACACTTTTGGCCACCGCTTAGCCAGAGCTGGTCTTATCTCTTGGCCCCACTCAGTTGAGAAAAGTCTCCATTCTTCTTCTCGGGGGACCGTAAGGGTCATAATGACTCCCATTCTGGGTAACTTTAGCAGCAAAGAGCCATGCTCTGTAAAAGAGATACTGGCTCTCAGTTTGCTAAGCAAGTCCCTTCCCAAAAAGCGCAAGGGACAGTCAGGTGTGTACAAAAACTGATGAATCACTTTATGTCCTCCTACAGCACAAGTCCGAGGCAAGCAGAAAGCTTGCTATGCTGAAACTCCCTTGGCTCCGATGATGTCAATAATCTTTTTGGATAAGGGGGTGACCAGGGCGGTTACTACCGAATGTTTAGCACCGGTATCTACAAGAAAATCAATGTCTTACCCCTAACTGTCATCCTGACCATAGGCTCTTTGGGGGTCCTTGAGCCCAGTCCCCCTCAGTCCAATAACCCTTCTGCCAGGTTGAGCAGGGCCCCTTCATCCTTGTCCGGGGCCTCCTGCTCTGAGTCACCTGGTTTTCTTTTTAGCTGAGGGCATTTGTTTTTCCAATGTCCTATTTCTTTACAATAAGCACACTGATTACGCTGCAAGCTCTGACAGCCAGGCTGAGTTTCCTTCCCGGGGCCCCCCTTCCCTTGCCTCTTTGTGGGGGGCCCCTCTGATTGCTGCCGCTCACAGGTCGGTGTTTCGCTGGGCCTGACATTCATTGTCTCTGTGGTTTTCCTTACGACTTACTGCATCCCTGTTTACAAATGCCTGGTTAGCTATTTCTAATAACTGTGATGTGTTCATCCCTGCAAACTCAGCCTGTTTCTGCAGTTTTCTTCTAATGTCTTCTGCGCTTTGACTAACTAAAGCCATGTTAATCATGCCTTGATTTTCAGGGCTATCGGGATCAAAGGGAGTATACATACCATAGGCCTCACACAGTCTCTCCTACAATTGTGCTGGACTTTCTTCTTTTCTCTGAATGACCTCAGAGACTTTGCTAACATTTGTGGCCTTCTGGGCTCCCCTCTTTAATCCTTCCAAGAGAGCTTCCCTGTCTCTGTTTAGCCTTTGCATATCCTCTCTTTCATGTGGGTCCCACTGGGGGTCAGTTCCTGGTAACTGGGTCCTTACATACTCTTGGGGTTTTTGGTAATCAGCTGGTGCATGTTCCTCTAGCCACTTAGTTGCTGCTTGGAGCACTCTCCGCCTTTCATCTGTGTTAAAGAGGAACATGAGCAACTGGTGGCAATCAGCCCAGGTGGGGTTATGGGTCTGGATAATAGTTTGGAGCAAATCAATCAGAGCTGGTGGCTTTTCGGTACAGGATGGGGTATTGTTTTTCCAGTTGAGAAGGTGGGCAGAGGTGAAGGGCTGGTACGCAAAAACACGCCTCCCCACCACGTGACCATCCTCATCTATCCCAGTATACTGCTGCTCTCTCAGGGGCATTTGTGTCCCCGTTTTGGGTCTTAAACGAACTGCCAAGGGAGGGGTTTCTCCCGAGTCCTCACCTCCTCTCTTATCTACTCTGGGTGGCCTAGGGATATGTTTGTCTTGTGGAGGCGCAAGCACTGTGGACTCAAAAGTGGGGAGCCTGCCTCCCTGGTAAGGAGAGGGCACCACTGGGATCACTGGTGCCATCTCCTGCAGTGGATCTTCTGAAGTTGGGTCGAACAGAACTTCAGGAGTTGATTTCCCTCTGCGGGTGGAGCGGGATCCTTCCTTGGCTATCTGTCACTTTGCTACTAGCACTGCTGCTGCCTGCCCTCTTAGCCACTGTGGGGGGTTTAGCATCAGCTGTAACCAAGTGTCTATGTATGGAAACTGGTCTGAGTGTGCTGACTTACCAGTTACATTGTGCCATACCTTAGAAACAAGGGACCTGTCCAGGCTTCCTTCTGATGGCCACCCTACTTCTAATGTTGGCCAATCTATTTCACACAAAGTTCTAAGTTCCCCAAAGTCTCCATTAAATCCTTTCTTAAAATTTTTCAACATAGTTCCCAGCAGAGTAGGCTTACTTTGTATCTGACCCACGTTTCCTCGAGACAAAACACCAAGCTCACACCACACGCACACCACAGAACAAAGAATGGGTAAGAAGGGCACACACACACTTTTTCAGTTTTCACCAAACCAGAATCAAAACCAAAATCAGAGTATCCAGAAATCCAAGCCAGGTCAAACCAAAACCAAAGTATCAAGCAATTCAAGTCAAGTCAAAAACAAAAACCAAAGTGCCAGTACAGGCACACCGTGGGTGATCAGGCCACGCTTCCACTCAAATGGAGTGGGCAAGTTCCAAAGACCAGTCTTACCAAGTTTCAAATGTCCGGACTCCAAGTGCCTCTTCCTTCCCTGTGTTCAGCCACTGTGTTGATCTTCCATGGGGGCCTACCACACACTGCTTTGACGAGGCATTCCTCCGGGGCAATTGCCTACCCGGGAGAGCTCTCAGGATCCGCGTCGCTCAAGCTGGCCGGAGTCCCCCTCAGGGATGCTCCACAGGGCAGGCCTAAGCCACCTAACGGGCTGCCTTGACTTTCCGTCAATTACCTCGCTTCCCGGTCAGGGAACCAAGACTAGGGTGGGGGCAGTCTTTAAAGCTGTCTTCAAGGAACAGAAAGAGGAGTGGGGAAAGGATTTAGGATCTATGGGGTCAGCTAGGTTTCCTTTTGTGAGTTTATATAATGGTTTTGTTAGGATGGCAAAACCAGGTATCTAAAGATGAAAGTATCCAACCATGCCCGGGAAGGAAAGGAGTTGTTGTTTTGTAGAAGGGGTTGGGGTTTGAGAGATTAGTCACACACGATCGGCAGGGAGAGCACGTGTGGTTTTATGAGAATTATGCTGAGATAGGTAACACATAAGGAAGAAATTTGGGCTTGACTGAAGTAATGGGGGCTGTCTGTGAAGCTTTGCGGCAGTACAGCCCAGGTAATTTGCTGAGCCTGATGGGTGTCAGGGTCAGTCCAAGTGAAAGCGAAGAGTGGCTGGGATGAAGGGTGCAAAGGAATAGTAAAGAAAGCATGTTTGAGATCCAGAACAGAATAAGGGGTTGTGGAGGGAGGAGTTGAGGATAGGAGAGTATATGTGTTTGGCACCTTGGGGTGGATAGGCAAAACAATTTGGTTGATAAGTCATAGATCCTGAACTAACTTGTAAGGCTTGTCTGGTTTTAGGACAGGTAAGATGGGGGAATTGTAAGGAGAGTTTATAGACTTTAAAAGGCCATGCTGTAGCAGGTAAGTGATAACAGGCTTTAATCCTTTCAAAGCATGCTGTGGGATGAGATATTGGCATTGAGCGGGGTAAGGGTGATTAGATTTTAATGAGATGGTAAGGGGTGCATGATAGGTCGCCAAGGAGGGAGTAGAGGTATCTTCTACTTGTGGGTTACGGTGGGTGGCAATGAGATGTATCTGTAGTCCGGGAATAGTCAGGGAAGCAGATAGTTTAGTTGAAGTGTCTCGTCTTAATAAGGGAACTGGGCAGGTGGGGATAACTAAAAAGGAGTGCTTAAAAGAGTATTGTCTAAGTTGCACCAGAGTTGGGGAGTTTTAAGAGGTTTAGAAGCCTGGCTGTCAATACCCACAACGGTTATGGAGACAAGGGAAACAGGCCCTTGAAAAGAAGGTAATGTGGAGTGGGTAGCCTCCGTATTGATTAAGAAGGGGATAGACTTACGCTCCACTGTGAGAGTAACCTAGAGCGTCTGTGATGGTCCTGTAGGCTTCCGAGGCGATCGATCAGGCAGTGTCGGTCTGCAGCTGCTAAGCCAAGAAGATCTGGGAAGGAGTCAGTCAGGGAGCCTTGGGCTGGAGTCCCAGGGGCTCTGGGAGTGGCTGCCAGGTGAGTTGAACAGTCCGATTTCTAGTGGGGTCCCGTACAGATGGGACATGGCTTAGGAGGAATCCCGGACTGCAGGCATTCCTTGGCCTGGTGGCCAGATTTCCGGCACTTGTAGCAAGCTCCTGGGGGAGGCGGTTCTGGAGGAATGCCTGGCCACTGCGCTTTAGGCGTTTGGAAGCTCTTGTGTGCTGGAGATGTGGCTGGGGTTTGTCTCACAGTGGAGGCAAGGAATTGCAACTGAGAAATATGTTGCTACTTGGCTGCCTCTACTCTATTATTGTACACCTTGAAGGCGAGGTTAATGAAGTCCTGTTGTGGGGTTTGAGGGCAGGAATTTAATTTTTGGAGTTTTATTTAACGTCGGGAGCAGATTGGGTAATAAAATGTATATTAAGAATAAGACGGTCTTTTGACCTTTTAGGGTCTAGGGCTCTAAAACATCTCAGGGTTGCTGCCAAACGAGCCATGAACTGGGGTTTATTTTTATATTTGATGAAAAAGAGCCTAAACCTTATCTGATTTGGGATAAAGAAAAAGGAGCATTAACTTTGACTATGCCTTTAGCTCCAGCCACCTTTTTAAGAGGAAATTGCTGGGCAGGTTGGGGAGGGCTTGTCATGGAACGAAACTGTCAGCCGGACCCAGTGTGAGGAGGGGAGGTGATAAAAGGATTATAGGGTGGAAGAGCAGAGGCTGAGGAAGAATTCAGGCCTAGCTCAGCCTGGCGAGGAGGGGAGAGGTCAGATGGGTCTGTAGAAAAGGAAGATTAGAAAGAGTCAGCGATGCTTGGGGTTGGGACTGAGGGGACAGGTGGGATGGAAAGAAGGAAGATTTGGGATGAGTTGCACTGGGAACAGACTAGGGAGGGACCGATGTGTAAAAGAATGCCTGGACATCAGTCACCTCAGACAATTTGCCCATTTTATGACAAGAATTATCTAGATCTTGTAGGATGGAAAAATTGAAAGTGTCATTTTCTGGCTATTTGGAACCACTGTCGAGTTTGTATTGGGGTCAAGTGGCATTGTGGAAGAAAATAAGGCATTTAGGTTTTAGGTCAGGTGTGAGTTGAAGAGGTTTTAGGTTTTTAAGAACACAGGCTAAGGGAGAAGAAAGGGGAATGGAGGGCGGAAGCTTGCCCATAGTGAAGGAGGCAAGCCCAGAGAAAAGAGAGAATAGAGACATGAAGAGAAGGGGTGGGGCATTCTTGCCTTCCAGAAAAGTGGGAAACGGGTTGGGGCACAGAAATAAAGGGTTGGGGTGCAGAGATAGGAGGTCAGGTTGTGGAAATAAGGGATCAGGGCACAGAGGTAAGAGGGTGGGGCATGGAAATAAGGGATCAGGGCACAGAGATAACAGGTCGGGGTTCCTGGGCCTCCCTCAGAAAAGCGGGACTTGCTGCTAAGGGTGAAGGACCAAGGCAGGCAGCCCTGCGTGGTCTGACACCTCTGAAACCTGGGTGAATAATCAGAGAGGCGTCCCTGCAATGATTAAACACCAAGGGAAGGCTGCCTTCCCTAGTCTGTGACCGGCACCGGAGTTTTGGGTCCATGGATAAAACGTGTCTACTTGGTCTCTACCAGAAAATGAAAGGAATTGAAATTAAGAGAAGGGAGAGATTGAAGTGTGGTGCCAAGATTGAAAGGAGAAAGAGGTTGAGGGATAGTAAGGGAGGTTGGAGAAGAGAGTAAAAAGAAGCTGCTTCCCAGATTTGAAATTGGTGAGATGTATCTTGGGCTGGTCAGTCTGAGGACCTGAGGTCATAGGTGGATCTTTCTCACAGAGCAAAGAGCAGGAGGACAGGGGATTGATCTCCCAAGGGAGGTCCCCCAGTCCGAGTCACAGCACCAAATTTCACATGCATCCGTGTGAAGAGACGACCAAACAGGCTTTGTGTGAGCAATAAAGCTGTTTATTTCACCTGGGTTCAGGTGGGCTGAGTCCAAAAAGAGAGTCAGCAAAGGGAGATGGGGTGGGGCGATTTTATAGGATTTGGGTAGGTAAAGGAAAGAGGGGGTTGTTCTCTGGCAGGAAGGGTTGGGGTCACAAGGTGCTCAGTAGGGGAGCTTTTTGAGCCAGGATGAGCAAGGAGAAGGAATTTCACAAGATAATGTCATCAGTTAAGGCAGGAACTGGCCATCTGGATGTGTACATGCAGGTCACAGGGGACATGATGGCTTAGCTTGGGCTCAGAGGCCTGACACTCTTCCTCCAGAGGAGGAGACCCAGACAGAAGAGGAGGAGGCAAGGTGATCACAGAGGCAGAGATTGGATCATGCAGCCACAAGTTGAGGAATTCTAGTAGCCTCTATAAGCTGGAAGATGCAAGGAATGGATTCTCCCCTAGAACCTCTGAAGAAGCATGCTCCTGCTGACCTTTGATTGATTTTGGACTTCTGGCCTCCAGACAATTTTTTTTTTTTTTTTTTTTAGACAGAGGCTTGCTCTGTTGCCCAGTCTGAAGTGCAGTGGCACAATGTCAGTTCACTGCAACCTCCACCTCCCAGGCTCAAGCCATTCTCTTGCCTCAGCCTCCCAAGAAGTGGGGAATACAGGTGCCTGCCCCCATGCATGGCTAATTTTTGTATTTTTAGTAGAGACGAGGTTTTGCCATATTGGCCAGGCTGGTCTCAAATTCCTGGCCTCAAGTGATCCACCCACCTCAGCTTCCCAAAGTCCTGAGATTATTTAGGTGTGAGCCACGGCACCCGGCCCAGACATTGTTTGAAGCCACCCATTTCATGGTTCTTTGCTGCAGTGGTTGTGGAATATGAATGCACTCGTGCTGTTGGTTAGACTTTGCTGACCTTGTGTCTGTTATTCCCTGGCAGTTCTACAAGGCCTGGAGCTGATACGAAAAACCTCCCTTCTTTCCCAAATGCTCCCCAGCTTCCCCGTTCACTGAAGGCCCTGCAGTCAGGAACAGTCAGGACTTTGCACCCAGTTGTTGTGGGTGTTTGGCCGACTCTTCCTCTTGTGTGATTCATGGACCCTCAGCATTGCATCACCTAGGAGCTTTTGGAATTGAAGACTCTCAGGGCTCACCCGGAAGGACCTCCTGGGCCAGAATCTGCATTTTAACAAGATGCTCAGGTGATTTGCATACACGTTCAGATCTGAGAAGCGCTAATAAGGGAGACTTTAAGGTGGTAATTAGATCTTTTCTCCACCTGCAAGAATCTTAGTTTCTTCATGTTAAATCTATTAACTGTGGCAATGTAATGGAGGTTATAAAACAAAACAAAATCCTTACATCAAGAATGCACCCTGGTGTGTTATGGATGTGGGTGAAATGAAGTGTCTGGAATTTGCTTTAAAATATCCTAAAATAGCAAGAAGGAAAAGAAAAGTGGAAACTGGAATGAGATTGGAGAAATATTGACAAGTTCTTGCAGTGGGATGATGAGTGCATGGGGGTTCATGGTGTAATTCTCTCCCTGCTTTTTATGCATATGGGAAATTTCCATAATGAATAGTTAGAGGTCGGGCACGGTGGCTCATGCCTGTAATCTCAGCATTTTGGGAGGCTGAGGTGGGTAGATTGCTTGAACCTAGGAGTTCAAGACCATCCTGGACAACATGGTGAAACCCCATCTCTACTAAAAATGCAAAAATTAGGCATAGTGACAACATGCCTGTAGTCATGTTGAGGCACAAGTTTGAGACATGAGAATCACTTGAACCCAGGAGGCAGAGGTTGCAGTGAGCCAAGATCGCACCATTTCACTCCAGCCTGGGTGACAGAGTGAGACTTGGTCTCAAAAAAATTTTAATTTTCTTTTTGTTTTTGAGATGGAGTCTTGCTCTTTTGCCCAGGCTGGAGCGTAGTGGTGACATCTTGGCTCACTGCAAGCTCCACCTCCCGAATTCACTCCATTCTTCTGCCTCAGCCTCCAGAGTAGCTGGGACTATAGGCACCCAGCACCATGTCCGGCTAATTGTTTGTATTTTTAGTAGAGATGGGGTTTCACCGTGTTAGCCAGGATGGTCTCAATCTCCTCACCTCGTGATCTGCCCACCTTGGCCTCCCAAAGTGCTGGGATTACAGGCATGAGCCATCGTGCCCGGCCTTAATTTTGTTTAATTTTTTTCTTTTTTGAGACAGGATCTGTAACCCAGGCTGGAGTGCAGTGGTGCGATCCCGGCTCACTGCAGCCTCTACCTCCTGGGTTCAAGCGATCCTCCCACCTCAGCCTCCCAAGTAGCTGAGACCACAGGCATGTATCACCACACCTGGCTAATTTTTTCCCTTTTTCTAGAGGCAAGGTCTTGCTATTTTTCCCAGGCTGGTCTTGAACTCCTGAGTTCAAGCAATCTTCCCACCTCAGCCTGGGAGTAATCCCAAAGTGCTGGGATTACAGGTGCGAGTCACTCTACCCAGCCTCAACTGTTTTTCATGACTCCACTTTTTCTCCCCTCTTGGAAATGAGTAGTCTTTGAGGGAATGTCTTTTTTGTCTCAATCTCTGGTTTCTTTACTCAGTGCACCTGTGTTTGGGGCTTTGTTGATCTCCAGGCCTTTTTCAGCAGCGTTGTCCCTGGAGAGCAGGATGGGAGCTGATGGCTTCTCAGCATCTTTTAACTCAGTTTAAAGATGACTGTCAACAACATCTAGTCAGCATCTGTTTCTCTCGGCAGCTGGGACTTCATTTCTTTTCTCTTTCTCCACCTCTTTAACCTCTTTAAGACTCTGTCTTTGTCATGGGTACAGCATCCCCTGTGTGGCCCTTAGGCTGTCTTACTTACATGTGATCTGCGTATTATGTCTTTACTTCAGGGCTTCTCAACCGGGAGTGATTTTGCCCCCCAGAGAACATGTGGCCATGTCTGGAGACAATTTTGGTGGTTGCGGCTGGAGGAGGTGGTGCTACTGGCAGCTAATGGGTAGAGGCCAGCGATGCTGCTAAGCATCCTACAATGCCCCGACAACTCCCACTAAGACAAAAGAATGATCCAGCCCCAAATGTCAATAGTGCTGAAAGTGAGAGACCCTGATTCCATCTTAGAGATCATCCAAGCACACTTGGCCAAATTGGTTTTGCTACTGTCCCATGAAGAAAAGGCAGACTCATGACTGATGGCAACATCGATGGGAATTTTGTTTACCTCTTCTTTGTGGACTTTGGGTTACGATGACTTACCATTTGTGCAAGTTGTGCATTGCATACCTCCAGGGGGCGCCACCCACATATTTATGAAAATGCCACCCCAGGAATTGCACAGTACATAGTCTACATGGCAATAAGCAGTTGCTCTGGTTTTGGGGTTGTCCTGAGGTGCTCTGGAACTGGGAGGAACTTTATTTCTGGCCATTAGAGGCCCTGAGCATGACTTTGAGTATCCTTTCAAGAAAGGAGAAATGTTGAACAGAGACGACCTCATTTTTATAACTCTTGACCATCATCTAGTTACGGAGCATCCACTTTTCACCCCTGGGCCATATCCATTTGAAGGGTGAAAAATCATCAAATTATAATATCATGGCTTATACTTTTGATAGCTTCTGCCCGGAACATGGCGGTAACAGCTTCTCATTTTCAATTGAGTCATTGGGGGAGAAAATATACACGGCTGCCCTAAGACTTTCTATTACATACCACTTGTTTGACGAGATTTCTTTAGTTTCTGCAGCATAACTTATTCTAACTGGTCCTCAATCACTTTGCAATAAAACCTGAGATTGTGAAGATGTTCATTGTCATTACCAGTGACGGAGCAGTAAGTACAGAGTTCTGGAGAGGGAAGGAATCGAGAGAGTTAAACTAGCAGAATGAGCCGCTCATCCTCAGAATTGCTTTTAATCTTGGTGAGAACTGAGGGGAATTTTGACAGTGTTCAGGGGGACTGCGGGGAGTGGGGCTGGGAAGTGGCTGTTTGCACGTGTGGTCAGCAAATCCAGTGAGGGGGTCCATGTACTGTGGGCAGCCCCACAGATGGAGTTGGGATTGCCCTAGACTGAGTACTGGGTCATCAGTACTCAAGACATCGAGGCCCAGGCTGGTGCAGGAGATACATTGCACTGTTTCAGCCTTTCTTCTATCGCTCCTCTCCAATGACAGTCCCCGATTTTCCGCCGAGGAATCACTAGTCCCCCATGACATGTGTGCGACTGGCCATTCCCCACCCTGATCTGGAGCTGGGGCATGTGGTCCCAGCCTGGATGTCAGTATCCTTCCACCACCCTGGCCACAGTGATTGGGTCTGAGAAGCAGATTAGCCAAAGGAGAGACAATCTTGGAAATTCCACATTCATGCTTAAGAAAGTAAAATGGAAAGCGGGGGGAGGGTGAGGGTTCATTCTGATAATACAGTTTTAGGACCTGGATGTAGCCACACCTGTAGCTGTCAACTCTGTGCCATAGTACTGCTTTTTTTTTTTTTTTCCTTCAAATTTAAATACTTTCTAAAGGCAAGGTCTTGCTATGTTGCTTAGGCTGGTTTTGAAAAGTCCCTTTTTGGGGGATGCTTTCACTGCTTCACTTCCTTTCTATGAGCTGTCGCTCATGGAATCAGAAGACAAGGGAGATGATTTTTTTGTTTGTTTGTTTGAGACAGGGCTTGCTCTGTTGCCCAGGCTGGAGTGCAGTGGTGCAATCACAGCTCGCCACAGCCTTGATCTTCTGGACTCAAGAGACCCTCCTGCTTCAGCCTGTTGAGTAGCTGGGACTGTAGGTGGGTACCAACATGGCCAGCTAATTAAATTTTTTTTTTTTTTTTTAGAAGTGAGATCTCACTATGTCACCCAGGCTGGCCTCAAACTCCTGGGCTCAAGTGATCGCCCTGCCTTAGCTTCCCAAACATACAAGGGTGAGCCCCCACACCAGTCAACGCTGTGGTTTTATGCATCTGGTGTCCCCCTACGCCCTGAGAAATGATCCTCCTGCTTCAACCTCCCAAAGTGCTGGGATAACAGATGTGAAGCAGCATGTGTGGCCCACATAGTATTCTTATGGGTTAAATTGAGTCCTCCTCAAAACATGTTGAAATCCTAAATTCTAGTAGCTCAGAATGTGACCTTATTTAGAAATAGAGTTATTGCGGGCCAGGCGTGGTGGCTCATGCCTGTAATCCCAGCACTATGGGAGGCCAAGGCGGGTGGATCACCTGCGGTCAGGAGTTTGAGACCAGCCTGACCAACAAGGAGAAACCCCGTCTCTACTAAAAATTCAAAATTACCTGGGTGTGGTGGCGCATACCTGTAATCCCAGCTACTCAGGAGGCTGAGGCAGGAGAATTGCTTGAACTCAGGAGGCGGAGGTTGCATTGAGCTGAGATCGCGCTATTGCACTCCAGCCTGGGCAACAAGAGGAAACTCCGTCTCAAAAGAAAGAAAGAAAAAGAAAGAAAGAAAGAGAGAGAGAGAGAGAGAGAGAGAGAGAGAAAGAAAGAAAGGAAAGAGAAATAAAGAAAGAAAGAAAAGAAAGAAAAAGAAAGAAAGAAAAAGAAAGAAAGAAAGAAAGAAAGAAAGAAAGAAAGAAAGAAAGAAAGAGGGTTATTGTAGATGCTGTTGATTAGGATGAAGTCATCCTGGAGTAGGGAGGGCCTAAGTCAATGACTGGTGTCCTTATAAAAAAGGAGAGGACACGCCGAGTCACAGAGACACAGGTAAGAAGGCCATGGATTGGATGGAAGATTGGACTGATGTGTATGCAAACCAGGAAACACTGAAGACTGCCAGGAGACCACAGGAAGCTAGGAAGAGGCAAGGCAGGACTCCCCGACAAGTGCAGGAGGGAGTGTGGCCCTGCTGGCACCTCCATTTCAGACTGCTGGCCACCAGAGCCACAAGACAATCAATTTCTCTGGTTTCAAGTCACCCAGCTTTTGGTACTTGGTTGTGGCAGCCCTTGAGAATGAATATAAGTACTTTCTCTTTTTTTTTCTTTTTTTGAGATGGAGTCTCACTCTGTTGCCCAGGCTGGAGTGCAGTGGCACGATCTTGGCTTACTGCAACCTCTGCCTCCTGGGTTCAAGTGATTCTCCTGCCTCAGCCTCCCAAGTAGCTGGGATTACAGGTGTGCGCTATCATGCTCTACTAAGTTATGTAGAGACGGGGTTTCACCATATTGGCCAGGCTGGTCTCGAACTCCTGACCTCAGGTGATCCACCTGCCTCGGCCTCCGAAAGTGCTGGGATTACAGGCGTGAGCCACCATGCCTGGCTGGTTTTGAAGAAGCCAGCCACATGAGTTCCACAGTTGCATGGAAATAAATTCTGCCAACAACCATGTGAGGTTGGGAGAAGACCCCAAGCCTCATATGAGACACTAATTCCAGCCGACACCTTGATCACAACCTTGTAAGTACCTGAGCAGAGGACACAGCTAAAGCTGCACCCCCAGACTCCTGACCCACAGGAAAGGAGAGGTAATAGATGGATGTTTTAAGCTGCTAAATTTGTGCTGATTTGTTATGCAGCTTAGAAAATGAATACATCATCCCATTTTTAAAAAATCATAAGCTAATCACACCATTCGATTTCTTTTTTTTTTTTTTTTTTTGAGACAGAGTCTCACTCTATCACCCAGGCTGGAGTGCAATGGCACAATCTTGGCTCACTGTAACCTCTGCCTCCCAGGTTCAAGTGATTCCCTTGCCCCAGCCCCCCAAGTAGCTGGGACTACAGGCAAGCACAACCACACCCAGCTAATTTTTATATTTTTAGTAGAGATGGAGTTTCACCAGGAGTCTCGAACTCCTGACCTCAAATGACCTGCCTGCCTCAGCCTCCCAAAGTGCTGGGGTTACTGACATGAGCCACTACACACGGCCTGACACACCATTCAATTTTAAGGAACTTCCAGGTGCTGTGGTCACGTTCCTCTTGTGTGGCATGCAGGTGGGGAGAGATGAGTTGGAAGATGACTGGATTGGGGCATGGAGCTAGTTGGGAAGAGGAAAAGTGTCTTGAAGGAAGTAAGTCCCTTCGGATAAGGGAGGGAGAAGCTTGATCAATATGCAGACTTTCACAGTCCTTCAGTCCTGGAGATATTGGTGGAGAGACAGGTCTTGCCTTACATTTGAGAGTTACCCTCCCAGGCAGAGGCCCTACTTCCACCTTCTTGCAGGTGGAGCTGGGGGGCAAATACTTAGATGAGAAACGAACACCCTTTGTAAGCATGTGAAAAGTTTCTGGAGTGGAGAGATGATGAAGCAGGATATTTGGAGCCAACAGCCAAAGTTTTTATTTTTTATTTTGTATTATACTTTAAGTTTTAGGGTACATGTGCACAACGTGCAGGTTTGTTACATATTTATACATGTGCCATGTTGGTGTGCTGTACCCATTAACTCGTCATTTAACATTAGGTATATCTCTTAATGCTATCCCTCCTCCCTCCCCCGACCCCACAACAGGCCCCAATGTGTGATGTTCCCCTTCCTGTGTCCATGTGTTCCCATTGTTTAATTCCTACCTATGAGTGAGAACATGTGGTGTTTGGTTTTTTGTCCTTGCAATAGTTTGCTGAGAATGATGGTTTCCAGCTTCATCCATGTCCCTACAAAGGACGTGAACTCATCATTTTTTATGGCTGCATAGTATTCCATGGTGTATATGTGCCACATTTTCTTAATCCAGTCTATCGTTGTTGGACATTTGGCTTGGTTCCAAGTCTTTGCTATTGTGAATAGTGCTGCTATAAACATACGTGTGCATGTGTCTTTATAGCAGCATGATTTATAATCCTTTGCGTATATACCCAGTAATGGGATGGCTGGGTCAAATGGTATTTCTAGTTCTAGATCCCTGAGGAATTGCCACACTGAATTCCACAATGGTTGAACTAGTTTACAGTCCCACCAACAGTGTAAAAGTGTTCCTATTTCTCCACATCCTCTCCAGCACCTGTTGTTTCCTGACTTGTTAATGATTGCCATTCTAACTGGTGCGAGATGGTATCTCACTGTTGTTTTGACTTGCATTTCTCTGGCTAGGGATGATGAGCATTTTTTTCACGTGTCTTTTGTCTGCATAAATGTCTTCTTTTGAGAAGTGTCTGTTCATATCCTTTGCCAACTTTTTGATGGGTTGTTTTTTTCTTGTAAATTTATTGGAGCTCATTGTAGATTCTTGATATTAGCCCTTTGTCAGATGAGTAGATTGCAAAAATTTTCTCCCATTCTGTAGGTAGCCTGTTCACTCTGATTGTAGTTTCTTTTGCTGTGCAGAAGCTCTTTAGTTTAATTAGATCCCATTTGTTAATTTTGCCTTTTCTTGCCGTTGCTTTTGGTGTTTTAGACCTGAAGTCCTTGCCCATGCCTATGTCCTGAATGGTATTGCTGAGGTTTTCTTCTAGGGTTTTTATGGTTTTAGGTCTAAAATTTAAGTCTTTAATCCATCTTGAATTAATTTTTGTATAAGGTGTAAGGAAGGGATCCAGTTTCAGCTTTCTCCATATGGCTAGCCAGTTTTCCCAGCACCATTTATTAAATAGGGAATCCTTTCCCCATTGCTTGTTTTTGTCAGGTTTGTCAAAGATCAGATGGTTGTAGATATGTGGCATTATTTCTGGGGGCTCTGTTCTGTTCCATTGGTCTATATCTCTGTTTTTGTACCAGTACATGCTGTTTTGGTTACTGTAGCCTTGTAGTATAGTTTGAACTCAAGTAGTGTGATGTCTCCAGCTTTGTTCTTTTGGCTTAGGATTGACTTGGCAATGTGGGCTCTTTTTTGGTTCCATATGAACTTTAAAGCAGTTTTTTCCAATTCTGCGAAGAAAGTCATTTGTAACTTGATGGGGATGGCATTGAATCTATAAATTACCTTGGGCAGTATGGCCATTTTCACGATATTGATTCTTCCTACCCATGAGCATGGAATGTTCCTCCATTTGTTTGTGTCCTCTTTTATTTCGTTGAGCAGTGGTTTATAGTTCTCCTTGAAGAGGTCCTTCACATCCCTTGTAAGTTGGATTCCTAGGTATTTTATTCTCTTTGAAGCAATTGTGAATGGGAGTTCACTCATGATTTGGCTCTCTGTTTGTCTGTATTGGTGTATAAGCATGCTTGTGATTTTTGCACATTGATTTTGTATCCTGAGACTTTGCTGAAGTTGCCTATCAGCTTAAGGAGATTTTGGGCTTAGACAATGGGGTTTTCTAGATATACAATCATGTCATCTGCAAACAGGGACAATTTAACTTCCTCTTTTCTTAATTGAATACCCTTTATTTCCTTCTCCTGCCTGATTGCCCTGGCCAGAACTTCCAACACTATGTTGAATAGGACTGGTGAGAGAGGGCATCCCTGTCTTGTACTAGTTTTCAAAGGGAACGCTTCCAGTTTTTGCCCATTCAGTATGATATTGGCTGTGGGTTTGTCATAGATAGCTCTTATTATTTTGAGATACGTCCCATCAATACCTAATTTATTGAGAGTTTTTAGCATGAAGGTTGATGAATTTTGTCACAGGCCTTTTCTGCATCTAATGAGATAATCATATCGTTTTTGTCATTGTTTCTGTTTATATGCTGGATTATGTTTACTGATTTGAATATGTTGAACCAATCTTACATCCAAGGGAGGAAGCTCACTTGATCATGGTGGAAAAGTTTTTGATGTGCTGCTGGATTCGGTTTGCCAGTATTTTATAGAGGATTTTTGCACCGATGTTCATCAGGGATATTGGTCTAAAATTCTCTTTTTTGGTTGTGTCTCTGCCAGGCTTTGGTATCAAGATGATGCTGGCCTCATAAAATGAGTTAGGTAGGATTCCCTCTTTTTCTATTGTTTGGAATAGTTTCAGAAGGAATGATACCAGCTCCTCCTTGTACCTCTGGTAGAATTCGGCTGTGAATCCGTCTGGTCTTGGACTTTTTTGGTTGGTAAGCTATTAATTATTGCCTCAATTTCAGAGTCTGTTATTGGTCTATTCAGAGATTCAACTTCTTCCTGGTTTAGCCTTGGTAGGGTGTACGTGTCGAGGAATTTATCCATTTCTTCTAGATTTTCTAGTTTATTTGCATAGAGATGTTTGTACTATTCTCTGACGGTAGTTTGTATTTTTTCTGGGATTGGTGGTGATATCCCCTTTATCAATTTTTATTGTGTCTATTTGATTCTTCTCTCTTTTCTTCTTTATTAGTCTTGCTAGTAGTCTATCAATTTTGTTGATCTTTTCAAAAAACCATCTCCTGGATTCATGGATTTTTTGAAGGTTTTTTTGTGTCTCTATTTCCTTCAGTTCTGCTCTGATCTTAGTTATTTCTTGCCTTCTGCTAGCTTTTGAATGTGTTTGCTCTTGCTTTTCTAGTTCTTTTAATTGTGATGTTAGGGTGTCAATTTTAGATCTTTCCTGTTTTCTCTTGTGGGCATTTAGTGCTATAAATTTCCCTCTACACACTGCTTTGAATGTGTCCGAGAGATTCTGGTATGTTGTGTCTTTGTTCTCGTTGGTTTCAAAGAACACCTTTATTTCTGCCTTCATTTCATTATGTACCCAGTAGTCATTCAGGAGCAGGTTGTTCAGTTTTCATGTAGTTGAGTGGTTTTGAGTGAGTTTCTTAATCCTGAGTTCTAGTTTGACTGCACTGTGGTCTGAGAGACAGTTTGTTATAATTTCTGTTGTTTTACATTTGCTGAAGAGTGCTTCACTTCCAAATATGTGGTCAATTTTGGAATAAGTGTGTTGTGCTGAGAAGAATGTATATTCTGTTGATTTGGGGTGGAGAGTTCTGTAGATGTCTATTAGGTCCACTTGGTGCAGAGCTGAGTTCAATTCCTGAATATACTTGTTAACTTTCTGTCTCGTTGATCTGTCTAATGTTGACAGTGGGGTGTTAAAGTCTCCCATTATTATTGTGTGGGAGTCTAAGTCTCTTTGTAGGTCTCTAAGGACTTGCTTTTTGAATCTGGGTGCTCCTGTATTGGGTGCATACATATTTAGGATAGTTAGCTCTTCTTGTTGAATTGATCCCTTTACCATTATGTAATGGCCTTCTTTGTCTCGTTTGAT
This sequence comes from Homo sapiens, assembly GCF_000001405.40. Lineage (NCBI taxonomy): Eukaryota > Metazoa > Chordata > Mammalia > Primates > Hominidae > Homo > Homo sapiens. The sequence continues at coordinate 8,304,841 of NC_000012.12, forward strand.
CTTTGTTGGTTTAAAGTCTGTTTTATCAGAGACTAGGATTGCAACACCTGCCTTTTTTTTGTTTTCCATTTGCTTGGTAGATCTTCCTCCATCCTTTTATTTTGAGCCTATGTGTGTCTCTGCACATGAGATGGTTTTCCTGAATACAGCACACTGATGGGTCTTGACTCTTTATCCAATTTGCCAGTCTGTCTTTTAATCAGAGAATTTAGCCCATTGACATTTAAGGTTCATATAGTTATATGTGAATTTGATCCTGTCATTATGATGTTAGCTGGTTATTTTGCTCATTAGTTGATGCAGTTTCTTCCTAGCCTTGATGGTCTTTACCATTTGGCATGTTTTTGCAGTGGCTGGTACTGATTGTTCCTTTCCCTGTTTAGTGCTTCCTTCAGGAGCTCTTGTAGGGCAGGCCTGGTGGTGACAAAATCTCTCAGCATTTGCTTGTCTGTAAAGTATTTTATTTCTCCTTCACTTATGAAGCTTAGTTTGGCTGGATTTGAAATTCTGAGTTGAAAATTTTTTTCTTTAAGAATGTTCAATATTGGCCCCCACTCTCTTCTGGCTTGTAGAGTTTCTGCTGAGAGATCAGCTGTTAGTCTGATGGGCTTCCCTTTGTGGGTAACCTGACCTTTCTCTCTGGCTGCCCTTAACATTTTTTCTTTCATTTTAACTTTGGTGAATCTGACAATTATGTGTTTTAGAGTTGCTCTTCTTGAGGAGTATCTTTGTAGTGTTCTCTGTATTTCCTGAATTTGAATGTTGGCCTGCCTTGCTAGATTGGGGAAGTTCTCCTACATAATATCCTGCAGAGTGTTTTCCAACTTGGTTCCATTCTCCCTGTGACTTTCAGGTACACCAATCAGACGTAGATTTGGTCTTTTCACATAGTCCCATATTTCTTGGAGGCTTTGTTCATTTCTTTTTATTCTTTTTTCTCTAAACTTCTCTTCTTGCTTCATTTCATTCATTTCATCTTCCATCACTGATACCCTTTCTTCCAGTTGATCGAATCGGCTACTGAGGCTTGTGCATTTGTCACGTAGTTCTCGTGCCTTGGTTTTCAGCTCCATCAGGTCCTTTAAGTACTTCTCTGCATTGGTTACTCTAGTTAGCCATTCGTCTAATTTTTTTTCAAGGTTTTTAACTTCTTTGCCATGGGTTCGAACTTCCTCCTTTAGCTCGGAGTAATTTAATCGTGTGAAGCCTTCTTCTCTCAACTTGTCAAAGTCATTCTCTGTCCAGCTTTATTCCATTGCTGGTGAGGAGCTGCATTCCTTTGGAGGAGGAGAGGCACTCTGATTTTTAGAGTTTCCAGTTTTTCTGCTCTGTTTTTTCCCCATCTTTGTGGTTTTATCTACCTTTGGTCTTTGATGATAGTGACGTAAAGATGGGGTTTTAGTGTGGATGACTTTTCTGTTTGTTAGTTTTCCTTCTAAGAGTCAGGACCCTCAGCTGCAGGTCTGTTGGAGTTTGCCTGGGTGTCAGCAGTGGAGGCTGCAGAACAGAGGATATTGGTGAGCAGCAAATGTTGCTGCCTGATTGTTCCTTTGGACGTTTTGTCTCAGAGGAGTACCCGGCCATGTGAGGTGTCAGTCTGCCCCTATGAGGGGGTGCCTCCAGTTAGGCAACTCAGGGGTCAGGGACCCACTTGAGGAGGCAGTCTCTCCATTCTCAGATCTCCAGCTGCATGCTGGGAGAACCAGTATTCTCTTCAAAGCTGTCAGACAGGGATATTTAAGTCTGCAGAGGATTCTCTGCCTTTTGTTTGCCAATGCCCTGCCCCCAGAGGTGGAGCCTACAGAGGCAGGCAGGCCTCCTTGAGCTGTGGTGGGCTCCACCCGGTTGGAGCTTCCCAGCTGCTTTGTTTACCTACTGGAGCCTAGGCAATGGTGGGCGTCCTTCCCCCAGTCTTGCTGCCACCTTGCAGTTTGATCTCAGACTGCTGTGCTAGCAATGAGTGAGGCTCCATGGGTTTAGGACCCTCTGAGCCAGGCACAGGATATAATCTCCTGGTGTGCCGTTTGCTAAGACCATGGGAAAAGTGCAGTATTAGGGTGGGAGTGACCCGATTTTCCAGGTGCCATCTGTCACCCGTTTCTTTGACTAGGGAAGGGAATTCTCTGACCCCTTGCACTTCCCGGGTGAGGCAATGCCTCGCCCTGCTTAGGATCATGCTTGGTGTGCTGCACCAAGTGTCCTGCACCCACTTTCTGACACTCCCCAGTGAGATGAACCCAGTACCTCAGTTGGAAAAGCAGAAATCACCTGTCTTCTGCATCGCTCATGCCAGGAGTTGTAGACTGGAGCTGTTCCTATTCGGCCATCTTGGCTCCACCCCCGCTATTATGATTCTTACACAGAGTTCTTTGCTTTCCAGCAGCCTCCTCTTCCTCCTTTTTAGGTTGGAATCCCTCTATTTTAGTGGCCACTGGGATTCTGAAATGACCAGGTCTTTGTCTCAGAGACCTCACACATGCTCTTCCCTCTGCCTGGAACACTTTTCCTTGCTGTGGTCCCCTGAGATCTCTTTCAGCTCAACTGCCCCATGCTCAGAGACCCCCTTTCTCCCTCTCTAGTTTGAAGCCAGTTTACCCCTGTAGTCTGTGCCTGGAAAACTCGTTTTCCTCCTTGATGCCTCCTGAGTTGTCACAGGATGTATGTGCCTGTTTGGGTGTCTGGTGTCTGTCTCCCCGACTGGACTGCATGCTCCTGGTGAGCTGGAGAGACTGGACTAGCATAGGCCAAGGCCCTGGGGCTGGAAGGAGCAGGGCAGAAGGCACAGGCAAAAGGTCTGTGATCTAGAAGGAAGTGAAGGAGAGGGAGAGAGATGAGAGAGATGCAGAAGATGGGCCAGGGGCCAGGCTGTGTGGAATCTTTTGGGCCACAAAAAGACATTTGAGTTCTTATGTAAGAGGACCAGGACACCATTGGAGGGTATGAGTCACCTCATCTAACTGAGCTCTGTAAATGTCAAGGTTTCATTATTTTTATACAATTATTTAAAAGTGATTTTAGTTATTTACCTTTTTATTTTTATTACTTTTATTTTTTTTTGAGACAAAATCTTGCTCTGTTGCCCAAACTGGAGTGCAATGGCATGATCTCGGCTCACTTCAACTTCCACCTCCTGGGTTCAAGTGATTCTCCTGTATCAGACTCCCGAGTAGCTGTCGTTATAGGCATCTGCCACCACGCCCAGCTTATTTTTGTATTTTTAGGATAGACGACATTTCACCATGTTGGCCAAGCTGGTCTTGAACTCCTGACCTCAGGTGATCCACCTGCCTCAGCCACCCAAAGTGCTGGGATTACAGGGGTGAGTCACCATGCTCGGCCTTATTTACTTTTTTAAAAAAGAACAGGCCAGTCACGGTAGCTCGTGTCTCCAATCTCAGCACTTTGGGAAGCTGAGGTGGGATGATCACTTGAGGCCAGGAGTTCAAAACCAGCCCAGGCAACATAGTGAGACACCCCCTTCCCCAATTTCTAAGAAAATGAGAAAATTAGGCATGGTAGCTTGTCTGTATCCCTAGCTACTGGGGATCCTGAGCTAGGGAGGACTGCTTGAGACCAGGAGTTTGAGGCTCCACTGACCTGTGATTATGCCACTGAGCTACAGCCTGGGCAACAGAGTGAGGCCCCGGAGCCGCCTCAGCCTCCCTAGAGCTGACCGAGCTTTTGCTTCTTATCACAGGGAATGACGGACGCTGGGGCTTTGATGGGCATCGGATGAAATGGGCAGAGTGACGCTTACCTGGGATGGTAGTGAAGTGGGATGGGGAGGTCATTGTGACAGGGGGCTGCATGGGTAATTGGCCTTGATGCCCTCCCCGGCCAGACGGTCCAGGTTGGGGGTGTCCACACCCTGATCCTAGTCCCAGCGGAAGCCCTGGAAGATGAGCAGCAGTAGTGAGTGCTCTTCTTCCCTGGGAGGGGGTGGCCGCCCAGCAGGACAGGCAGCGGCAGCAGCAGCTGGAGGGCGCCGAGCCATGTCATCCCACGAGCACCTGTCATGCACTCCTCACAGAGTTCATGGGCTTCTCCCTCTTTAGTCCGTTGTTGAACGAAGTCCACATTAATAATTCAGCCCAGCTCTGTTGTGGGACAAACAAACTGGAGTGTAGCAAGGTGCTGCATATTTGCAGGACAGTATGAAAGCATTCTGGAGATGGATGGGGGACATGGCTGTACAATGTGGTGGATGCACTTAACACCACTGAATTTTTCCTTTGAAAATGGCTAAAATAATAGATTTTGTATGTATTTTACCACAATAAAAAATCAAACTGGCCGGGCATGGTGGCTTACACCTGTAATCCCAGCACTTTGGGAGGCCAAGGCAGGTAGATCATTTGAGGTCGGGATTTCAAGACCAGCCTGGCCAACATGGAGAAACCACATCTCTACTAAAAATGCAAAAATTGCCAGGCATGGCGGTGCATGTCTGTAATCCCAGCTACTCGGGAGGCTGAGGCAGGAGAATTGCTTGAACCCGGGAGGCAGAGGTTGCAGTGAGCCGAGATTGCGCCACTGCATTCCAACCTGGACGATGGAACGAGACTGCATCTCCAAAAAAAAAAGAAAAAAAAAAATCAAACCACATGAAATATTTTGGACTCTTATACTAATTCCAACATTTTGAAGATCTGGGGAGAACAAACTAGATTGGTGCTTTCCTTGGCTTATTATGTCCTGTTTTTATAGAGAGAGCAAATTATTGTTCACCAGCACTATTAAAATAGCTACAACAGGATGGGCATGGTGGCTCACACCTGTAATCCCAGCACTTTGGGAAGCTGAGGTGGGAGGATCGCTTGAGCCCAGGAGTTCAAGATGCCAGCCTGGGCAAAATGGTGAGACCCTGCTACTACCAAAAAATACAACAACAACAACAAAAATAGCTAGGTGTGGTTGTGTGCATCTGTAGTCCCAGCTACTTGAGAGGCTGAAGTGGGAGGATCACTTGTGCCCAGGAGGTTGAGGCTGCAGTAAGCCGTGATTATGCCACTGTACTCAGCCTGGGTGACAGAGTGAGACCCTGTATGGAAAAAAAAATAAAAAGTTGCAGTGGACTCGGTGATCATGAGGCCAGGCACTGTATACATGTACATCATCTCATTTAATTTTTTCTCTTGTTTAAAATTAGTTTTTCCTCTAATCCCCATGTTGATCGACATCTTTTTAATCCTAGGAATTAGTTGAAAATTTCGCGTAAGAATTAAAAGTTGCCTGGCCTGATGGCTTACACCTGTTATCCCAGCACTTTGGGAGGCTGAGATGAGAGAATCACTTGAAGCCGGGAGTTTGGGCCAGTCTGGGCAATATTGCGAGAATGCAACTCTATAAAAAAATTTAAAAAGCTGGGTGTGGTAGGGTTCACATGTAGTCCCAGCTACTTGGAAGACTAGGTGTGAGGATTGCTTGAGCCCAGGCGGTAAAGGCAGCAGTGAGCTATGATTGTGCCGTTGCACTGCAGCCTGGGTGATGGAGTGAGACTCTATCTCTAAAATAAATGAATAAAATTGTGGTATAATATATGCAACATTTACCATTTTGTGTATCTGAAAGTGTACAAGTCAGTGACATTTTGTACATTTATCATGTTGTGCAATTATCACCACTACCTAGTTTCAGGGCTTTTTCAACACCTCAGTTGGAAGCCTCATATCCATTCAGCAGTCACTCTGCATACCCCCTCCTGCAGCCCCTGGAAACCTCTCATCTACTTTCTATCTCTGTCGATTGGCTTAGTCTGAACATTGCATATAAATGGAATTGTACAATATATGACCTTTCATGTCTGCTTGTTTCACTGAGCATGTTTTTAACGTTCATCCATATCACAACATGGATAAGTTTTATTTTCTTTTTAGACCCAATCTAAAAAGAAAAAAAGTTGTAAAACAAAAACAAAAAATATATAGGATGGAGTTCAGATGAGTCCTGCAAAGTTTATAATATTTACTATCTAGCACTTTACATAGAAGCTTGCCTAGCTCTGAATGATATGCAGGTACAGAGATGACATTTATCTTGGCACTTATAGAAAGACCTATAAATTGTATAAAGACATCATCATTGGATTTCCAGTAACAAGAAGCGGCAAGACATGACGGTGTGTCCAGGTGTTCAGGTGAGGTTTAGGGAAGGTCTTGTCTTGACGAGGTCGGATGTGAGACCCAGATGAGATAACCCCATTTCCCCTGCTGAAATTGCCTGAGAATTTCATTCCAGTTATTTGCGTAGGTTGATTCTTTCGGTGGGGGTGGGGTGGGTGAGGAGGTGAAGTGTCAGGGGAGTTCTATTTTGTATTTGCACAACTTGGCTTTCTTTTTACTTGGTGTGCTGTTTTGCTGTATGAGGAATTTCATAGCATTTTGTGATGAGTATGCAGCATAGTGGTTTGAATCCTGCCAGGCCGAGGGTCATATCTCAGCTCTGAAACTCATTATCTATGACTCCTTGCGGCAGGTCCCATAACTCTCCAAGCCTCTGTTCTATATTTCATGTGGTTGTGAGGTTCAGATGAAATAATGCATGCTGGCAGGAATGGTTACTGCTCATGGGATTTCCAGGTGCTTCCCATATTCCCCAGACCCCCTGTAGTTAGATGGATCCATGCCAGGGTCCAGTGCTCTATAAGTGGAAGTCACTGACATCACCTCTAGTCTACAGCTTTTGAGGGCTTGGGAATAACTCTCTCATTCTCTCATCTCCTGGTGCAGTAACTATGGGAGAATCCTTGCATTAAGATGGTAGAATTTCCGTCATTCTAGGATTTTGAGTGGCCATATGGAGCACATCATACCCAGGCAACCCATTGTGGACATGTAATGTAAGAAATCAACCTTGGTTGCTAAGCTGCTGAGACTCTGGGGTTAATTTGTTACTGCAGCATAACCTAGTCCATCCTGATGCATGCAGCATGCAAACCACTTATGTTGACCCTTAGTCATGGTAAGTGCTCCACAGATGTTGGTTACTTTTGGTAGGAAGATAGATTGCCTCTGAAAGTTTTGTTAGGTGATCTCATGATGCCAATATTGCTATTTTGTAATTGGATAAATTGGACTTGGCTCTCCTTCCAGCATGTGGGAGAGAAAGATGACTGAGAGACAATAAGGCACTATTATCTTCAGTTTGTGTCCTTGGATACCCTTGGTGGCAATGAACAATGCATGCCCCTCTGAGAAAACTGGACCTAAAGGAGAATGGGAGATGATACCAGAATTGGGAACCTCCAAGGCCCCAGGCATTCCCTGGTCTGGAGAAAACTTTGAGTCCTTGGTGGGAAGATTCTCCAAGGGAACATAAATGCTTCTACTACCTAGTTTGTCTCTTTGAGAAGTAAAACTTTTTTTTTCATTCCAGTAGCTTTTGGGGTACAGTTTGTCTCTTTGAGAATTGCATACTAATTAATTTTAGGGGTCATCTGTACACATCTCTATATTCCTGAAACATGGTAGAAACAGCCAGCAGTCAGGCGACAATCTACTATGACCACTAAAGTATCCCCAAAGTGAAACACCAGATGTGATCCACTAGGTTTAGTGGAGGTGGCTGGCTTGACAGTTGATTATATTTATTATTGTCACTGTGGTGATTATGGCCACAACATTGTGATGCGTGTTGGTGTTCTTTTGGTGAGCTGCAGTTTGGAAGGAATAAATCCTTTTTTTTTTTTTTTGAGTCTTGCTCTGTCACCCAGGCTGGAGTGCAGTGGTGCCATCTCAGCGTGCTGTAAACTCTGCCTCCCAGGTTCAAGTGCTTCTCCTGCTTCTATGGCCAGGCTGGTCTTGAACTCCTGACCTCAGGTGATCCACCTGCCTCAGCCTCCCAAAGTGCTGGGATTACAGGTGTGAGCCACCATGCTCGCCCCATTATTCATTTAACCAATATCTATTGAGCACATTGGGTGTGGTGGAGGATGAACTGCAGGGGAGAGAGGAAGCCTCCTCCTGCCACTATGTTTTCAAGTTGTCCTAATACTCCACCATGACACGCAGGCTTGTGGGTCCCAGAGCTCCAGAAGCATCTCCCGACCACAACATCCTGACCCAGATTCTACTGAATAATACGTGAGTCTAGCAGAGCGATCTCTGACACTTCCCTTCTTTTGAACGGCTGATCTGTCAGCCATGGGGAGCCCTTATGAAAGTGCAGTGTGTTTTGTGAAACTTGAGGTTGATCAAAGAATACCATTAAACTTTGTTAAGAAATCTACATATTGATGACATAGGCAGTGGGGTGGAGGTGGGGAAATTCCCAAATACATTTTAGGAATTATCTCAGGAGGTAATAGTCAGAACTCTTGGTTGCCAGTGACAGAAACTCATCTTACTAGTGTGGAGTGGAAAAGGGATCATGTTTTTCTCTGCACTCCCCAACCCCAACCCCAACCCCAAGCAGATCCTGAAAGAGGGACAGGATTGCAAGTGGATTATTTAGGAGATGATTCCAGGGAACACCAATAGAGGAGTGAGGAATTGATTCATGGAAAGGCAGGAGGCCACACAGGGGGCTTCAATGAGCAGCTTACCACTCCAGGCAACTAGGATTTGACCCCACTGGGGACCTCTGGGAGGTGATGTGGAATACATTTCAAAGTTGTTCCATCCAGGGGGCAAAGATATTGAAGCATTTATAGCCTGGCTCCTATCCGTCACTTGCTGAGGACTGATCCCATGGCATCAACTCTCTGGCTTTGCTTTTTTCTTTTTTCTTTTTTTTTTTTTTTTCAGACATAGTCTTGCTCTGTCACCCAGGCTGGACTGCAATGGCATGATCTCGGCTCACTGCAACATCTGCCTCCCAGGTTCAAACGATTCTCTTGCCTCGGATTCCTGAGTAGCTAGGATTACAGGCGCCTGCCGCCATGCCCCACTAATTTTTTTATTTTTTGTAGAGACGGGGTTTTGCCAGGTTGATCAGGCTGGTCTCGAACTCCTGACCTCGTGATCCACCTGCCTCGGCCTCCCAGTGTTGGGATTATAGGAGTGAGCCACTGCACCTGGCTTCTGTGGCTTTTCTGACATACTCCATGCCTGACTTTGAGAAAGCCCTCAGGTGAAAGTCTTGGTTGTATGCAGTAGCAAGCATGTACTAGAATGATAAAAACCAAGGGGCTTACCACAAGATCTCTCTATCTCTGTCTCTAGCTTTGTCTGCATACTGGCTTAATTTCTTCTTACTCAAGCCTTTTCTGCATAAGGCGAGGAACGTGGCCACAAAAGCTCCTGTATTTCTCACTACACACAATTCCTGTCATCACAGAGAATGATTAACTTGGTCTAGTTCCAGTTTGGAAAAATATTCAAGGGAAGAATTCTGATTGGCCAATTTAGGCCAGATGCTCATCCCTGGACCAATCAACTGAGGCCAGAGGGGTGGAGTCATTTGAGAACATTGCAGCCCCCATGAGAGCCACATGAGTGGAGTAGGAAGTGTGAGTCTCCATAGAGGGGAGGGCTGCTAGGCTGAAAAGGCAATAGATGTCTGCAGTGAAAAGAATAGATCAGGAGATACATTCTGTTAAACCTGTTAATTATTTGAAAAAAAGAGAAACTTTCAATATACAGTCACAGTATACGTGAGCCGGTGGCTCACGCCTATAATCCCAGCACTTTGGGAGGCTGAGGTGGGCAGATCAGAGGTCAGGAGTTCGAGACCAACCTGACCAACATGGTGAAACCCCGTCTCGTGCGCCTGTAATCCCAGCTACTCAGGAGGCTGAGGCAGGAGAATCGCTTGAACCAGGGAGGCGGAGGTTGCAGTGAGCTAAGATCATGCCACTGCCCTCCAGCCTGGGCAAAAGAGTGAGACTCCTTCTCAAAAAAAAAAAAAAAAAAAAAAAAGTTACATTGTGGTTCCCCCAGAATGATTTATCAGAAAGGAAAAACTTACAATATGCGTATTTCCTATGCATAGGCTACTGCTATGAATTGAAATTCTTAAATTCCAAAGATTAATTAAAATGTTTCTTAAGACACATAAACTGTTAGAATCTGCTTATAATGAGGCTGAAGTTGAGTAAGAAGAGAGCTGGCATTTAGGACATTACTTTTCTTCTGTCGAGTACTGTCAAGATTTGGTTCTGCCTGGAAGTAGATGCACCTCAAGGGAGGGTTGCATGTAAAGGTGTGTGTGTGTGTGTGTGTGTGTGTGTGTGTGTGGTAGTTTCCAAAGATGGGTACAACTTTCTGCAAATGCTCGTGTAGTGTAATTGAACCAATCTTTTCTTTAAGAGGTAGAGTTTATACTCCTCTACATGAATCTGGGCTGCCTATGACTTGCTTTGGCCAGTGGAATGCTGCCAAAGTGATGGTGACCAACTTCTAGCCGTGAAAGGAAAATAAATTTTGGGACCCTAAGATCACTAAGCTAGGCTGGGCTCGGTGGCTCATGCGTGTAATCCCAGCACTTTGGGAAGCTGAGGCGGGCAGATCACCTGAGGTTAGGAGTTCAAGACCAGCCTGGCCAACATGACAAAACCCCATCTCTACTAAAAAATATGAAAATTAGCCAGGCGTGGTGTCAGGCGCCTGTAATCCCAGCTACTTGGGAGGCTGAGGCAGGGAAATTGCTTGAACCCTGGAGTTGGAGGTTGCAGTGAGCCGAGATCGTACCACTGCACTCCAGCCTGGGCAACAGAGCGAGACTCTGTCCCCCCACCCAAAAAAAAGTTACTAAGCTAAAGAGAAAACTCAAGCTGGGAACTGCTTAGGGGAAACCTGCCTCCCATTCTATTCAGTCACCCCTTTGCTCACTGAGATAAATGTATATCTGATTGCCTCATTTGGAGAGGCTAATCAGGAACTCAAAAGAATGCAACCATTTGTCTCTTAACTACCCGTGACCTGGAAGCCCCTTCCCCTTGTCTCACCTTCACCTTCACCTGGAGTTGTCCCGCCTTTCCAGACTGAACCAATGTACATCTTACACATATTGATTGATGTCTCATGTCTCTCTAAAATGTATCAAACCAAGCTGTGTCCCTACCACCTTAAGGACATGTTGTCAGGACCTCCTGAGGCTGTGTCACAGGCAAGCGTCCTCAACCTTGGCAAAACAAACTTTCTGAATTAACTGAGACCTCAGTTTTTTGGGGTGCATATAGTCTTAGGCCTTGAAAGCCCTCTCGTAGTTTCCATATTTTTGCCCTCTTGGATGCTGGCACCAAGCAAACCTTGGCTATCCTGCTTAAAGGGCCATTTGGAGAGGGGCTCTGGAGGGCGAGGGGCCACATGGAGGAAAACAAGCTTCCCCGGCTGACAACCAGCACCAACTGCCAGGCACATGCATGAGGCCGTCCTGGATGTTCCGCCCAGCTGGCCCTCCAGCTGCAGGTAGCCACACAAATGAGCCCAGGTTAAAGCAGCCAGGAAGTCCCCATGCAACTCACAGGGTCATGAGCAATAATGGCTTGTGGTGGTTTAAAGTTTCTAATTTTAGGTGCAATAGGTAACTGAAACAGCCCACAAGGGTGTGAGCCTGTGGAGGGTGCATTTCCCACCTGCTGAAGCTTCTCAATTCCCAGGATCCAATCCAGATAAGACTCTTGTTCTCAGTGTCCTTGATGGAAATGGCAATGAACTTTTTGCAGATTGGACCATCTCGGGAATCCCAAAGATCGGAAACTATTTTCTTTCTCAGAATCTTCCACACAGCATTGAGCCTTAGGAATTTCTAAGAAGGATCTGGAATGAAAAAAAATCTTTTGAAAAGGTATTTGTATAGCTTCAGTTCAGCAAGATTCATGGCGGGTATTAGACTAAGTGCTGGTGTTAAGCCAAACCATGTTTTTCAAAGACTCATCTGGCCTCAAGGTTGGCAGGATCAGAGTGGCCTCCCAGGATCTATCACATCCTCAGAAGAGTTGGTTCAACTGGCATATACCCAGATCTCTTTGAGCTAGTATGATACTCCCTTGAGTCAAAGGCTGCCACATCACATCTCCTTTAAGTCCCCCTAAATACGACCCCAGAAGTATTGACAAAATAGTGCTATTCCTGAAGATTTCAGGAGGACATAAATGAAGAGACTAAACTGCAAGGTACCAAAACTTCCATCTTTGCTAAAGACCCTCATCCAGGCTGGGCACGGTGACTCATGCCTGTAATCCCAGCAATTTGGGAGGCCAAGGCAGGCGGATCACCTGAGGTCGGGAGTTCAAGACCAGCCTGACCAACATGGAGAAACCCCATCTCTACAAAAAATACAGAATTAGCCGGGCGTGGTGGCACATGCCTGTAATCCCAGCTACTAGGGAGGCTGAGGCAGGAGAATCTCTGGAACCTGGGAGGCATAGGTTGCAGTGAGCTGAGATCGTGCTATTGCATTCCAGCCTGGGCAACAAGAGTAAAACTCCATCTGAAAAACAAACAAAAAGTCCTTATCCAATGGTCGTGCCACTCTATCTGGCCATGTAATTTCTCCTCCTGGCTTTCTGTAGCAACAGGCTTCTGAGGAACCTCACTCTGCCTTTCAAAACCCCTTCAACTTGTACCCTTCATCAGCAAAGTACTTAGCTCAACATGTATGCCTCTGGAGGAACTCATCCCCATGCCATTTAAGGATATTTCCAGCAACATCATCTTCACTACCCCAGGACAGCATTTTAGAGTGGATTACGTGCCTGCTGGATGTGTTGTACTTGAGGGAGTTAGAGAAAATGCCACACTTTGAGACGAATTAAGAGTCTGTTTATTTAGCCAGCGGCTAAGAAATGGCTAACGTTTAAAGTTCTCTCGGCCTCGAAGAAGGGGCTAGATTTTCTTTTATACTTTGGTTTAGAAAGGGGAGGGGGGGAAATAGTTAAAACAATTTTACAGAAGTAGGCAAAAAAGTTAAAAGGAAAAACTGTTACAGGAAAGTAAACAGTTCTAGGTCTAGGGGCTTTAAGACTATTACAAGGTGATAGACGCCAGGCTTTGGGCGTTATCAATTGGACGAATTCCTGAGAACTGCAGATACTGCTCGCCACAGTATCTTATCAGTTAATTGCATTCTTGGATGTGCTGGGAGTCAGCTTGTACAAGTTAAGTCCTTGGGGAAGGGGCTGCCAGTGAAAGAGCCAAGATGGAGTCTGTCTGGCTCTCTTAGCTAAGGGAGAGTCAATTCAGGTGGAAATAAGGCTAGGTGATTAAAAGAAAGGGAGAGTCTAAGAACAGGGTTAGTAAAAACAAGGTTGGGCATTACATTCCTCACTTGTGTTTTTGGGGAATCAAATCGTTGACTCTTCAGTTATAACAAGGGGGTTATATTGAGTCTTAAGATACATAAGTTTGACAGAAACTATGTGTTGTTTTACAAAATTAATAAACTAATTTAATATACAAGGTCTAAAAATTAGACTTAATAGTAGGATTGGGAGGGGGTCTGGCTAACTTAGTAGTTAGAATAGTTAGCTCTGGGTTCTAGTTGAACATGCTTTGATACTAGGGGATGTTATTTTCTTGTTCTTGTTGGCGCTTATCTAGATGTTCTTGCACTGTCTGGAGTGTATCTTTTATGACTAAGAATGGTGGAGGAACAGTTAAATCAACTTGTCAGGGTGTTTCTGGAACATAGGGTTACTTAGATCAGTTAAAGGCCTGATTGGCTTGGGTGGGCTTTATGAGACTAGGGTTTTTTTGGATGGTGAACATAGTCTTAACATTAAATCCTGGGATATAAAATCTTAATCTTCATGACATGCCATGATACTATTGAGTTGAATTAAGGTCATGGACAGCTATAGTAAGAGGATTACAATTTTTCTAGTACATAATTTAGGATGAGAAGCACGACTTGTGGAAAGAGTTGAAGATCTGGTTGATCTTTTAGAGTAGGTGGCTAAAGTTACACATGTCTAATCAGGGCAGAAAAACTGATAAGTATCTTGACAGCTAACATCAGGGTGATTTCTAGGACAGAGGTAAAAGCCAATATTTTGGAGTCTTTTTTCTGCACTTTTGGAGCCTCTACACTTAGTTTGGCTCTTGGAGTGTCTGAATCTTGCTGCAAGGTCGACACTTCCTGCTCCTGGGACTGACAGATTGTGTTGCTTTTCGTGGGTATGGGCTGGCTTTGGGAATAGTACAAATAAATCCACTGCAAAGGAGACTTCTTTGGAGGTACTGGCCTTCTAAGTGGTGTTTGCAAATACACGTCCTGTTGTGAAAGAGGTGAGGAGAAAGGAGTAGGAAGGCACAGGGGATGTAACGGGCAAAAACAAGTAAGTGAGGTAGTAAAAAGGATGAATCTAATGGCTTCACCTGACTTAGGTGCAGTTTTAAGGGGACTGACTTAGGCCTGGGGACTTACGTTTTTAGCTGGGATCTGTTGGCCTTTTTGATGCAGGAGTGATGAATCTAACTAGGAATGCCATCTATTTTCAGAGCCACTGGTGTCCTGAGGATGACGGTGTGAGGTCTTTTCTAAGCAGGAGCGAGTCTTTCTTTTTGGAACTTTTTAACAAACGCTAGGTCTCCTGGCTGGAAAGAATGGCAGGACTTTGGTCAGGAATTGGATTGGGATGGGCTCCTCGAACAAGTGGCAGGATGATATCTTGTACCTGTTGGAGAGACTATAGGTACTGTAACAAATTAGTTTGTGATATTTCTGCTAATTTGGCATCTCTTAGCTTAGGCAAGATAGGCGGCGCCTTCTTATACATGATTTCAAAAGGTGAGAAATTCTCCGGGTAAGGGGTGCACCTTACTTTAAGTATGGCTAAAGGAAGGAGACTTACTTAATTTACACTGTTTTTTTAAGATTAATTTTGTAGGAGTGTTTTTTAGGGTGTGGTTCATGCTTTCTACTTGCCTGGAGCTCTGGGGTTGATAGGCACAATGGAGCTTCTGTTGAATGCTTAACACCTTACTGACTGACTGAGCTATAGGTGAGGGGAAGGCTAGTCTATTATCAGACTTTATGGCAGCAGACAGCCTATATTGAGGGATGATTTCATTGAGTAAAAACTTAACTACTGTGTTGGTGGTTTCATTTTTGGTAGCAAATGCCTTAGTTTATCTGGAGAAGGTGTCTACTAGTACTAGAAGGTATTTGTACTAAGCCTGGTGTGGTTTTACTTCTGTAAAGTAAATTTCTTACTTTTTTCTTGGCGAGTTTTTTCAGAGACAGTGGCCTGGGCTGGGTTTAGGACTTTGTTTGGCATTTACTTGGGCGCAGGTTGTGCACTGGAGAGCTGCTTAATCTGTTAGGCTTTGAAGATGGGGGATCTTAAAATGGCTCTGGAGGAGCTGAGGTAGCTTTGCTCTTCTTAAATGGGTGGTAGACTGTAGGTAACTGATTAAAGTTTCTTTAAGAGTTCAGGGTATGAAGATTCCAGAGTCAGGAAGAATCTACTAACTTTCCTGATTTTTATTGGCTCTGAGATCTGAAGCCAGTTTTTTTGTTGTTGAGTGTACGGGATTGTCATGCAGATCTGGCTGTGGAAAGGAGACTGTAGGCAGCAAGTTTAGAGGCGTGACTGAAAGTCTCGCTGAGACCTGAGCTGCTGAATCAGCTTTCTGGTTACTATGGGCAATGGCTGTGTTTTCTTTTTGATGTCCTTTGCAGTGGATCACAGCTATCTGCTGAGGTGAGTAGCCTGCTTTCCTGGTAGATGGCTTTACGTACATGCACAGTAGCAAAGGCGTACTTGCTGTCACTGTAGATGTTAATACGTTTATTCTACTTTATCGGAGAGCCTGAGTGAGGGCGATCAATTCAGCCTTTTGTGCTGAGGTGTTCGCTGGTGAAGCTTGAGCTTACAACACATCTGTCTCTGTGGTAACAGCTGCACTGGCTTTTCATACTTCCTGCTTGAGGAAGCTGCTACTGTCTGTGAAAACGGCGGCATCTGCCTCTTCTAGGGGCACAGCTTGAAGATCAGATCAGCCAGTTTCGATAGTTTCTAACAGTTCTTGACAGTCATGAGCAGGAATAGTGGAGTCTGAGTCAGGAAGTAGTGTAGCTGGATTGAAACACTTTGTGGGAGAGAAAGTCAAACGAGGCTGATCTAACAGTAAACTTTGATACTGCAAGATGCGAGCATTTGACATCTATTTGCCAGAAGCATTTTGTAGCAAGGTCTTTACGGCATGAGGAGCTGTAAGGGTTAAATTTGGGCTTAGAGTTAACTTATCATCTTCTTGGGCCAGGCTTGCTGTAGCCGCTATGGTTCGCAGACAACTTGGCCATCTACAGGCCACAGGATCTAGCCTCTTAAATAGGCCACTGGGCATCTTTAGGGTCTTAGAATCTGAGTGAGCCGTCTTTAGCAACTCCTTGGCTTTTTTGGAGATATTAGAGAGGGCTAAAGCAGGGGCTTCAGTTAACGCTAAATTAATGGGCTATTTCATTCTGTACTTCTTGGATAGTTGCCACTAAGATTTTTGTTTGTCTTTTGAATGCTTTATGAGTGGCCTTTTCAGCTGCCTGTGTTGCTTGTTTTTGTTTTTTAAACTTATGATTGTCAAAAACTTTTTGGGCTATTTCTGAAAGCTGACTGATATTTATTCTAGCAAATCTTTCTAGTTTTTGGAGTTTCTTTTTAATATCCGGGGCTGCCTGAGCCACAAATGCTAAATTAGGAGCACGGCTACTTTCGGGAGCTGCCGGGTCAAAAGGGGTGTAAATCCGATAAGCCTCCTGGAGGCGCTCTAAAAACGTTCTTGGTGACTTATCTGGCCTTTGGACAACTTCGGTCGTCTTAGACAAGTTTATGGGTTTCTGAGCGGCTCTTTTAATACTTGTGAGAGGAGATACCAGTGAAAATCGTCTAAAGCTCCCTTTCTACTTGAAGAATTTGGGTCCCAGTTAGGCCGGGTAGAGGGAAAGACCTCCTCAAGGAGGTCTCTAGCTTCTCCTTCCGGTCCACTGGCTGATGTGAGGAAGTACTTTTTGGCTTCTTTTCGGATACGTTCTTTCTTTTCAGAGGTGAAAAGGGTTAAAAGGAGCTGTTGGCAATCATCTTAGGTGGGTGAGTGAGTCCGGAGTACAGACTCTGTCAGAGAGGTCAAAGCCTGGGGCTTTTCAGAAAAGGGAGGATTATAAGTTTTCTAATTATGTAAGTCAAAAGTAGAAAAAGGGACACAAACTAAGAAGGGTGCTGAGCGCTCGTCACCTGGAGGGACTTGTGCCTCTCTCAGTGGTAGTAGAGGGGCTACTTCTTCCTGCCACGGTCATGATTGAGAGGCAATGGGTGGCGAGCCTACAGGGGACGTCGTCGAGGAGACATGGGATAACTTTAAGGGAGAAGGTTGGTTGTAAGGCGGTGGGACTGGGTGAGGGAGACTCCCCTCTTCTTCAGAGGGAGGCAGTACAGGGGAAGCTGAACCGGCTGAGGGTCGAGGCGAAAACGCGGTCTGGCTTAGGAGGACCTTGGAGGTAGAATTATGAATGGCGCATGAATGGAGCCATGGAGGGGGGATCCTGACTAATCTTAGCTATTGATCAATGTAGGGAAACTGATCAGGGTGGCTAGGAGTTTCAGTAACAACCTGCCACACAGCTTGAAGAATTGCAAGTTTCAATGACCCTTCAGGGGGCCACTTGACTTTAAACTTTGGCCATTTTATTTTGCAGAGTGTCTGGAGCTTGCCTTTTTTAAGGCGGACTTTATAATCCTCTGAGGAACTGAGAGGAAAATTCTGCAGAATACATTGGAGAGGGCTTTAACTTTTATAAGGCTGGGAGGAAGTGTTTCTTTTTTTTTTTTTGAAGGCAATTTAATAAGATTTGAGCATAGATATTAAACTTAGCATGGACAGAGAAACATTTCTTGGGGGACTGGAGTAGTGAAAGAACAGAATCAACATGACTAGAAAGAGCAGAAAAACCACAACAGCTAATACTACTTGCTACATTACTGTAGCTTTAAGATTGAGGGAGGAGGACTAGAGCCAGCCTGAGATCTTCTGGGTCAGTTTGATCTAGGCGTTCTTCTTCTTCTTCTAGATCTGCACTTTAAGTACTTTTGGTGTCTTTATGACTTAAAGGCAAATAGCTTAAACTTAGCTTTTTCTTTTAAGGGTTTAAGGAGTGAGAGCAGAGCCAAGTCCTGGAGACGCTGAACTTGCTGTCGCACCGGAAAACGAGATGTGCGGGGTAGGGGGCAGGGACAAGGTGGAAAAGGACTACTCGGATCATTTTTAAGATGGGAGAGTAGCCACAGAGGAACAGAGTAAGAATCTAAACGAAGTAAAGCAGTACGGGCGTACATTTCTTTACATAGTGTTCTACTTCAGGGCACAGGAAAAGTTACAGAATGACAAAAGAGGTGAGTAAGGAAATCTGCAGGGTGGCTGTTTTGAACTCACTACTGGTTTAGTTTAGAGGAGGTCTAATCACTTGGACGTGGAGTGTGACGATCTAAATACTTACAACTTTCATGGTGCTAGAAATCTTAATCAGGCAAATGTTTTTCACACTTGTTCTTGTAACAACACTTGACTTGGTTCTGGCAGAAAAGACAGGACTGTGGTGGCCAGCCTAAATGATTGATGAGAAATTTCACCTCCTGTGACAAAAAATCAGCACTAAGGACTTTGAAGAAGTTTTTACTTAGATGTCTTGGGCAATATCACCGTCCTGACATGCAAAACTTTCACAACTACTAAGAAGACAATAGAAACTGAACAGAACAATCAATATAAAACAAACAATTGACTTTAAGGCATGTAAACAGTTATGACAGTTTCTTCCTTTTTTTTTTTTTTAATAGACAGACAAGGGGAGGGGTTCCTGTGATGGGATCAGTCAGATGCCTGCCTGGCCGCTCCCCGTGAGGGGACTTGGGCTCCTCTTAGCATTGGCAGGCCGGTATAAACTTCCGGCTCAGATTGAGCTATGCCTGATGCTGCCTTAAGCCTTATGAGGTCGCCAAGGAACCGCAGGTGAGGGTCTACTTGAACTCCGTCGCTTTCGCCGTAGAGCTACAAACTGGAGGACAAGCGCAAGCCCTTGTCCTCCCTCATTCATTCATTATTCACAAAGAGTTTATAACAGTTTTTTTTTTTCTTTCTTGGAGTTTCTTCAAGAAACTTGAAGAAGAGAAAGAGGAGAGATAGAAAAAGACAGAGAGAGAGAGAGAGTGACCGGTCTGCCAGAAACCAGGACTCAGTCCTCCAGCATCCTGGGATGTGGACTGAGTCAAGGGAGGACCCCTGTCAGGGCCACTTCCCTCCTAGAAAGAGACACAGAGGTGCCTAACAGAAAACCAGGGCTCTACCTTCTAGCTTCCTAGAGAAACGGGCAGAGTCAAAAGAGGGACGCCCTCATCAGGGCCGCTTCCCTCTTACTAGAACTGAAATCAAATCTGACCTACCTGACCTCGGGGTCAGAAGTTGAGGACTCAGAGGTGGAATTTTTGTGGGCATCCACACGGTAGTCGATCCGCTCTCCTCTGGAAGACGGTCACCTTTTGGGGACCTGAAAATTTTTTTTCAGGTGGCACCCCCACTACAAGCCGGCCGTCCTTCCGGGGGAGCCCGGAGCGAGCCCGGCTCTCGCCTGGTGGCGTTTCTCGCTCGGGCCTCCAAATGTTGTACTTGAGCGAGTTAGAGAAAATGCCACACTTTGACATGAATTAAGTCTGTTTATTTAGCTGGCGGCCAAGAGATGGCTAACTCTTAAAGTTCTCTTGGCCCCGAAGAAGGGGCTAGATTTTCTTTTATACTTCAGTTTAGAAAGGGGAAAGGGGTGTAGTTAAAAGAATTTTACAGAAGTAAAGTAGGCAAAAAAGTTAAAAGGATAAATTGTTACAGGAAAGTAAACAGTTCTAGGTCTAAGGGCTTGAAGACTATTACAAAGTGATAGACGTGGGGCTTTAGGCATTATCAATCGGACAAATTCCTAGGAACTGCGGATATTGCTCGCCACAGTATCTTATCAGTTAATTGCACTCTTAGATGTGCTAAGAGTCAGCTTGCACAAGTTAAGTCCTTGAGGAAGGGGCTGCCAGTGAAAAAGCCAAGATAAAGTCTGTCTAGCTCTCTTAGCTAAAAGAAAGTCAATTCAGGTAGAAACAAGGCTAAGTGATTAAAAGAAAAGGAAAGTCTAAGAACAAAGTTAATAAAAACAAGGTTAGGCATTACAGATGGGGTCATCCTGACATTCAGCACAGTGTTTGTCCTGAAACTTCAATGGAGTGCTCCTAGTTTGATAACTTGAACCATGCCAAATAAATTGAATTTCTCTTTCTTAACAACAGATGTTTGAATACAGCCCCGTGTCCCTCTCTGCTCCTTCCTGCCTTCCTCCTCTCCTCTTCCTTCCCTTCCTTTTCAAGAGCAGGGTTTGCAAGCTTTTACTTGAAAGCATCAGATAGTAAATATTTTAGAATTCGTGGGCCATACAGTCTCTTGTAGTAGTTAATCAACTCTGCCACCCATAGCATGAAAGCAGCTGATATAGGTTGAATATGTGTCCCCACCCAAATCTCATGTTGCAATGTAATCCCCAGTGCTAGAGGTGGGGCCTTGTGGGAAGAGATTGGATCATGGGGGTGGATTTCTCATGAATGATTTAGCGTCATCCTTTTGGTCCTGTCCTTGCAATAGTGAGTGAGTTCCTGCAAGATCTGGTTGTTTACGAGTGTGTAGCACCTCCCTCCTTACTCTCTTGCTCCCACTTCAGCTTCTGCCATCATTGTAAGTTTCCTGAGGCCTCCACAGAAGCTCAGCAGATGTCAGTGTCATGCTCCCTGTACAGCCTACAAAACTGTGAGCCAATTAAAACTCTTTTCTTTATACATTACCCAGTCTCAGGTATTTCTTCATAGCATGAGAGAACAGCCTAATCCAGCAGCCATAGACAATATGTAGCAAATGGGCATGGCTGTGTTTCAATAAAACTTTATTGACAAAAACATGTGCAGGCAGGTCAGATTTGGCCCATGGGCCATAGTGTCCCAACCTCTGCTCTGGAATATTCTCTTTAGCCTGGATGGACATCTCTAGGGTGTTTTTTTTTTTTTTTTTTGAGACGAAGTCTCACTGTTGCCCAGGCTGGAGTGCAGTGGTGCAATCTTTGCTCGCCACAACCTCTGCCTCCTGGCTTCAAGCCATTCTCCTGCCTCAGCCTCCCAAGTAGCTGGATTACAGGCACCTGCCACCACACCTGGCTAATTTTTGTATTTTTTAATAGAAATAGGGTTTCACCATGTTGGCCAGGCTGGTCTCAAACTCCTGACATCAGGTGATCCACCCATCTCAGCCTCCCAAAATGCTGGGATTACAGGTGCCTGCCGCCACATCTGGCTAATTTTTTTGTATTTTTAGTGGAGATGTGATTTCACTATGTTGCCCAGGCTGGTCTCGAACTCCTGATCTCAAATGATCCACCTGCCTCAGCCTCCCAAAGTGCTGGGATTACAGGTGTGAGCCACTGCAGCTGGCCTCTAATATATATATTTTTTTGACCATTGCTTATTTGGTTTGACTTTCATTTTCTTCCCCATTGTGGTAGTCATTTTCTGAATGCCTGTTAGTTTTTCCATCTCTCTCCTCTGTAGTCCCTAGAGTCAGATGAACTCCTCTGCAGGTGCAATGGTGTAACACACTCTAGTGCTGAATTTTGAGCAGGAGAAAGAGAGCAAGAGTGACCAGTACCCTTGGAAACTCTGGCCTCCTGAGAATTTGGTGTCTTCTCTGCAAAGGTTGCAAACCTGTTAACCCACAGGCCGGAGAGAGAGAGAAGCCAGAATCATGATCTCTTAAGCTTGAGTTTAATATTTGATGCACAGAGATCACTGAGTTTTTTGATAAGAATTAGAGGGGGAAGAAATGGCCACAGAGATCAATTTCTATCTCCAGGTGAGGATTCAGGAGATAATTCTGCCAACAGAAATTCCTGAGAACTGAGATGGGGGAAATCGCTGGTATTAGAAGGGTGAAAAGGTCAGTAATTAAGGCTACGACTGTGCTCTTAGAGGCAAAAGGAGAAAATGAGACTGCCAGGCATGAATAATGAGAAATCTTTGATGGAATTAGCCATGCAGAACAGATACTAAATGCATCCTCATTCTTCTCATAGTCAAAAGTTTTTGCTTAAGCTGGATGGGAAAAAGAGAATCCCATTTCACTAAGCATAAAAGAGGGGATTTTAGAGAAGGTCTCAGAAGAAAGAGATGTGGCGGTTTGGTGAAACTCACCAGAGGCTGAACCCTCTCCGGCATAACACAGGGATTGGGAGGAGCAGGGAAGCATTAGGCCAGGTGCATAGCCCAGTGCTGCTCTCTCTGGACTTGTTTGCTAGCTGAGCTCATCCATTTGCATAATTTTCAGCGCCATTTCTCAGCTGATGAGTCCTGAACTTTTGTCTTGAGGCTAGACTTCTCCTTCAAACAGCAGTCTTAAACACTCAACTTCTTTCTTGTTTTTTCCACTTGTCAACTCATGAACACCTCAACCTTCTTAAATCCAAAGCCAAACTCATGGCTTGGAGTGGTAGGTGATGGCTGTAATCCCAGTGCTATGGGAGGCTGAGGTGGGAGGATTACTTGAGGTCAGGAGTTTGAAGCCAGCCTGGAGAACACAGTGAGACTCCCTATCTACAAAAAAAAAAAAAAAAGCTAGGCATGGTGAAGTGCATCTGTAGGATCTGTAGTCCTGTTACATGGCAGGCTGAGGCAGGAGGATCACTTGAGCCCAGGAGTTTGAGGCTGCAAAGAGCTATGACTGCACCAATGCACTCCAGCCTGGTTGACAGAGCCAGAGTCCCTGTCTTAAAAAAAAAAAAAACAAAAGAAAAACTTTTTTTCCTCCTCCTCCTCCATGGGCTCTGTCCATGCCATCTCTGTTCTGTAAATGGCACCACCCCCTGCTGAGCTGCTCAAGGTGGTCATAACTCATGTGTTGTGCTAACTCTGCTTTTGCCCTCTTCTCCAGTCAGAAGTCCTGTGATTCTAAACTTTATCCAACTTGTCCACTATCTCTATCTTCACTGTCATTATCTTTGCCTAGGACACTGCTATCCCAGCTGGGCTACAGCAGTAGCCTCCTAACTGGTCTTAACTGGTCCTCTGCACCTGCTCTCCATGCTCAGCAATCCATTTCCTACCTAGCAGCTTCAGTGATCTTAAGGTGTCCATTGAGTCTCATTCCTGCCTTTCCTGCCCATGGCACATAGAATAAAATAGAGACCCCGAGTCTTCTGCCTGTTCGTGCCACCTCTCCAGCTCTCTCCTATCTCCTCCCCTTGGCCTACTCTATTTCAGCCACTCTGGCCTCCTTTTGTTTTCTTCGACTTTCAAACCTTTCTCCACAACAGGGCCTTTGCACTTGCTGCTTCAGCCTGGAATGATTTTCCTCTGCACCTCCCCAAATTAGACCATCCTTTGGGTCTCAGCTAAAATGATGCTTCCAGACAGCTCTTTCCTGACCCCTTTATCAAGTGGACTTCCCTGCTCTTCTCCACCTTAACCTCATTATTTCTTGTTGCGGGAACTCAGGGACCCCAAATGGAGGGACTAGCTGAAGCCACAGCAGAGGAACATAAATTGTGAAGATTTTGTGGATATTTATCATTTCCCAAATAATACTTTTATACTTTCTTATGCCTGTCTTTATTTTAATCTCCTAATCCTGTTATATTCATAAGCTGAGGATGTACATCACCTCAGGACCACTGTGATAATTGTGTTAACTGTACAAATTGATTGTAAAACATGTGTGTTTCAATAATATGAAATCAGTGCACCTTGAAAAAGAAGAGAATAACAGCAATTTTTAGGGAACAAGGGAAGACAACCATAAGGTCTGACTTCCTGCAGGTTTGGGCAAAAAGAGCCATATGTTTCTTCTTGCATGGAGTCTATAAATGGACATGCAAGTAGGACAGATATTGCTAAATTCTTTTCCTAGCAAGGAATATTAATATTAATACCCTGGGAAAGGAATGCATTCCTGGGGGGAGGCCTATAAATGGCCACTCTGGGGATGTCTGTCTTATGCAGTTGAGATAAGGACTGAGATATGCCCTGCTCTCCTGCAGTACCCAAAGGCTTACTAGGGTGGGGAAAAACTCTGCCCTGGTGAATTTGTGGTCAGACTGGTTCTCTGCTCTCCAACCATGTTTTCTGTTGTTTAAGATGTTTATTAAGACAATACGTGCACCACTGAACATAGACCCTTATCAGTGGTTCTGCTTTTGCCCTTAGCTTTGTGATCTTTGCTGGACCTTTATCAGTAGTTCTGCTTTTGCCCTTTGTCTTGTTCCTCAGAAGCATGTGATCTTTCTTAGACCCTTAGTAGTAGTTCTGCTTTTTGCCCTTTGAAGCACGTGATCTTTGTACCTACTCCCTGTTCTTACAGCCTCCCCCCCTTTTGAAACCCTTAATAAAAACTTGCTGGTCTGAGACTCAGCAGGCATCATGGACTTACTGATACGTAGTGTCACCCCCAGCGGCCCAGCTGTAAAATTCCTCTCTTTGTAGTGTCTGTCTTTATTTCTCAGCTGGCTGACACTTACGGAAAATAGAAAGAACCTATGTTGAAATATTGGGGGCAGGTTCCATCAATAGTTCTTTCATGGATTTACTTATTTTTTGTCTCCCTCCATACCCTAGAAACTCCTGGAGGGCAGAGCTGTGTCTGCCATCTTCATCATTGCATTACCACCACCCAGCACAGTGCCTGGCACAAAAGAGTTGCTCAATAAATAAATCAGGATGAATGAATAAACACATGGATAGGCACTTTGAACTACAGATGAGTTTAAATACTTTGTGTTTTTCTTAGTCAAACATGTGCAATTAAGCATGTGATAAATGATATGATGACCACATGTGTGTCTTGCCTGATGTTCTTTGCAATCACTAAATGAAGTCAATTGTGCCTGTTTTGACAGTTCTGTTTTCAACCTAATGATCTGTTTCTTTTAACTTCTGGCTGTTGGCTTTGTTTGGGTTTGTTAGCCTGACAAAGTGGCAGATATTGGTATTTGCTCTTTTGTTTAAATGTCTGTCATGAACTTTAAAAATGCCTTTGCTTTTGGTAAGAAACCCTAGTTAGGACAGTCTAGCAGTCAGGATGATTTGGGTTCTGGTGCAGTAACAACAATCCCCAAATCTCAGTGGATCCATGCAGTGAGGTATTTGTTTGTGTGTTTGTTTTTTGAGACAGGGTCTCACTCTCTCACCCAGACTAGGGTGCAATGGTGCAACCTCAGCTCACTGCAACCTATGGCTCCCAGACTCAAGCAATTCTCCTGCCTCCTGAGTAGCTGGGATTACAGGCCTGTGCCACTACTGTCTCACTAATTTTTGTACTTTAGTAGAGACAGGATATCACCATGTTAGCCAGGCTGATCTTGAACTCCTGACCTCAAATGATCCACCCGCCTTGGCCTCCCAAAGTGCTGGGATGACAGGCATGAGCCACCATGCCTGGCCACAGTGAGGCTTATTCTTGGTCACGTTGCATGTCTGGGCTGTGTTAGGGCATTGTGGGGTGGTCTGTTCATTGTGTTCACTCAGGGATCCAGGCTGACAAAAGCCCCATCTCTGCATGTGTCCTTGATCACTACTTCAGGGGAAAGGGAATGTGGTGGTTCACACAACACTTCCACCTGGAGGTGACTCAAGTTGCTCTTGCTCATGGTTCATTGGACAATACAGATCACAGAGACATGGGCAACTTCTCTGTGCCTGGAATGGGAATCAAAATAAGAATAGCTACATTGATTTTCCCTAGCTATTACACAGAAGGCCTCATTTAAACACAGTTACTTATTTGTGTTTTGAAGCTAATTTTTGTCCATCAAAATTCACAGAAGATATGTGCATTTCCAAGTTATTATTAAGCACAATTTTTTTTTTTTTTTGAGACAGAGTCTCACTCTCTTGCCCAGGCTGGAGTGCAGTGGCATGAACATGGATCACTGCAACTTATGCCTCCTGGGTTCAAGTGATTTTCGTGCCTCAGCCTCCCAAAGTGCTGTGACTACAGACATCCACCACTGCGTCTGGCTAAGTTTTGTATTTTTAATAGAGATGGGGTTTCACCATGTTGGCCTGGCTGGTCTGGAACTCCTGACCTCAGGTGACCCACCTGCCTCGGCCGCCCAAAGTGCTGAGATGACAGGCATGAGCTGCCACGCCCATCCTTGAGTATGATTTTTGATTGGGAGGGTCAGAGTTAGGGTTTTAGTCTGAGGACAGTATGATGTGAAGGTGAAAAGCAGAGCTTGGCTGTGAGTTTGCTGGGATGCCTGTGCTGCTTCTACAGTTCTTTGGCTGTGTGACCGTCACCTTTGGCAAGTTCCTTTACGTTTCTATGTGTTGGTTTCCTCATCAATAAAATGGAAAAACTAATCATAATCATAATATCTATTGGTGTTGGGATAGCCCAGTGGTTGACACATAAGGACTCAAAAATAGGTTTTTGTTTGTTTGTTTGTTTTTTGAAAGAGTCTTGCTCTGTTCCCAGGCTGCAGTGCAGTGGTGCAATCTCAGCTGACTGCAAACTCTGCCTCCTGGGTTCAAGCGATTCTCCTGCCTCAGCCTCCCAAGTAGCTGGGATTACAGACGCCTGCCACCACTCACAGCTAATTTTTGTATTTTTAGTAGAGATGGGGTTTCACCATGTTGTCCAGGATGCTCTCGATCTCTTGACCTCATGATCCACCCACCTCAGCCTCCCAAAGTGTTGGGATTACAGGCATGAACCACAGTGCCCGGCTCAAAAATACTATTATTAATTTTGGGGGGTAGTTACTATATTTTGTGAAAATCAGAGTTCAGTACCTTGTAACACTGGGTTGGGATCTATCCCAGAAGGAACAGGCTTCTAAAGAGGAAGGCATGGAGAGAGGGGCAAAATTTCAGTGTATGTTGTAATGACTTTAGGTATATGGACCTGGGGCTGAGTTCTAGCTGGGGCCACCAGGTGGCAAGGTGGACTTTGCTAAATTCTATCACTTTCCCGGGCCTCAGACTCACTTGTTACAAATGGGGTTAAAGCATCCCTCTTTCAGGGCTAAGATAAAGATGATTAAGTAAGAGGGAATGAAAGTAACTTCCATCAACTGTCAAAAGTATTCGTTTAAAATTTTTTTTTTTTTTGAGATGGAGTCTCTCTCTGTTGCCCAGGTTGGAGTGCAGTGGCATGGTCCCGGGTCACTGCAATCTCCACCTCCTGGGTTCAAGTGATTCTCCTGCCTCAGCCTCCTGAGTAGCTGGGACTTCAGGTGCATGCCACCATGCCTGGCTAATTTTTATATTTTTAGTAGAGACGGAGTTTCACCATGTTGGCCAGGATGGTCTCCATCTCTTGCCCTTGTGATCCACCCACCTTAGCCTCCCAAAGTGTTGGGATTACAGGCATGAGCCACCACGTCCGGCCCATTTAACTTCTATATTACTTTCCTGTTGGTGGATTTACCAGTGCAAACTGAGCAGCTTAAAACACCACCCAGTTATTATCTGTTTTCATGAGCCAAGGGTCTGGGCAGGGTTTAACTGGGTCTTCTATTCAGGGTCACAATACGGCAACCAGAGTGTCAGTTGGAGCTGGGGTCTCATCGGATGCTCAGTGTCTTCTTCCAAGCTTATTCAGTCTGTGAACTGAATTCAATTACTTACAATTGTTGAATGAAGGCCCTCAACTCCTAGAGCTGCCACCTCCAAAGACAGCTCACAGCATGGCCGTTTGTGTCTCCTTGGAGGCTAAGGGTTCAATCTCTGAAACTTCACCTTTAAAAGATTCACCTGATTAGGTCTGGCCCACCTAAGATCATCCTGCTATGGATGAACTCAAAGTCAGCTGAGCAAATGTGCTTAACAAAGCAAGTGTGACCATAATCACATTTGCAAAATCCCTTCCTCTTGGCCAAATCGCAAGCTCTGCACACACTCAAGAAGAGGAGATGATACAGGGAGCAGATATAAGGGAGTGGGTCTCTTGGGGGCTGTCCTAGAACTATTTCCATTACAACTTCCTTTCTCGAGGAACAGCAGGCCTGGGGAGAGATGATCACAGATGAGCGCAGCCCACAGGTGGTGAGTGCCTGGTGCTGGGGTAGGATGCAGGAGGCTGTGAAGCAAGTATGAAAAGCCTTCTCTGGGCTGGGTGCAGTGGCTCACACCTGTAATCCCAGCAGTTTGGGAGGCCGAGGTGGGTGGATCACGAGGTCAAGAGATCGAGACTATCCTGGCCAACAAACATGGTGAAACCCCGTCTCTACTAAAAATAAAAAAATTAGCTGGGCATGGTGGTGCATGTCTCTAACAACCCAGCTCCTCAAGTGAGCAATTCCTGTCCCTTTTAAGGGCTCACAACTCTAAGGGGGTCCACATGAGAGGGTCTTGATCTATTGACCAAGCAGGGAGTACGTGACTAGGGGCTGCATTCAGCAAACCCCATCTCTACTAAAAATACCAAAATTCAGCAAAGTTTCAGGATACAAAATCAATGTGCAAAAATCACAAGCATTCTTGTACACCAATAACAGACAAACAGAGAGCCAAATCATGAGTGAACTCCCATTCGCAATTGCTTCAAAGAGAATAAAATACCGAGGAATCTAACTTACAAGGGACATGAAGGACCTCTTCAAGGAGAACTACAAACCACTGCTCAATGAAATAAAAGAGGACACAAACAAATGGAAGAACATTCCATGCTCATGGCTAGGAGGAATCAATATCATGATAATGGCCATACTGCCCAAGGTAATTTATAGATTCAATGCCATCCCCATCAAGTTACCAATGACTTTCTTCACAGAATTGGAAAAAACTACTTTAAAGTTCATATGGAACCAAAAAAGAGCCCACATTGCCAAGTCAATCCTAAGCCAAAAGAACAAAGCTAGAGGCATCACACTACCTGACTTCAAACTATACTACAAGGCTACAGTAACCAAAACAGCATGGTACTGTTACAAAAACAGAGATACAGACTAATGGAACAGAACAGAGCCCTCAGAAATAATGCCACACATCTACAACTATCTGATCTTTGACAAACCTGACAAAAACAAGCAATGGGGAAAGGATTCCCTATTTAATAAATGGTGCTGGGAAAACTGGCTAGCCATATGTAGAAAGCTGAAACTGGATCCCTTCCTTACACCTTATACAAAAATTAATTCAAGATGGATTAAAGACTTAAATGTTAGACCTAAAACCATAAAAACCCTAGAAGAAAACCTCAGCAATACCATTCAGGACATAGGCATGAGCAAGGACTTCACGTCTAAAACACCAAAAGCAATGGCAACAAAAGCCAAAATTGACAAATGGGATCTAATTAAACTAAAGAGCTTCTGCACAGCAAAAGAAACTCCCATCAGAGTGAACAGGTAACCTACAGAATGGGAGAAAATTTTTGCAATCTACTCATCTGACAAAGGGACCTATGACTTTCTTATAACCAAAAGAATATGGCAGAGGTGATGGGATGTAGTGATTACGTTAGATAGGATGTTAAGTTGTCTGGCTAGGAGGCTGTCTGTCTTGCTGGCTTTGAAGATGTGAGCTGCCATGTCATGAGCGGCCAGATGGAGAGGCCCATGTGGCAAGAAGCTGAGGGCAGCAAGAAACTGGGGCCCTGAGTCCAGCAGCCTGCAAGGAACTGAATGCTGCCAACAACCAGATGAGCCTGGAAACAGATCAAACACCAGTCAAGCCTCCAGATGAGAACTGAGCCCTGGCTGACACTATGGCTGCAGCCTTGCACTGAACCCAGCTGAGTCACGCCTGGATTCCTGACCCACAGAAACCATGCAGTGATGACTGTCTGCTGTCTCAAGCCACAAAGTTTGCAGTAATATTGTTGCACAGCAATAGATAACTAATATAAAAACTGTCCTACATCATG